>NC_000017.11:38810980-39435980 GCF_000001405.40 Homo sapiens | reverse complement strand
CCTGCCTTAGCCTCCTGAGTAGCTGGGATTATGGGTACCTGCCATTATGCCCGGCTAATTTTTGTAGTATCCAGGCATGGTGAAACCTTATGTCTACTAAAAATACAAAAAATTAGCCGGGTGTGGTGGTGCTCGTCTGTAATTCCAGCTACACAGGAGGCTGAGGCTGGAGAATTGCGTGAACTCAGGAGGTGGAAGTTGTAGTGAGCTGAGATCGTGCCATCGCCATCGGACTCCAGCCTGGACGACAGAGTGAGACTCTGTCTCAAAAAAGAAAAGGAGAAAAAAAGAAATAATGTTGACTTTTACCTGATATTACCATTTAGTATAGATGGTAATATTAAGTTAAAGAATATATTTTGCTGCTACTCGTTTCTTTTTGCTGTCTTAATAGCACTGTTGACTGTAAGTGCTCAGTAAATGCTCACAGAATGTCTGCTCAAGTGTCTGACATTGTCATGGCAGTTTAGCTTTCCAGAGAGCTTTTTTTTTCAAGTTTGAAAAAAGATATCAAGAGTTAGAATTGTGGAGATGTATTGGATTCCTAAACCTATCCACAAAAGCCCATTTGTCCGACAATCGAAGCCTGAATATTGGGTCCTAGAAAGCCAGAGGTCACGGTAGTAGTTTATGTTTTCTAGGGTAGATCTGGTCGTAGCAATATTTTCTAATGGGTATTTTGCCTCGAGAGTACCCACTACCTTTTCTCTGGGTCTCCATCTCTGTCCTAGTATTTGTTTTCCCTCTCATCTTTGCTCTCATGTTGCTGTATACCCACAAGTGTTGTGTCTTCCCAATTTATTTTCTTTTTTTGACACACAGTCTTGCTCTGTTGCCCAGGCTGGAGTGCAGTGGCGCGATCTCGGCTCACTGCAAGCTCCGCCTTCTTGGTTCATGCTGTTCTCCTGCCTCAGCCTCCTGAGTAGCTGGGACTACAGGTGCCCGCCACCACACTCGGCTAATTTTTTTTTGTATTTTTAATAGAGATGGGGTTTCACCATGCTAGCCAGGATGGTCTCGATCTCCTAACCTCATGATCCACCCACCTTGGCCTCCCAAAGTGCTGGGATTACAGGCGCGAGGACTGTGCCTGGCCCTTCCTAATTTATTTTCTTCTTATTATCTCTGCAATCAAAAGTTTTATTTTTGTTGACATCCAAATTCAGTTACATATTTGGAGGAAAGGAGCTGGGTGTGGTGGTGCACACCTGTTGTTGAAGGTGAGAGGTTGAAGTGAGAGCATTGCTGAAGTCCTGGAGTTAGAGTCTGGCCTGGGCAACATCGGGAAACCCCGTCTCTACAAAAAAATTAATAAAAAGGGAAAAGAAAGGAAAGTTGTTAATGATTGATTTAAATCAGGTTTCATTGCTTGGGAGCTAATAAAACACCTGGTAAAGAGATTTTGCCCACCTTCCTTTTAACTTTCACACTGCTTATTAGCACCTTCTCCAGAAAAAATGGAGGAGGGAGACAAAGGAAAATATTTTCTTTTCTTTTGCTGCTTTACATTGATGCTAGAAAACTTTTGAGGAAAATGGTTAAAGCTGATTATTAAAATCAGTTTTATATAGCTGTGATTTTTGGCACTTTGTTGTAAGATTGAGTAGTAATTTTATGTTTTATTTTCCTCTCTTTCCCCTCTTCCCTGAACTCCTTATAGGGAAAAAAATTTTGATGAATTTTCTAAGCACCTTAAGGGCCTTGTTAATCTGTATAACCTTCCAGGGGACAAGTAAGTATTTTTAATATTTTTGCTTTTGTTTGTAAAAATCAGTATAAATCTATAAGCCACCTTATGCCTAGAAATTTGCCACCTCTTCTGCTGTTTGTCACTCCTAGTTTCTACTTATACTGCAATCTGTAGCTCAGCTTCCAACATTGGGCCTTTCAAAGATATCTTCAATAGGCAGCACCTGCATTAATCGATCATAATGCTGGAAGACAGAATATAATCTTTGAGATGTCCAACATTCCAATTTCTAGGCTGAAAGGAATTAGTTGCTGTGGAACTGGCTTTAATTCTATTTTTAACCTACCTGGGATTCTATTAACGTATTTGGCTTTTTAAAACAGAGATAAAAATAAGCTTTGAAGTGCTAAAAATAGGCTTTAATAGTAGTGAAGCCAGTCAAAGTGGCCCATGCCTCTAATCCCAGTACATTGGGAGGCCAAGACAGGAAGATTTCTTGAGCTCAGGAGATCAATACCAGCCTGGGCAACATAGTGAGACCCTGTCTCTAGCAGAAAGACAACAGCAACAGCTTAGATGGGTGGTGATGGGTGCATGTAGTCCCAGCTACTTCGGAGGCTAAGGTGGGACGATCACTTCAAACTAGTAGTTTGAGGGTGCAGTGAGCAGTGATTGCGTCACTGTGCTCCAGCCTGGTTGACAGAGCGAGATGCTGTCTCAAAAAAAAAGAAAAAATATGTGTGTATATATATATATATATATAGTAACAAAAAAAATTTATTTTAAAAATTAATGTTTTAGGCTGGGCACAGTGGCTCACTCCTTTAATCCTGGCCACTTTGGGAGGCTGAGGTGGGTGGACCACCTGAGGTCCAGTCAAGAATTAATGTTTTAAAATGTTTTTTTTTTTTCTTTTTTTTTAAATACGGATTGTCGCTCTGTCACCCAGGCTGGAGTGCAGTGGCATGACCTCAGCTCACTGCAGCCTCCACCTCCCGGGTTCAAGCAGTTCTCCTGCCTCAGCCTTCCGAGTAGCTGGGTTTACGGCTATGCGCCACCACGCCCGGCTAATTATTATAATTTTTTTTGAGATGGACTCTTGCTCTGTCGCCCAGGCTGCAGTACAGTGGTGCCATCTCGGCTCACTGCAACCTCCGCCTCCTGGGTTCAAGCGATTCTCCTGCCTCAGCCTCCCGAGTAGCTGGGATTAAAGGCGCCCACCACTGACCTGGCTAAGTTTTGCATTTTTAGTAGAGGTGGGGTTTCACCATCTTGGCCAGGCTGGTCTCGAACTCCTGACCTTGATCCACCCGCCATGGCCTCCCAGAGTGCTTGGATTATAGGCGTGAGACATTGCGCCCAGCCACCTGGCTAATTTTTGTATTTCTAGTAGAGACAGGGTTTTACCATGTTGGTCAGGCTGGTCTCAAACTCCTGACCTCACGTGATCTACCCGCTTCGGCCTCCCAAAGTGTTGGGATTACAGGCGTGAGCCACCGCGCCTGGCCAGTTTTTTTTTTGGTTTTTGTTTTTTTTTGGAGACAGAGTCTCGCTCTGCCACCAGGCTGGAATGCAATGGCATGATCTCGGTTCACTGCAACCTCCACCTCCCGGGTTCAAGCAATTCTCTTGCCTTAGTCTCCCAAGTAGCTGGGACTACAGGCGCATGCTGCCACGCCTGGCTAATTTTTTTTTTTTGTATTTTATTAGAGACGGGGTTTCACCGTGTTGCCCAGGCTGGTCTCAAACTCCTGAGCTCAGGCAATCTGCCCTCCTCGGCTTCCCAAATTGCTAGGATTATAGGCATGAGCCACTGCGCCTGGCCAGTTTTTAAAAATATATATATATTTTTGCCTTCAATTTAGACTTGCTCTTTAGGCCTTCTATGTCACTGTTTGTGTCTGTATGTATATATGTGTATTTTTCAACTTTTTTTTTTTTTTTTTTTGAGATGGAATCTTGTTCTGTCACCCAGGCTGGAGTGCAGTGGTATGATCTTGGCTCACTGCAACCTCTTCCTCTCGGGTTCAAGCAATTCTCCTGCCTCACCCTTCCGAGCAGCTGGGATTACAGGTGCCTGCCACCACGCTCGGCTAATTTTTGTAGTTTTAGTAGAGATGGGGTTTTGCCATGTTGGCCAGGCCGGTCTCAAACTCCTGACCTCAGGTGATCTGCCCGCCTCAGCCTCCCAAGGTGCTGGGATTACAGGCTGAGCCACCCCGCTTGGTCATATTTTTCAACTATTAACTCATGTTCTTCTCATCTACTCTCCAGCAAACTGAAGACTAAAATGTACTTGGCTCTCCAATCCTTAGAACAAGATCTTTCTAAAATGGCAATTATGTACTGGTAAGACTGCTAAAACCTTAATTCTACATGATCCCTTGAGTTTTTCTCTGGGGAGATTAGGGTCCTATTTTATACATCTCTATTAAGCCTGTATGATAATATGTCCTTTCTCTTCCAAAATGATGATTGTATTTGAACTTCTGAGTATCAGTATCGCTAAGTTGTTGGTTACCATAGGTTTTATCTCAAGACTCATCAGACCTGGAGTCCCATCTGAGAAATAATAGTCTAAGTGTAATTTTTGTTCACCATACTACATACTGGTGTGTACTTGGAAATAATCCCTTTACTTTGGAGGTGAAATACATTTGCTATATGCCCAATTACAAGACAGAACCATTATGATAGTATTATAAGACTTTGGGCTGGGCGCGGTGGCTCACGCCTGTAATCCCAGCACTTTGGGAGGCCGAGGCGGGCGGATCACCTGAGGTCACGAGTTCGAGACCAGCCTGCCCAATATGGTGAAACCCCGTCTCTACTAAAAATACAAAAAATTAGCTGGGCGTGGTGGCGGGCGCCTGTAATCCCAGCTACTCGGGAGGCTGAGGCAGGAGAATCACTGGAACCTGGGAAGCGGAGGTTGCGGTGAGCTGAGATTGTACCACTGCACTTCAGCCTGGGCGACAAGAGCGAAACTCCGTCTCAAAAAAAAAAAAAGACAAGACTTCGGAGAGGTGAACTCAATATCACAGTGTGTACCAAGACCATCAGGGATTAAATATAAGCAAACATAGATCACTTGTCTTACAGGAAAGCAACTAATGCTGGTCCCTTGGATAAGATTCTTCATGGAAGTGTTGGCTATCTCACACCAAGGAGTGGGGGTACGTGATCCTATTTTGCTTGTTTAGAAACATGTGTAATTTAAGTTGAGGGTCATTACTTTTCATTTCACCTTTAGTTTGTTTGTTTATTTTTTTGAGACAGAGTCTCACTTTGTTGCCCAGGCTGGAGTGCAGTGGCATGATCTCGGCTTACTGCTCCTTCCACCTCCTGGGCTCAAGTGAATCTCATGCCTCAGCCTCCTGAGTAGCTGGGATTACAGGTGTGCACCACAATAGCCAGCTAATTTATTCTATTGTTGGTAGAGACAGGGTTTCACTGTTTTGGCCAGGCTGGTCCTGAACTCCTCGCCTCGACTGATCGGCCTACCTTGGTCTCCCAAAGTGCTGGGATTACAGGCATGAGCCACTGCGCCCAGCCTATTTATTTGTTAATTTTTATTCTGTTTTTTTTTTTTTTTTTTAAGACGGAGTCTTGCTCTGTTGCCCAGGCTGGAGTACAGTGGCGCGATCTCAGCTCACTGCAAGCTCCGCCTCCCAGGTTCACGCCATTCTCCTGCCTCAGCCTCCAGGGTAGCTGGGACTACAGGCGCCCGCCACCACGCCTGGCTAATTTTTTTGTATTTTTTAGTGGAGACGGGGTTTCACAGCGTTAGCCAGGATGATCTCGATCTCCTGACCTCGTGATCTGCCCGCCTCAGCCTCCCAAAGTGCTGGGATTACAGGCATGAGCCACTGCGCCTGGCCAATTTTTATTCTTATGTATTTGTTTATTTTTCTTGAGACAGGCTCTCACCAGGCTGGAGTGCAGTGGCACAATCTTGGATCACTGTAACCTCTGCCTCCTGGGTTCAAGGGATTCTCCTGCCTCAGCCTCCCGAGTAGCTGGGATTACAGGCATGTGCCACCACACCCGACTAATTTTTGTATTTTTAGTAGAGATGGGGTTTCACCATGTTGGCCAGGCTGGTCTCAAATTCCTGACTTCAAGTGATCCTCCCTCCTCGGCTGCCCAAAGTGCTGGGATTACAAACAGGTATTAGCCACTGCACCAATCCCTATTTATTTATTTTTGAGACAGGGTCTTGCTGTGTTGCCCAGGCTGGAGTGCAGTCGTGCAATCATGACTCACTCCAGCCTCAACCTCCTGGGCCCAAATAATCCCCCTAACTCAGTTTCCTGAGTAGCTTGGACTACAGGTACAGGATACCATGCCTGGCTAATTTTTGTTGTTTTATAGAGACATGGTCTTACTATGTTGCCTAGGCTGGTCTTGAACTGGGATCAAGTGATCTTCCTGCCACTGCATTGCAAAGGGTTGGGATTATAAGCATAAGCCACTGCGCCCGGCCTCATCTTGGGGTTTATAAACATATAAGCAGAGGGAGAAAATTGCCAGATATTTGTGTATTTTGTGATGATTTCTTCCTTTTTTTTTTTTTTTTTTTTTTTTTAGGCATTTAGGCAGAGTCTTGCTCTGTCTCCCAGGCTGGAGTGCAGTGGCGCGATCTTGGCTCATTGCAACCTCTGCATCCTGGGTTCCAGCAATTCTCTTGCCTCAGCCTCCCATGTAGCTGGGATTACAGGCACGTGCCACCGTGCCCAGCTAATTTTTGTATTTTTACCAGAGACAGGGTTTCACCATGTTGGCCAGGCTGGTCTCGAACTCCTGACCCTAGGTGAGCTGCCTGTCTCGGCCTCCCAAAGTGCTGGGATTATAGGCGTGAGCCACTGCGCCTGGGCTTTTTGCGATGATTTCTAAGCTGTCAATACCTGTCCTCCCCATTTTTGTTTGTTATCTTTTTGAGACAGAGCCTTGCTATGTCCCTCTGGCTGAAGTACAGTGGCAGAAACATAGCTCACTTCAGCCCTTAACTCTTGGGCTTAAGTGATCTTCCCACCTCAGCCCCCTGAGTAGCTAGGACTTCAGTCAAGTGCCACCATGCCTGGGTAACTTTAACAATTTTTTTAGAGATGGGGGTCTCACTGTGTTGCCTAGGCTAGAGTGCAGTGGTGCAGTCATAACTCACTATAGACTTGAACTCCTGGCTTCAAGTGATCCTCCAGCCTCAGCCTCCCAAAGTGTTGGGATTATAAGCGTGAGCCAGTTCACCTGGCCTTTTTTTTTTTTTAAATCAATTGTGTGAAATAAATTGTTAGTCCCGGAATCCATACTTCATCTTCTGTCATATGTCTTTTTTTTTTGAGATGGAGTCTTGCTCTGTCACCCAGGCTGGAGTGCAGTGGCACGATTTTAGCTCACTGCAACCTCCACCTCCTGGGTTCAAGCAATTCTCCTGTCACAGCCTCCCGAGTAGTTGGGACTACAGGTGCGAGCCACCATGCCTGGCTAATTTTTTGTATTTTTAGTAGATACAAGGTTTCACCATGCTGGCCAGGCTCGTCTTGATCTCCTGACCTCGTGATCTGCCCACCTTGGCCTCCCAAAGTGCTGGGATTACAGGTGTGTGCCACCACACCCAAGCGCCTGTCATATTTCTTTATTTTTTATTTTTACTTTTTGAGACGGGGTCTTGCTCTGCCTTCCAGGCTGGAGTGCAGTGGCACAATCACGGCTCATTGTATCCTTGACCTCCCACCTTAACTTCCTGAGTAGCTGGGACTACGGGCACTCACCAGCATGCCAGGCTAATTATTATTATTATTATTTTTGAGACGGAGTCTCCCTCTGTTGCCAGGGCTGGAGTGCAGTGGCATGATCTCAGCTCACTGTAACCTCCGCTTCCTGGGTTCAAGCGATTCTTCTGCCTCAGCCTCCTGCATAGCTGGGACTACAGGCGCGTGCCACCATGCCCAGCTAGTTTTTTGTATTTTTAGTCAAGATGGGGTTTCACCATGTTAGTCAGGATGGTCTCAATATCCTGACCTTGT
Source organism: Homo sapiens (assembly GCF_000001405.40). Classification (NCBI taxonomy): domain Eukaryota; kingdom Metazoa; phylum Chordata; class Mammalia; order Primates; family Hominidae; genus Homo; species Homo sapiens. The sequence goes on along the minus strand of NC_000017.11, from coordinate 39,428,264 downwards.
GATCCGCCTGCCTTGGCCTCCCAAAGTTGTGGGATTACAGGCATGAGCCACCGCACCTGGCCAATTTTTTGTATTTTTAGTAGAGATGGGGTTTCACCATGTTGGCCAGGCTGGTCTTGAACTTCTCTCCTCAGGTGATTCACCATCTTTACCTCCCAAAGTGCTAGGATTACAGGCATTAGCCATCGCGCCCGGCCTATTATTATTATTTTTAGAGGTGGAGTCTGACTGTGTTGACCATGCTAGTCTCAAACTCCTGGACTCAAGTGATCCTCTTGCCGGAGCCTCCCAGAGAGCCAGGATTACAGGTGTGAGTCACCACACCTGCCATATTTCATAAGCTGTTTTGGAGCATGACTCTTCATATATGTTAAAGTACTTTCTTGAATATCGGTTTATATAATAAATGTTAATGTTTTTCTGTGTTTGTAATTTACCTGATAAAGATACAGTTATGAGTTTTATTTTTTATAGGTCATTTAATGAACCTGAAGTACTATGTCTCTCCTTCTGACCTACTGGATGACAAGACTGCATCTCCCATCATTTTGCATGAGAATAATGGTAAGACTTTAATTGTAAAGGAATTAAAGGTTTTGTTCGGTGCCCAGCTTGCCTTTAATTTCTGGTTTGCTATTCTCTAATGAGTTTGTTGACCTTACCATTTGCACCTTATACACACAACACCTCACACACGTATATGTGTGTTCACAAGTACATACATATGTATATACACACATGCATATATACACACATACATAATAGGAGCTTAATAAGTACTTTTGGGCTGGGCACGGTGGCTCACGCCTGTAATCCCAGCACTTTGGGAGGCTGAGGTGGGCAGATCACGAGGTCAGGACTTGGAGACCAGCCTGACCAACATGGTGAAACCCTGTCTCTACTAAAAATACAAAAATTACCCAAGCATGGTGGTACGCGCCTGTAATCCCAGCTACTCAGGAGGCTAAGGCAAGAGAATTGCTTGAACCCGGGAGGAGGAGGTTGCAGTGAGTCAAGATTGCGTCACTGCACTCCAGTCTGGGTGACAGAGCGAGACTCCATCTCAAAAAAAGAAAAAAAGTACTTTTGAATAAATAAGTAAATGAGCAACTCATAAGAAGAGATATAAACGATCTGACCTGAGATAATCAGCTTACTCATTGTTTAAAAAGTGTAGAAGGATGGGCCTGGTAGTTTATGCCTGTAGTCCTAGCTACTTGGGAGGTTTGGGCGGGAGGATTGCTTGAGCCCAGGAGTTTGAGACTGTAGCATACCATGATCGTGCATGTAAATAGTCATGGTACTCCAGCCTGGGCAACGTAGTGAGTTACTGATCAAAAAAAAAGTGAAGTTTTCTAAATTAAAGAACTATGGTAATGGACATTATTTTCTGTTTGCCCTTGATACAAGAAAAGATAAAGAGAGATAGACTGCCGGGCGCGGTGGCTCATGCCTGTAATCCCAGCACTTTGGGAGGCTGAGGTGGGCGAATCACCTGAGGTCAGGAGTTCGAGACCAGCCTGACCAACATGGAGAAACCCTGTCTCTACTAAAAATACAAAATTAGCCAGGCGTGATGGCCCATGCTTGTAATCCCAGCTACTCAGGAAGCTGAGGCAGGAGAATCGCTTGAACCTGGGAGGCGGAGGTTGCAGTGAACCGAGATTGTGCCATTGCACTCCAGCCTGGGCAACAAGAGCAAAACTCTGTCTCAAAAAAAAGTGAAATGGACTAATACCTCCTTAGGTCCCTTTGTAGCTTCACTCATTGACTCCATCCCTTTATTGTTTGTTTGTTTGTTTGTTTATTTATTTATTTAAGATGGAGTCTCACTCTGTCACCCAGGCTGGAGTGCAGTAGTGCGATCTCAGCTCACTGCAACCTACACCTCCTGGGTTCAAGTGATTCTCCTGCCTCAGCCTCCCAAGTAGCTGGGACTACAGGCATGCACCACCACACCCGGCTAATTCTTGTATTTTTAGTAGAGATGGGGTTTCACTATGTTGGCCAAGCTGGTCTTGAACTCCTTACCTGAAGTGATCCACCTGTCTTGGCCTCCGAAAGTGCTAGGATTACAGGTGCGAGCCTTGGCGTCAGGCTCCTTTATTGTTATTATAATTTGGCATGGGGGACGGGGTAGGTCTCACTGTGTTGCCCAGGCTGGCGTACAGTGATTTGATCACAGCTCACTACAGCCCCCGAAGTCCTGGGCTCAAGCCATCCTCCCGCCTTGGCCTCCCAAAGTGCTAGGATTACAGGTGTGAGCCAGTGCACCAGCCTGTCCTTTTATTATGATCCTACTTAAATGCATTCTGAAGAAAAAATAAGTAAATATTGATACTGAACCCTTCAAAAATGATGTTTTTGGACTGCATTGTTTCTTGTGTTTTATTTACTGACAAAAATTATTGGTTGATTAGAAAGGTAACTTCCAGGATTTCTAATTTTTTTTTTTTTTTTCCCCAGACAGAGTCTCACTCTGTCGCCCAGGCTGGAGTGCAGTGGTGCGATTTCGGCTCACTGCAACCTCCGCCCCCCAGGTTCAAGTGATTCTCCTGCCTCAGCCTCCTGAGTAGCTGGGATTACAGGCGCCTGTCACCACACCTGGCTAATTTTTGTGTTTTTAGTAGAGATGCGGTTTCACCGTCTTCTGCAGGCTGGTCTTGAACCCCTGACCTTGTGATCCACCCGCCTCAGCCTCCCAAAGTGCTGGGATTACAGGCATGAGCCATCACACCTGGCCTGATTTCTAAGTTTTATAGGAACTACAGGCCGTGCCTGGTGGTTCATGCCTGTAATTTCAGCACTGTGGGAGGCTGAGATGGGTGGATCAACTTTAGGCCAGGAGTTTGAGACCAGCCTGGCCAACCTGATGAAACCCCCATCTCTACAAAACATACAAAAAAATTAGCCAGGCATGGTGGTGCATTCCTGTAATGCCATGTACGTGGGAGGCTGAGGCATGAAAATTTCTTGAACCTGGGAGGTGGAGATTGCAGTGAGTCGAGATCACACCACTGCATTCCAGTCTGGACAGAGTGAGACTCTGCCTCCAATAAAAAAATAAATAAATAGGCTGGGCGCAGTGATTCACACCTGTAATCCCACCTGTAATCCTAGTCCTTCGGGAGGCCAAGATGGGCGGATCATGAAGTCAAGAGATCGAGACCATCCTGACCAACATGGTGAAACCCCATCTCTACTAAAAATACAAAAAATTAGCCGGGCATGGTGATGGGCGCCTGTAGTTCCAGCTACTTGGGTGGCTGAGGCAGGAGAATGGTGTGAACCCAGGAGGTGGAGCTTGCAGTGAGCTGAGATTGCGCCACTGCACTCCAGCCTGGGTGACAGAGCAAGACTCTGTCTCAAAATAAATAAATAAATACATAAATAAATAAATAAGGGAATAACAGCATCTGATAAATTATAGCTGACAAATATTGCAAAAATTAACCTCTTAAAACATACTGTGATTCCCATCATTTGTATTACTTTGAGGAATACCCTTTTTCTTTCCTATCCCCAGTTTCTCGATCTTTGGGCATGAATGCATCAGTGACAATTGAAGGAACATCTGCTGTGTACAAACTCCCAATTGCACCATTAATTATGGGGTCACATCCAGTTGACAATAAATGGTAAGTTAAATATAATTTTAGAGTAGCAAAGTCAATTTTTCTCAAAGCGCAGTATGTAACAAGTTTTAACCTGGCTGTTACCCCACTTGAATTTCTAGAGGTTGGCCTTTTGTTTTATCCATTCATTGGTTTCTCTTTTGTTTGATATCTGAGTGTTCCTCTCCAAAGTCGGCTCGTAGAACACATTCTCTGCACTGAAAGGGAAAGAAGAGAACTGTGCTAATTCCTCTGGCTTAATGAGTGCCCCCTTTTATCTTACGTTCATTAGTTACATTGGAGTAATAACTGGAGAACATGCCTCAGGATAAATGTTTGATTAAATTCTACAGTGTTAACCAATAGCATGTCTGGGAATTGGGGGTAGGAAGTTTCACAGAGTGAGCTTTTGAGAGTTTGTACTTATGTGTCTGTGTGATACATACATGTTTAAGAATAGGTGTTTGTGGCCAGGCATGGTGGCTCACGCCTGTAATCCCAGCACTTTGGGAGGCTGAGGCAAGTGGAACACCTGAGGTCAGGAGTTCAAGACCAGCCTGGCCAACATGGTGAAACCCCATCTCTACTAACAATACAAAAATTAGCCGGGCGTGGTGGCGGGCACCTGTAGTCCCAGCTACTCACGAAGCTGAGATAGGAGAATCCCTTGAACCCGGGAGGCAGAGGTTGCAGTGAGCCAAGATCACGCCATTGCACTCTAGCCTGGGCATTAAGAGGGAAAATCTGTCTCAAAAAAAAAAAAGGTGTTTGGGTTTTTCATTTTTATATCAAGTCAGAATCCAACCCTTCCACCCTCTTTTTTTTGAAGGACCCCTTCCTTCTCCTCAATCACCAGTGCCAACAGTGTTGATCTTCCTGCCTGTTTCTTCTTGAAATTTCCCCAGCCAATCCCAGTATCTAGAGCATTTGTTCAGAAACTGCAGAACTGCACAGGTGAGTTTTGAGCATCAGGATCTAGTACTTGTTATAAATGTGAAAAAGAAACTTCAAAGTCAGGTTATCATGACGTCTTTCAGTCTTACATGCCTCATTGAAGTATTACTGGTAAAGATGTTATAGTGCTTTGTACTAGTAAATGCTTAGTAAGTACTCTTTTGGGTGAATGAATGTAGATATCAAGGGGAAACTGAGCTGTCAGTGTTTTCATCTTAACATGATCATTATATTGATTCTTGTTTTTCCAGGAATTCCATTGTTTGAAACTCAACCAACTTATGCACCCCTGTATGAACTGATCACTCAGTTTGAGCTATCAAAGGACCCTGACCCCATACCTTTGAATCACAACATGAGATTTTATGCTGTAAGTAAAGCCCTAGGGAGCTAGAATGTTGTAGGTTATGTTTGGACCCAAGATCATAATCTTCCTTTATAGCATTATTGAGGTCAGATAAGTTTCTTCAAGACTGCTGGATCATGTCCTATTTCTTTAGTAAGGCAGGAAATTACAGAAATCTCAGAAATGGGCTGGGCGCGGTGGCTCACACCTGTAATCCCCGCACTTTAGGAGGCCAAGGCAGGCGGATCGTGAGGTCAGGAGTTCGAGACCAGCCTGGCCAACATAGGGAAACCCTGTCTCTACTAAAAATACAAAAAATTAGCCGTGTGTGGTGGCGGGTGCCTGTAATCCCAGCTACTCGGGAGGCTGAGGGAGGAGAATGGCTTGAATCTGGGAGGCAGAGGTTGCAGTGAGACAAGATTGTGCCATTGTGCTCCAGCCTGGGTGACAGAGCGAGACTCTGTCTCAAAAAAAAAAAAAAAAAAAAGAAATCTCGGAAATGTATTGAAGTAAAAGGGCATGAGCTTCCATTAGGAAACAACAATGTACAGTTCTTTGTTGAAATTTTGGGTGATTGGCCAGGTGCAGTGGCTCACACCTGTAATCCCAGGAATTTGGGAGGCCAAGGCGGGTGGTCACTAGAGATCAGGAGTTTGAGACCAGCCTGGATAACATGGTGAAACCCCGTCTCTACTAAAAATATAAAAATTAGCTGGGTGTGGTGGAACATGCCTGTAATCCCAGCTACTTGGGAGGCTGAGGCAGGAGAATCACTTAACCCGGGAGGCAGAGGTTGCAGTGAGCCAAGATTGCGCCACTGCACTCCAGCCTGGGCAACAAGAGCGAAATTCCGTCTCAAAAAAAAAAAAAAAAAAAAAAAACGAGGCTGGGCGTGGTGTTTCACATGTCTAATCCCAGCAGCACTTTGGGAGGCCGAGGCAGGTGGATCACGAGGTCAAGAGATCGAGAGCATCCTGGCCAACAGGGTGAAACCCCATCTCTACTAAAAAAATACAAAAATTAGCTGGGTGTGGTGTCATGCACCTGTAGTCCCAGCTACTCGGGAGGCTGAGGCAGGAGAATTGCTTGAACCCGGGAGACGAAGGTTGCAGTGAGCCAAGATCGCACCACTGCGCTTCAGCCTGGCAACAGAGCAAGACTCCGTCTCAAAAAAATAAAAAAGAAAAAGAAATTTTGGGTGATAGACTTTTTTTTTTTTTTTTGAGACGGAGTCTTGCTGTGTCGCCCAGGCTGGAGTGCAGTGGTGAGATCTCAGCTCACTGCAAACTCCACCTCCCGGGTTCATGCCATTCTCCTGCCTCAGCCTCCTGAGTAGCTGGGACTACAGGCGCCTGCCACCATGCCTGGCTAATTTTTTGTATTTTTAGTAGAGACGGGATTTCACCATGTTAGCCAGGATGGTCTCGATCTCCTGACCTCGTGATCCGCCCGCCTCGGCCTCCCAAAGTGCTAGGATTGCAGGCGTGAGCCACCTTGCCTGGCGGGGTGACAGACTCTTAATGGTATTTTGAACTTTTAGAATATCATAATTAGGTGTTATAAATTCTTACTGTTTAATTCTTTCAAGTGCCATGAGCTTAGAATCTGGAAAGATCCTGAAAGTACTTACAGAGAGGAAAATGCTGGAAGCAGTAATTAAGAGGCTGGGCACAGTGACTCACACCTGTAATCCCAGCACTTTGGGAGGCCAAGGCAAGGCAGATCACTTGAGCTCAGGAGTTCAATACCAGCCTGGGCAACGTGGCAAAATCCTCTCTTTTTTATTTTTTTATTTTTTGAGATGGAGTCTAGCTAGCTCTGTTGCCAGGCTGGAGTGCAGTGGCGCGATCTCGGCTCACTGCAACCTCCGCCTCCCAGGTTCAAGTGATTCTCCTGCCTCAGCCTCCTGAGTAGCTGGGACTGTAGGTGTGCACCACCATGCCCAGATAATTTTTGTATTTTTAGTAGAGACGGGGTTTTACCATGTTGGCCAGATTGGTCTTTATCTCTTGACCTTGAGATCCACCCTACTCCGCCTCCCAAAGTGCTGGGATTACAGGCGCAAGCCACCTTGCCTGTCCTTTTCTTTTCTTTTTTCTTTTTTTTTTTTTTGCTCTTGGTGCCCAGGCTGGAGTGCAGTGGCACGATCTCGGCTGACTGCAACCTCTGCCTCCCAGGTTCAAGCGATTCTTCTGCCTCATCCTCCGGCAAAATCCTGTCTCTACAAAAAAAAAATACAAAAATTAGGCTGATGTGGCCGGGAGCGGTGGCTCACGCCTGTAATCCTAGCACTTTGGGAGGCCGAGGCGGGCAGATCATGAGGTCAGGAGATCGAGACCATCCTGGCCAACATGGTGAAACCCCGTCACTACTAAAAAACACAAAAAATTAGCTGGGTGTGGTGGCGGGCGCCTGTAGTCCCAGCTACTTGGGAGGCTGAGGCAGGAGAATGGCGTGAACCCGGGAGGTGGAGCTTGCAGCGAGCAGAGATCGTGCCACTGCACTCCAGCCTGAGCTACAAGAGCAAGACTCTGTCTCAAAAAAAAAAAAAAAAAAAAATAGGCACATGTGGTTGTTCATGCCTGTAGTCTCAGCTGCTCGGGAAGCTGAGGGGCTTCATCCTGGGAGGTAGAGATTGCAATGAGCCAAGATTGCACAATTGTACTCCATCCTGGGTAATGGGAGTGAAACCCTGTCTCAAAAGTAATAATAATAATAATAAGGGAACGTTCCAAAACCTCATCTGGACTTGTATTTATCTGAATCTTTTACAATAGACTAAAGTAGTGGTTACCAAATTCTGGCTGCATTATTATTATATAGGTGTTTTATTAAAAATAGAGAATTTGCAGCCGGGCGTGGTTGTTTATTCCTGTAATCCCAGCACTTTGGGAGGCCCAGGTGGGTGGATCACGAAGTCAGGAGATGGAGACAATCCTGGCTAACACAGTGAAACACTGTCTCTACTAAAAATACAAAAAAAATTAGCCGGGCGTGGTGGCGGGTGCCTATAGTCGCAGCTACTCAGGAGGCTGAGGCAGGAGAATGGCATGAACTCGGGAGGCGGAGCTTGCAGTGAGCCGAGATCGCACCACTGCACTCCAGCCTGGGCAACAGAGGGAGACTCTGTCTCAAAAAAAAAAAAAAAAAAAAGAGATTTTGCATTTATGGTTTAGGAACCTCTTTAATACAGATTTCTGAGGTAGTTTTTATGTTAGCTAGGTTAGGAAATCACTAGCATAGTGCATTTACTAAAAAGACATCTTTTCAGCCTAATTAGTAATTGATTGACATTTATAATATCAGCTGATGAAAACATTCACTGTGGAGACTTTTCTGCACTTTTTTGAGTAGTAGGTTTTTTCAGGATACTTTGTGGTTGGAATACAATAGGTAACTAAATAGCACTCGTTAACTGTTCTTTTTGCCCAGGCTCTTCCTGGTCAGCAGCACTGCTATTTCCTCAACAAGGATGCTCCTCTTCCAGATGGCCGAAGTCTACAGGGAACCCTTGTTAGCAAAATCACCTTTCAGCACCCTGGCCGAGTTCCTCTTATCCTAAATCTGATCAGACACCAAGTGGCCTATAACACCCTCATTGGAAGCTGTGTCAAAAGAACTATTCTGAAAGAAGGTACTGCCTTTCCTTTGATATGCTTACTGGAAGATGGAAACTTACTTCTCCAGTGGTTCTTTAATTGGTGGCCCATCAGAATCACCTGTAGAACTTAAAAAAAGTTTTTTTTTTTTCATATTTGGCATAAAAATCAAGCAAATTAGCTGCACGTGGTGGTGCACGACTGTAGTCCCACCTACTTGGGAGGCTGAGGAAGGAGAATCGCTTGAACCCGGGAGGCGGGGGTTGCAGTGAGCTTAGATCATGCCATTGCACTCCAGCCTGGGTGACAGAGCAAGACTCTGTCTCAAAAAAAAAAAAAAATTCAAACATGTGGAGCTTTTAACACTACAGATGATGGCCAGGTGTGGTGGCTCACGCCTGTAATCCCAGCACTTTGGGAGGCCAAGGTGGGCAAATCACTTGAGCCCATGATTTGAGATCGGTCTGAGGAACATGGCAAAACCCCATCTCTAGAAAAAAGTAGCCAGTTGTGGTGGTGTGCGCCTGTGGTCCCAGCTACTCGGGATCCTGAGGCAGGAGGATTGTCGCTTGAGCCTGGGAGGCAGAGATTGCAGTGAGCTCAGATTGCACCACTGCACTCCAACCTGGGTAACACAGTAAGACCCTGAATCAAAAACAAAACACCAGGCTGAGTGCAGTGGTTTGTGCCTGTAATCCCAGCACTTTGGGAGGCCGAGGTGGGCAGATCACAAGGTCAAGAGATTGAGACCATCCTGGCCAACTAGTGAAACCCAGTCTCTACTAAAAATACAAAAATTAGCTGGGTGTGGTGGTATACACCTGTAGTCCCAGCTACTTGGGAGTCTTAGGCAGGAGAATCACTTGAACCCAGGAGGCGGAGGTTGCACTGAGCTTAGATCATGCCACTGTACTCCAGTGTGGGTGACAGAATGAGACTCCCTCTCAAAAAAAAAAAAAAAATCACAGATGCTGTGTTTCCACACGAAGATGAACTGAATGATAATCTCAGTGGGAAGAGTTGGGAATCTAAACTCCACAAATCATTTTGATGGAACCAGTCTGTAGACTAGCATTTGGAGACCACTGCTTTTTGCAATGTTCTTAACTCTTTTTCTGAACATAGTAATGTAACTGGGTATTTTAGGGGCTGTACCCTGTAGCAGATATACATAAGGTAGAACTTGGAATGCTGTAGTGAGAGAGGCTTTTTTTTTTTTGAGACAGGGTCTCACTCTGTTGCCCAGACTGAACCACAGTGGCATGATAACAGCTTTCTGCTGCCTCTACCTCCTTGGCTCAAGCGATCCTCCTGCCTTAGCCTCCCAAGTAGGTGGGGCTATAGGCATGTACCACCAAGCCTGGCTAATTTTTTCTGTAGAGACAGGGTCTCTCTATGTTGCCCATGTTCGTCTGTAACTCCTGGGCTGAAGCGATCCTCTTGACTAGGCCTCCCAAGGTGCTGGGATAATAGGTGCCACCGTGCTTGGCCAGTTTTAGGTTAAATTTTAGGTTGTTAGGAGAGTGCTTCCCAGGTTTAGTTCTGAGTATGTTTTCTCTCCCCATTGTTTGGAGAACTTAATCTTACAGCTTTAAGAAGGTTTAGCTCTTTTTTCTCTCAGGATTCTGGAATGCTGATGAATTTTTTTTTTTTTTTTTTTTTTTTTGAGACGGAGTCTCACTCTGTTCCCCAGGCTGGAGTGCAGTGGCATGATCTTGGCCCACTGCAACCTCCGCCTCCCAGGTTCAAGCGATTCTCCTGCGTCAGCCTCTGGCTAATTGTTTAAATTTTTTTTAGTAGAGATGGGGTTTCACCATCATGGCCAGGCTGGTCTCGAACTCCTGACCTCGTGATCCACCCTCCTAGGCCTCCCAAAGTGCTGGGATTACAGGCGTGAGCCATGGCACCCGGCGTAAATGCTGATGATTTTCAAAGACAGTTGGCTATTAGAAGCTTTGCTGTAAATTTTGGCTGTTCTAGCTAACCATAGTTAATTTTAAAAATCTTAAGTCAGAAGCGCTCTGTTGATAGATATGTGTCAGTGCCAGTGATAGACAATAAGAAATAGGGAAGGCAAATCAGATCTCTTTTATTTTTATTTATTTATTTTTTGTTTGTTTTTTGAGACGGAGTCTCGCTCTGTCGCCCAGGCTGGAGTGCAGTGGCGCAATTTCGGCTCACTGCAAGCTCTGCCTCCTGAGTTCACGTCATTCTCCTGCCTCAGCCTCCCGAGTAGCTGGGACTACAGGCACCCGCCATCACGCCCGGCTAATTTTTTTGTATTTTTAGTAGAAACGGGGTGTCACCGTGTTGGCCAGGATGGTCTCGATCTCCTGACCTCGTGATCTGCCCGCCTGAGCCTCCCAGAGTGCTGGGATTACAGGCATGAGCCACCACGCCTGGCCTTTTTGTTTTTTTTTTTGAGACGGAGTCTTGCTTGGTCACCCAGGCTGGAGTGCAGTGGTGTGATCTTCACTCACTGCAACCTTTGCCTCCTGGGTTCAAGCAATTCTCTTGCTTCAGCCTCCCAAGTAGCTCGGATTACAAGTATCCACCACCATGCCAGGCTAATCTTTGTAGTTTTACCAGAGACGGGGTTTCGTCGAGTTGGCCAGGCTGGTTTTGAACTCGTGACCTCAGTGGTCTGCCTGCCTCGGCCTCCCAAAGTGCTGGGATTACATGCGTGAGCCACCATGCCTGGACTTTTTTTTCTTGATACAGGGTCTTGCTCTGTTATCGAGATTGGAAAGCAGTGGTACAGTCATAGTTCACTTTGGCCTCAAACTCCTGGGCTCAAGTGATACTCTTCCCTCAGGCTCCTCAAGTCGCTGGACTATAGGCATGCACCTCTACATCTAGTCAAATTTTAAAGAAATTTATATTATACTTTTTATTTCAGTGTACATATTTATACAGCAACATTTTTTTTGTAGAGATGGTGTCTTGCCATGTTGTATAGGATAGTCTTGAGCTCCTGGCCTCAGGCATTCCTCCCACCTCAGTGTCCCAAAGTGTTGGGATTACAGGCATGAGCCACTGTGCTGGGCCAGGAGATTCTTCTCATGGAAATAAAAATTGCTTTAGAAATGAGAAATTTTTAGTAGTTGGAGTAATAACATAGAGCATATATGTTCAAAGTTGTGGCACTTCTGTTTCATGTGTTAAAATGCCTTAAGAAGTCTCCAGATAGCTTTAGGGCATTTAAAAATGAGTTTTCATAAGGCAGTTATGGAGCTAATCCTATAGAGAGGCATGCTTTTTACAAAGAAAGTATATGATCCTTGTGTCTAGGCTGCTAGCACATCTGGCATAAGAACATATGATGATGGCTAGATATATGTGGAATAAATACATTATTTTAGATTATAGCCTCTATATCTCTGCTTGCCAAACTATGGGCTGCACATCTAACAGCTGCAAACACTTGATAGAAAGCAGAGTTTATGGCAGTGGTTCTGGATATCTGCTTATCAAGTAGAATGAGACACTCGGCCACTTTTATTTTCAGAATTCACTTTTACATTTTAGGGATTAAGTTTCTTCATCTTGGAAAATTGAAAGTCTAGCTACTTTTGTTCTGGAGAAATTTATAACAAACTGGCAGGTTCCTTGGAATCTGATTCCTTCTGTCATCTGTGGATGACATATAGTAGGTTTTGTATGTGAAAAAAGTGTGCGATTTAGTTTCCAAGGAGGGAGAGAGAATTTCAGTCTGTACATTTAAGGAATGTTATTTGTGTGAAGTCTTTTTTTTTTTTTTTTGAGACAGAGTGTTGCTCTGTTTCCCAGGCTGGGGTTCAGTGACATGATCTCGGCTCACTGCAACCCTTGCCTCCCAGGTTGAAACGATTCTCCTGTCTCAGCCCTCTGAGTAGCTAGGATTACAGGTGTGCGCCACCACACCCGGCTAATTTTTTTTTTTTTTTTTTTTTTTTTTGAGATGGAGTCTTACTCTTGCCCAGGCTGGAGTGCAGTGGCACGATCTCAGCTCACTACAACCTCCGCCTCCTAGGTTCAAGTGATTCTCCTGCCTCAGCCTCCCGAGTAGCTGGGATTACAGGCATGTGCCACCACGCCCGACTAATTTTGTATTTTGTATTTTTAGTAGAGATGGGGTTTGTCCATGTTGGTCAGGCTTGTCTCGAACTCCTGACCTCAGGTGATGAGCCCACCTCAGCCTCTCAAAGTTCTGGGATTACAGGCCTGAGCCACTGCATCCGGCCTCTTTTTTTTATTTTTTAGTGGAGTTGGGGTTTCGCCATGTTGGCCAGGCTGGTCTTGAACTCCTGACCTCAGGTAATCCACCTGCCTTGGCCTCCCAAACTGCTGGGATTACAGGCGTGAGCCACCGTGCCCAGCCTGTGTGAAGTCTTATATTTGGTTGTTTTATGATCTTTCTCTTTGCCTTTTAGATTCTCCTGGGCTTCTCCAATTTGAAGTGTGTCCTCTCTCAGAGTCTCGTTTCAGCGTATCTTTTCAGCACCCTGTGAATGACTCCCTGGTGTGTGGTGAGTTGTGTGGGTGGCTAACACCTCTCATGGAGCGGTTTGGTCCCTATGTCTTTTTTGGAAAAGTCAGAAGCTAAATCTAAAACAATTTCCTATGTATTTTGTCTTTCAGTGGTAATGGATGTGCAGGACTCAACACATGTGAGCTGTAAACTCTACAAAGGGCTGTCGGATGCACTGATCTGCACAGATGACTTCATTGCCAAAGTTGTTCAAAGGTAGCCTTGGCCCTTTTTCATCTGAGTCCCATTTAGAGATGTATAAAGAATGTTGTTGAGTAGGGCGCGGTGGCTCACGCCTGTAATCCCCACACTTTGGGAGGCCGAGGCAGGCGGATCACGAGGTCAGAAGATTGAGACCATTCTGGCTAACATGGTGAACCCCCATCTCTACTAAAAATACAAAAATTAGTCAGGCGCGATGGCGGGCACATGTAGTACCAGCTACTCGGGAGGCTGATGCAGAAGAATAACTTGAACCTGGGAGGTGGAGGTTGCAGTGAGCCAAGATTGCGCCATTGCACTCCAGCCTGACGACAGAGCAAGACTCCGTGTTTTTGTTTTTGTTGTAAAAAAAAAAAAAAAAAAAAAAAAAAAAAAAAAAAAAAAAGGCCGGGCCTGGTGGCTCACGCCTGTAATCCCAGCACTTTGGGAGGTGAAGGCGGGTGGATCACGAGGTCAGGAGATTGAGACCATCCTGGCTAACACAGTGAAACCCCGTCTCTATTAAAAATACAAAAAATTAGCCCGGCATGGTGGCGGGCGCCTGTAGTCCCAGCTACTAGGGAGGCTGAGGCAGGAGAATGGCATGATCCCGGGAGGTGGAGCTTGCAGTGAGCCGAGATCATGCCACTGTACTCCAGCCTGGGCAACAGAGTGAGACTCTGTCTCAAAAAAAAAAAAAAATGTTGTTTTCAGAATTAGCATGAATTTCAAATAAAGGAGCAATTTAGTTATTGCTTTGATTTCACCCTTCTCTGCTTTCGGATTCAAAGTAATCTAAGCTTTGTTTTTTTTTTTTGAGATGGAGTCTTGCTCTGATGCCCAGATTGTACAGTGGTACAATCTTGGCTCACTGCAACCTCTGCCTCCCGGGTTCAAGTGATTCTCCTGCCTCACCCTCCTGAGTAGCTAGGATTACAGGCATGTGCTACCACACCTGACTCATTTTTGTATTTTTAGTAGAGACGGGGTTTCACCATGTTGGCCAGGCTGGTCTCGAACTCCTGACCTCAGGTGATCTGCCTGCCTTGGCCTCCCAAAGTTCTGGGATTACAGGCGTGAGCCACTGCACACAGCCAGCTTTGTTTTTTTTTTTTTTTTTTTTTTTTTAATGATATTACTATGAGAGTAATGGGAAGTAAAGTAGGTAACTTCAGGCCTGGAATTATGGTACTTTAAGGCAGGAGAAAGCCATAATAAAATACAGATATTTTTCTTACCTATCCTGTGTGCCAATTCTTCATAGATGTGACATTTTTATCTTTTTATTCTTTTATTTTTTTATTTTGAGACAAGAGTCTCACTCTGTTACCCAGGCTGGAGTGCAGTGGTGTGATGACGGCTCACTGAAGTGTTGACCTCCGAGGTTCAGGTTATCCTTCCACCTAGACCTCCTGAGTAGCTGGTACTGCAGGTGTGAGCCACTGTGTCTGCCTGAGCAGATTTCACAACTTAAATGTTAGGCTGGGCGTGGCAGTGCATGCCTGTAATCCAGCACTTTGGGAGGCCAAGGCGGGCAGATTACTTGAGGTCAGGAGTTCGAGACCAGCCTGGCCAACATGTTGAGATGTCATCTCTATAAAAATACGAAAATTAACCGAGCATGGTGGTATCCGTCTGTCATTCTAGCTACTTGAGAGGCTGAGGCAGGAGAATCACTTGAACCTGGGAATCGGAGGTTGCGGTGAGCCAAGATTGCGCCACTGTTCTTTAGCCTGGGTGATAGAGTGAGATTCTGTCTCAAAACAAACAAACTAACTAAATAAATAAAAATATAAAAATTAGCCAGGTGTGGTGGCAGGTGCCTATAATCCCAGCTACTCAGGAGGCTGAGGCGGGAGAATTGCTTGAACCTGGGAGGCGGAGGCTGCAGTGAGCCGAGATTGTGCCACTCCACTCCAGCCTGGTAGACAGAGCAAGATGCCATCTCAAAACAAACAAAAAGCCAACTTAATTGTTACGTGATAGTTAAGCCAGTATGCATCCCAGAACCATTAATATGTAATTTTTTGAGATTTTTCTACAGCTGGGTCTGGCAGCCTATTTTTGTAAATAAATTTTATTGGAACACTGCTGTTCATTTACATGTCTGTGGCAGATTTCTAGTTAATATTGCAGAGTAGGTGAACAGGAAACAAGACCTACAAAGCCTAACGGATTACTATATGGCCTTATAAGAAAAATTTGCGGCCGGGTGCGGGGGTCACCCCTGTAATCCTAGCACTTTGGGAGGCTGAGGCGGGTAAATCACGAGGTCAGGAGTTCAAGACCAGCCTGGCCAAGATGGTGAAACCCCATCTCTACTAAAAATACAAAAATTAGCTGGGCGTGGTGGCGGGCTTCTGTAATCCCAGCTACTTGGGAGGCTGAGGCAGAGAATTGCTTGAACCTGGGAGGCGGAAGTTGCGGTAAGCCAAGATCATGCCACTGCACTCCAGCCTGGATAACAGAGCGAGACTCTGTCTCAAAGAAAAAAAAAAAAAAAAAAAGAAAAATTTGCTGGCTGGGTGTGGTGGCTCACGCCTATAATCCCAGCACTTTGGGAGGTGGGTGGATCGCCTGAGGTCAGGAGTTCGAGACCAGCCTGACTGACATGGAGAAACCCTGTCTCTACTAAAAATACAGAATTAGCTGGGCGTGATGGCGCATGGCTGTAATCCCAGCTACTCGAGAGGCTGAGGCAGGAGAATCACTTGAACCTGGGAGGTGGAGGTTGCAGTGAGCCAAGATCGCGCCATTGCACTCCAGCCTGGGCAACAAGAGCAAAACTCCGTCTCAAAAAAAAAAAAAAAAAGAAAAAAAAATTTGCTGACATATGTTCTAGAGCAAAACGTTTGCAAACTGAGGTTTATGAATATAAATTTATCTGGAAAATAAAAAGTGCTTTGCTTTAAAATAAACAAGATTTATAACAGAAATAGCACTTTTTATAATAGTGTAGGTTTGGGATGATCTAAGTCATTAAGGTTTAGTACTTAATGGGTCAAGAGATTTTTCTTTTCTTTTTTTTTTTTTTGAGATGGAGTCTTGTACTGTCACCTGGGCTGGAGTGCCATGGCACAATCTCAGCTCACTGCAACCTCTGCTTCCCGGGTTCAAGCAATTCTGCCTCAGCCTCCCAAGTAGTTGGGATTACAGGCACCTGCCACCATGCCCAGCTAATTTTTTGTATTTTTTCTTTTTTTTAGTAGAGATGGGGTTTCACTATGTTGGCCAGGCTGGTCTCAAAACTCCTGACCCTGTGATCCACCCGCCTCGGCCTCCCAAAGTGCTGGGATTACAGGCGTGAGCCACTCTGACCGGCGGAGATTTTTCTAATGGTTCCTTAATTAAAATAAATTATGTATCCCTGTAATTACCATATGAAGCCCCCCAGAGGACGACATTTTCTTTTTTCCTTTGAAATGAAGTCTTGCACTGTCACCAAGGCTGGCGTGCAATGGGACGATCTTGGCTCGCTGCGATCTCTGCCTCCTGGGTTCAAGTGATTCTCCTGTCTACCCTTCCTGAGTAGCTGGGATTACAGCTGTGCACCGCCACGGCTGGCTAATTTTTTGTATTTTTAGTAGAGACAGGGTTTCACCCCGCTGGCCAGGCTGGTCTCAAACTCCTGACCCGAAGTGATCCACCCTCCTCGGCCTTCCAAAGTGCTGGGATTGCAGGAGTGAGCCACCGCGCCCGACCTAAGGAGGCATTTTTTTTTTTGAGACGGAGTCTCACTCTGTTGCCAAGCTGGAGTGCAGTGGTGTGATCTCAGTGCAATGCAACCTCCGCCTCCCTTGTTCAAGCAATTCTCCTGCCTCAACCTCCCGAGTAGCTGGGATTACAGGCACGCGCCACCACGCCCAGCTAATTTTTGTATTTTTAGTAGAGACGGGGTTTCACCATGTTGGCCAGGATGGTGTCGATCTCCTGACCTCATGTTCCAGCCGCCTTGGCCTCCCAAAGTGCTGGGATTACAGGCGTGAGCCACTGTGCCCGGCCCCTAAGGAGGCATTTTCTTACTGAGTTCCATTATTACCAATTTTCTTTTAGTTAAGTTTGAAATTCAATTATTTGGACTCTTGTTTATAGTTTGCTTTTGTTGTGTGATTCATAAGAGGTTGACAATTTTATGTTGGGTTAGATTTTTAGAATGTATTTACCCAAAGCTCTGGTATTTGATAGAACTATTTTTGTCTTACAGATTATTTGCCCTACCTGAAAACTGCTTACTGCAAAACTCTGATGTTATATCTAAATCTCAGGTCTCATTCAGCAGCTATTGCAATGTTAACTTTGTTTTCTTCTTTATTTTGCAGATGTATGTCCATCCCTGTGACGATGAGGGCTATTCGGAGGAAAGCTGAAACCATTCAAGCCGACACCCCAGCACTGTCCCTCATTGCAGAGACAGTTGAAGACATGGTGAAAAAGAACCTGCCCCCGGCTAGCAGCCCAGGGTATGGCATGACCACAGGCAACAACCCAATGAGTGGTACCACTACACCAACCAACACCTTTCCGGGGGGTCCCATTACCACCTTGTTTAATATGAGCATGAGCATCAAAGATCGGCATGAGTCGGTGGGCCATGGGGAGGACTTCAGCAAGGTGTCTCAGAACCCAATTCTTACCAGTTTGTTGCAAATCACAGGGAACGGGGGGTCTACCATTGGCTCGAGTCCGACCCCTCCTCATCACACGCCGCCACCTGTCTCTTCGATGGCCGGCAACACCAAGAACCACCCGATGCTCATGAACCTTCTTAAAGATAATCCTGCCCAGGATTTCTCAACCCTTTATGGAAGCAGCCCTTTAGAAAGGCAGAACTCCTCTTCCGGCTCACCCCGCATGGAAATATGCTCGGGGAGCAACAAGACCAAGAAAAAGAAGTCATCAAGATTACCACCTGAGAAACCAAAGCACCAGACTGAAGATGACTTTCAGAGGGAGCTATTTTCAATGGATGTTGACTCACAGAACCCTATCTTTGATGTCAACATGACAGCTGACACGCTGGATACGCCACACATCACTCCAGCTCCAAGCCAGTGTAGCACTCCCCCAACAACTTACCCACAACCAGTACCTCACCCCCAACCCAGTATTCAAAGGATGGTCCGACTATCCAGTTCAGACAGCATTGGCCCAGATGTAACTGACATCCTTTCAGACATTGCAGAAGAAGCTTCTAAACTTCCCAGCACTAGTGATGATTGCCCAGCCATTGGCACCCCTCTTCGAGATTCTTCAAGCTCTGGGCATTCTCAGAGTACCCTGTTTGACTCTGATGTCTTTCAAACTAACAATAATGAAAATCCATACACTGATCCAGCTGATCTTATTGCAGATGCTGCTGGAAGCCCCAGTAGTGACTCTCCTACCAATCATTTTTTTCATGATGGAGTAGATTTCAATCCTGATTTATTGAACAGCCAGAGCCAAAGTGGTTTTGGAGAAGAATATTTTGATGAAAGCAGCCAAAGTGGGGATAATGATGATTTCAAAGGATTTGCATCTCAGGCACTAAATACTTTGGGGGTGCCAATGCTTGGAGGTGATAATGGGGAGACCAAGTTTAAGGGCAATAACCAAGCCGACACAGTTGATTTCAGTATTATTTCAGTAGCCGGCAAAGCTTTAGCTCCTGCAGATCTTATGGAGCATCACAGTGGTAGTCAGGGTCCTTTACTGACCACTGGGGACTTAGGGAAAGAAAAGACTCAAAAGAGGGTAAAGGAAGGCAATGGCACCAGTAATAGTACTCTCTCGGGGCCCGGATTAGACAGCAAACCAGGGAAGCGCAGTCGGACCCCTTCTAATGATGGGAAAAGCAAAGATAAGCCTCCAAAGCGGAAGAAGGCAGACACTGAGGGAAAGTCTCCATCTCATAGTTCTTCTAACAGACCTTTTACCCCACCTACCAGTACAGGTGGATCTAAATCGCCAGGCAGTGCAGGAAGATCTCAGACTCCCCCAGGTGTTGCCACACCACCCATTCCCAAAATCACTATTCAGATTCCTAAGGGAACAGTGATGGTGGGCAAGCCTTCCTCTCACAGTCAGTATACCAGCAGTGGTTCTGTGTCTTCCTCAGGCAGCAAAAGCCACCATAGCCATTCTTCCTCCTCTTCCTCATCTGCTTCCACCTCAGGGAAGATGAAAAGCAGTAAATCAGAAGGTTCATCAAGTTCCAAGTTAAGTAGCAGTATGTATTCTAGCCAGGGGTCTTCTGGATCTAGCCAGTCCAAAAATTCATCCCAGTCTGGGGGGAAGCCAGGCTCCTCTCCCATAACCAAGCATGGACTGAGCAGTGGCTCTAGCAGCACCAAGATGAAACCTCAAGGAAAGCCATCATCACTTATGAATCCTTCTTTAAGTAAACCAAACATATCCCCTTCTCATTCAAGGCCACCTGGAGGCTCTGACAAGCTTGCCTCTCCAATGAAGCCTGTTCCTGGAACTCCTCCATCCTCTAAAGCCAAGTCCCCTATCAGTTCAGGTTCTGGTGGTTCTCATATGTCTGGAACTAGTTCAAGCTCTGGCATGAAGTCATCTTCAGGGTTAGGATCCTCAGGCTCGTTGTCCCAGAAAACTCCCCCATCATCTAATTCCTGTACGGCATCTTCCTCCTCCTTTTCCTCAAGTGGCTCTTCCATGTCATCCTCTCAGAACCAGCATGGGAGTTCTAAAGGAAAATCTCCCAGCAGAAACAAGAAGCCGTCCTTGACAGCTGTCATAGATAAACTGAAGCATGGGGTTGTCACCAGTGGCCCTGGGGGTGAAGACCCACTGGACGGCCAGATGGGGGTGAGCACAAATTCTTCCAGCCATCCTATGTCCTCCAAACATAACATGTCAGGAGGAGAGTTTCAGGGCAAGCGTGAGAAAAGTGATAAAGACAAATCAAAGGTTTCCACCTCCGGGAGTTCAGTGGATTCTTCTAAGAAGACCTCAGAGTCAAAAAATGTGGGGAGCACAGGTGTGGCAAAAATTATCATCAGTAAGCATGATGGAGGCTCCCCTAGCATTAAAGCCAAAGTGACTTTGCAGAAACCTGGGGAAAGTAGTGGAGAAGGGCTTAGGCCTCAAATGGCTTCTTCTAAAAACTATGGCTCTCCACTCATCAGTGGTTCCACTCCAAAGCATGAGCGTGGCTCTCCCAGCCATAGTAAGTCACCAGCATATACCCCCCAGAATCTGGACAGTGAAAGTGAGTCAGGCTCCTCCATAGCAGAGAAATCTTATCAGAATAGTCCCAGCTCAGACGATGGTATCCGACCACTTCCAGAATACAGCACAGAGAAACATAAGAAGCACAAAAAGGAAAAGAAGAAAGTAAAAGACAAAGATAGGGACCGAGACCGGGACAAAGACCGAGACAAGAAAAAATCTCATAGCATCAAGCCAGAGAGTTGGTCCAAATCACCCATCTCTTCAGACCAGTCCTTGTCTATGACAAGTAACACAATCTTATCTGCAGACAGACCCTCAAGGCTCAGCCCAGACTTTATGATTGGGGAGGAAGATGATGATCTTATGGATGTGGCCCTGATTGGGAATTAGGAACCTTATTTCCTAAAAGAAACAGGGCCAGAGGAAAAAAAACTATTGATAAGTTTATAGGCAAACCACCATAAGGGGTGAGTCAGACAGGTCTGATTTGGTTAAGAATCCTAAATGGCATGGCTTTGACATCAAGCTGGGTGAATTAGAAAGGCATATCCAGACCCTATTAAAGAAACCACAGGGTTTGATTCTGGTTACCAGGAAGTCTTCTTTGTTCCTGTGCCAGAAAGAAAGTTAAAATACTTGCTTAAGAAAGGGAGGGGGGTGGGAGGGGTGTAGGGAGAGGGAAGGGAGGGAAACAGTTTTGTGGGAAATATTCATATATATTTTCTTCTCCCTTTTTCCATTTTTAGGCCATGTTTTAAACTCATTTTAGTGCATGTATATGAAGGGCTGGGCAGAAAATGAAAAAGCAATACATTCCTTGATGCATTTGCATGAAGGTTGTTCAACTTTGTTTGAGGTAGTTGTCCGTTTGAGTCATGGGCAAATGAAGGACTTTGGTCATTTTGGACACTTAAGTAATGTTTGGTGTCTGTTTCTTAGGAGTGACTGGGGGAGGGAAGATTATTTTAGCTATTTATTTGTAATATTTTAACCCTTTATCTGTTTGTTTTTATACAGTGTTTCGTTCTAAATCTATGAGGTTTAGGGTTCAAAATGATGGAAGGCCGAAGAGCAAGGCTTATATGGTGGTAGGGAGCTTATAGCTTGTGCTAATACTGTAGCATCAAGCCCAAGCAAATTAGTCAGAGCCCGCCTTTAGAGTTAAATATAATAGAAAAACCAAAATGATATTTTTATTTTAGGAGGGTTTAAATAGGGTTCAGAGATCATAGGAATATTAGGAGTTACCTCTCTGTGGAGGTATTGACTTGTAATCTCATTTTCCTTTCAAAAAAAAAAAAAAAAGCTAAGGTGGCTTGTTGGGATGTAAACATGTTTTCAGATGCAGTAAGGTTTAGTGTAGGACAGCCTTCCTGACCCAGTGGCATGAAAACCATTACAGGATTAATAGTTCTCCTACTTCCACAATGTGCCAAAAGTCTGCATCCCAGCATTTTGTTTGCAGGAGAACTGATGCCATTCCTAAGAGCTGGACTCACTGTTTCTCTTCATCACAAGGAGAAGGAGTCCAAACTTTAATCACTCCACTGTATGCTCCCTGAGATAAAACAGTAAAAAATCCGCAGCCATAGTTCACTTAAAACAATTTCAAGCTCACTTTTGAAGTAATGGGGGCCTGGAATGCTAGGTGAGCATGAAGATAAACCCTTGCTACTATGTAGCAACCCAATTGGACCTTTTTGGAGAAATAGGTCTGAGTCTGGATTCTGGGGGACATCAATAAGAGCCCTTCACATAAAAATATAGAAATCCAGGAGACTGTTTCGAGTGCAACAGAAGTTCTCAGTATTTGGAGGGTCCTCTCAAAAATTCTGCGGCCTTACTTTGATATTGACACCTGCACTGTGCCATTCCTGATTATTCCATTCAGGATCTGTATCAGCGGGATGGGGCATGGTCCCCAGCACAACTCTTCTGGGTTAAAAAAAAAAAGCCAGGTGATTCCTTTGTGTGTTATGTCGTAAGTGGAGTGACTTCATCATATATGGAAGAAGATTTCTATATTCAGCTTTTTCTGCAGGTTGGAGTCAGCATAGAGTTGGAAAATCAGCTTTGGCTTTCTTTCCTGTCTCATTTCCTCTAGTGTTCTCCTTTTTATTGTCATCAGCTCTCAACAACTCTGCCACTTTTGTGTCCCAAGGTAATAAGATGTAGGAAACAAAACATTGTAAAGTGGAGCAAGAAAAGTTATCAATTAACCACATCAGAGTCAAATGTCTTGGGTGACACTAAGGAGGATATGGGCAGGTGATACCAGAGTGCTTTATCTTGTGATGTTGATACAGTAGCAGCCTCTCAGACATTCAGCCAGGTTGGATTTCTCATGAGTTTGTCACCTAGTTTTGAATCCTATCCCGTTGGTTTCTGCAGGAAAAAAAAAAAAATTTATGTGGTTTTTAAAATTTGTTCTGAGTGGGGAGAATCTTAGGGGGAATGTACTGAATAGTATCATGGGCTCAGCTCCCCCATGCAGGGCCAACAAATACCAAAATGAGTAAACTGGGAAGCTTTTCTCTCTTTCTGTCTTCATCCCAGATCAAAGAATCCCGAGTTAGGATCTGGATGAAGGATAAGCCCCTGAATTGTCGATGGGCTCACCCCCACACTGACCCAGCATCTGAACTTGCTTAACAGGGAGCCGGGGCTAAACTGCTTCACCCTGCCTGAGAACCAGGGAGCACTGCATTTCTCCACAGGGTGGAGGAGAAGAGGCAGAATAAACCAAGCCTGGGACACCTCCCTCCTGTCTAGGTGTACTCATTCTTCTGTTTCAAAAGAAGGCAAGGACATGAAGTCAACTTCTACCTATCTTCTGCTGCTGGTGTCTTATGTATTCTCAGTTTGACCTGATTCCTCTTCTGTCTTTTGACTTAACATTAGGGGTTCTTGGTCATAACCTGCTCTGATGTACATAAAGATTTCAGGTTCAATATCAATGTGTCTTAAAACAGAAGTATTTTAGCGGGTGGGGGGTGGGGTGGTGGGGACAAACAACGCAGGATATAATTGCCAAAACCAGGCTTGAGGTTGGTGACTCTTGAAAGATTTTCTTTCTTCAGGCCTAGATCAGAAAATTAAGTGCAGCAATATCATGAATTCTCAGAAGCCCTTTCAGGGAGCCAGTGAGTCATACAGTATCCACAGTTGAGTCACTTAAAGATGTCAGTATACGAAACATTATTCACAATCCTTGGGCAATCTCATTTTTTTTTCCTTCTCCCCTCCTCCCCTGCCCCCCATACATTTCTATCCTTGAGTTAGTTTTGGAGGGGCAGGAAGTACTTAACATCTCAGAAGCTAGATTGGGAAACATGCTCAGCTATAAGAACTGAGCTTTAAATTTTGAGTTTAAAAATGTACATCAGGAGCAGCTGGGGAGGGTCTTTTTTTAAAAAAATCTTTCAAATTTGGTTTTCTGTGCATATGGCCGTTTTGTAAATACTTTGGGGTTTTTCATTTTTTTGAAAGTAGATGAAATCTGTTGTGGGATTTTTTTCCCGAAACATTACAAAATAACCTGTTTATTTACATGCAAATAAACTTCTTTGATAAAAAGTAATTTGCCTGTGTGTAATAAAATTTTAGCCTTTGAATACTTTTTTCATTTGTTCAAAACTCCAGTCAATTTTAAAGAGTCAGTCAACAGTAAATGTCTTCCCTGAGTACTACTTGAAATGGGTCAACTGGTAACTGACGGAGCTGTGAAACTTGTCTTCATTCTATTACTCTGTAGGCCAGTTTTTCTACCCTTTGCCATTTTTTTTTTTTTCGAGATGGAGTCTCGCTGTGTCGCCCAGGCTGGAGTGCAGTGGCACAATCTTGGCTCACTACAACCTCCGCCTCCCGGGTTCAAGCAATTCTGCCTCAGCCTCCCGAGTAGCTGGGATTAGAGGCGCCCACCACCACGCCCAGCTAATTTTTGTATTTTTAGCAGAGACGGGGTTTCACCATGTTGGCCAGGATGGTCTCAATCTCCTGACCTTATGATCCGCCCGCCTTGGCCTCCCAAAGTGCTGGGATTACAGGCGTGAGCCACCGCGCCCGGCCATCCCTTTGCCATTGTTACTCACCAAATGCATCAGTTTTTGCTGGGAGAAAACAGCTCTTAGATGAGACAGAATGAAAAGGCTTTTTTATTCCACTGGCTGAAGTCAAGCAAAAACATTAAAAGTACCTGGGACAGGAGGAGAAGACAGACCTGGGTTTGTGGGCCTGAGAATGAGTTTCTGAAGCTAGGTCCCTGGTTTTAGGAAGCCCCCTCTAGGATTAAAAAAAGCCGGGGGGTGGCGCGCTGGTCGTGGTGGCTCACATGAGGCCTGTAATCTCAGCACTGGGAGGAGGCTGGAGGATCACTTGGGCCCAGGAATTGCAGACTAGTCTGGGCAACATAGGGAGACCCCGTCTCTACAAAAGAAAAAAGATCCCAGCACTCTGGGAGGCCGAGGCGGGCGGATCACTTGTAGTCAGGTGTTCCTGACCAGCCTGGCCAACATGGCGAAACCTCGTCTCTACTTAGCCAGGTGCGGCGCGGCGCGCCTGTAATCCCAGCTACTTGGGAGGCTTGAACCCGGGAGGCAGAGGTTGCAGTAAACCGAGATCGTGCCACTGCACTCCAGCCTAAGCGACAGAGTTGAACCTCTGTCTCAAAAAAAAAAAAAAAAAAAAAAAGAAAAAGTTTGTACAGTGCTTTAAGAGTTGGGTAATATGTCCTCCAGCTAAAATATACCTGTTCTTAAAGATCTGCCGCACTTGTTGCTCTTGTTAATTTCTTAGACGCATAACAAGTCAGTCGCTAAAACCACTAATTAAAAGGGGTGTGAGGAAGACCAACTCATAACTGCTTTGGAAGCATACAATTAGCAGTGCTGCTGCTCCTGCCAGGTGTGCTGGAATTTATTATACAGTTTCTAATAGTTCACTCTTAGGACATAATTTTGTAGTTTGTTGCTCATAGAAGGGGCAACAAAACTACAAAATCCTGTGTTATTCCTTCGTGGAAATTCGGTCATAAATTCTGAGACCTTGAAGGCCAGAGTTGTTAAAACATAATATAATATGATGACACAGATCAGCTTCTATACAAGGAGCCCGGGAGTCTGATGAAGTGTTTCCATCGGGAAAACGCCCCCGCCTACTCGCTCACACACGCTTGTTTCTCCCGCCAAAGTGACGTCAGGCCGAAGCTCTCACCAAACAGCGCCCTGATTGGCGGACAGGCAGGCGCTGCAGCCCATTGGGCGCCGGCGGCGGCCGAGCAAGGAAAACCAAAGGCTCTTCGGTCTCGCCCGCCCCACCCCCACGGACGCGCGCCCCGACCCCGGCCAAAGGAAGGGTTGCCCGGCTCCAGCCCTGCACCCCCGACCCCCGGCCTCAGGTGCAGCTCCGCAGCCATCCCCGGACCAGGGCGGGCACTTGGCCTGTTGCTCAGCGCAACCACCCTCGCCCTCCCGAGCCATGCACAGGGAGACAAGCGTCCGGCCCCGGCCCCCCAGGCCTCCCTGCAGCACCCCGTAATGTAATGCACTGGGGCGGGGGAGGCGGGGGAGGCGGCGGCGGCGGCAACCGCGGAGGCGCGGCGGCAGCCGCACTGCCCCAATCTAGACACATCCAGAAGAGGAGGAAAATGGCTCCGAGCAGGGACCGCCTGCTGCACTTTGGGTTCAAGGCGACAGTGAGTGACAGGGGAAGGGAGCTGGGTGGCCGGGAAGGATGCGGGTGCCTTACAGGATCCTGGGGAACAAGTGACGAGGGGCGACGGGCGCGGGCAGAGGCTGAGGTTCTGTGCAGGCAGGTGCGTGCCTGTTTGCCCGCGGAGGGAGGAGAGGGGGACACGGGGCAGAAGAGGGGCCCCCGCGCAGAGTGCGGTACTGCTCTACTCTCCCTCGCTGGTCCGCGAGCACGCGCGCACTCGCATCCGCCCCACAGACCCCCTTTTCCACACGCACAGGCACTTCCCTGCCTCGCCTTCTCCCGATGGGCTCGTCTGCCTCGGAGGCGCAGGGGGTCGTGCCGCCGCCGCGCACCGGCTGCTCCCGGGAGCGCCGTCAGGGCCGGCCCCGTGTGGGGGAGGGGTGGTCTCGCGCCGCCGCCGCCGCGCTCCTCCCCTCCCGCCCCTCCCCCTCCCGGGCGCTCCGAGGCCCGGGCGGCTCTGTCCAATGAGCAGCGGCGTTGCTGGCAGGTGGGGAGTGTTTTTGTTTTGGGTTGAAGTTGAGGCTGAGGAGAGAGCCGAGCTAGCGACGAGCAGTCGTTGCGGCCGCCGGCGCCGCGGGAGGTGGTGGAGGCCTAGCCGGAGCCGAGAGGTCTCTTGTTCCCGTCCCACGGTCCCGGCGTCACCCCTCCGGCGCCCAGTCCCCGTCCCGGAACTCCCGGGCCTGTCCTGGGCCCCCGGTCTGTGCACTCCGCTCGCCGCAGCGCCCGGCCCGGGCCGCACCCGCCGGCCCCATGAGGAGGGACGTGAACGGAGTGACCAAGAGCAGGTTTGAGGTGTGAGCTTGGGGGGCTCGGGCGGCGTGAGGAGGGCGGGTCGCGCGCTCTAATCCCAAAACGTCCGCTCCGCACGGAGCCTCCTCCCTGGCAGGCGCCGTCACCCACCCACTGGCGGGGCTGCCAGACTCCGCTCCCCTTTCTTGCGACCCAGAAGCCCAGCGCAGCCCGGTGCCCCCAGTCCCCTCGCCGGTTCGCCCCCCGTCTCTTCCCACCAGCGGGCCCCCGCGGGGGATTAGCTCGGGCGCCCTAATTCCACCCTCCTCCAGGATCGCTCAGCTTTCCATTCTTTACACAACCCTTGGCTTGCCTCCTTCCACCCAGCCATCACGGCTCCGGTCCACCAGAGCCTGCTGCTTTTCTCGCTGCTACCTTCATGACGCGTTTGTTGTCTGTTGAGGGAGGAAATTAGGGGATGGGTACCATTTCTCCGAGTTTGAGACCTTGGTGAAACTAGGGAAGTGGGGACGGTAGTTTGGGATGATAGAGGCTACCACGGGTTTTCGGTGCTGTGTTTGGTTTGGGTATTGTTCTGATACTTCCTCTGCTTTCCCGTTTAGTCTGTACTTCTGTAGCTCATTGTTCCTTGGGAACCCTTGGATGTCTACATGCTTTGAGATTGGGACGAAAGTTCAGCAAATCCATTCCGGTCTGTCTTTCAGGAACTTTTTCTCCTCTAGCGAGGGAGGTTTACTGTCCTGGAATTGAGGAGTGGACGGTCTTGAAAGCGTCTTTAGAGAGTAGTCATCTTGCAAGGAAGAGATTCCTTTGGGAAGTGAAATATTGTAACTACTGATGAATTACAGTAGTATAACAATATACTGGAAGGTTCCTTGAGGGTCAAGAGAAAGAAACTTCTACAGGAAGAGTAAATGTCACCTGGTCTTTTCTGGCAGAGAACCAGGCTGACCTGGGATCACTCACAGCTCAGTGGACAATCTCACTCGGTGTTTTTCTTCATCTCCATTTGAGAGATGAAATTGTAAGACGGCGAGACAAAAGTTTAAGAAACTCGACAACTAGGTTCAGGGTGTGAAAACTTTTAAGGGTTGTCAGTTTAATCTATTCTTTGATTTCTTATTATGCGAACTGGGAAATAATTTGAATTGATCCACGAAGATCAAGATAGGAAGTGTTTTGGGTGCAGTTTAAGTTCAGAGCTTCAGTGTTACTGTTGCACTTCAGGAGTGGAGAAAATCAAAGAATTGGCCTTCTTAGAGTTTTAGTATTTAACTTGATCACTAGAAGAAAATGTTATGGAATATATTATTTGGTGTTTAATAGGACATTGGATGGCCCTAATGTACAGAGCCCCAATAAAGTTAATTTATGATGGTTTCGTATTCAGTAGTACCGTAAAAACCCAGAATGTCACTAAAATTGCTGAATAGACGTTCAGCAGTTAACAGGAATCTTGAAAGGCAGTTCCAGATACTGAAGATTTGAGTCGGGGACAGTCTTTTGCCTGTGGAATTAGCTCTTTATCAGTTTGCTGTTCATTTTAGATTGAATAATTTTTGGAAAGTATTCTCTTGTATGTGGTGTAAAATTACATTGCTATTTTGTATTTTTATAATTATCTTATACTTTAATTTACAATCTCTGTAGGGGTGGCATACTATAATAAAGTAATAAGGAAATTTGTTGCTGTATTAAGAGGTTTCTTTTTAACTTGTAGCTGATGTAGCTGGCAACGAAATCTTTCTAAATATGATCTGAGAAGGTAAAAAAAAGAATAAGGTGGGGAGTCCTTCTTGGACGGTTTCATGATTAAATAAGTGTTTGTTTATAAACTAAAAGCTATTCACTTAATATGATGTGAAGTGTTCCATGCCGGAATACAGATGAGAATGGCTAGAAATGATATGTGTTAATGAAGTTCATTGAGTACTTCTTAAAACCATTTACCTCTTTATTGACCTAATTTACAAGGACTGAGACAATTAGTAATTGGCTTCTTAGGAAGTAGTAAATAAATTTATTGCTTATTTGTTGAAAATATTTTAAATATTTACTTTCAATAAAAGATACGTAAATAAAGCAGATCTAAACATTTACATCAAATGATATTTTAAATCCTCAAGATTACAGTCTGCTTCTTAAAGAACTGATAATTTTACAACTGTAAGCAGATAGCAGATCTCATTGAGAATTTTTGTGGATGCATGAAATCTTTATATCACATAATAGCTAATTTCAAATTGTGGCTACGTAAGGTTTATTTTTCTTGGAGAAGATAACTGAAGCTCTATGATTTTCAGATAGTTGATTCATTGAAATCCTTTTGTAGGTATGCTTTTATATGTTGTAACTGGAGGCCACACACCTTAAATCTCCCACTCTGGGTTAGAGCTATAGAAAAAAAATTTTTTTAATTTAAAACCAAGGGGCCGGGCGAGGTGGCTCATGCCTGTAATCCCAGCACTTTGGGAGGCCGAGGTGGGTGGATCACGAGGTCAGGAGTTCAAGACCAGCCTGACCAACCTGGTGAAACCCGGTCTCTACTAAAAATACAAAAATTAGCCGGGCGTGGTAGTGGGCACCTGTAATTCCAGCTACTCAGGAGGCTGAGGCAGGAGAATCACTTGAACCCAGGAGGCGGAGGTTGTATTGAGCCGAGATTGTGCCATTTTACTCCAGCCTGGGCGACAGAGCGAGAGATTCCGTCTCCAAAAAAAAAACAAAAAACAACGAGGGTGAGTACCTGTTAGCCAGATGTGTAGCATCCTGTGGAATAGCCAAAGTAGATGACTACTGAATAAAGAATCTCTATTTAAGAGATCAAGAGATGTGAAAATTCATGTTTTTCTTGCTGTGTCACCATGGCATTAAATGTATACAGTAATAACCCTTGTAGGTCAACATAGTATGTGCTGAATTGTGTTAATCAATTAAAACTTACCATTCAGATATTTTAATTATGTTATTTATGGTAAACTTTGCAGCAAATTTTAGTAATTGTCTTTCAAATTTAACGATGGTTATTGAATACTTCCTGCATGACAGACACTGAGCCAGATGTTTTACCTCAGTTACCTCTAGCTTTTTGTTGTTGTTGTTGTTTTGTTGCTTTTTTTCTTTGAGATGAAATCTTGCCCTTGTCCCCAGGCTGGAGTGCAATGGTGCGATCTCGGCTCACTGCAACCACTTCCCAGGTTTTAAGCGATTCTACTGCCTCAGCCTCCCGAGTAGCTGGGATTACAGGCGCCTGCCACCATGCCCGGCTAATTTTTGTATTTTTAGTAGAGACGGGGTTTCACCATGTTGGCCAGGCTGGTCTCGAGCTCCTGACCTCGTGATCCAACCCCCCCCCCCCCCCCGCCCGCCGGCCTCCCAAAGTGCTGGGATTACAGGCGTGAGCCACCGCACCCGGCTAGTTACCTCTAGTTTTACGATTCTGTTTTACACTTGAGGAAAGTGAAGGCCTGAGAGGTTAAGTAAGGTGTTCAAATTGCACACCTAGTAAGTGGGGGAACCAGGATTCCAATCTGCATTTTTTTTTTTTGACTCCACTGTCATCCTGCTTTTTTTTTTAGCATGACTAGCAAAAAGTCTATAAAATTTGTGGAAAAGAGCTTTTCCAAAGTTCATCCATTTTATTTTATTTTGTATTTGCTACTGCTGGGCTTGAGCAATCCTTTCGCCGGCCTCCCAAAGTGTTAGAATTACAGGTGTGATTACCACACCTGACTGCCTTCATTTTAAGTGCCATAACTGACATTATCTTAACACTTAGTGAGATTAATGTTTAAATATCTAGACTAGCCCTTGAATCTAAGCTTAGATTTGCTTCAGTTAAGCCTCTCCACTTTGTCATGCTCTTAGTAGCTTCTTTATGAGGATGTAGTACTGTTGGAGAAAAATTCTGTCTTAATGGGTTTATTAAAAAGCCTAACATTAAAAAACAATCATAGTGGTAACATTAACTGACATTCAGATACCATTTTACAGTTTAAACAGTGCCTGGAGATAAGAACCCATAAGTTAGAAAGTGATATGCTCCAATTTCGGTATTTTGAATCCATGTTCATTATTGTTTTTCATTATACGTCACTGCCTTTCGTATAAATCTGTAATATTATGTGCAACCTGTAACCCTAGCATGTAATATTTGTTTGCCTACTTGCTTCATTTTATCCAAAGTAACAAAAATCTGGCTGGGCATGGTGGCTCACGCCTGTAATCACAGCACTTTGGGAGGCCAAAGCGGGTGGATCATCTGAGCTCGGGAGTTCGAGACCAGCCTGGCCAACATGGTGAAACCCTGTCTCTACTACAAAAATTACCTGGACCTGTCTCAAACAAACAAAAAACAGAATAACAAAAATCTTAAAATGCAGCATGGCAAAAAGAGCATACTACATTGTGAGTGGAGAGACCTGGATTTTTTTTTTTTTTTTTTTTGAGCCGGAGTCTTGCTCTGTCGCCCAGGCTGGAGTGCAGTGACGTGATGTCAGCTCACTGCAAACTCCGCCTCCCAGGTTCACGCCATTCTCCTGCCGCAGCCTCCCGAGTAGCTGGGACTACAGGTGCCTGCTGCCATGCCCGGCTAATTTTTTTTGTATTTTTAGTAGAGACGGGGTTTCACCGTGTTAGCCAGGATGGTCTCAATCTCCTAACCTCGCGATCCGCCCACCTCAGCCTCCCAAAGTGCTGGGATTACAGGTGTGAGCCACCACGCCCGGCAAGACCTGCATATTAATCTTAATTTTTTGCTAGCAACTAACTGTAACTTTGGTCATTTCTTTCTTTTTTTTTTTTTTTGAGACGGAGTTTCGCTTTTGTCGCCCAGGTCAGAGTGCAATGGTGCGATCTTGGCTCACTGCAACCTCCGCCTCCTGGGTTCAAGCGATTCTCCTGCCTCAGCCTCCTGAGTAGCTGGGATTACAGGCACCCGCCACCATGCACAACTAATTTTTGTATTTTTAGTAGAGATGGGGTTTTGCCATATTGGCCAGACTGGTCTTGAACTACTGACCTCAGGTGATACACCCATCTCAGCCTCCCGAAGTGCTGGGATTACAGATGTGAGCCACGACACCCGGCCTGGTCATTCTTTTTACTTTTCTAGCTTGGTGATTTCCCTCTTCTGTAAAGCGAGGGAGATAGAATCAATCACTAAGGTACCTTTTTTCTAGAATCCTATGCATCTGTGCTTTTTGAATAAAAGCAGAGGATCATATTTCCCTGGCCATTTCTTCTGAAACAGCCACTATAATATTTAAGTTTGTAGGCTCAGTCTCAGAATACACCGTTAAGGCTGAAATAAAGACCTTTTTTTTTTTTTTTCGAAAAGTCTTTTAATACATGAAACACCTACTAAAACAAATGAATTAAAAAAAAAAAAAAACCCCACAAAACTCTTGGCTTTGAATGACTGTGGTTCTGCCCTTTCCTGGTTCTCCTCATGCCTCCGGGATGAGTTGCAGTCTCTTTCATGGAACGCTCTCTTCTGCTAACCTGGTAATGAGTGTTGCCTCTCAGGATCCAGCCTTTGGCCACTGCTTTCTAATGCCAGAGCTTCTCTCTACATCATTTCACTCATACTCCTGCTTTTCACAATGACAAAGTGACTGAATAAAGACCTTTTTATCCATTAAAACTTTTAGCATCTAATTTAAAGAACATTGTGCATAGAAAATAACCATATTTCCAAATTGGTGCATGTGAAAATGGTATATATTTTTCTAGTGGGTGACAGTAATTTGTTTCTTTTGAAAACCTTTGCAATGGGATTGAGTACTGGTGAAACTAAGGAATTTTGTTTTTAACACTCTAGCAACTGGTTTGAAAACAATTATCTAACTTATAGAAAATACATAGCAAAGGCCTGGGCTTTTTGGACCCATTCAGACCACCTGTCCTTTTTGAATAGTGTTGTTGATGTTTCTTTATTGCATAATCATGGGTCCTTTTACCTTTTATTTATTTATTTTTGAGACGGAGTCTCACTCTGTTGCCCAGGCTGGAGTGCAGTGGCATGATCTTGGCTCACTGAAGTCTCCACCTCCCAGGTTCAAGCGATTCTCCTGCCTCATCCTCCCGAGTAGCTGGGATTACAGGGGCATGCCACCATGCCTGGCTAATTTTGTGTTTTTAGTAGAGATGGGGTTTTGCCATGTTGGCCAGGCTTGTCTAGAACTTCTGACCTCAGGTGATCTGCCCACCTCGGCCTCCCAAAGTGCTGGAATTACAGGTGTGAGCCACCACGCCCGGCCTAGAAGTGGTCACACTTTTAAAATCTTCTTATGTTTTAGGTCATTTGTTAGTTTTTAACTGTTAGTGTTGATGATGCTTTTTAATCCTAATTTTAAAAAAATCCATCTCTTTTCATTCCCAAAGTTGTCTGTTTTCAAATCTTGATCTCACTTTTCTTGCAAATTTATAAGTGCTTTCTTACAGGCCAAGGATCTCATTCCTACTCTTTAGATTACTGTTTCTCAACTAGTAACATACTAGAAACTGAATTAAAAATTTCCGTATCTGGCCGGGTACAGTATCTGGCCAGGCACAGTGGCTCGGGCTTGTAATCCCAGCACTTTGGGAGGCCAAGACGGGCGGATCACTTGAGGTCAGGAGTTCGAGACCAGCCTGGCCAACATGGTGAAACCCTGTCTCTAATAAAAATACAAAAATTAGACGTGTAGTAGTGTGTGTAATTTCAGGTACTCAGAAGGCTGAGGTGGGAGAATCGCTTGAAACCGGGAGGCGAAGGTTGCAGTGAGCTGAGATCGTGCCAGCGCACTTCAGCCTGGGAGACAGAATGAGACTCCGTCTTAAAAAAAAAAAAAAAGAAAAGAAAAATTCTGTAATCTCAGCACTTTGGGAGGCTGAGGTGGGCAGACCACAAGGTCAGGAGATCGAGACCATCCTGGCTAACACGGTGAAACCCCATCTCTACTAAAAATACAAAAAAAAAAATTAGCCTGGCGTGGTGGCAGGTGCCTGTAGTCCCAGCTACTCGGGAGGCTGAGGCAGGAGAATGGCGTGAACCTGGGAGGTGGAGCTTGCAGTGAGCCGAGCCACAGCACTCCAGCCTGGGCGAGAGAGCGAGACTCTGTCTCAAAAAAAAAAAAAAAAAAGTTTCAGTAATCTAACTAGTACTGTGGTTTTTAGAAGGGTATTTTTAGATGTTCAAAATAAAATATTCCGTGACACCAGGAAAATCCAAAGGAGGGAGGGAGAAGAAAGAAAGCCCTTAAAGTGACCAAATTTAGCTACTTGTGCACAGTTGTCTTTACACTGTTTTCCTACTTGATCTTCCAGACTTAGTGAGACTAAGCGAATTCTTAGATCAGACCCCTCCCACCCAAATATTGGCTCAGAAGAGCCAAGGCATCCAACTGTGGTTTACAGTTTTATGTCTTAATGTAGTTGGATTCATTAGATATATAAAACATTTTTACTTGACAGCAACTAACAATAGGTGGTGGTATTGAACTGTGCAATAGTATTTGTGCTCAATTCATCTTGCTTAGTTGTATAACTTTTATAAAAAACAAAGATACGTATTTAATATGATAAATCCAAACCAAATTTGCATTAGCTTTTGAAGACTTTCTCTTAAAGTAAATGATTTTATTGGGTATTCAGCAAAGTTTAAATAATTATTTATTAGGCATTTGAGTTATAGCTCTAAGTAAGTAACCTACTTATACCCTAATCATGTATCTTCAAACTGATTTTATGATACTCTTTTAATAAGCCTCTTATCTAATAGTTGTAGTCAGGTGGAAATATAATGAATTTATATATCATTTTTGTCCTTGATCCCAGGAATTTCTGGTCAAAACAAAAAAGGAAATCCAATTCCATGTAAGTGAGTAATTAAGTTGATCTTAGGCATTACTATGGTGCTAAGACAGAAATTTTATCTAACAACATGGAAGTGAAGGTTGGCAATAAATATATAAAATCCCAGCCCAAACTTAATCAAATGTAGTAACCACTGTGGTGTTTGTTGGTATGACTTTCTGATCAAGTGGAGAATGCATTTCAAAGTGAAAACTGGGGAAGCGTTCTCAGTTTATTTATTTATTTAATTATTATTATTATTTATTATTTTTTTTTCCTGAGACAGTTTCGCTCTTCTTGCCCAGGCTGGAGTGCAATGGCGCGATCTGAGCTCACTGCAACCTCTGCCTCCTGGGTTCAAGTGATTCTCCTGGCTCAGCCTCCTGAGTAGCTGGGATTACAGGTGCCCGCCACCACACCTGGCTAATTTTTTTATTTTTAGTAGAGATAGGGTTTTGCCATTTTGGCCAGGCTGGTCTCAAACTCTTGACCTCAGGTGATCCGCCCGCCTTGGCTTCCCAAAGTGCTGAGAGTATAGGCATGAGCCACCGTGCCGGCCTATTTTTTTTTTTTGAGATGGAGTTTCACTCTTGTTGTCCAGGATGGAGTGCGATGACACGATCTCGGCTCCTCCGCCTCCTGGGTTCAACCTCAGCCTCTCAGGTAGCTGGGATTACAGGCATGCACCACTACCCCCGGCAAATTTTACATTTTTTTGTAGAGATGGGATTTCACCGTGTTGGTCAGGCTGGTCTCGAACTTCTGGCCTCAAGTGATCCACCCGCCTTGGCCTCCCAAAGTGCTGGGATTACAGGGGTGAGCCGCCTCGCCCAGCCTCAGTTTTACTTTTAATTTGTGATAATAAGATACCATACGTATAGCTATTCTGGGCACTTCATGTTTGGCTTACTATCTGCAGAGTGAGGAATTATATGTGGCAGGAAGGACAGGCAAAAAGAAAACTAAAAGTTTTAGATTAGGGTAGGTTCTTAAGTGTAGAGCATTTTTTGTATATGTCGCCCTTTTTTTATAGGTCCAAGAAAAGCCAACGCACTGTATACTGAATTGCACTTATTGAAAAAGAGCTACTTTTGTTTTTTGTTTTCTTTTCTTTTTTTTTTTTTTTTTGGAGACAATCTCACTCTGTTGCCCAGGCTGGGATTCGGTGGTGTGATCTTCGCTCACTGCAACCTCCGCCTCCCAGGTTCAGGTGATTCTGGTGCCTCAGCCTCCTGAGTAGCTGGAACTACAGGCACGTGCCATGATGCCCAACTAATTTTTGTGTTTTTAGTAGATATGGGGTTTCACCATGTTGGCCAGGCTGGTCTCAAACTCCTGATCTCAGGTGATCCACCTGCCTTGGCCTCCCAAAGTGCTGGGATTATAGGCATGAGCCACTGCGCCTGGCTGTTTTCTTTCTTTTCCTTTTTTCTTCTCAGTCTCGCACTGTCGCCTGGGCTAGAGTGCAGTGGCGTGATCTCGACTCACTGTAGCCTCCACCTCCTGCGTTCATGCGATTCTCCTGCCTCAGCCTCCCGATAGCTGGGATTACTGCACCACCATACCCGACCAGTTTTTCCTATTTTTAGTAGAGACAGGGTTTCACCGTGTTGGCCAGACTGGTCTCGAACTCCTGGCCTTGTGATCCACCCACCTTGGCCTCCCAAAGTGCTAGGATTACAGGCGTGAGCCACCACACCCAGCCCTTTTTTTTTTTTTCCTTTTTAGAGGTAGTTGCGGAAAAGAAAAAGAAAGGGAGAAGGGATTTGTGGTTTGTAGCAAATAAACGATTTAAATTTTAGCTACAAGGTTTTCCAGAGCTCTCTGTTGGAATGTTTTTTCATCTTGTTTTTTGGAACCAGATCATCTATATCTTTTGATGTTATTATTTTGAAATTAATTTGGATAAGGAGACAATGACAGCTTTAAGGTGATGTCATCAGGATTTTACGAAGGGAGTCAGTTCCGAACTATGAAACAAAATGTACTCTTATAATTTATATAAATTTGTGTTTTTTTTTGTGTGTATTATACATATTCTAGTGAAGTTCTAGTATTACTGGTGTCTGTGGGACCTTGGGTAAGTTACGTCTCTGGACCTACATTGTCTCAACTCTGTTTCCTTCTAGCATGGAAATTCTGTGATTCTCTGGAGAGAGATTAGATAGTCAGTTTATTGCCAGTGTTCTTAGATTTCTTTGCTTACATCTGCTATTAAAGAAAAGCCAGTTAGACTTTGTAATATTATCCTATATACTGCTTTCGATTCCTGCTTGTTTCTTTTTTTTTCTTAATAATTTTTTTTTTTTTTTTTTGAGACAGGTGGTCTTACTAGTTGCCCAGGCTGGTTTCCAACTCCTAGTCTCAAGTAATCCTCCCACCTTGGCCACCCAAAGTGCTAGGATTACTGGAATGAGCCACTGCACCGAACTGCAAATAAATTTTAAATGCTTTAGAGGAACTTACTATTTAATGGAAAAATCCTTTTACAGAGGGAAGAATACAACTAATGATCTTTTTTTTTGAGATAGAGCCTTGCTCTGTCGCACAAGCTGGAGTGCAGTGGAGCTGTCTCTGCTCAGTGCAACCTCTGCCTGGGTTCAAGCAGTTCTCTGCCTCAGCTTCCCAAGTAGCTGGGATTACAGGCGCCTGCCACCATGCCCGGGTAATTTTTGTATTTTTAGTAGAGACAGGGTTTTACCATCTTGACCAGGCTGGTCTTGAACTCCTTACCTCGTGATCCACCTGCCTTGGCCTCCAAAAGTGCTAGGATTACAGGCGTGAGCCACTGTACTTGGCCTACTAATGACCTCTTTATTTATCTGACTCAGTTTTTGTTTGAGACAGGGTCTTGATCTATCACCCAGGTTGGAATGCAGTGGTGACATCAGGGCTCACTGCAGCCTTGACCTCTGGGGCCCAGGCCATCCTCCCACCTCTGTCTCCCCAGTAGCTGGGACTACAGGTGGGTGCCACCATATCTGGCTATTTTTTTTTTTTTTTTAAGATGGAGTCTTGCGCTCTGTCACCCAGGTTGGAGTGCAGTGGCGCCATCTCAGCTCACTGCAACCTCTGCCTCCCAGGTTAAAGTGATTCTCCTGCCTCAGCCTCCCTAGTAGCTGGGATTACAGGTGCCAACCACCACGCCTGGCTAATTTTTGTATTTTTAGTAGAAACGGGGTTTCACCATGTTGGTCAGGCTAGTCTTGAACTCATGACCCCAGGTGATCCACCTGCCTCGGCCTCTCAAAGTGCTGGGATTGATTACAGGTGTGAGCCACCGCGTCTGGCCAATTTTTGTATTTTTTTGTAGAGATGGGATTTCGCCATGTTGCCCAGGCTGGTCTCAAACTCCTGGACCTTGGCTTCCCAAAGTGCTGGGATTACAGGTATGAGCCACTGCACCCAGCCTAATCAGTTTTTTATATTGGGTTTATTAAACAGGAATGCCTATGAATTTTAATCTAGTTCAACAGTAATAATTTAGTAGTGTTTCAGTCTAGAATTTATACTGCAACTATTATTGTACTCATTGTTAGGCAAATATGAATAAGTGTCTCCTAAGATGAAAATCTGGCACCAAATTGTAAGTTGACATCTAAAACACTGGATCAGCAAGCTTTTAACCGCACCCTACCTCCGCCCCCAGAAATGGGTCATTCTTCCTTCTCTGATATGTAGAAAGTAAAGCTATGACATGATTAAACACAGACATTAAAGATGCATTTATTTATTTATTTGTTTATTTAGAGACAGAGTCTCACTCTGTCACCTAGGCTGGAGTTCAGTGGTGCGATCTTGGCTCACTGCAAGTTCCGCCTCCTGGGTTCACGCCATCCTCCTGCCTCAGCCTCCTGAGTAGTTGGGACTACAGGCACCTGCCACCACACCTGGCTAATTTTTTGTATTTTTAGTAGAGACAGGGTTTCACCGTGTTAGCCAGGATGGTCTCGATCTCCTAACCTTGTGATGTGCTTGCATCAGCCTCACAGAGTGCTGGGATTACAGGCATGAGCCACTGCACTTGGCCTGCATTTATTTTTTAAAACGAGCACTGCATTGCCAATACCCTTTCCCACTGCACTTGGCCTGCATTTATTTTTTAAAACGAGCACTGCATTGCCAATACCCTTTCCCGACATTCGTCCTTATCAGCTTTTTGAAAATCGTTTGCATGTGTTTCATGTAAAGAAAAGAAGGTCATATTAAACAAAATCATATCACAACTTATTTCTGCCACCCACTTGTAGAAAAGCAACCTGATGTATCTTGGCGTTCTCCTAGGACTGGTTAAAACTTTTCTTTAATACTATAACTTTCCTTGTACATTATCATGAATAGTAACTGCAGGGAGATAAGAAACTTCATTATTATTCAGTATTCTTAGTCACAGTTGACTGGGGTTATATAAAAGAAGCTTCCCAAATGTAGATCTAATTTTTTTTTTTTTTTTTTTTTTTTTGAGATGGAGTTTTGCTCTTGTTGCCCAGGCTGGAGTGCAATGGCGTGATCTCAGCTTACTACAACCTCCGCCTCCCGGGTTCAAGCGATTCTCCTGCCTCAGCCTCCCTAGTAGCTGGGATTATAGGCGCCTGCCACCATGCCCAGGTAATTTTCTGTATTTTTAGTAGAGATGGGGGTTTCATTATGTTGGTCAGGCTGGTCTCGAACTCCTGACCTCAGGTACTCCACCCACCTCAGCCTCCCAAAGTGCTGGGATTACAGGCGTGAGCCACTGCACCCGGCAGATCTAATTTTTTAAAGCAC
The DNA here is from genome assembly GCF_000001405.40 of Homo sapiens. NCBI lineage: Eukaryota > Metazoa > Chordata > Mammalia > Primates > Hominidae > Homo > Homo sapiens. The sequence goes on along the minus strand of NC_000017.11, from coordinate 39,388,799 downwards.
AACAAAAAATGCAGCTTTTGCCGGGCGCGGTGGCTCACACCTGTAATCCCAGCACTTTGGGAGGCCAAGGTGGGTGGATCGCGAGGTCAAGAGATCGAGACCATCCTGGCCAACATGGTGAAACCCCGTCTCTATTAAAAGTATAAAAATTAGCTGGGCATGGTGGCGGGCGCCTGTTGTCCCAGCTACTCGGGAGGCTGAGGCAGGAGAATTGCTTGAACCCGAGAGGCGGAGGTTGCAATGAGCTGAGATTACGCCATTGCACTCCAGCCTGGGCGACAGAGCGAGACGCCGTCTCAAAAAAAAAAAATTAAAAAAAAAAAAGCAACTTTTTTTTTTTGAGACAGGTTCTTGTTCTGTTGCCCAGGCTGGAGCCATAGTAGTGCGATCTTGGCTCACTGCAACCTCCACCTGCCAGGCTCAGGTGATTCTTGTGCCTCACCTTCCCGAGTAGCTGGAATTACAGTCGTGTGCCACCATGCCCAGCTATTTTTTTTGCACTTTTAGTAGAGATGAGATTTTGCCATGTTGGTCAGGCTGGTCTCAAACTCCTGAGCTTAAGCAATCTGCCTGCCTTGGTCTCCCAAAGTGCTGGGATTACACGTGTGAGCCACCATGCCTGGTCAAAATAAGTTTTTAATATAGAAAGAATACCAAGAAAAAATAATACCATTTTCTCAAGCATTTATATTACTTATTATTTCAATAATGTGAAATTTGCATTATAAGTGGTCTCAATAAATGGCGTTCTGAAGTTGTGGTCAAGATCTAGCTGATCCTCTAACCACTGTCAAATATATATTCAAATGAAATATGTAATTAACTCATCACATTACCTTTTTAGTTTTTATAATACAGATGGGACTGTGCCCTGATAAACCTATGATAAATTGAAAGTATCGTAAGTTGGAAACGTAGTTAAGGCCTGGTGCGGTCACTCACGCCTGTAACCCCAGCACTTTGCGAGACCAAGGTGGGAGGATCGCTTGAGCCCAGGAGTTCAAGACCAGCTTGAGCAATATAGTGAGACCTCATCTCTACAAAAAATTTAAAAATTAGCTGGGCATGATGGTGCACACCTGTAGTCCCAACTACTTGGGAGGGTGAGGTAGAAGGATTGCTTGAGCCCAGGAAGTGGAGGTTGTAGTGAGCCAAGATCATGCCTCTGCACTCCAGCCTGGAAGACAGAGTGAGACCTTGTCTCAAAAAAAAAAAAAAAAAGATTGGGCGCTGTGGCACACGCCTGTAATCCCAGCACTTTGGGAGGCCGAGACGGCCAGATCACCTGAGGTCAGGAGTTCGAGACCAGCCTGGCGAACATGGTGAAACCCCGTCTCTACTAAAATACAAAAATTAGCCAGGTATGGTGGCAGGCGCCTGTAATCCCAGTTACTCGGGAGGCTGAGGCAGGAGAATCGCTTGAACCCGGGAGACAGAGGTTACAGCAAGCCGAGATTGCGCCATTGCACTCCAGCCTGGGGGACAAGAGTGGGACTTTGTCTCAAAAAAAAAAAAAAAAAAAGTGCAGTTAATACACCTAACCCACCAAACATCATAGATTAGCCTCACCTACCTTAAGCATGCTCAGAATCCGTTAGTCTGCAGTTGGGTAAAATTATCTAACACAAAGCTGTTTTATAATAAAAATGTTAAATATCACATGTAACTTAATGACTACTGAAAGTGAAAACCAGAATGGTTGTGCGTGTACTCATTGCAGTTTCCACTGATGCATATTACGTGTACACCATTGTAACGTCAAAAAATCTTAAGTTAAACCATCGTAAGTCAGGGAACACCTGTATTACATACCTAGCAAGCATACAGTTTTATTCTTTTCTTTACATGATCTGGCTGTTGTCAGATGGCTGATGTTTGGTCAGTATTACTAGAAACAGTATTTCTTCAGAGGTGAGTTAACATAAGAACAAAAAAGCACAAGATTCAATGCAATATCAGTCTGGGAAGTAGGGGAGAATATGTGTGCTCCACATAATCTTTATTGGAAATAGTGTTCTTTTGTGGAATTAGAAGTGGATACACATTTAGGTTGAAAGTCCCTAACCAGTCACATAGTACTTGTAGGTATTTACTATGCTTCATGCTAATGGTACTCTTTAAAAATGGAAATAAGATAGAGGTCTAAGCAAAAAAAAATTTATTATTATTATTTTTTGAGACGGAGTCTCACTCAGTCACCCAGGCTGGAGTACAGTGACGTGATCTCAGCTCACTGCAACCTCCGCCTCCCGGGTTCAAGCGATTTTTGTGCCTCAGCCTCCTGAGTAGCTGGAATTACAGGCGCACGCTACCACTTCCAGCTAATTTTTGTATTTTTTGTAGAGACTCACTGTGTTGCTCAGGCTGGTCTCGAACTCCTGACCACAAGTGATCCACCCCGCCCTGGCCTCCCAAAGTGTTTAGATTACAGGCGTGAGTCACGTCACCCGTCCCTAGACTGATTAATTTTTATTTATTTATTTATTTATTTTTGAGACAGAGTCTTGCTCTGTCACCCAGGCTGGAGTGCAGTGGCGCGATCTCCGCTCACTGCAACCTCTGCCTCCCAGGTTCAAGAGATTCTCCTGCCTCAGCCTCTGGAGTGGCTGGGAATACAGGCACGTACCACCGGGTTTCACTGTGTTAGCCATGGTAGTCTGGATGTCCTGACCTCTTATCCACCCACCTTGGCCTCCCAAAGTGCTGAGATTACAGGTGTGAGCCACCGCGCCCAGCAGGACTGATTAGTTGGTGTTTTTTTTTTTTTTTTTTTTTGAGACGGAATCTCTGTTGTCAGGCTGGAGTACAGTGGCGCGATCTTGGCTGACTGCAACCTCTGCCTCCCGGGTTCAAGTGATTCTCCTGCCTCAGCCTCCTGAGTAGCTGGGACTACAGGCACACGCCACCATGCCCAATTAATTTTTGTATTTTTAGTAGAGACAGGATTTCATCATGTTTGCCAGGATGGTCTCGATCTCTTGAGCTCATGATCTGCCCACCTCGGCCTCCCAAAGTGCTGGGATTATAGGCGTGAGCCACCTCGCCTGGCTGCCTAATCAAAATTTAATGGAGAACTAGTTCAGTTAACTTTCTTGTAGTTTTCATTCACTCCAGCTGAGTTGGACTGCTCAGTCTCTGTGAATTGTTACCATTATTTTAGTTAAGGAAACTTGAGCATCAACCTCCTTGGCTGTTCTTACAGTAGCCTCAAGTCTCTCAGTTTAATGTGTTTCAGTGACATATCTTTCTTCCACCCACTTCTGTTTTACTAAAATAAGACAGTTATAGGAATAGGCCTGTGGTTTAATTTCAGACTGGAAATGGAGGTTAAACTGTTGCTTTAGTATTTGTGCTGGGAAGGGAAGTTAAAATACAATTTTCTATTTATCTTAAAGTGAGTTTGGGTTAAAAAGTAAGTCTTTCTTCTCCCCACCTCATTCCCCAGAGGTAACCATTTATGTGTGTGTGTGTGTGTGTTTTCTAGAGACAGGGTCTCACAGTGTTGCCCAGTCTGGAGTGCAGTGGCACCATCATAGCTTGTGTGTGTGTGTGTGCACGCACGCGCGTGTGTGTTTCTAGAGACAGTGTCTCACAATGTTGCCCAGTCTGGAGTGCGGTGGCGCCATCATAGCTCACTGCAGCCTTGACCTCCTAGGCTCAAGCAGTCCTCCCACCTCAGTCTTCCAAGTAGCTGAGACTACAGGCATGCACCACCATGCATAGCTAATTGGGATTACAGGTGTGAGCCATTGTGTGCCACTGTGCCCCAGCAGTAACCATTGTTAATTGTGTATTATGTATCCTTTTATAAATTATGCATCTATTTATTTTATTTATTTATCTTTTGTTGAGACGGAGTCTCTGTTTCTCAGGCTGGAGTGGAGTGCAGTGGCGTGATCTTGGCTCACTGCAACCTCCGCTTCTCAGGTTCACGTGATTATCCTGCCTCAGCCTCTCAAGTAGCTGGGATTACACCACCACGCCCAGCTAATTTCTGTATTTTTAGTAGAGACGGGGTTTCACCATGTTGGCCAGGCTGGTCTTGAACTGCTGAAGAACTTGTGATCTGCCTGCCTCAGCCTCACAAAGTGCTGGGATTATAGGCGTGAGCCACCGTGCCCGGCCAAATTATGTAATCTATTTCTATATTTTATGAACAAACAAGATTATACTGGACATATAGTTTAGCACCTCTTCTTCTCCACCTTTAGAAATAAGTTTTAATTTATACAAATTATATATAAATTTTATTATATTTTATTTATTTATTTATTTTGAGATGGACTCTTGCTCTGCCTCCAGGGTGGAGTGCAGTGACGTGATCTCGGCTCACTACAACCTCTGCCTCCCGGGTTGAAGCGATTCTCCTGCCTCAGCCTCTTGAGTAGCTGGGACTACAGGCGCGCACCACCACTCCCAGCTAATTTTTGTATTTTTAATAGAGACGGGGTTTCACCGTATTGGCCAGGAGGTTTTGAACTCTTAGCCTTCTGATCTGCCCACCTCGGCCACCTAAAGTGCTGAGATTACAGGCGTGAGCCACTGCGCCTGGCCTATTTATTTTTTTGAGGAGGGTTTCTCTCTGCCACCCAGGCTGGAGTGCAAGAGTATGATCACAGCTCACTGCAGCCTTGACTTCCTGGGCCCTAGTGATCTTCCACCTTACCCTCCCAAGTAGCTGAATCCATGTGCGCATGCTGCCATGCCTGGCTGATTTTTTTGACTTTTTGTAGAGATGGAGTCTCCCTATGTTGCTCAGGCTGGTCTTGAACTCCTGAGCTCAAGCAGTCCTCCTGCCTTGGCCTCCCAAAATGCTAGGATTATGGGCATGAGCCACCAGGCCTGGCCTGTAAATTTTATGTATAAAATTTACATGAATAAATTTTTTAAAAATTAAAACATAACAAAGTAGCCCGGCACGGTGGCTCACGCCTGTAATCCCAGCACTTTGGGAGGCCGAGGTGGGTGGATTGCCTGAGCTCAGGAGTTCGAGACCAGCCTGGGCAACATGGTGAAACCCTGTCTCTACTAAAATACAAAAAATTAGCCAGGCATGGTGACATGCGCCTGTAATCCCAGCTACTTGGGAGGCTGAGACAGGAGAATTGCTTGAACCTGGGAGGCGGAGGTTGCAGTGAGCCGAGATCGCGCCACTGCACTCCAGCCTGAGCAACAGAATGAGACTCCATCTCAAAAAAAAAAAAAAAAAGCATATAAAGTATCACAAAAAGAGACTCTGACACTACCTATAACACTGATCCTCTTCATTCTACTCTGTACTTCAAGAGATAAGGACAGTTACAGACTTGGTGATTATCCTTGTAGGGTTTTTCTGTTTCATTTTTGGAGACAGAATCTTTCTCTGTTACCCAGGCTAATCTCCAACTCTGGCTTCATTTGATCTTCCCACCTCAGCCTTCCAAAATGTTAAGATTATAGGCATGAGCCATCATACCCGACCAAGGTTTTTCTTCTCCATGTGCGTCTGTGTATGTGTGTTTACATAATTGACCTTATATTGTGTCTGTTATTCTGAAACTTTATGTTTTTTAGAGGTCTGTTGGATATATTTCTTTTAATTGTTACATAGTATTCCATTATATGAATATTTCAGTTTTTCTTTTTTTTTTTTTTTTTTGAGACAGAGTCTCACTCTGTTGCCAGGCTGGAGTGCAGTGGCGTGATCTCGGCTCACTGCAACCTCTGCCTCCCGGGTTCAAGAGATTCTCCGACCTGAGCCTTCTGAGTAGCTGGGACTACAGGTGCACGCCACCATGCAAAGCTAATTTTTTTTTTTTTGTATTTTTAGTAGAGATGGGGTTTCACCATGTTGGCCAAGATGGTCTCCATCTCTTGACCTTGTGATCTGCCCACTTCGGCCTCACAAAGTGCTGGGACTACAGGCGTGAGCCACCGCACCTGACCTTTTCTTAAATTTTTAAAATTTAGTTTATCTTATTAGAGACAACGTCTCACTCTCTCACCCAGGCTAGAGTGCAGAGTAGGATCATAGCTCACTGCAGCCTGCAACTCCTGAGCTCTAGTGATCCTCCTACCTTAGCCTCCCGAGTAGCTGCGCTACAGGTGCATGCCACCACACCTGGGCAAGTTTAAAAAAGAAAAAAAAAATTGTAGCAGTGGGCTCTCCTATCTTGCCCAGATTGGTCTAAAACTCCTGGCCTCAAGTGATCCTCCCACATCAGCTTCCTGAAGTGTTAGCATTACAGGTATGAGCCACTTTGCCCAGGCTTTCCCCTGGTTTTGAAAAGCCATATCTATAATAAAGCTGAATACATTCATAAGTCTGTTTTGAACTAAGGCCTGTTCCTTTCATCTATTTTTTTTTTTTTTTTTTTTGAGATGGAGTCTCTCTCTGTTGCTGTGGCTGGAGTGCAGTGGCGCGATCTGGGCTCACTGCAACCTCCACCTCCTGGGTTCACGCCATTCTCCTTCCTCAGCCTCCCCAGCAGCTGGGACTACAGGCGTACGCCACCATGCCTGGCTAATTTTTTGTATTTTTAGTAGAGATGGGGTTTCACCGTGTTAGCCAGGATGGTCTCGATCTCCTTACCTTGTGATCTGCCCACCTCGGCCTCCCAAAGTGCTGGGATTACAGGCGTGAGCCACCGCGCCAAGCCATCTATTTTTAATTTATAATACAATAATGTTAATTTAGGGGAATGGATTTTTTTTTTTTTTTTTTTTTTGAGACGGAGTCTCGCTGTGTTTGCCAGGCTGGAGTGCAGTGGCCTGATCTGGGCTTACTGCAACCTCCACCTCCCAGGTTCAAGTGATTCTCCTGCTCAGCTTCCTGAGTAGCTGGGACTACAGGTGTGTGCCACCACGCCCAGCTAATTTGGTATTTTTAGCAGAGAGGGGGTTTCACCATGTTTGCTAGGATGGTCTTGACCTCTTGGCCTCGTGATCCGCCCCCCTCGGCTTCCCGAAGTGCTGGGATTACAGGCATGAGCCACTGTGCCCGGCCTTTTTTTTTTTTTTTTTCCCTTCAGAGAGGGTCTTGCTCTGTCACCCAGGCTGGAGTGCAATGGTGCAATCATGGCTCACTACAGCCTAAACCTCTCCACCGCTCCAGTAATCTTCCCACCTCAGCCCCCTGAGTAGCTAAGACTACAAGTGTACACCACCATACCCAGCTGATTTCTGTATTTATTTGTAGACACGGGGTTTCACCATGTTGTCAGGCTGGTCTCAAACTCCTGGGCTCAAGTTATCTGCCTGCTTCGGCCTCCCACAATGTTGGGATTACAGGCATGAACTACAAGCCAGGCTTTATTCAGCCTTTTTTTTTTTTTTTTTTTTGAGACAGAGTCTCACTGTATTACCCAGGCTGGAGTGCAGTGGCACGATCTTGTCTCACTGCAACCTCTGCCTCTTGGGCTCAAGTGATCCTCCTGCCTCAGCCTCCTAAGTAGCTGGGACCAGAGGTGTATGCCACCACACCCGGCTAATTTTTTGTATTTTTTTGTGGAGATGAGGTAGTTCTAGCTGTTGCCCAGGCTGGTCTCAAACTCCTACGCTCAAGCAGTCTTCTTGCCTCAGCCTCCCAAAGTGCTGGAATTGCATGAGCCACTGTGTCTGGCCTGTTATTTAGCTTTTATTAACAACTTTTTTTTTTTTTGAGACGGAGTTTCACTCTTACTGCCCAGGCTGGAGTGCCATGGCTTGATCTTGGCTCACTGCAACTTCCGCCTCCCGGGTTCAAGTGAGTCTCCTGCTTCAGCCTCCTGACTAGCTGGGATTACAGGTGCCTGCCACCACGCCCTGCTAGTTTTTGTATTTTTAGTAGAGACGGGGTTTCACCATGTTGGTCAGGCTGCTCTCGAACTCCTGACCTTAGGCAATCCACCGGCCTCTGCTTCCCTAAGTACTGGGATTACAGGTGTGAGCCACCACGCCCGGCCTGCTAGTTTTATTTCTATAGTTTTTAATGGTAGTACAGGTGAGTTTTCTCTTTCCTGTTAAATTTTTCTCATCACTAATTCAGTCAGCAAATATTTGTGGTGCACTTTTTACATCCTGGTGTTCTTATAGATGCTGAGCGTATAAAAGTGGACAAAAAGTCCTGCTCTAATGGAGTTTAAAATCTAGTGAGGGGAGATTGACAACATAAAAGAGTAAATAATATGCCAGATGTTAATGATAGTGATGGGCAAAATAAAGGGCAGGAAAGGGGGGAAGGGAGCTGAGCATGGTTCACATTTTATAGAGAATGGTAAAGGAGACCTCACTATTAAGGTAATATTTGAGCAGAGTTAATGAAATAAAGCAAGGTGTGTGGTTATCAGAGGAAAGATCATTATAGCCAAAGGATAGTAAGTGCAAAAACAAAAGTTGCAGTGTCCTTGATGTACTCTAAGAACAGTGGTAGGTTACTGTAGTCAGATCATAGTGAAGTTGGGGAACAGTGGTAGGGATGAGGTCAGAGTTATTGGTGGGAATTCGGAACAGGGTGGTGGTGGTGGTTAGAGAGCAGGGCAGATAATGAATGGCCTTGTAATCCATTTTAAGCTCTGAATTTTATTCTTACAAAGTAAGCCATACATTCATAGATTTGTTTTTGAATTGTGTTCTGTTTTCAGCAGAAGAGGAACGTGATATAACTCATATTGAGTATCACTCTTGTTTTGTGTAGACTGTGATGTTGTAACCAGTGTTCTTAGCTCTTGCAATAAATGAGAAAGGAGATGTTAATATTTTGCATCAAGTTGATTATAGTAGAGACAGGGAGAAGTGATTGGATTCTAGATATCTTTTGAAAGTAGAACTTATATATATATATTTATTTCTAATTTCTTTGTTGAGACAGGGTCTCACTCTGTCAACTCAGGCTGGAGTGCCATGATGCGATCATGGCTCACTGTAGCCTTGACCTCCTGGGCTCAAGTGATCCTCCCACCTCAGCCTCCTGAGTAACTGGGACCACAGGCATATACCACCACACCCAGCTAATTGTTAAATATTTTATATACTTATTTATTTTATGTTATTTTATTTATTTGAGACAGGATCTTGATCTGTTGTCCAGGCTGGATTGCAGTGGTACAATCATAGCTCACTGCAGGCTCAAACTCCTGAGGCTCAAGGGATCCTTCCACCTCAGCCTCCCAAGTAGCTAAGTGGCAGATGGGTACCACCACGCCCAGCTAATTTTTTTTATTTTTAGTAGAAAAGAGGTTTTGCTGTGTAGCCCGGGCTGGTCTCAAACTCCTGATCTCAAGTGATCCTCCTGCCTTGACCTCCCAAAGTGGGATTATAGGGGTAAGCCACTGTGCCTGGCCAGTTTTTTTTTTTTTGGTAAGGGATGGGGTCTTGCTATGTTGCCAAGGCTTGTTCTTGAACTGCTGGCCTCTCGAACTGAGGCGATCCCCTCGCCTCAGCCTCCCAAAGTTAGAATTTCTATGTTTGACTTTTTAAGGAATCACCAAAGTGTTTCCCACAGCAGTTACATCATTGTATATTTCCACCAGCAGTGTACAAGGGCTCAAGTTTCTCCATATCCTGCCAACAATTGTTATTTTCCTTTATTATTATTATTATGTTATTTTATTTTATTTATTTATTTTTTTTGAGACGGAGTTTCACTCTTCTTGCCCAGGCTGGAGTCGGCTCACCACAACCTCCGCCTCCTGGGTTCAAGCGATTCTCCTGCCTCAGCCTCCCAAGTAGCTGGGATTATAGGCATGCGCCACCACCCCAGCTAATTTTGTATTTTTAGTAGAGACCGGGTTTCTCCGTGTTGGTTAGGCTGGTCTTGAACTCCCGACCTCAGGTGATCTGCCCGCCTCGGCCTCCCAAAGTGCTGGGATTACAGGCGTGAGCCACTGTGCCTGGCCTATTTTCGTTTTTTTAAAAATTATAGCCATCCTATGGCCGGGCGCGGTGGCTCACGCCTGTAATCCCAGCACTTTGAGAGGCCGAGGCAGGCGGATCACCTGAGGTCAGGAGTTCGAGACCAGCCTGGCCAACATAGTGAAACTCTGTCTCTATTAAAAAATACAAAAATTAGCTGGGCGTGGTGGTGGGCGCCTGTAATCCCAGCTACTTGGGAGGCTGAGGCAGGAGAATGGCGTGAACCCAAGAGACAGAGGTTGCAATGAGCCAACACGGTGCCACTGCACTCCAGCCTGGGCAACAGAGTGAGACTCCATCCCAAAAAAAAAAAAATTATAGCCATTCTAGTGGGTGTGGGTGTCAGGTAGTATCTCATTGTGTTTTTGCTTTGTAATTGTCTAATGAATGATGTTGACCATCTTTTTGTGTGCCTGTTGGCTTTGTCTATCTCCTTTGTAGAAATGTCTGTTTAGTCCTTTGCCCGTTTAGTTTTTTATTTATATTTTCAAGAGATGGGGTTTTGCTCTGTTGCTCAGACTGATCTCAAACTTCTATGCTCAATCTTCCTGCCTACGCCTCTCAAGTAGCTGAGACTACAAATGTGAGCTACCACACCTCTGTGCCCATTTTTTAATTGGGTTAGTTGTATTTTTATTGTTGGGTTATAAGAGTTCTTCGTTTTGGATACATTCATATCATTTTAAAATAATTTCTATGCATACCGTGATTTTAGTAGTTGTTGAAAACAGAACATTTTGCATATTATAATGTGGCAACTCTGGAAATCACATTCAATTCCCTCCCAGTTAGTTCTACTTGTTGTATTAGTATTGTTTGTTTAGTGTCTTTCCCAACCTAATTCTGTACAGTCTGTATTTGTCATTTGTGACCTTAAAATCTCTGTCCTTTTTTTGGTTGGGGGGCGGTAGGTGGTGGAGGATAGGGTCTTGCTCTGTCGCCCAGGCTAGAGTGCAGGCTAGAATCACAGTTCACTGAAGCGTCAAACTCCCAGGTGCAAGCCATCCTACCACCTCATCCTCCTGTGTAGCTAGGACTACAGGCATGTGCCAGCATGCTGTAACTGCTCAAGGAGTTCACCTTGCCCGCTGCCTAGATAGAGCCAATCTATCAAGACAGGACTTGCAGGCTGGGCACGGTGGCTTACGCCTGTAATCCCAGCACTTTGGGAGGCCTAGGGGGAGCGGATCACGAGGTCAGGAGATCGAGACCATCCTGGCTAACACGGTGAAACCCCGTCTCCACTAAAAAATACAAAAAAATTAGCCGGGCGTGGTAGTGGGCGCCTGTAGTCCCAGCTACTCAGGAGGCTGAGGCAGGAGAATGGCATGAACCTGGGAGGCGGAGCTTGCAGTGAGCCTAGATCGCGCCACTGCACTCCAGCCTGGGCGACAGAGCAAGACTCCGTCTCAAAAAAAAAAAACAACAACAAAAAAGACAGGAATTGCAATAGAGAAAGAATAATTCACGCAGAGCCAGCTGTGCGGGAAACGGGAGTTTTATTATTACTCAAATCAGTACCCCACCCCACCCCCGAGCATTTGGGGATCAGAGTTTTTAAGGACAGCTTGGTGGGTGGGGGAAAGTCAGTGAGCCAGGAGTGCTGATTGGTCAGGGATGAAATCATAGGGAGTCGAAGCTGTCCTCTTGCACTGAGTCAGTTCCTGGGTGGGGGCTCCAAGATCAGATGAGCCAGTTAATCGATCTGGGTGGTGCCAGCTGATCCATCAAGTGCAGGGTCTGCAAAATATCTCAAGCACTGATCTTAGGAGCAGTTTAGGGAGGGTCAGAATCTTGTAGCCTCCAGCTTCATGACTCCTAAACCATAATTTCTAATCTTGTGGCTAATGTTAGTACTACAGAGGCAATCTAGTCCCCAGGCAAGAAGGAGGTCTGCTTTGGGAAAGGGCTGTTACGGTCTTTGTTTTAAACTATAAACTCAGTTTATCCTAAAGTTAGGTCAGCCCAGGAATGAACAAGGGCAGCTTGGAGGTTAGAAGCAAGGTGGAGTCGGTTAAGTTAGATCTCTTTCACTGTCTCAGTCATAATTTTGCAAAGGTGGTTTCAATGCCCGGCTCACCTTCCTATTTTTGTAGAGACAGGGTATCACTATGTTGCACAGGCTGGTCTCAAGCAATCCTCCTGCCTTGATCTCCCAAAGTGCTAGGATTACATGCATGAGCCACTGCACCTGGGTTAAAATCTCTGTTCCATTAGCTTAGTGGTCAGCTAATGACTGTACAAAAATTTCTTAATACCTAGAACCGCAAATTCTCCTAGTCTTTGCCAGAGGCATTTGTGTAGGGGCACACTTTGAACACACGGCCAGTCAGTTTACAACTCTGGCTTAGCCTTCAACTTCCTACTTCTGCAAATTCTCAAGATCAACCAGAGGTGAGAACTCTGGGCCTTCTCAGGTCTTTCCTGAGTATGTGCACAATGCTGGGCATGCATGTGGCCTTCTGACTCTCATGAATATATCAGAGCTTACCAATGCCCTTATGGACATACATTTCCCTAGCTTTTTTCCCTGGCTTCTCTTTTAAGCTTTTTGGTTAGTTTATTATCTGTCCCTCAGTCAGCAGTGACTAAAACATTTGCCTATAAATATTTTTGACAAATGCAGGGTACCTACTTTAGCAGTAGGCCAGTTCTGAGACAATATAAAGACAAACGTTTTGAGCTGGTTTTCCAGGGAGCACCAGACAGGTTAAAACAAATCATTACAGTTCTTTGGGAATCAGATCTGTTCCATTCCCTCAGTTACCAGCAATGTCAGCTGTTATTTTATTTTATTTTATTTTATTTTTTGAGATGGAGTCTCACACTGTCGCCCAGGCTGGAGTGCAGTGGTGCAATCACGGCTCATTGCAACCTCCGCCTCCTGGGTTCAAGCTCTTCTTCTGCCTCAGCCTCCCAAGTAGCCAGGATTACAGGTGCCCGCCACCATGCCCAGCTAATTTTTTGTATTTTTAGTAGAGACGGGGTTTCACTAAGTTGGTCAGGCTGGTCTCAAACTCCTGACCTCGTGATCTGCCCGCCTTGGCCTCCCAAAGTGCTGGGATTACAGGCTTGAGCCACCACGCCCAGCCACGGATGTTATTTTTAAGGTTACTGCCAACAGGCACATTTGGGGTAAATTAAAATGATACAAACCTCTAGTCTTACTGAGATTCAGCCGTTTTTCTTGAATGAAAACTCCTTGGGTTATTGCAAGACTTGGTTAATTTTTAAAGTAAAAAAATTTGATTTTTCAAAATTGATACGTAATATTTATGTATTTGTGGGGTACATATAAGTATTATAGGCATAAAATGTGTAATGATCAAGTCAGGGTACTTGGGTATCCATCACCTTAAGTATTTATCATTTCTATGTGTTGGGAACATTTCAAGTCTTCTAGCTACTTAGAAATACACAGTACATCCTTGCCAACTATAGTCATCCTGTTCTGCTATGGAACAATAGAACTTGTATCTTCTATCTAACTGTAAATATTTGATTTTTGCCAGTTTTGTTGTTATTGTTGCTTTTATGGAGGGGTGAAATTTTTTTCGTTTGTTTCTTATTGTGGCATTTTCACTGATGTCATCTCCGAGTACATGTTTGATTGGAGGTTTCTGAAGAGCTCCAGTACCTTATTTTGACCTCCAGTTATACAAAAGTAAATGTATTTCTCAGTTCATAGTTTTTGTTTTGCAGAAGATGGCCGCAACAACTACTTGGGCCATGTCTTCTCCTCGTCACTTTTTTTATATGCTGCTTATTTTTAACCACTAAAGTCACTGATGATGATACACTAATTCTGTGAGTATTGTCTTTGTCCTATATTATTGAAAAGTAGCAGCTGGGTGCGGTGGCTCACGCCTGTAATCTCAGCACTTTGGGAGGCCGAGGCAGGTGGATCACGAGGTCAAGAGATTGAGACCATCCTGGCCAACATGGTGAAACCTTGTCTCTACTAAAAATACGAAAATTAGCTGGGTGTGGTGGCACGCGCCTGTAGTCCCGGCTGCTCGGGAGGCTGAGGCAGGAGAATTGCTTGAACCCAGGAGGCGGAGGTTGCAGTGAGCCGAGATCACGCTACTACACCCAGCCTGGCAAGAGAGAGAGACTCCATCTCAGGGAAAAAAAAGAAAAGAAAAGAAAAGTAGCTTGAGCTGTCCGCTTAAATTCTGTCCATTTCATTGGAATTGCTTTGGCACAGTTGTCTCCTCAGTGTAAATGGAATTATTTTCAGTTTTAGGTTTAGAAGATGTATAATTAGTTTTTAGGAATCCTAGACAATACATACAAAAAACAGAAACAGTGATGACCCAACATATTATAGCAAGGAAAAATAAAATCTTAGTTATAAAATTAGTTATAATCTAGCAATTTTTTTTTTTTGAGATGGAGTCTCGCTCTATTGCCTTGGCTGGAGTGCACTGGTGCATTCTTGGCTCACTGCAACCTCCGCCTCCCAGGTTCAAGCAGTTCTCATGCCTCAGCCTCCCAGGTAGCTGGGATTACATTACAGGTACCCGCCATCAGGCCTGATTAATTTTTTTTTTTTGTATTTTTAGTAGAGACGGGGTTTCACTATGTTGGCCAGGCTGGTTTCAAACTCCCAACCTCAAGCGATCCAACCACCTTGGCCTCCCAAAGTGCTAGGATTACAGGCGTGAGCCATTCCGACTGGTCTTTTTTTTTTCTTTTTTTCTTTGAGACGTAGTTTTGCTTTGTCGCCCAGGCTAGTGTGCAGTGCCGTGATCTTGGCTCACTGCAACTTCCACCTCCCAGGTTCAAGCGATTCTCCTGCCTTAGCCTCCTGAGTAGCTGGGACTACAGGCGCCCACCACCACCACGCCTGGCTAATTTTTGTATTTTTAGTAGAGGTGGGGTCTAGCCATGTTGGCCAGGCTTGTCTTGAACTCCTGACTTCAAATGATCCACCTTCCTCGGCCTCCCAAAGTGCTGGGAATACAGGCGTGGACCACCGTGTCCGGCCATAATCTAGCAATACTGATAATGTGGTGATGTCTGTGACTTTATCTTACCTGAAATAACAAAGAAAGCAAAACAAATCCCATATAATCATCTTCACTTTTAGTTGAAAGAAACATTTAGCCCTTCAATCAGTTAATCCAACAAATACTTGTTTTGTGGCTTGTCATGTGTAAGGCACTATGTTTAATCTACTTTCCGGAAACTACAGCCTAGTAGGCTAGACAAAATTGAACACAGTAAGACAAAATTGAAGCTTTGTAACAGAACTATAAGCAAAGTGCTATGGATTATAGGGAAATAAAAGAACATGCCTACCTAGAAAATATTCGGATTTCTGAAGAGGTCTCAAGAAAAGCATTCCTCATCCTTGCAGAATTTCTAGACAAATGGAGAAAACAGGAGTGGCAGCTGGAGACCAAAATTATTAAAAGAAACCAGGTTGGAAGATCTGGTTTTCAGTATGTGAGCCAAATTGTATCTGTTAACTGAAGTCTATCAGATAGACATCCCCAGCCCGCAGTTCTAAGCAGTCCTATACCAAATCAAGCTTTTCAACGCAGGAGAGAGCCTGGCCCTGAAGAAATGGAGAACACTTGTTCAGAAAGGGTAGAAACACAGAACTCTGAGCCAAGTTGCACTTCATTCTTCCATGATTTGCCAGTCAAATAAGATTAAAAGATAAGTTATACTTAATCTCTTTAAAGAAGTACAGAGGAGCCAGGAGTGTGTTTAGAGAAAGTTTTTCCTTGTGTAAACCAGGAGTGGGGAAGAGGCATTCCTCTCTACAAAGGGGGTCAGAAAAGGTTTCATGGAGGTTATGCCTTGAGCTGAGCATTAAAAATGGGTAGGTTTCTATATAGACGATGTGAAGCCACAGAGATGAGACAGTATAAGCTATGTTTGAAAAACAAGTAGTCTGATTAAAAAAAAAAAGAAAAGAAAAATAAGTAGTCTAATTTAATCAAGCATTTGAGTTCTCGATTTCAGTTTTGTTATCCTTTGGGAGTTATTAAACAGGCTGGGCGCAGTGGCTCACGCCTGTAATCCTAGCACTTTGGGAGGCTGAGGCGGGTGGATCACCTGAGGTCAGGAGTTTGTGACCAGCCTGACCAACCTGGTGAAACCCCATCTCTACTAAATACAAAAAATTAGCCAGGTGTGGTAGCACACACCTGTAGTGCCAGCTAGTGCCAGCTACTTGGGAGGCTGAGGCAGGAGAATTGCTCAAACCTGGGAGGTGGAGGTTGCAGTGAGCCGAGATTGCACCATTGCACTACAGCCTGGGCAACAAGAGCGAAACTCCATCTCAAAAAAAAAAAAAAAATTATCAAACAGACATTTAGCCCTTAAACAGTCATTGGCTCATTTTCAAGGTTTTTTGCCTTAAAAGATTACCAATTTTTTTTTTTTTTTTTTTTTTTTTTGGTCAGAGTCTCGCTCTGTTGCCAGGCTGGAGTGCAGTGGCGCAATCTCGGCTCGCTGCAACCTCCGCCTCCCAGGTTCAAGCGATTCTCCTGCCTCAGCCTCCCAAGTAGCTGGGACTACAGGCGCACGTCACCATGCCCAGCTAATTTCTGTATTTTAAGTAGAGACGGGGTTTCACCTTGTTGGCCAGGATGGTCTCCATCTCTTGACCTTGTGATCCACCTGCCTCAGCCTCCCAAAGTGCTGGGATTACAGGAGTGAGCCACCGTGCCTGGCCTTTTTTTTGGTTTTAAGACAGCAAAGTAGAATTATTCCCAGGCTGTTTTGAAAATCACCTAAAAACAGTGATATAAACTCTATTTGAAATTATGAGGCATATGTAATCCTTGTATGGGAAAAAGGAAAAGAGAAAGAAATAGTAAATGACTTAGCAGAAGAGAGGTGGGTCAAACCCAAGTGCTTCAGGAGACTACTGGCAAGAGGCAGGTCATGATTTGTCTGTGAAGCTCCTGAAAAGTTCAGAACCTGAAGGTACCACGTACAACAGAAGGCAGGGATAAGATGGAGGCTGACAACAGGGTCACTTTCCAGAAGTCTATAATGGGAAGATAGATTCCCTCTCAGTACTTTCTCCTTTAAACCTGAGTAGTTGGACAGCTACCGTCAGCCTTACAGAAGTTAGGAGATTTTAGCTGGGCGAGGTGGCGCGTGCCTTTAATCCCAGCTACTTGGGAGGCTAAGGCATGAGAATCACTTGAACCCAGGAGGCGGAGGTTGTGGTGAGCCGAGATCATGCCACTGCACTCCAGCCTGGGCAACAGAGCAAAACTTCGTCTCAAAAAAAAAAAAAAGAAAAAAGTAAACAACAAAAAGAAGTTAGGAGATTTGTTCTTTGGAGGAATTGAATATGAGATGTTCAGGACCTAGGACCCCAATCCCAGAGGAGGATGGGGTTAGCTAAGTTCCAGACAGAAAATGGAAGTCAGGAGCCAATTAAGTGAGAAGTCTATACAATTAGTAGTGTAGTTCCCCATCTCCTTCCCTCATCTAGCTGTAGAATGCCTGCAGCCAAGTAAAAGCTTAGAGGATCTTCCTCTGCAGTAAGAGAATGCCCTCCATCCAATAAAAAAGAATGGCCCCAGAGAAAAGATAGCTGAATTTTAAAAAAATATATTTATGCATTAACAGGCTCATGCCTATAAGTTTTGATTTTTTAAAAAAAGTATATAAGCATATTTTTGTTATTTTTTTTATGGCTGATGGCAGATTACCTCATAAAGTCATGCATGACAAAACCCTTCTTTTTTCTTTGAGGTGGAGTTTCGCCCTCATTGCCCAGGCTGGATCACGGCTTACCACAACCTCCGCCTCCCAGGTTCAAGTGATTCTCCTGCCTCAGCCTCCTTAGTAGCTCGGATTACAGGCATGTGCCACCACGCCCGGCTAATTTTGTATTTTAAGTAGAGATGGGGTTTCTCCATGGTGGTCAGGCTGGTCTCGAACTCCCAAACTCAGGTGATCCACCCGCCTCAGCCTCCAAAAGTGCTGGGATTATAGGCGTGAGCCAACACCCTCGGTCTGACAAAACTCTTTATACAGCTGTTCTATAAGACAGGTTCTAGGAAATCCACAAAAGCCTGAGATTAGTGAAATGGGTGAAAAGAGGTAGAAGGGGCTAATATAAGGTTGCCAATGTTTTCTTTTCTTTTTTTTTTTTTTTTGAGACGGAGTCTCGCTCTGTCGCCCAGGCTGGAGTGCAGTGGCGCGATCTCGGCTCACTGCAAGCTCCGCCTCCCAGGTTCACGCCATTCTCCTGCCTCAGCCTCCCGAGTAGCTGGGACTACAGGCGCCCGCTACCACGCCCGGCTAATTTTTTGTATTTTTTTTTTTTTTAGTAGAGACGGGGTTTCACCGTGTTAGCCAGGATGGTCTCGATCTCCTGACCTTGTGATCCGCCCGCCTCGGCCTCCCAAAGTGCTGGGATTACAGGCGTGAGCCACCGCGCCCGGCCTTCTTTTTTTTTTTGAGATGGTGTCTCACTCTGTCCACTCAGGCTGGAATGTAGTGGCTTGATCTTGGCTCACTGCAAACTCCGCCTCCCGGGTTCAAGCGATGCTTCTGCCTCAACCCCTGAGTAGCTGGGAATACAGGTGCCTGCCACCGTATCTGGCTGGTTTTTGTATTTTTGGTAGAGACTGGGTTTTGCCATGTTGGCCAGGCTGGTCTCGAACTCCTGATCTCAGATGATCCGCCCGCCCCGGCCTCCCAAAGTGCTAGGATTACAGGCGTGAGGCATAGCGCTTGGTCCTCTTTTTTTTTTTTTTAAACCATCCTCTTTGTTAAGGACACATGCAAACATTATTTTTAAGATGTATTAATTCCATTAATATTTTATTTATTTTTTTGAGGCTGAGTTTTGCTATGTTGTCCAGGCTAGAGGGCACTGGAATGTTCACGGCTCACTGAAGCCTCACTCCCAGGCTCAACTCCTGGGCTCAAATGATCCTCCTGCCTTGGCCTCCCAAACTGCTGGGACTACAGGTGTGAGCCACCATGCCTGCCATATTTTGAAGTATTATGTGGGTTGGATGCAGTGGCTCGTGTTTGTAATCCCAGCACTTTTGGAGGAGGGTAGGAGGAAAGCTGGAGACCAGTAGTTTGAGACTAATCTGGGCAACATGGCGAGAGCCTGTCTCTACAGAAAAATTTAAAAAGTAGTGGGGTGTGGACCACATGCCTGTGGTCCCAGCTACTGGGGAGGCTGAGGTGCGAGGATTGCTTGAGCCCAGCCTGCAGTGAGAAATGATCATACCACTACAGCCTGGGCAACAGAGCAAGATTCTGTCTCTAAGAAAATAAACACATAGCTGGGCACGGTGGCTCACATCTGTAATCCCAGCACTTTGGGAGGCCAAGCCGGGTGGATCATGAGGTCAGGAGTTTGAGACCAGCCTGGCCAGCATGGTGAAACCCCGTCTCTTCTAAAAATACTAAAAATTAGCTGGGTATGGTGGCTGGCAGATCACGAGGTCAGGAGTTCGAGACCAGCCTGACCAACATGGTGAAACCCTGTCTGCTAAAAATACAAATATTACCTGGGCCTGGTAGTGTGTGCCTGTAATCCCAGCTGCTCAGGAGGCTGAGGCAGGAGCATTGCTTGAACCCAGGAGGTGGAGTTTGCAATGAGCCAAGATCACACCACTGCACTCCAGCCTCAGCGACAGAGACTCTGTCTCAAAAAAAAAAAAAAAAAAAAAAAGCATTGAATTCTAATTCTGTTGTTTGAGGCATTATTTATTCTAATGAGCTTTGTAATCTCCACAAGGTTGGTAAATATACTGTACTTTATGATTTTTATCCAGTACTTCTAAAACTATTGCATAGTACTTTTGGTTAAACATGGAGGTTTGATCCAATATACCTATTTCCTTTCTTCAAATAGCATTAAAATGATAATAAGGGAACAAAAGAAACATGAGATCACAGGGACAAAAGTGAGTGAAAGAAGAAACCACAATACATGAGAAACTTCAGTTATTTTTTAGAAGATTAAAAAAATGGGTTCGGGCGGGGTGGCTCATGCCTGTAATCCGAGCACTTTGGGAGGCCGAAGTGGGCAGATCACGAGGTGAGGAGATCGAGACCATCCTGGCTAACATGGTGAAACCCCGTCTTTACTAAAAATACAAAAAATTAGCCCGGTGTGGTGGCCTGCACCTGTAGTCCCAGCTACTCGGGAGGCTGAGGCAGGAGAATAGCTTGAACCCGGGAGGCAGAGGTTGCAGTGAGGTAAGATTGCACCACTGCACTCTAGCCTGGGCAACAGAGCGAGACACCATCTCAATAAAACAAAAAACAAACAAAAAAGTTAGAAGGGTGTTAAGTGATTTAGCTAAGCGGAGGAAACTACACCCTTTGTTGTTTTTAGAGGGGCTTGTCAGGGAGAAGCAAGTATACTGAACAGCAACAAAAAGTATACTCAACAAAACTCAGGACTTGGTAGGAAAGAGACTTAGGACTTGGTAGGAAAAGGTCTCTTAAGAAACAGATGAGGCTTGAGATTAAAATCAGGTAGTGGTGAAATGTCTTTCTTTTTCATTCTTAAAAATTTTTAAGTTTTTTTAGAGACAAGGTCTTGCTTTGTTGCCCAGGCTGGAGTGCAGTGGTGTGATCATAGTTCACTGCAGCCTTGAGCTCCTGGGCTCAAGTGATCCTCCTGCCTTAGCCTCCTGAGTAGCTAGGACTACAGGAGTGCACCACTGTGCCTGTGTAATTTTATTTTATTGTTTTGTAGAGATAAGTTCTCGCTGTGTTGCCCAGGCTGGTCTTGAACTCCTGGCCTCAAGTGATTCTCCTACCTTGGCCTCCCAAAGTGTTGAGATTATAGGAGTAAGCCACTGTGTTTGGCCTAGGATACTATTCTTAAAAATCTTTCACAGGCGGGGTGTGGTGACTCACACCTGTAATCCCAGCACTTTGAGAGGCTGAGTCCAGCGGATCACTGGAGGCCAGGAGTTTGAGATCAGCCTGGCCAACATAGTGAAACCCCTTCTCTACCAAAAGTACAAAAAAAAGAAAAAAAAAATTAGCTGGGTGTGGTGGGGCGTGCCTGTAGTTCCAGCTACTCCGGAGCCTGAGGCAGGAGAATCTCTTGAACCTGGGAGGCTGAAGTTGCAGTGAGCTGAGATTGGGCCAGTGCACTCCAGCCTTCCAGCCAGGCTGATGGAGCCAGACTCTCAAAATATATATATATATAAATAATCTTTCAATAAATAGAAACTTATTGAAAATTTTAAAATATGATAATCCTCTGTCCCCCAAAAAGAATTAGTAAAAATTTGGAAGTAAAGTCAAAGCAATTTGGATATAGGAGAAAAATTATTTAACAAATTAAAGATTCACTGGGTATGGTGGCTCATGCCTGTAATCCTAGCACTTTGAGGGGCTGAGGTGGGTAGATCACTTGAGGCCAGGAGTTTGAGATGAGCCTGGCCAACATGGTGAAACCCTGTCTCTACCAAAAATATAAAAATTAGCTGGGTGTGGTGGTGGGCGCCTGTAATCCCAGCTACTTGGGAGGCTGAGGCAGGAGAATCACTTGAATCTGGGAGTTGGAGGTTGCAGTGAGCCGAGATTGCGCCACTGCACTCCAGCCTAGGCAACAGAGTGAGACTCTATCTCCAAAAAAAAAAAAAAGAAAAGAAAAAGATAAACCAGGAGGTCCAATGTTTGACTAATAGGAATTCTACAATGAGAGGACAGAGAAACCAGAAAAACTTCCAAAATATTTACCAGATTGAAAAATATAAACTTCTAGATTGAAAGGACTGATAGGCTGGGCGCGGTGGCTTATGCCTACAATCCCAGCACTTTTGGAGGCTGAGGCAGGCAGATCTTGAGGTCAGGAGATCGAGACCATCCTGGCTAACACGCCGAAACCCCGTCTCTACTAAAAAATACAAAAAATTAGCTGGGCGTGGTGGTGGGTGCCTGTAGTCCCAGCTACTTGGGAGGCTGAGGCAGCAGAATAGCGTGAACCCAGGGGCAGAGCTTGCAGTGAGTCGAGATTGTGCCACTGCACTCCAGCCTGGCTGACAGAGCGAGGCTCCATCTCAGGAAAAAAAAAAAAAAAAGGACTGATAGAATAATAACCTCAGACCAAGAGGCTTGATGATGAAATTTTGGTAAACTGAGGATAAAGAGAATATACTAAAAGCTTCCAAAAGTAACTAGAGGTTACATTCAAAGGACCCCAAATTAGAATGGCATTATATATCACAGCAGAAACTTACGAGGTCAGAAATGCATCAAGCAGTGTCTTCAGATATCTTCAGTGGAAAGGATTTTCATCTTATAATTTTATTGCAAGCCAAATTATCAATCAGATGTGAGTCTAAGGTAAATACATATTTTAGACATGCAAGAGACTTAAAAACCTGAGTTCCCATGAGCTGTTTTTTCATAAATTACTGTGAGATGTTCCCTTAAAAAGCAAGTGAGACAATATGGGGTACTGGAAACAATGCAATAAAAGAGAAGAGCTACTGGAGAGCCCAAGATGACAGTTGTGTAGCCAGTCTAGGGAATTTCTTAGAGTGTAGGAAAAGAAAGTGTTCTGGGAATGTTTAGCACCAGAGAAAAACAGTATCTGATGCATTTGAGCATATGGAAAATATTCAGATGTGACAGATTTTGGAGCAGTTGAGGGAAAAGAGTCTAGAAAGTAGAAAAAAATATGATAGCCTATATGTAGGGTGAGAAAGAGTCCATAGTCCTATTGTCTGCTTGTCCTGACACTGAGTAGTATCTAAATACTAAATATTCACACGGACGCTTAATTTAAACAAAGATTGTGAGAAAATTACACTGAATACAGCCAGAAGCAGTGGCATGTACTGTAATTTCAGCTACCTTAGAGACTGAGGCTGGAGGATTGCTTGAGGGTGTACTATGATCGCTCCTGTGAATAGCCAGTCTACTTCAGACATAGCGAGACCCCATCTCTAAAAAAAAAAAAATTTTTTTAAATTCCGTTGTTGTCTTTTAGTATCCACCTCTTAGTTCTTTCCTGTGTTACAGATGAAGTGAAACTAAGGGAAATGGAGGAAGGAGGAGGAGAGGTGGACATGAAATAATATTGTCACTTTGAATTTTAGTTTCTTTCCTTTCACTTCATAACTTCAAAAGAAGTTTTCAGTAGGGCATGGAACATTTCCAGGATTAAGCAGCACCAGTTCAACATGAGATTCAGTCATATTCAGTTCTTCAGAGTTCATGGAATCCTCCAGGTCCTAGACTGTTGCTGAGGATGGTTAATGTCAAATAAATTAAAAATACTGAAAAGAAAAAAATAAAAGTGTGTAGATGCTCTATTTTTGGACTGAGAGCAGTGAATTGGTAGTGGACATAGGTTTGGGTTAAGTAAATGAAACAGAAGTCAGCATAAAAGAAAGCTCAGAATATTGAGTCAGATGTTAGAAGGTGTCCAAAGCAGAAAGTTTGACCTATTAAGTAATGTGTCTGTTAGCTAAATGTATTCCTTCCGTAATGTTTTTATCTAGTGATTTCTTTCTTAGGAGAAGTTTAGTCATGAGACGGCAATGCACTGGCAGTAGTTAGCTTCTAAAAAGCAATTTTATTTCTGCTAGGGACAAGATGTTGGGCGGAGGAATTATAAACTTACTTTGTTTTAGGTTTATCTGGCCAAACAAAAATGTTTTTCCTTTTAGATTCGGGCAAGAAAACTGGCCAACTGGAAAAAACATCTGGTGTTGGTTGAATGAAGGAATGGCATAATCAGTAAAAATTACTTATAGGAAAAATACACATTTAAAAAATCTTCTGCAGCTTCAACTCTGGATTTTTTTTAATGAAAATTGATTCTTAATCTCTCATTAACATTTTCCTACCACCAAAAGATTTGACCTGTATTGGGCTACCTTTGTATGTTAGAAATTTTGCTTAATCTATGAAATTTCTTTTTTTAAATTTCTTAATCTATGAAATTTAGATCGTGAGTCATAAACTTCTTCAATAGAGAACCTGTTTTTGTAGTATTTGCTATTTAACAACCACCCTGTAACTTTGTGGCTTAAAACAATTCATTATGCAGCCTGACGGTCCTGCCATCTCCCCAATAGGTCGCTCATAAGACTGCAGTCATTTGGTGACTTGAGTGGGGCTTACGTGTCTAAGATGGCCTCACTTATACTCTGAGACCTTTTGGTGTTGCTGTCAGCCAGTTCTTGTTCTCCACATGATCTCTCATCATTCAGGAGTTTAGTGTGGACTTCCTTAGATGGCTGCAGGAGTCTGTCAAGAGGGTAAAGCTTTATTGTCTCTTAAGTCCTAGCCTGGGAAATCACAGTGTTATTCCTGCCACATTCTTTTTTTCTTTTTCTTTTTTGAGACAGGGTCTTGTTCTGTCTCCCAGGCTGGAGTGCAGTGGCACGACCTTGGCTCACTGTAACCTCTGCCTTCCCTGGCTCAAGCAATCCTCCCGCCTCAGCCTCCTGAGTAGATGAGACTGCAGGTGTGCACCACCACGCCCAGATAATTTTTGTTGTTGTTTTTGAGAGAAGGTATTGCCATGTTGCCCAGGTCTCAAAATCCTGGCCTCAAGCAATCCACTCTCCTTGGCCTCCCAGATTGTTGGGATTACAGGCGTGAGCCACTGCACCCAGCCCCACCACATTCTTTTGGTCAAATCAAGTCACTATGTCAACCTAGATTCAAGGGGTGGGAAAATAAACCCCATCTTTTGAAGGGAGAAGCAACAAAATTGCATTGCAAAGGGGCATTGCCACAAAGATATGATTCATTGGGACCCAGGCGCAGTGGCTCACATCTTGTAATCCCAGCACTTTGGGAGACTGAGGTGGGCGGATCACTTGAGGCCAGGAGTTCGAGACCAGCCTGGCCAACATGGTGAAACCCCGTCTGTACTAAAAATACAAAAACTAGTCGAGCGTGGTGGCACATACCTGTAATCTCAGCTACTCGGGAGGCTGAGGCACGAAAATTGCTTGAACCCAGGAGGTGGAAGTTGCAGCGAGCTGAGATCGCGTCACTGCATTCCAGCCTGGGCGACCGAGTGGGACTTTGTCTTCAAAAAAAAAAAAAAAAAAAAAAAGATATGATTCATTGGGTTTCATTACTTACTTTTTATTGTTTTTTTTTTTGTTTTTTGTTTTTTTTTTTTTTTTGAGATAAAGTCTTGCTCTGTCACCCAGGCTGGAGTACAGTGGCCAGATCACAGCTCATTGCAGCCTTCAACTTCCGGGCTTAAGCAATCCTCTCACCTCTTCCTCCCAAGTAGCTGGGACTATTGACATGTGTCACCATGCCCAGCTAGTTTTTAAAATTTTTTCTAGAGGAGGGGCCTCATCATGTTGCCCAGGCTGGTCTGGAATTCCTGGCAATCCTCCCACCTACCTTGGCCTCCCAAAGTACTGGGATTATAGGTGTAAGCCACCTTGTTTGGCCCATTATTTATCTGTTTGTATAGACATGTGGCTTAATTTATAAACACTCAGATATTTGTAAAGAATGCAAAAAGAGGCTAGGTGTGGTGGCTCACACCTGTAATCTTAGCACTTTGGGAGGCTGAAGCGGGAGGATCACTTGAGACTAGGAGTTTTGAGACCAGCCTGGGCAACATAGGGAGACCCTGTCTCTAAAACAAATTTAAAAATAAAAATTTGGCCAAGCGCGGTGGCTCACACCCATAATCCCAGCACTTTGGGAGGCCCAGGCTGGTGGATCACCTGAGGTTGGGAGTTCAAGACCAGCCTGACCAACATGGAGAAACCCTGTCTCTACTAAAAATACAAAAAAAATTAGCTGGGTGTGGTGGCACATGCCTGTAATCCCAGCCTCCCTAGTAGCTCGGGAGGGTGAGGCAGGAGAATCACTTGAACCCAGGAGGCGGAGGTTGTGATGAGCTGAGATCGCGTGCCATTGCACTCCAGCCTGGGCGACAAGAGTGAAACTGTCTCAAATAAATAAATGAATAAATAAATAAAATGTAGGAAAGGGATGTAAAGGACATTTAATAATGGTTGGTTGTAATAAGTGTTTCATTAAGAAAAGTTTACTAGGCCAGGCGCAGTGGCTCACACCTGTAATCCCAGCACTTTGGGAGGCCGAGGCAGGCAGATCACTTGAGGTCAGGAGCATGACCAGTCTGGCCAACAAGGTGATAACTCCATTTCTACTAAAAATACAAAAAAACTAGCTGGGTGTGGTGGCGCATGCCTGTAATCCCAGCTGTTTGGGAGGCTGAGGCAGGAGAATCACTTGAACCCGAGATGAAGGTTGCAGTGAGCCGAGGTCGCACTACTGCACTCCAGCCTGGTTGACAGAGCGAGACTCTGTCTCAGAAAAAAAAAAAAAGCCGGGTGTGGTGGCTCACGCCTGTAATCCCAGCACTTTGGGAGGCCGAGGCAGGTGGATCACCTGAGGTCGGGAGTTCGAGACCAGCCTGACCAACATGGAGAAAACCTCTCTCTACTAAAAATAGAAAATTAGCTGGGTGTGGTGGCACATGCCTGTAATCCCAGCTACCCGGGAGGCTGAGGCAGGAGATGGGGTCTTGCCATCTTACCCAGGCTGGTCTCGAACTCCTGGGCTTAGGCAGTCCTCGTACCTCAGCCTTCTAAAGTGCTGGGATTACAGGTATGAGCCACTGTGCCTGGCCAAGAAAGCATTTTTCTTTTTTTTTTGAGACGGAGTCTCGCTCTGTTGCCCAGGCTGCAATGCAGTGGGGCAGTCTTGGCTCACTGCAAGCTCTGCCTCCCGGGTTCACGCCATTCTCCTGCCTCAGCCTCCTGAGTAGCTGGGACTGCAGGCGCCCGCCACCATTCCTGGCTAATTTTTTGTGTGTGTATTTTTAGTAGAGACGAGGTTTCACCGTGTTAGCCAGGATGGTCTCGATCTCCTGACCTCGTGATCTGCCCGCCTTGGCCTCCCAAAGTGCTGGGATTACAGGTATCAGCCACCATGCCTGGCCAGGGCATTTTTTTTTTTTTTTTAGTGCTCCAAAATCCAAAAGCATTTTTAAAACTTTACTCTTTTTAAATATTAGAGATGGGGTCTTGCTATCTTGCCCAGGCTGGTCTTGAACTCCGGGGCTCGGGCAGTCCTCATACCTCAGCCTTGTAAAGTGCTGGGATTTACAGGTATGAGCCACTGTGCCTGGCCAAGAAAGCATTTTTTTTTGAGACGGAGTCTCGCTCTGTCGCTAAGGCTGGAGTGCAGTGGTGCGATCTCGGCTCACTGCAAACTCCGCCTCCCAGGTTCAAGCAGTTCTCCTGCCTCAGCCTCCCGAGTAGCTGGGACTACAGGCGCGTGCCACCACACCCAGCTAATTTTTTGTATTTTTAGTAGAGACAGGGTTTCACAGTGTTAGCCAGGATGGTCTCGATCTCCTGACTTAATGATCTACCTGCCTCAGCCTCCCAAAGTGCTGGGATTACAGGCATAAGCCACCCTGCCTGACCAAAAACATTTCTTCTTGTTTTGAGAAGCTTCTGGGCTCCAGAGACAGAAGATGAGGAAGTTTTATTTTCCAATCCAGCAAATTCTAGGCTCTCAATATTCTCAGTTCTTTGCAAACTGTGCAGTTCTTTCTTCTGCATATCTCTCATGTTACTTTATCATAGTTAGTTTATCAAACTATTCAGCTAACAGCGAAATGGCCTCCCATAGACTTCACAAACTCCATTCACAGCATCAACTTGGCAGCTCAATCTGCTTGGCTTCTCTGATTGATGGCTCTTCTCTGATCCTCCAACTCCTTCTTCTAGACCTTCACCTCTCTAGATCTTCCCATGGTTTCATTATGGTCTAATTCTTGTAACTCCTGTTCCCTAACACTCAGGTGACTTTGCTGTCCTGACTGAACCTTGCTTAATACAGAAATTTATACTCAGAAATGCAATGCAATAATAAAAACCTAGAATGTGGCACTGACTTTAGGATCAGGTAGCAGGCAAAGGCTGAACGGGTGTCAAGAAGCCTGTTGGTGGAGGCTGGAACAATGGGGGAAATTGCTACTAGAATCTGGGAAAAATATGACCCATGTCATGTATTAATACATGTAGACTAACTGGCAAAAATATGACCATTGGTAACAACTGGTATATCTAAGGAGATTTCTAGGCATTGTTTTGGGGATGTGAATTGGCCTCTGAACAAGGAGTTCCTGGGGTGGTATATGGGAAGCTGTTATCTGAATAGCTACTGTCTCTGATGCTTAGCCAACAGTGGTTTGAGGCCACTGTTGGTCAGCAAGGCCAGCGTTCGGGAAGAAAGCCAGACATAGAGCAGAGGACAAAGTGGATTCTGACAGACATTTCTGAATCTGTCTCTGAGTGTGAAAAGATCATGAAAGTCATCAAAGTGTATTCATCATGCCTCACTCTGCTTTCCAAAATCTTGTTCCATTTTTGTCCCGCTCCTAACCCAAACCATGTAGAGAAAAGATTTCTGGGAAACACTGTTACTACCGTAACCAAATTGACTCAGTAAAATCTGTCACAGAACCACATCAAATATTGAAAATTTAAAATTGACAACAGTGTGAAATTTGTTTTTAAATCATTTTTATTATAAAATATGCATAAGATGTACCACGTAAAGCAATTTCAAGTGTACAGTTCAGTGACATTAAGTACATTCACATTGTTATGAAACCTGTCACCACCATCCACATGTAGAACTTTTTTCATCTTCCCAAACTGAAACTTCTCTAACCATTAAACAGTAACTCCCCATTCCCTCTCCCCTTTTAGCCCCTGCCAACCACCACTATCCTTTCTCTTATGAATTTCACTACTGTGGGTACCCTTTGTAAGTGGTACTTTTGTGACTGGTTTATTCCACTTAGCATAATGTCTTCAGGGTTCATCCATGTGTCAGAATTTTTTCATTTTTAATACTAAATAATATGTAATATATGTTTTTATGTAAATTTTATATAATCATAAAACAACATAATTTTAATATTTTATGTTTATACATTTAATACTTTAATGTTTTATCTGAATAATTTAATTCTGTATGTAATAATTGCTTTTTAATACTAAATATTCCATTTTATGTAAAAAGCACATTTTGTTTATTCATTCATCTGTTGGACACCTGAGTGACTTCTGCCTTTTGGCTGTTGTGAACCTGCTTTCAGTTATTTCAGATATGTACCAAAATAGGAATTGAAGAAATAGGAATAAGAATAGGAATTGCCGGATCATATGAAAATTCTGTTTAATTTTTTAGGGAACTGCCATACCGTTTTCTGTAGCAGCCACACCATTTTCCATTCCCATGAGCAATGCAGCAATGTCTCTTAAGGTTTCCAATTTCTCCACATTCTCACCAACACTTGTTACTTTCTGGGTTTTTTTTTTTTCCAAGATGGAGTCTCACTCTTGTTGCCCAGGCCGGAGTGCAGTTGCGTGATCTTGGCTCACTGCAACCTCCGCCTCCCGGGTTCAAGCAGTTCTCCTGCTTCAGCCTCCGGTGTGCTACCACGCCTGGCTAATTTTTGTATTTTTAGTAGAGACAGGGTTTCACCATGTTGGCCAGGCTGGTCTTGAACTCCTGACATCATGATCTGCCCGCCTTGGCCTCCCAAAGTGCTGGGATTGCAGGCCCACCTCTGTTGTTTGTTTTTGAGACAGGATCTTGCTGTGTCACCCACGCTCAGGCTGGAGTGAAGTTGCATAATCCTGGCTCACTGCAACTTCCACCTCCTGGACTCAAGCCATTTTCCTGCCTCAGTTTCCCAAGTAGCTGGGACTACAGGTACAAGTGCGTGCCGCCACGCTAATTTTTTATATTTTTTTTGTAGATATGGGGTTGGCCAGGCTGGTTTCAAACTCCTGAGCTCAGGCGATCAGCCCGCCTCAGCAGCCTCCCAAAGTGGTGTGGTGGGATTATAGGCGTGAGCCACTGCGCCTTGCCAGATTTTTTGTTTTAGAAAATAGCCTTCCTAATGATTGTGAAGTGGTATCTTGTGGTTTTGATTTGCATTTTTCTAATGATTAGTGATGTTTAGCATCTTTTCATGTGCTTATCGGTCCCTTGTATATTTTCTTTGGTGAAACGTCTGAATATTCAAGCCTTTTGCCCATTTTTTAGTTGGATTGTTTTTTGTTTGTTTTTCAGTTTGTAGGATTTCTTTATATACTCTGGGTGTTAACTCCTGAGATAGATATTTGCAAATATTTTCTCCTAATGTGTAGGTTGTCTTTTCATTCTGTTGATAGTGTTGTTATTGTTTCTACTGAGAGGTGTTTTTTTTGTTTGTTTTTTTGTTTTTTTGTTTTTTTTTGAGACAGAGTCTCACTCTGTTGCCCAGGCTGGAGTGCAGTGGTTTGATCTCAGCTCACTGCAACCCCCACTTCCAGGGTTCTAGTGATTCTCCTGCCTTAGCCTCTGAGTAGGTGGGATTACAGGCGTACGCCACCACGCCCGGATAATCTTTGTATTTTTAGAAGAGACAGGGTTTCGCCATGTTGGCCAGGCTGGTCTCAAACTCCTAACTTCAAGTGATCCACCCACCTCAGCCTCCCAAAGCGCTAGGATTACAGGCATGAGCCACTGCTCCTGGCCTTATATGCCATCTTGAGAAGGCTAAGGGATGCCCGAATAGCTAGTAAAACATTATTTCTGGGTGTGTCTGTGAGGGTGTTTGTGGAAGAGGTTAGTATTTAAATCAGTAGACTGAGTAAAGAAAGATCCGCCCTCACCAGTGTGGGCCAGCATCATCCAATCAGCTGAGGGCCTGAATAAAACAAAAAGGTGGAGGAAGGGAGAATACTGCCTCTCCTTGAGCTGAGACATTCATTTTCTCTTTTCCTTGGACATCAGAGCTCCTGTTCTGGCCTTTGGACGCTGGTAATACTGCCTCACCTCCACTTCTGGTTCTTAGTTAGGCCTTTGGACTCTGACTGGATTACATTATAAGCTTTCTGTGAGACAGTTCTTATAATAAATCTCTTCATATGCATATGTATGAGAAGAGTTTATATATATGTAATTGTTTCTGTTTCTCTGGAAAACCTGAACTAATACTTTGTTCAAAAGTTGAGGCAAAATAAAAACGTTTCCAGATAAGCAAATACTGAGAGAATTTGTTAGCAGGCTTGCCTTACTAAAGGAAGTACTTCAAGCTGAAATGAAACGCTATGGTACCAGATGGTAACTTGAAGAAAAAGAAGAGCAGAAGTTAATTTCAGAGGTAAATATGAACGACAATAAGTAAATGTTTCTTTTATTATCTTGACTGAATTAAAGGCATTTGCCAGCTGGGCATGGTGACTCACCTGTAGTCGCAACACGTTGGGAGGCTGAGGCAGCTTCGCTTGAGCCCCAGAAGTTGGAGGTTGCAGTGAGCTATGTTTGTGCCACCGCACTCTAGCCTGGGTGACATAGTAAGACACTGTCTCAAGAAATAAAGGGGGTTTCGCGTAAGATGATAATTATAAAACTGTTTAAGATACCAGAAGGCAATATAAAAGGAACAGAAGAACAAAAGATATGAGACAGAGAAAACATACAGAATGAGAGGCATGCCTAACAGTGACAGTGAATTGTTGACATAAAGATATATGTATAGATTAATGGAACAGTATTGAGAGTCTAGAAATAATGCCAACATTTATGGTCAAGTGATATTTGATTAAGGTACTAAAGCAATTCAACTGGGCAAAAAAAGTCTTTTTTTTTTTTTTTTTTGAGACAGAGTTTTGCTCTTGTTGCCTAGGCTGGAGTGCAGTGTGGCACGAACTTGGCTCACTTCAACCTCCTCCTCCCGGGTTCAAGTGATTCTCCTGCCTCAGCCTCCCAAGTAGCTGGGATTACAGACATGCAGCACCACGCCCGGCTAATTTTGTATTTTTAGTAGAGACGAGGTTTCTCCATGTTGGTCAGGCTGGTCTCGAACTCCCAACCTCGGTGATCCACCCGCCTTGGCCTCCCAAAGTGCTGGGATTACAGGCATGAGCCATTGGACCCAGCCCCATTTGCTTTAAAGACTATTTCAAATGGGGCTGGGTACGATAGCTCATGCCTGTAATCCCAGCACTTTGGGAGGTCAAAGTGGGAGGAGCTCTTGAGTTTAGGAGTTTAAGACTAGCCTGGGCAACATAGTGAGACCTTGTCTCTACTGCAAAATTAAAAAAAAAAAAATTAGCCAGGTGTGGTGGCACGCACCCGTAGTTCCAGCTTCTCAGGAGGCAGAGGTGGTAGAATTGCTTGAGCCTGGGAGGTCAAGGCTGCAGTGAGAGGTGATTGCACCACTGCACTCCACCCTGGGTGACAGAGTGATACCCTGTCTCAAAACAAACACAAATGTAGGCCGAGCGCAGGGGCTCATGCCTATAATCCTAGCCGCCTGGGAGGCCAAGGCAGACAGATTGCTTGAGTCCAGGAGTTCAAGACTATCCTAGGCAACATGGCGAAATCCCGTCTCTATAAAATATAGAAAAAATAGCTGAGCGTGGTGATATGTACCTGTAGTCCCAGCCACTTGGGGGGCTGAGATGGGATGATCACTTGAGCCCAAGAAGTTGAGGCTGCAGTGAGCCATGATTGTGCCACTGTACTCCAGCCTCAGTGACAGAGTGAAACCCTGTCTCAAAACAAAACAGATGGTGGTGAAACAATTGTATATCTGCATGCAGACAGATGAAGTTGTGCTCTCACCTCATACCACATATGATAATTAACTCAAAATGGATCTTAGACTTAAGTGTATAAGCTAAAACTATAAAACTTTTTTTTTTTTTTTTTTTTTTGAGATGGAGTCTCGCTCTGTCGCCTAGGCTGGAGTGCCGTGGCACAATCTCAGCTCACTGCAACCTCTGCCTCCTGGGTTCAGGTGATTCTTCTGCCTCAGCCTCCCAAGTAGCAGGGGATTACAGGTGGATGCCACCACGCCTGGCTACTTTTTGTATTTTTAGTAGAGACAGGGTTTCACCATGTTGGCCAGGCTGGTCTCGAACTCCTGACCTCATGATCCACCCACCTTGGCTTCCCAAAGTGCTGGGATTACAGGTGTGAGCCACCCCTCCTGCCCAAAACTTTTAAAACATAGGAGAAAATTTTTATGAAATTGGATTAGGCAAAGGAGTTCTTTTTTTTTTTTTTTTTTTTTGAGACGAAGTCTCGATTTTGTCCCTCAGGCTGGAGTGCAATGGCACAATCTCAGCTCACTGCAACCTCTGCCTCCTGGGTTCAATCGATTCTCCTGCCTCAGCCTCCCAAGTAGCTGGAATTACAGGCACCTGCCACCACGCGCAGCTAATTTTTGTATTTTTAGTAGAGACGGGGTTTCACCATGTGGCCAGGCTGGTCTTGAACTCCTGACCTCAGGTGATCCGCCCGCCTTGGCCTCCCAAAGTGCTGGGATTACAGGCGTGAGCCACCGCGCCCGGCCCAGGAGTTCTTGTATAAGACATCAAAAGCATGATACATCAAGAAAAAAATTGCAGTTTATCAAAATTAAAAACAGTAGTGTGTCAGAAGACACCATTAAGAAGTAGAAAACACAGTCTGGGTGACATGGGAGAAAGTATTTGCAAATCAAATAATCAAATCATTTATATAAAGGGCTATTTAAAATATATGAAGAAGGCCAGGTGTCGTGGCTCATGCCTGCAATCCCAGCACTTTGGGAGGCTGTTCTCAACCTTAGGGGCTCAAACAGTCCACCCACCTCAGCCTCCCAAAGTGCTGGGATTACAGGCGTGGCCATAGTGTTTTTAATCAAGAAATTTTAGGCCGGGCGTGGTGGCTCACACCTGTAATCCCAGCACTTTGGGAGGCTGAGGCAGGTGGATCACTTGAGGTCAGGAGTTAAGAGACCAGCCTGACCAACATGGTGAAATGCCGCCTCTACTAAAAATAAAAAATTAGCTGGGCATGGTGGCGCATGCCTATAATCCCAGCTACTTGGGAGGCTGAGGCAGGAGAATCACTTGAACCAGGGAGGCAGAGGTTCTAGTGAGCTGAGATTGTGCCATTGCACTCTAGCCTGGACAACAAGAGCAAAACTCTGTCTCAAAAACAAACAAACAAACAAAAAAACCAAGAAATTTTATGTGGTGAACATCCCTTGAAATAAGTGGGCTGTAACCTGGATTTCCAAACTTTTGTTTTTTCAACTATTTTAATTGTTATTTTATTTGTTGTAGTATAATTCAGTCTGTCTATTGCTGTGCTGATATCATTCATATCTTATTTGCTAAATGGGTGACATTCAATTTATTAAATATTTTTATTGCATTTTTTGCAAGACAGTCTGCTATAGAGATACGTAGTGAAAAAGCCACAAAAGGCTGCTGGGAATTTACAGTCAAAAAGAGGGGAGGGATTAGAGTACTTCCAGATTCCTAACGTATAAATAACATTCATTGATTCAGTGATTCCTAGGCACTAGTTTAGCTGTGGGTTGCTGACTATACTGTGGTGACAAAACAGACATGGTCCCTTTCCTCTCAGAGCTTATAGTCTGGTAACACCAACGTAGGACTGGTATTCTGAGCTTTGGGATGCTTTGAGGTTTCATAGGAGAAGGAACAGTCACATCCAGTTAACGAGATTGAGAAGGACATGGAATGGGTAGTAAGTGCGATGAACATTAATCTCTTTGTATTGACAGAGTAGGCAGATTTCATTGCACAGGTACTCTAAAGAAAATAGCATGAACAAAAAAGCAAGAGCTTGTTTGAGGAGAAGCAAATGGTCCTCAGGGATACTATCTTATTTGTTTTCCCCGTTGGTAGACTTCACTATATATCATTAAACAAAAGATGCCATGAATTATAAACTGCAACTTTATTTTATACACAGATGCTTTTGGTTTTTAATTGTGAGATGAATCCTGATTTCACAGATGCCAGAATGTGAAAATACTTGTACCTTTAAAATTTCTGTGGTAAAATACATGTAACATAATATTTACCATCTTAACTGTTTTTAAATGTACATTACACAGTTCAGTAGTGTTAAGTACATTCACAGTGTTGTACAAGCAATCTTCAGAACTCTTCATCTTGAAAAACGAAACATTTTTAAGATAAAAATAGGCTGGGTGCGGTGGCTCACTCTTGTAACCCCAGCACTTTGGGAGGCCAAGGCGGGCGGATCATGACAAGGTCAAGAGGTCGAGACCATCCTGGCCAATATGATGAAACCCCATCTCTACTAAAAATACAAAAATTAGCTGGGTGTGGTGGCGCGTGTCTGTAATCCCAGCTACTTGGGAGGCTGAGGCAGGAGAATCGCTTGAACCTGGGAGGTGGAGGTTGCAGTGAGCCAAGATTGTGCCACTGCACTCCAGCCTGGCAACAGAGTGAGACTCTGTCTCAAATAAATAAATAAATAAATAAATAAATAAATAAATAAATAAGGTGTAGTGGTCTCCCTTATCCATGGGGAATATGTTCCAAGACCCCTGGTGGAAGCCTAAAATTGCATATAGTATAGAACCCTATATATACTATGATTTTTTCTATACTTATATACCTATGATAAGGTATGATTTATAAATTAGGCACAGAAAGAGATTAACAAAAATAACTAATAAAATAGAACAATTATAACAGTATACTGGAATAAAGTTGTGTGAATGTCTCTTTTACTAACCTGTTTTCAGACTGTGGCTGACCATGGACCGTAGAAAGGAAAACCACTGATAAGGAGGTACTTAGTAAGTTTAGTAAGTTTTAGTAAGTTTAGCTGCATATGTTTTAGTAGGTTTAGCTGCCTATGTATTACTAAGTTTAGCTGCATATGTCAGAGACCCAAATTAAAAGTGGCTTAAATATTTATGTTTATTTTCTCTCATAAAGTCCAGATGTAGACAGTTTTTATTGGCATGGTATCCCTGCAATCATCTGCAGACCTTTTCTAGTTTTCTGCTTGTCTTTAAAACGGTGGCCTTCAGCTTCATGATACAAGATGGAGTTCCAGGCATCCTAATCCTATTCTAAGCAGCAGAATTGAGAAAGGGGTAAAGAAAAAGGACATAACCTCTCTCTTTAAGTACTCTCCTGAAAGTGTACATGGCACTTTTTCTTACAACCTACTGGTCAAAACTTAGTTACTGAATCCTGCCTAGCTGCAAGAGAAATAGTCTTCTTTCCACACAGCCAGGTGCTAGCTAAGAATTGGGAATTCTGTATATAATCTATAAAGCTTAAATAATATAGGTCAGAGCTTTTAATTTCCTGTTTAGTACTTAGTAGATTTAATTTAAGCAATAGGGGTCACTGTTGAACAAGTATTTCTTTCCTTTTTTTTCTTCTTTTCTTTTTTTTTTTTTTTCCCAGACAGAGCTTCACTCTGTTGCCAAGGCTGGAGTGCAGTAGCCTGATCTCGGCTCACTGCAACCTCCGCCTCCAGGGTTTAAGCAATTCTCATGCCTCAGCCTCCCAAGTAGTTGGGACTACAGGTGCACGCTACCACACCCGGCTGATTTTTGTATTTTTTAGTAGAGATGGGGTTTCACCATGTTGGCCAGTCTGGTCAACTCCTGAGCTCAAGTGATCTGCCTGCCTCAGCCTCCGAAAGTGCTGGGATTACAGTTGTGAGCCACTGTGCATGGCCATTTCTTTCCTATTTTTTTTAATGTATTTATTTTTTCAGACATGGGGTCTCGCGATCTTGCCCAGGCCAGACTTGAACTCCTGGGATCAAGCGATACTCCCCTTCAGCCTACCAAGTAGCTGGAACTACCGGCACACACCACTGTGCCTGGCTCTTTCCTAGTTTCTTTGTTCAACCTTTCGGCCCTTTTCCACCCAACCTCTGGTTTTAGAGCCTCCTGAAGTGGTTTCTTGGGTCCTGTTTATTTACTAAGCATTTAAATAAATGTATTATGTTAGTAAACAGATCCCTCAAATGTGTCAAACTGAGATTTAGAAACTGATAGAAAAGGCAAAAGTAATAGCGTGCACGCGCGTGCACACACACACAAGCTGCTTAATATTCACAAACTCTATTAGATGATATAATTCTACATTGGTACAAGGGCCTTCAAAGTTGTTTCCTCAGCTATGTACGTTATAGAAAAACAATTATAATTTTATACAAACCAACAGTATATTATTGTATATAAACCAAGTTGCTTAGCTTTTTAAAAACCAATATATTTAAGAACATTCTACCCCTAGAAGTCATGGCTATCACAGTGTCTGCTTGCATGTTTAGGTGATATTGTCCTTTGAAACAATAAGAAGAGAAGAATCTAGTTGCTCCCATGTTTTTCTGCTGATTACTTCCTTGTAATTGTTTATAGATGACAGAAATATATCATGATACTTCCTGTGTTAATATAAAACCAGAGAATTACCTAAGAATGTTAAACATTTGAATAGTTATTTCCTCTACAACTGTTATATTGAAAATCCTTCACAAGATTGTTGTAATTTGTTATAGCCTTGATCTAAATTGTTTTGACTCCTTTTATATTTTTGAATGAGAAACCTGGAGTTTGGATTCAACTGAAATATAAAATAGTAAAATACCTAAAACACATATTCTATTGCTTTTATGAAATAGTTGTTTTATAAACAATAGCATGAACAGGAGCAGGAACCATTTGGGTTTCCTAGAAAACATCTAGTGTTATTGTGTCTACTTTTAGGATTCTTTTTTTTTTTTTTTTTGGTGAGACAGAGTTTCTCTCTTGTTGCCCAAGCTGGAGTGCAATGGTGTGATCTCAGCTCACTGCAACCTCCCCCTCCCGGTTTCGAGCAATTCTCCTGCCTCAGCCTCCCGAGTAGCTGGGATTACAGGTGCACACCACCATGCCCTGCTAATTTTTTGTATTTTTAGTAGAGATGGGGTTTCACCATGTTAGCCAGGCTGATCTCGAACTCCTGACCTCATGTGATCCGCCCACCTCAGCCTCCCAAAGTGCTGGGATTACAGGCGTGAGCCACTATGCTTGGCTTTAGGATTATTTTCTAATGTCTATTGCTGTGTCACTTCAAGTGATAATATTCTGGTTATGTGTTATTTTTTCCTGAGATCCTGAATCTACTTCATCTGACCTATTGGTTCTTAAACTTTAGGGTACATCAGTATCACATAGAGGTCTTGTTAAAATAGAGATTGCCCCACCATTTTCTCTCCTGCCCACCTACCCCCAGTCTTTGATTCTACAGGTCTAGGGAAAATCCTATGAATTTTCAATTCTTGTAAGTTCCGGGTTGATGCTGATACTCCTGCTCAGGGGACCATCCGTTCTTAACCACTAATCTGGTTCTTTCTTACAAACCTGGAGTTAGGAGACTTATGTGCAGAAGAAAGGGGAGGGAAATATAAATCTGGACAGATGTCTTACACATAATGGCATTTCCCAAATGGTTCCAGGGTGCTGTTTCTTTTTCCCTTCACTTTAATGCTCCTACAGAGGCAGCAGCATTCTCAGTTTATATAGACCAAAGCAAGGGAGGAAATTAGCTATGTTTTTTTTTTTTTTTTTGCTTCTTTTTTTGTTTTTGTTTTTGTTTTCGAGAAGGAGTCTAGCTCTGTTGCCCAGGCTGGAGTGCCATGGCACAATCTCAGCTCACTGCAACCTCTGCCTTCCAGGTTCAAGCGATTCTTCTGCCTCTGCCTCCCAGGTAGCTGGGATTATAGGCATGCAACACCATGCCTGGCTAATTTTGTATTTTTAGTAGAGATGGGGTTTCTCCATGTTGGTCAGCTGGTCTCGATCTCCCAGCCTCAGGTGATCAGCCCGCCTTGGCCTCCCAAAGTTACAGGCATGAGCTACTGTGCCTGGTGCTTCTTTGTTTTTATATGTGAAATTGTAGAAGTCATGTGAACAACATATAATGTGTTTTTTTGTTATTTTCCATTATTATGTATATTGAAGTGAACATAGTGCCTTATTAGGTGAGATGTGGCATTTAATACTTTGTTTTCTAAAATTAAAATGATTAAGTTTTACTTTTTGTGGATTTGGGTTGGACATAGTTCTAGTAGATTGAGTGTTTGATAGAATATTTTAAATAATTTTTTGGGCATGAAACAAAGTTTTGACTGCATCTTTTTTTTTTTTTTTTGAGACGGAGTCTCGCTCTTTAGCCCAGGCTGGAGTGCAGTGGCGCGATCTCTGCTCACTGCAAGCTCCGCCTCCCGGGTTCATGCCATTCTCCTGCCTCAGCCTCCTGAGTAGCTGGGACTACAAGCGCTAGCCACCATGCCCGGCTAATTTTTTGTATTTTTAGTAGAGATGGGGTTTCACCGTGTTAGCTAGGATGGTCTCGATCTCCTGACCTCGTGATCTGCCTGCCTCAGCCTCCCAAAGTGCTGGGATTACAGGCGTGAGCCACTACGCCTGGCCTTGACTGCATCTTGACTGTGACTTATCACAAGAGGTCAGGTGTGGAATTTTCTTATTTTTTTTTTCCAGAGGTGGGGTCTCACTGTTTTACCAGGCTGGAGTACAGTGGTGTAAACACTGCTTGCTGCATCCTTGACCTCTTGGGCTCAAGCTATCCTCCTGCCTCAACCTTCCAAGGTGCCGGGATTATAGGCATGAGTCACCTTGCTCAGCCCAAAATCTGAAAGATTTTGAGTGCTGACATGACACCACTATGGAAAATTCTGACCAGGCATGGTGACTTAATACCTGTAATCCCAGCCTTTTTTTTTTTTTTTTTTTTTTTTTTTTGAGATGGAATCTTGCTCTGTTGCCCAGGCTGGAGTATGGTGGCTCGATTTTTATTTATTTGCTTATTTATTTTGAGACGGAGTCCCGCTCTGTTCCCCAGGCTGGAGTGCAGTGGCATGATCTCAGCTCACTGCAACCTCTGTCTCCCGGGTTCAAGTGATTCTCCTGCTTCAGCCTCCCAAGTAGCTGGGATTACAGGTGCCTGCCACCATGCCTGGCTAATTTGTGTATTTTTAGTAGAGACGGGGTTTCATCATGTTGGCCAGGATGGTTTCAAACTCATGACCTCAAGTGATCTGCCCGCCTCAGCCTCCCAAAGTGCTGGGATTACAGGCATGAACTGCTGTGCCCGGCCTAATCCCAGCAATTTGAGAGGCTGAGGCAGGAGGATCTGTTGAGCTCAGGCATTCAAGACTAGATTGGGCAACATAGTGAGACCCCATCTCTACAATAGATACAAAAATTAGTCAGGTGTGGTAACACGTTTCTGTAGTCCTAGCTACTCAGGAGGCCGAAGGGGGAGCATTGAGTCCGGAGGTCAAGGCTGCAGTGGTCTATGATAGGACCACTGTACTCCAACCTGGGCAACAGAGTGAGACCTTGTCTCAAAAGTAAGAACATGTAAACACATTACAACTTTGTGAATTACTGCCTATGAGTGCATCTGGAGAATGATGACCATAGTGACATAGTATCTTTGAAACCATGTTATTTAAGAACATTAGAAGAACCTGACTGGGCACAGTGGCTCACAAATGTAATCCCAACACTTTGGAAGGCTGAGGCAGGAAGATTGCTTGAGGCCAGGAGTTTCAGACCAGCCTGGTCAACATACTGAGACTCCATCTTTTTTTTTTCTTTTTTTTGAGACGGAGTCTCGTTCTGTCGCCAGGCTGGACTGCAGTAGCATGATCTCGGCTCACTGCAACCTCCGCTCCCAGGTTCAAGGGATTCTCCTGCCTCAGCCTCCCAAGTAGCTGGAACTACAGGTGTGCGTCACCATGCCCAGCTAATTTTTGTATTTTTAGTAGAGACTGGGTTTCACCATGTTGGCCAGGATGGTCTCCATCTCTTGACCTCGTGATCCACCCACCTTGGACTCCCAAAGTGCTGGGATTACAGGCGTGAGCCACCGCGCTCAGCCGAGACATCATCTTTTGTATGTGTGTGACACAGCCCTCAGGAGATCCTGAGAACATGTGCCCTGCGAGACTCTCTCTCTACCAAAAAAAAAAAAAGACGAACCCAACCTTGTTTAGAGAGAAATGTAATGGTTTAGTTTTGAAAGACTGCCTTCTGAGGAGGGATTGGATTTTTTTTTTCTTCTAAAAAATGTAATTGTCAAACCTGACAAAATCAAGAAATGGAGAAAGGATTCCCTATTTAATAGATGGGGCTTGGAAAACTGGCTTGCCATATGTAGAAAGCTGAAACTGGATCCCTTCCTTACACCTTATACAAAAATTAATTCAAGATGGATTAAAGACTTAAATGTTAGACCTAAAACCATAAAAAACTCTAGAAGAAAACCTAAGCAATACCATTCAGAACATAGGGGTGGGCAAGGACTCCATGACTAAAACACCAAAAGCAATGGCAACAAAAGCCAAAATTGACCAATGGCATCTAATTAAACTAAAGAGCTTCTGCACAGCAAAAGAAACTGCCATCAGAGTAAACAGGCAACCTACAGAATGGGAGAAAATTTTTACAATCTTCCCATCTGACAAAGGACTAATATCCAGAATCTACAAAGAACTTAAACAAATTTACAAGAAAAAATCAAACAACCCCATCAAAAAGTGGGCAAAGGATATGAACAGACACTTCTCAAAAGAAGACATTTATGCAGCCAACAGACACATGAAAAAATGCTCATCATCACTGGCCATCAGAGAAATGCAAATCAAAACCATAATGAGATACCATCTCACACCAGTTAGAATGGCGATCATTAAAAAGTCGGGAAACAACAGGTGCTGGAGAGTGTGGAGAAATAGAAACACTTTTACACTGTTGGTGGGACTGTAAACTAGTTCAACCATTGTGGAAGACAGTGTGGCGATTCCTCAAGGATCTACAACTAGAAATAACCATTTGACCCAGCGATCCCATTACTGGGTATATACCCAAAGGATTATAAATCATGCTGCTATAAAGACACATGCACATGTATGTTTATTGCAGCACTATTCACAATAGCAAGGACTTGGAACCAACCCAAACGTCCATCAATGACAGACTGGATTAAGAAAATGTGGCACATACACACCATGGAATACTATGCAGCCATAAAAAAGGATGAGTTCATGTCCTTTGTAGGGACATGGATGAAGCTGGAAACCATCATTCCGAGCAAACTTGCAAGGACAGAAAACCAAACACCACATGTTCTCACTCATAGATGGGAATTGAACAATGAGAACACTTGGACACAGGGTGGGGAACATCACACACCGGGACCTGTTGTGGGGTGGGGGGAGGGGGGAGAGATAGCATTAGGAGATATACCTAATGTAAATGACGAGTTAACGGGTGCAGCACACCAACATGGCACATGTATACATATGTAATAAACCTGCATGTTGTGCACATGTACCCTAGAACTTAAAGTATAATAAAAAAAAAAGTAATTGTCAGTCATTAGCATTTCTAGTAGTCTGTTTGTTGCACTGAAACCTGCTAAATGATTCAACTTTTTGTTACTAAGTATTGTTGCTTTTTTAACAATCTTTGTTCCAGTTTCTTTTCATTTCACTGTCCCTGTTAATCTTACAGACAACTGCGTCATCTTTTACTTGGACCATAATTTTAATGGATTCCTAACTTTATTTCCTTCCTACTAGTCCAGAGTTCGGTGTCTTTAGGATTCTCTTCCCTGTGGTGGTGTTTCGCATTTCTAAACTGTATACAGGTTTCCTTCATGGTGTAGCCCCACCATCCATTTAATAAACCATTCATTATGATGATTATCTTTTTTTTTTGAGACAGGATCTCACTCTGTCGCCCAGTCTGGAGTGCAGTGGTGTGAACATGCTCCACTGCATCCTTGACTTCCTGGGCACAAGTGATCCTCCCACCCCAGCACCCCCCCACCAAATAGCTGGGACTACAGGTGTACACCATCACATCTGATTTATTATTTATAAATCTTTTTACATCTTTTTTCAAGATGAGATCTCACTATATTGCCCAGGCTGGTCTTGAACTCCTGAGCTCAAGCCATCCTCCCACCTTGGCCTCCCAAAGTGCTGGGCT
The DNA here is from genome assembly GCF_000001405.40 of Homo sapiens. Taxonomy (NCBI): domain Eukaryota; kingdom Metazoa; phylum Chordata; class Mammalia; order Primates; family Hominidae; genus Homo; species Homo sapiens. The sequence continues at coordinate 39,346,066 of NC_000017.11, read as the reverse complement.
TACAGGCATGAGCTACCACTCCCAGCCAATGCCTGGTTAATTTTTGTGTTTTTTGTAGAGACAGGATTTCACCATGTTGCCCAGAGGTAGATTTATTGATTTCCTGCCATGTAGCAGGCTCTGTGCACAACCCTAAAATTATGCCAAACATAACAGGCATGCTCCCTGCCCTCACAGGGCTTTCCATTTATCTGGAACGTAGGTTATTGTAATCAGAAAATATTTAGGCCAGGTGTGGTAGCTCACACCTGTAATCTTAGCACTTTGGGACACTGAGTTGGGAGGATCCGTTGAGCTCAGGAGTTTGAGACCAGCCTGGCCAACATGGTGAAACCCTGTCTCTACTAAAAATATAAAAATCAGGCAAGTGTGGTGGCAGGCGCCCATAATCCCAGCTACTCAGGAGGCTGAGGCAGGAGAATCGCTTGAACCCGGGAGGTGGAGGTTGCAGTGATCTGAGATTGTGCTATTGCACTCCAGCTTGGGCAATAGAGCAAAACTCTCTCAAAAAAAAAATTATTAAAATTATTCTTTAAATGAAATTGAGGGGCAGTGCATTTTATCTGTGACTTCCCTACCATTTCTGCTTTCTCTTCATTACCTCTACTTTGAATCTCCATGAGATACCAGGATCTTCATGTATGACTCCATTATTTTGTACATATTGTTATCTTTTTTTCCCAGCTAATTTTTGGCCTTCTTTTAAGCTCAATTTAGATACAACTCCGGGTAGAATTAGTTGTGCCATTCTTTGTTCTCTCTTACATCTCTTGTCATCTGTCTCTAGTAATTAGTACATTATTTGCTTTCTTCTGTTTTCTTCATTGTAGTGCAAGAGCTCCTTAAGGATAGAGATCGTGTCTTTTTTTATCCCATTGTCTAGAAAAGTGCCTGATTGGGTATTCAGTAATGTTTATTGCATGACCTTAAGAGGAATTTCTGCAATACTTAATAGCAGCGACGGAACGTATTTCTCTCAGCTTCGGTCACATGTGTATGTGCCATTTTTACTGGGCTTTTGATTGTGTATGGTATTTGGTTTTTTACATAGCTTGCTAGATAAGCTTACAGTCATGATCTCCTTTGTGGCAAAAATGGTGGCTCTCGTTAAAAGTATCCGTTGTGAGTAATTTGATTAATTTGTTAAATGATCACTTGAGTGCATCAAGTGATGCACTTGATGCCACTATGGTGGCAGTTATGAAGCACTGTTGGTTTTCTGCACAATATATAAACATGAAAGAGAATATTTTCCTTTTTTAATTTTTATTTTTATTGAGATAGAGTATTGCTGTGTCACCCAGGCTGGGGTGTAGGGGCGCCATCTTGGCTCACTGCAAGCTCTGCAGCCTGGGGTTCAAGTGATTCTCATGCCTCAGTCTTCTGAGTAGCTGGTACTACAGGTGTGTGCCACCACACCTGCGTACTTTTTTTTGTATTTTTAGTAGAGATGGGGTTTCGCCATGTTGGCCAGGCTGGTCTCGAACTCCTCACCTCAGGTGATCCACCCACCTCAGCCTGCCAAAGTGCTGGGATTACAAGTGTGAGCCACTGTGCCTGGCCAAAAGTGAATATTTTCTATTCCAGATTTCCGAACATCTCCTTGAGCAAGTAAATGTGAGCCAAGTTTGGGGAGTCATCTTCTCTTAATGGCATATTAAAATAGTCACTCCATAGTGATGTGAGCTGAGCAGTAAACCTTTTTTTTTTTTTTTGGAGAGGGGTTCTCACTGTCTCGCTGAGGCTGGAGTGCAGTGGTGTGATCTCAGCTCACTGCAACCTCCACTTCCCTGACTGAGGCAGTCCTCCCACCTCAGCCTCCCACGTAGCTAGGACCACAGACGCACACCACCACGCCTGGTTCATTTTTTGTGTTTTTTGGTAGCGACAGAGTTCCGCCATGTTGGCCAGGTATGGTGGCTCATGCCTGCAATCCCAGCACTTTGGGAGGCCAAGGCGGGTGGATCACGAGGTCAGGAGTTCAAGACCAGCCTGACCAAGTTGGTGAAACTCCACCTCTACTAAAAATACAAAAATTAGCTGGGCACCGTGGCAGGGACCTGTAATCCCAGCTACTTGGGAGGCTGAAGCAGGAGAATTGCTTGAACCTAGGTGGCAGAAGTTGTGGTGAGCCGAGATCGCACCACTGCACTCCAGCCTGGGCGACAGAGTGAGACTCTGTCTCAAAAACAAACAAACAAAAATTAGCCGGGCATGGTGGCATGCACCTGTAACCTCAGCTACCCAGGAGACTGAAGCAGGAGAATCGCTTGAACCTGGGAAGTGGAGGTTGCAGTGAGCTGAGATCATGCCACTGTACTCCAGACTGGGCAGCAGAGCAAGACTCTGTCTCAAAAAAAAAAAAAAAAAAGAGTTTTCGCCACGTTGCCTGGGCTGGTCTTGAACTCCTGAGCTCAAGCGATCCGCTTGCCTCAGCCTCTGAAAGTGCTGGAATTACAAGTGTGAGTTGCTGCGCCCGGACTCTGAGCAGTAGACCTTTGGTAACCAAGCTTCCTATCTATAAAGTGAAGATAATAGGGATGGTATGAAGATTAAAACCATTAATATGTGAAAACATCTGAAACAGTATCTGGCACGTAATGTATCCTTCTGACTGCTCTTGTTTTTCTTTGGAGACAGGGAATGAATTAAATGCCTCGAAGATCTTTTTCATCTTAAAGAGTTTCCAAAATTATGACTTTGGTTTATGATGCCGACTATATTTTTTTACCTCTTTCCTGAGAGAATTGCCTCTAAACTATTGAGTTGAACATTCTGTAATAAAATGTTAAGTAACACTTGACACTATGATTTTGTTTTTGCAGATGTTCTCAAATAGTGATGAAGCTGTAATCAATAAAAAACTTCCCAAAGAACTCCTGTTACGGTAAGTCTGAATGCTAATTTTATGGGTTTTTTTATGTGTATGTCATATTTGCCTGTTTAAAATTTTTTAACTTTTTGCTAATTTTCATATATGTATAGTATCTGTATCTGAATTTTTAAATTTGATTGCTTTGAACAATCTTACTCTGCATTTTTTAGATGTCAATCAAGATATTTCAAAATTTAGTACCAATTTTTTCCATTCCAACTTGTACTTATGATATGATTTTATGTACATATTTTCCCTTTTCTTTATTCTTGTATATACAGTAACGTAGGTTTTTTGTTTGTTTGGTTTTGAGACAGGGTCTTGCTCTGTCATCCAGGCTGGAGTGCAGTGGCGCAATCACGGCTTACTGCAGCCTCAACCTCCCAGGCTCAAGCAGTCCTCCCACCTCAGCCTCCTGAGTAGCTGGGACTACAGGCACATGTCACCATGTCTGGCTAATTTTTTTTGTTTTTTTGAGACGGGGTCTCTCTCTGTCGCCCAGGCTGGAGTGCAGTGGCGCAATCTCAGCTCACTGCAAGCTCTGCCTCCTGGGTTCACGCCATTCTCCTGCCTCAGCCTCCCGAGTCGCTGGGACTACAGGCGCCCGCCACCATGCCTGGCTAATTTTTTTGTATTTTTTAGTAGAGACGGGATTTCACTGTGTTAGCCAGGATGGTCTTGATCTCCTGACCTCGTGATCTGCCTACTTTGGCCTCCCAAAGTGCTGGGATTACAGGCGTGAGCCACGGTGCCCAGCCCCAATTTTTTTTTTTTTTTTCAATTTTATGTAGAGAGAGGTGGTCTCACTGTGTTGCCCAGAATAGTCTTGAACTGCTGAGCTCAAGCAGTCCTCCCACATCAGCCTCTCAGGGTGCTGGGATTACAGACTTGAGCCACTGTACCCGGCCTACAGTAGCTCACTTGAGGTTTACTAAGATTTAGGAAAATTACTTGACTCTGGTAACTGGCCCTACTGTGTTATGGTCTACATTTTTATTTTTTATTACTTCTAGAGTTCTTTGTTTTCACCATGAAACTCAAAATTCCATACCATGGCCTACAAAACCCCTCATGATCAGACAGGGGTATAACATAAATATATAAACTGGTTTCTGTTTTTAAATAATTAGTCTGACTACCATGCAAAGACCAAATTGCGGGATAGGAGTGGGGAGCAATAGGAAGGCTGTTCAGTAAATCCATCCAAGAGATAACATTTCCTGAAATTCTTTAGACTGCAGCATTGCCTACTTGTGCTCTTTCTTGCTTTTGTCATCATTTCTGACCTCACTCTACTACATGTTGATGAGCTATAAGGTGTGTAGTTACCATACAGATGACATTACAAGTGAAGTTCGATGAGGAGAAACTTCTAAATCAACCAGACTTGGCTATCACAAACAAGTCGTAAATCTCAGTGGTTTTTTTCTCCAAGGCTGAGGGCAGGTGCACAAGATACCAAGCCAGTTCACCTAAGTGATCTTTGATACAGCTTACATTTCTACTTAGATTCCATTGCCTGAAGCGAGTCACATGTCCAAGCCTAATAGTGATGGAGTGAGGAAGTATATGGGAGAAGGAGTATATGAACATATGTAAACAGTCCTGTAGGTACCATATATATACACAGTCACATATGAACCCTCTCTCCTTAATTCGGCCTGTACTCTTCAGTCTTCAACATTGACTACAGTGTAGAGTTATGTAATGATTTTCCAGCATGACCTCTGCCTCTCATCTGAAAGAAGATATGTGACTGTTTTCTCAAGTTGGGACACTGGAGGTATTTTATCTATAGCAACATTTTTATCATTGAGAGCTTGATTTGGATTTATATGTGTTATATTGGAATAACTCTTATATACATTATAGGTTAAATTGGTTCCTTTCTAAGCTAATCAGGGAATCTAACTATCATTTATTACATGATTTCTATGGGAAAATGAACTTGAATTCCAAACAACCAATTCTGAACTTAATGTTGGAAACAAGTCCTTCCTAAATTGGAGGCCAAATGAAATTAGTATCCTGGAAAGGAAGGAAACAGATTTGACACCACAAAACACTTAATACTTATGAATGTATTTAACTATACAAAACATTGGTTTATGTATGTAAAGTAGTTGCTTGAAATTTTGAAATTTTGTTTAAACCCCATGATGAAACCTTGCCATGTTACAAAAAAAAAAAAAAAGCAAAACTTTGTTTAAACAATTAAAGCCAAATAGCATAGAGGCATCTTTGACATTATACTAGATAGAAAACAATTGGTCAGCACAAATTTTAATAAATTCACTTTGGGGCATTTGTAATTTTAAAAAATTCATTGAGTTTAATATATCTTTAAAAGTTTTAAGTAATGGTTCAAAATTACTTTCAAATATGTGGTTTTTATGACTGGAACAGTAGATGCCTCTGGGAAGGATAACTGGGTAGTAGGAAGATGAGAAAAACTGACTTTTTATTAGGCTTTTATGTATCTTTTTTTTTTAGATGTTCTTATTTTTAAGTTTTCATTTTGAAATAGTGTCATACTTAAACAAAAAGTTCTAAAAATAGGATAGAGAATTTATACTCCAGCTTTCTCAATTAATATTAACATCTTACATCTCAATAATATCAGTTATCAAAATCAGGAAATTAACATTGAAACAGGACTGTTGGATGGGCACAGTGGCTCACACCTATAATCCTAGCACTTTGGGAGGCCAAGGCAGGCGGATCACTTGAGGTCAGGAGTTGGAGACCAGCCTGGCCAACATGGTGAAACCTCGTCTCTACTAAAAATACAGAAATTAGTCGGGCGCGGTGGCTCACGCCTGTGATCCTAGCACTTTGGGAGGCCGAGGTGGGCGGATCCCAAGGTCGGGAGATTGAGACCAGCCTGGCCAACATGGTGAAACCCCATCTCTACTAAAAATACAAAAATTAGCCTGGCATGGTGGCACATGCCTGTAATCCCAGCCACTCGGGAGGCTGAGGCAGGAGAATCGCTTGAACCCGGGAGGCAGAGGTTGCAGTGAGCCAAGATCGCGCCACCGCGCTCCAGCCTCACAACAGAGCGAGACTCCATCTCAAACAAACAAAAACCCCAGGAATTAGCTGGGCATGGTGGCAGCGGGCATCCCAGCTACTTGGGAAGCTGAAGCAGGAGAATCACTTGAACCTTGGGAGGCAGAGGTTGCAGTGAGCGCCATTGCGCTTCAGCCTGGGCGACAAAGCGAGACTGCATTTCAAAAAAAAAAAATCCAGTTACGGTGGCTCATGCCTGTAATCCCAGCACTTTGGGAGGCTGAGACGGGCGGATCACGAGGTCAGGAGATCAAGACCATCCTGGCCAACATGATGAAACCCTGTCTCTACTAAAATACAAAAAAAAAATTAGCCAGGTGTGGTGGTGCGCGCCTGTAGTCCCAGCTACTCGGGAGGCTGAGACAGGGGAATCGAACCCTGCAGGTGGAGGTTGCAGTGAGCTGAGATCACGTGCCACTGCACTCCAGCCTGGTGACAGAGCAAGACTCAAAAAAAAAAAAAGTTCTGTGAACTAATCTACAAACCTTATTCAAATTCTTCAACTGTACGGTAGTATTCTTTTTTTGGCCCAGGATTCAGTCCAGGATTGCACGTTACATTGAATTGTTATGCCTCCTTGCTCTTCTAAGAACAGGATTTTATCCACAGCTTCAACAGGGAAGCAGGAAATACAGCAGGATTTCCTGCTGAATACAGAAAAGTCTCCTGCTGTCACTCAAGCTGGACTGCAGTGGTGCAAACACAGCTCACTGCAGCTTTGACCTCTCAGCCTGAAGTGATCCTTCCATCTCAGCCTCTTAAGTAGCTGGGACTCAGGTACATGCCACCACACCTGCCTAATTTTTAAATTTTCATAGAGATGGGGTATTGCTATGTTACCCAGGCTACTCTTAAACTATGGCCTGGCTAATTTTCTTATTTTTTTTATACAGATGGGGCAGATGGGGTCTCACTGTGTTGCCTAGGCTGGTCTTTTTTTTTTTTTTTTTTTTTGAGACAGGGTCTCACTGTCTCCCAGGTTGGAGTGCAGTGGCATGATCTCGGCTCACTGTAACCTCCGCCTCCCAGGTTCAAGCGATTCTCCTGCCTCGTCCTCCTGAGTGGCTGGGGCTACAGGTGTGCACCACCACACTTGGCTAGTTTTTGTATTTTTTGGTAGAGACAGGGATTCACGATGTTGGCCAGGCTGGGCTCAAACTCCTGACCTTGAATGATCTGTCCACCTCAGCCTCCCAAAGTACTGGAATTACAGGCATGAGCTGTTTTACCCAGGGTTGATAATTTTAAAGAATATTGGTCAGTTTTAAAATAGAATATCCTCGATTTGGCTTTGTCTGATGTTTACTCTTGTTTTCTCATAATTAAATTCAAGTTATGCAGTTTGACAAGTATACTGTAGAAATGGTGGTGTATCCTTGTCCATGTATCAACAAGAGGTACATGATGTCAATTAATGCTTGTTACTGGTGATATTAATTTTGGTCACTTAGTTAAGGTAGTGTCTTTTAGCTTATCCACTGCAGAATTATGTTCTTTGTAGTTAATAAATTTATTTTGGCTAGAACTACATTGAGACTACATTATACATTGTGACTTTTTTCGTTTATTATTATTATTATTATTTTTTATTGATCATTCTGGTGTTTCTCGCAGAGGGGGATTTGGCAGGGTCATAGGACAATAGTGGAGGGAAGGTCAGCAGATAAACAAGTGAACAAAGGTCTCTGGTTTTCCTAGGCAGAGGACCCTGCGGCCTTCCGCAGTGTTTGTGTCCCTGGGTACTTGAGATTAGGGAGTGGTGATGACTCTTAATGAGCATGCTGCCTTCAAGCATCTGTTTAACAAAAACATCTTGCACCACCCTTAATCCATTTAACCCTGAGTGGACACAGCACATGTTTCAGAGAGCACAGGGTTGGGGGTAAGGTCACAGATCAACAGGATCCCAAGGCAGAAGAACTTTTCTTAGTACAGAACAAAATGAAAAGTCTCCCATGTCTACTTCCTTCTACACAGACACGGCAACCATCCGATTTCTCAATCTTTTCCCCACCTTTCCCCCCTTTCTATTCCACAAAAGCGCCATTGTCATCATGGCCCGTTCTCAATGAGCTGTTGGGTACAGCTCCCAGACGGGGTGGTGGCCGGGCAGAGGGGCTCCTCACTTCCCAGTAGGGGCGGCCGGGCAGAGGCGCCCCTCACCTCCCGGACGGGGCAGCTGGCCGGGCGGGGGGCTGACCCCCCCACCTCCCTCCCGGATAGGGTGGCTGGCCGGGCGGGGCCTGACCCCCTCCTCCCTCCTGGACGGGGCGGCTGGCCTGGCGGGGGCTGACCCCCCACCTCCCTCCTGGACGGGGCAGCTGGCCTGGCGGGGGCTGACCCCCACCTCCCTCCCGGATGGGGTGGCTGCCCGTCGGAGACGCTCCTCCCTTCTCAGACGGGGCAACTGCCGGGCGGAGGGGCTCCTCACTTCTCAGACGGGGCGGTTGCCAGGCAGAGGGTCTCCTCATTTCTCAGACGGGGCGGCCGGGCAGAGACGCTCCTCACCTCCCAGACGGGGTCGCGGCCGGGCAGAGGCGCTCCTCACATCCCAGACGGGGCGGCGGGGCAGAGGCGCTCCCCACATCTCAGACGATGGGCGGCCGGGCAGAGACGCTCCTCACTTTCCAGACTGGGCAGCCAGGCAGAGGGGCTCCTCACATCCCAGACGATGGGCTGCCAGGCAGAGACGCTCCTCACTTCCCAGATGGGGTGGCGGCCGGGCAGAGGCTGCAATCTCGGCACTTTGGGAAGCCAAGGCAGGCGGCTGGGAGGTGGAGGTTGTAGCGAGCCGAGATCACACCACTGCACTCCAGCCTGGGCACCATTGAGCACTGAGTGAACGAGACTCCGTCTGCAATCCCGGCACCTTGGGAGGCCGAGGCTGGCGGATCACTCGTGGTTAGGAGCTGGAGACCAGCCCGGCCAACACAGCGAAACCCCGTCTCCACCAGAAAAATACGAAAACCAGTCAGGCGTGGCGGCGCGCGCCTGCAATCCCAGGCACTCGGCAGGCTGAGGCAGGAGAATCAGGCAGGGAGGTTGCAGTGAGCCGAGATGGCAGCAGTACAGTCCAGCTTCGGCTCAGCATCAGAGGGAGACGGTGGAAAGAGAGGGAGAGGAAGACCGTGGGGAGAGGGAGAGGGAGAGGAGGGAGAGGAGGGAGAGGGAGAGGTCGTTTATTATTTTTAACATCCATGATGTTATATGAAGGTTAGCATTGTGGAGTTTGCTACTATGGTGGTTTCTGTCTGCTCAATTCTTTCTACTTTCTTTTTCTTTTCTTTTTTTTTTTTGAGATGGTGTCTCACACTGTCGCCCAGGCTGGAGTGCAATGGTGCAATCTCGGCTCACTGCAACCTCTGCCTCCCAGGTTCAAGTGATTCTCCTGCCTCGGCCTCCTGAGTAGCTGGGATTACAGGCGTGCGCCACCACACTGGGCTAATTTTTGTATTTTTAGTAGAGATGGGGTTTCACCATGTTGGCCAGGCTTGTCTCAAACTCCTCACCTCGTAATTTACCCACCTTGGCCTCCCAGACTGCTGGGATTATAGGTGTGAGCCACCGCCCCCAACCTTCTACTTTCATTAATTGTAATTCTGCTGTAAGGTAGAGCTTTCCCATCTGTTCTATTTATAGTTAGTGTAGTATAGACTCATGGATATTTGTTTTAGTCTGAATTATATTGTTACCCTCACTGCTTATTTTGTTGCTCAGCCTTTCTTTGTCTTTTAAATTTGTGTGTGTCTTTTGAGTTTCTGTGTATTAGCTATTTTTAAAAGTGCAGTTTAATAAATATACAACATTTGGTTTGTTTAGATTTTAAGTTACATATTATGTCATTTCATCAAACATATATTAACCTACAAAAACAATTGTGTTGTTAGGACCATATTATTTCCATGTATTTGCAGTGCTTACAGCCAAGTTACCAATAATTTAAGCAAATGTTCTTGGTTCCTCTATTTTATTCTAGTCCCCCTCCCTTCCCCTCCCCTCCCCCCTCTGACAGGCTCTCACTCTGTTGCCTAGGCTGGAATACGGTGGGATGATAATGGCAGTCCCAAACTCCTGGGCCTAAACGATTGATCCTCTTCCTCAGCTCCTGAGTAGCTGGGACTACACGCATGTTGTTTTCTTTTGTAGAGATGGGGACTCACTTTGTTGACCAGGCTGGTTTTGTACTTCTGGCCTCAAGCAATTCTCTCCCCTTAGCCTCACGAAGTATTAGGATTACAGGCATGAGCCACTGCACCCAGCCTGTTTCCCCTTTTATACTGATTCTCTTCCTTCCCTATTGAAACAAAGTTTGTGATTAATGGTTTAACAAGCTGGAATCCACTGTTTGCATAATGTGAAATTCAGTTAGCAAGATTGACAGTACTCCCTCTTAGAGCAAAACCATATGTACTTACTTAGCGGTACCACTTGAAAAAGGAACATCTATGTTTCTAAGACAAAGACTGTGTTTTCCAAGAGCTACTGTGAAGTGAGTTGTTTCTCAAAGATTCCTTCTTTTTTTTTTTTTTTTTTTTTTGAGACGGAGTCTCACTCTGTTGCCCAGGCTGGAGTGCAGTGGCATGATCTCGGCTCACTGCAACCTCCGCCTCCTGGGTTCAAACTATTCCCCTGCCTCAGCCTCCCAAGTAGCTAGGACTACAGCACGTGCCACCATGCCTGGCTAATTTTTTGCATTTTTAGTAGAGACACTGCAGCGGGATAATTAAGGAATCAGAGAGACCGGAGGGGTTGAGGAGGAATTATTTAATTGTTTAGGTGCATCAACCCAGTCAGATTAACATCCAAAGGACTGAGCCTTGAACAAAAAGTCAAGCTACCTTTTAAGCATTTCGTGGGGTGGGGGTAGATCTGTGCAGGGGGAAGCGTATTACAGAAGCAAGAAACAAAGACAGTTATTCAGTTAAGACATGCATTACATCATTTCTTACTTTTTAAGGAACAACATGTTTTACGACTTGAGATTATCTGTCTAGTGACCTTGCAGCTGCACAGCTAGAGAAACAGGGTCTTCACAATGCCTGGGAAGTGGAGAGATAAGGCTCACTAGCCACAGAGGGAAAAACAGGCAGTTAATTTTAAAGGACTCCAGCTCTTTCTCTTCCTCAGGGGGAATTGGGTTTTCTTACATACAACTGAGTTTTTGCTTACACATTCTTTAATTTCTTTTAATTTCTGTTCCAACGGTGTTTCACCATGTTAGCCAGGATGGTCTCAATCTTGTGACCTCAGGATCCACCCTCCTCAGCCTCCCAAAGTGCTGGGATTACAGGCATGAGCCACTGTGCCCAGCCCTCAAAGATTCCTTCTGAGGATGACGTTGATAACTGTAAAAATGACATTAAGTGATAAAGATTGCTTGAGTCTGCACTGTGCCCTTTTAGTTATAACATGCGGTTTCAGAATAAGGACTGTTATTACCTATAAGAATATGAAATTTTTTTAAAGGATTCAGGTAAAAAAGAATATGAAATTTTTTTCTCATTTTTTCAACTCTTCTGGTGTTGGGTCATAATTGTGATGTGATATATCCTCTGTAAGTGGGTAAGAGGTGAACTTTATGAACTGAAATGGCAAGCATGGATTAGCTGAATTTTTTTTTCGAATTTTTTTTTTTTTAATTTTTTTAGTATTTATTGATCATTCTTGGGTGTTTCTCGGAGAGGGGGATTTGGCAAGGTCATAGGACAATAGTGGAGGGAAGGTCAGCAGATAAACATGTGAACAAAGGTCTCTGGTTTTCCTAGGCAGTGGGCCCTGCTGCCTTCCGCAGTGTTTGTGTCCCTGGGTACTTGAGATTAGGGAGTGGTGATGACTCTTAACAAGCATGCTGCCTTCAAGCATCTGTTTAACAAAGCACATCTTGCACCACCCTTAATCCATTTAACCCTTAGTGGACACAGCACATGTTTCAGAGAGCACGGGGTTGGGGGTAAGGTTATAGATTAACAACATCCCAAGGCAGAAGAATTTTTCTTAGTACAGAACAAAATGGAGTCTCCTATGTCTACTTCTTTCTACACAGACACAGCAACAATCTGATCTCTCTTTCTTTTCCCCACATTTCCCCCTTTTCTGTTCGACCAAACTGCCATCGTCATCGTGGCCCGTTCTCAATGAGCTGTTGGGTATACCTCCCAGACGGGGTGGCGGCTGGGCAGAGGGGCTCCTCACTTCCCAGACGGGGTGGCTGCCGGGCGGAGGGGCTCCTCACTTCTCAGACGGGGCAGCCGGTCAGAGACGCTCCTCACCTCCCAGACGGGGTGGCGGCGGGGCAGAGACACTCCTCAGTTCCCAGACGGGGTCGCGGCCGGGCAGAGGCACTCTTCACATCTCAGACGGGGCGGCGGGGCAGAGGCGCTCCCCACATCCCAGATGATGGGCGGCCGGGCAGAGACGCTCCTCACTTCCTAGACGGGATGACGGCCGGGAAGAGGCGCTCCACACTTCCCAGACTGGGCAGCCGGGCAGAGGGTCTCCTCACATCCCAGACGATGGGTGGCCAGGCAGAGACGCTCCTCACTTCCTAGATGGGGTGGCGGCCGGGCAGAGGCTGCAATCTCGGCACTTTGGGAAGCCAAGGCAGGCGGCTGGGAGGTGGAGGTTGTAGCGAGCCGAGATCACGCCACTGCGCTCCAGCCTGGGCAACATTGAGCACTGAATGAGCGACACTCTGTCTGCAGTCCCGGCACCTCGGGAGGCCGAGGCTGGCAGATCACTCGCGGTCAGGAGCTGGAGACCAGCCCGGCCAACACGGGGAAACCCCGTCTCCACCAAAAAATACGAAAACCAGTCAGGCGTGGCGGCGCGCGCCTGCAATCCCAGGCACTCGGCAGGCTGAGGCAGGAGAATCAGGCAGGGAGGTTGCAGTGAGTCGAGATGGCGGCAGTACAGTCCAGCCTCGGCTGGGCATCAGAGGGAGACCGTGCAAAGAGGGAGACGGAGAGGGAGGAGGGAGAGGGAGAGGGAGAGCTGAATTTTTTTCCTTCTAAAATAGTAGAGAGCCAGGTGTGACTCAGGCCTATAATCTGAGCTACTTGGGAGGCTGAGGCAGGCGGATTGCTTCAGGCCAGGAGTTAGAGACCAGCCTGGGTAACATGGCTAGGCACTATCTCTTAAAAAAGAAAAAGGAAAAAGGCAGCAATTCATACTGTGTTGGGGTCCCCTAGATCCATCCACAGGTATGGTGATGTGCAGGAGGATCCACAGGACTCATCATGTAGTCATACACACAACTATGGTTTATTATAAGAAAGGATACAGCTGGGCACGGTGGCTCATGCCTGGAATCCCACCACTTTGGGAGGCCAAGGTGGGCAGATCATGAGGTCAGGAGATCGGGACCATTCTGGCTAACACGGTGAAACCCCATCTGTACTAAAAATACAAAACATTAGCCAGGCCTGGTGGCGGGCACCTGTAGTCCCAGCTACTTGGGAGGCTGAGGCAGGCGAATGGCGTGAACCCAGGAGGCGGAGCTTGCAGTGAGCCGAGATCACGTCACTGCACTCCAGCCTGGGCACAGAGCGAGACTCTGTCTTAAAAAAAAAAAAAAAAAAAAAAAAGATACAAAGAAAAATCAGCAAAGGGGAAAGGTGCACAGGTAAAATGTGTAGGAAACTAGAAGTAAGCTTCCGAGGGTCCTTTCCCAGTGGAACCACACAGGGTGCACTTAATTCCTCCAGGAGCAAGTTGTGACGACACATGTGAAATATTGTCCATTAGAGAAGTTCATCAGTGAATGGTAGGAACCCTTCCAAAATCCAGCGGCTTAGGTGCCATTCAGGGGCTAACCTTGCAAGCAGGCATTTCTAAAGATAGCATTCTTAGGCCTGCTCTGTTAACTCTTTTCTGCACATGTGCAATCTCATATTCATTTCAGAGAAGCTCGCACACAATGTTTTATATTTCTTGTAGCCTCTCCTTCGGTTTAAATTCTAGGAGTTGAAGGTGTGGAAAAATACAAGTCTGTGTTTTCCTTCCTTTGAAAAGCATTAATAGTTAAGAACATGGACTCTACAATCTGACTTCCTGGATTCTGTCATACACTTGCTGTTAATTGAGGACACAATGCTCGGCACATAGTAAATGCTATAAAATTGTTAGGCATGTATTGTTACATTGGTTCTACTTTTTACTCATAGACCATAAAGTGAGTTTATGCTGTTTATAAATTACCCAGTCTGAGGTATTTTGTTGTAGCAGGCCAAATGGATTAAATATAAAAGTATAAAATACAAAAACTGGTAATAGAAATATTCAAACCATTACAGTGCAGGGCTGTTTAGTTAATGAAGAGACAAACAGATTTAGTCATTTAGGAGAGTTTCTCTATGTGGGATGACAACCGATGTTCTTTATGAGGGACATTAGATGTATAGAAATAATTAAATTACCTTTCCTTAAACTTTAATGTGGATACAAACATTTGTTGAGTGCCTACAGTGTTCCAGGCATTATGCTGAAGATAGAAATAAACAATCACTGTCCTCAAGGAGCTCACAGGGCAGTAGAGAGAACAGGCATGGAAATAATCAATATAGAGCTAGAAAAGAGGTTTTGCCTAGGGCATTATAGCAATCTCACATGTAGGGCTTTAAACCTAGCATGGAGAGTTCAGAAAATGCTTCCCCAGAAATGAGACAAATGAGCTGTGACTTAAAGAGTAGTAGCCTGTATCTACAAAAAAATACAAAAATTAGGCTGAGCATGATACCTCCCACCTGTAATCCCAGCACTCTGGGAGGCCGAGGCGGGCAGAAAATCTGAGTCCAGGAGTTCGAGACCAGCCTGACTAACATGGTAAAACCCCATCTCTACTAAAAATACAAAAATTAGCCGGGCATGATGGCACACACCTGTAATCCCAGCTACTTGGGAGGCTGAGGCAGAAGAATCGCTTGAACCCCGGAGGTGGAGGCTGTAAAAAAATCATGCCACTGTACTCTAGCCTGGGCGCAGAGCGAGACTCTGTCTTAACAAAACAAAACGAAAATAAAAATTAGCCAGGTGTGGTGGCACATGCGTGTAGTCCCATGAGAGAGATTGTTGTGTTGAGTCCTTTTTGTGGGCAGAGGAAAAGGACTTTGATTCAGGTATGCTACAAGATTTGAGGCCCAAGCTCTTTGCATAGTACCTAGTATTGTAATTTAGGATTTTATTTTTAAAGGCTTGCCTGGCAAATTAACCATCATTTATCTCTCTTGGAGAATTTACAAACTTTGTACATGTACTCCTTTTGTAAATTGGATGCTGCCTCTCTGTAGGATGTTATTTTCTCCCTGGTTTGTTTCTGCCTAATAGTCATCTGTTTTAATATTGTCAAGCTCATTGTTCCATTTCCTGGAGGAAAAATAAAAACACTCTCTAGAGTACATTGGATGTTTTAGTCTCTCAGGGAGAGACTTTGGCCCTGTTTGGCCCCTCATTTTCTTTCTTTTTCTTTAAAAGCAAATTATTTAATTAATCTATTTATTTGATTATTTTTGAGATGGAGTCTTGCTCTGTCACCCAGACTGGAGTGTTAGTGGTGTAATCTTGGCTCACTGCAACCTCCGCTTCCCAGGTTCAAGCAGTCTTCCTGCCTCAGCCTCCCAAGTAGCTGGGATTACAGACACACGCCACTATGTCCGGCTAATTTTTGTAGTTTTAGTAGAGCTGGGGTTTCACCATGTTGGCCAGGCTGGTCTTGAATTCCTGACCTCATGTGATCCGCCTGCCTCAACCTCCCAAAGTGCTGGGATTACAGGCATGAGCCACTGCACCTGGCCTATTTTTTATTTTTTATTTTTATTTTTTATTTTTTGAGACAGAGTCTTGCTCTGTTGCCCAGGCTGGAGCGCAATGGCACAATTTTGGCTCACTGCAACCTCAGCCTCCCAGCTTCAAGCAATTCTCCTGCCTCAGCCTCCTGAGTAGCTGGGATTACAGGCAGCCACCATCATGCCCGGCTAATATTTGTTTTGTATTTTTGTAGAGACAGGGTTTTACCATGTTGGCCAGGCTGGTCTTGAACTCCTGACCTCAGGTGATCTGCTTGCTTCAACCTCCAAAAGTGCTGGGATTACAGGTATGAGCCACCGCGCCCATCCTATTTTTGATTTTTTTGAGACAGAGCCTTGCTGTGTCACCCAGGTTGGAGTGCAGGTGACACAATCATAGTTTGCTGCAGCCTCAAACTCCTGGACTCAAGCAATTCTCCCATTCCAGCCTAGTAGCTAGGGCTACAGGCATGTGCCATCACACCTGGCTAATTTAATTTTTTTTCGTAGAAACAAGGTCTTGCTATGTTGCTCAGGCTGGTCTCGAGCTCCTGGCCTCAAGTGATCCTCCTGCCTTGGCCTCCCAAAGCACTGGGATTACAGATGTGAGCCACCATACCCGACCTTTTTTCCCTCTGTTTTTTTTCTGAACCATTAGAGATAAGTTATAGACATGATGCTTTTTACCCCTGAAAGGCTGCAGTATTTTCTAAAAACAAAAACATTATATATACATATATATCTAAGATAGATAGATAGATACAAAACACCACAGTACAGTAATCAAAGTGAAGATAACGAGCATTGGCACAGTACTGTTATGTAATCCAGAGACCCTGTTCTAGTTATTAATATTTTTTCATTTATATCCTTTATAGTAAAGGGGGAAAATATTTTTCTTCTTGATTCAGTTCCAGCCAGTATCTCAGATTACATTTATTTGTCACCTCTCTTTGGATGTATTTAATCTGCAACAATTTTTCAGTCTTTGTCTTTCACAACATTGACAGTTTTGAAGATTATAGGCCAGTTACTTTGTAGAATGTCCTTCATTATTAAATTTAACTTATGGATTTGGGTTAGAATATCATAGAAGTAGTATCCTTCTAACTGTATCATAACATAGGCATAGGATGTCTGTTTGTCCTCTTACTGGTGATGTCAGCTTTGATCATTAGGTCTGAGGAGTATCTGCCAGATTTTTTCGTTGTCATGTTACTTTTTTTTCCCTTTGTTTAAAGAATGTCCTATGGTAAAAATACTTTGAGACATTGTATTTATTTTATTTTTGACAGAGTCTTGCTCTGTCACCCAGGCTGAAGTGCAGTTGCCAGTGAAAGCACACTGCACCCTTGAACTCCTGCTCTCAAGCAATCCTCCCACCTCTGTCTCCTGAGTAGCTGGGATTACAGGCATGCCTCACCATGCCTAGCTAATTTTTAAATTTTTTGTAGAGATAGGGATCTCATTATGTTGCCTAGGCTGTCTTGAACTCCTGGCCTCAAGTGGTCCTTCCACCTTGGGCCTCCAAAATCACTGGAATTAGAGTCATGAGCAACTGTGCCTAGCCATGACATTGTAAATATCTTGTTTCTCATAAAACTTTGACTCACTAATTTGATTCTTTCCTGAAACAGTTATTACTATTGCAGTTGCAATATGATTGTGATTTTCTAAATTTACCGTTACTTCCACATTTTATTAGTTGGAGTTCCATTGTAAAGAAGAGCTTTCTCTTGGACTCCATTTTGTTATTTGTTTGTGTTTATATCCGTATGGATTCATGGATTGCTAATATATTCAGTGCATTGTTATCTCATTTGGGTTATCATTATTTTGATGCTCAAACTGTTTCAGATTTAGCCAGTGGGATCCCCTTCCAACTGTGTCCTTTGTCCTTTGAATATGTTCCCATCATTCATTGAGCACTTCCTTGTTTTCTGGCACAACAAGGTGTTTCAGACCCTTCTTACACCTCCCTTGATTCAGTCCTGGAATCAGTTATTTCTCCAAGGAGCCCTTGTATTTTTTTTTAGTAGAGAATGGTATTTATAAACTACAGTCTTTTTTTTTTTTTTTTTTTTTTTTTTTTGAGGCAGAGTTTCGCTCTGTTGCCCAGGCTGGAGTGCAGTTGGCGTGATCTCGGCTCACTGTAACCTCCACCTCCCATGTTCAAACAATTCTCCTGCCGCAGCCTCCCAAGTAACTGGGATTACAGGCACCCGCCACCACGCCCGGCTAATTTTTGTATTTTTAGTAGAGATGGGGTTTCACCATGTTGGCCAGGCTGGTCTCAAACTCCTGACCTCATGTGATGCGCCTGCCTTGGCCTCCCAAAGTGCTGGGATTACAGGCATGAGCCACTTTGCCTGGCCAGAAACTATACAGTCTTTATTCTAGATATGCTCATTGCTCCTGAGTGGCATTGCTTCTAGACTTTCTCATAAGACAGAGCTAAGAAATACATGTTTGGTTACCCGGGCGTGGTGGCAGGCGCCTATAGTCCCAGCTACTCGGAAGGCTGAGGCAGGAGAATGGCATGAACCCGGGAGGTGGAGCTTGCAGTGAGCCGAGATTGTGCCACTGCACTACAGCCTGGGCGACAGAGCGAGATTCCGTCTTGAAAAAACAAAACAAAACAAAAAAGAAATACATGTTTGGTTGTAGATGTATTTTTTTTAAAGTCTCCTTGTGGATGTACTTTAATAAATATATGGTTTTTGGGGGGTGCGTGTGTACATCTTATGTAATTTTATATCTGCCCATATTTATATCTGTATAGGTGGCTGGATAGATTAAAAACTATGATAATCCTGTTACATAAGCAAACATACCTAGTTCATATTGACACCTCCAATAATATCTAGTTTATTACCTTAGGGTTCATTCTGTCCCTCCTCCTTTCTGTATTTTTTTCTTTCTCCAAGGAAGAAATATAACTCCATAATATGTTTACTTAATCCTAGAAAGCACATAAAGTGATTTACCCATATCACTGTGAAGAAAATCTAATTGGAGCTTATTATTTATCTTTTTTGTTTGCTTTTTGTCTTTAGCCTGATAATACAAAGAAAATATTGAGTTCAGAAGTTAACTTTGAGGCTGGGTATGTTGGTGCATGGCTATAATCCCAACACTTTTAAAGGCCAAGACAGGGCTGGGTGCGGTGGCTCGCGTCTGTAATCCCAGCACTTTGGGAGGCCAAGGCGGGTGGATCATTTGAAGTCAGGAGTTTAAGACTAGCCTGGCCAGCATAGTGAAACGTTGTCTCTACTAAAAATAAAAAAATTAGTGGAGACGAGTGTGGTGGCACATGCCTGTAATCCCAGCTATTCGGGAGGCTGAGGCAGGACAATCACTTGAGCCTGTGAGGCAGAGGTTGTCGTGAGCCAAGATGCTCCACTGCACTCCAGTCTGCGTGACAGAGTGAGATCCTGTTTCAAAAAAAAAAAAAAAAAGCCAAGACAGGAGGATTGTTTGAGGCCAGGAGTTCAAGACCATCCTGGGCAACATAGTGAGAGCCCTGTCTCTACAAAAGCGTGTGTGTATATATGTTAGCCGGGTGTGGTGGCGTGCACCTGTAGTCCTAACTACTTGGGAGGTTGAGACGAGAGGATTGCTTGAGGCCAGGAGTTTGAGGCTGCAGTGAGGTATATGATAGCATCACTGCACTCCAGCCTGGGTGACAGAGCAAGACTCCATCTCTAAAAAATTTTTTTTAAATAGGGTCTTGCTCTGTCACGCAGGCTGGAGTGCATTGGCGTGATTATGGCTCACTGTAGCCTTGATATTCCCAGTCTCAGGTGATCCCCCCACCTCAGCCCTCCTAGTAGCTAGGATCACAGGTGGGTGCCACCACACCCAGCTAATTTTTGTATTTTTTTGTAGAGATGGGTTTTCACCATGTTGCCCAGGCTGGCTTGGAACGCCTGGGATTACAGGTATGAGCCACTGTACCTGACCAAGAATTTTTTTTTAAGTTAACTTTGATTAGTTCTTTAGGTTATTCATTTAGAATATAGTTTGTTTTACTCATTTATTTTCGTATTCAGTTTTGGATTTGTGTCAGTCCGTTTGCATTGCCATAATTAAATACCTGAGACTGGGTAATTTATAAAGAAAAGAGGTTTTTTTTTTTGGCGTATGATTCTGCAGCCTATACCAGAAACTAGCGTCTACTCCTGGTGAGAAGTTAGGAAGTCTCTAATCATGGCAGAAGGCAAAGGGGGAGCTTGCTTATCACATGGCAAGAGAGGAAGAGAGAAAAGAGGGAAGTCCCAGACTCTTAAACAACCAGATCGTGTATGAACAACTGGAGGAGAACTCACTTATGATTAAGGGGGTAGTACTAAGCCATTCATGAGGGATCTGCCCCCATGATCTAATACCTCTCACTAGGTCCCACCTCCAACATTGGGGATCACATTTCAACATGAGACTTGAAGGGGACAAACATTCAAACTATATCAGGATTTTTCTCCTTATCCTTATTCAGTGTATTTTTTTTTAGCAGATAGTTAACTTTGCTGTACCCAAACTGCCTGTCATGGGTGCCAGCTCAAATATAAGTTAAATTCTTTTACCCTTAGCTGCTTGGAGTCTGCCCTGTGCGTGCAGTGTTCAGAGGTCAGTCAGTAATTTGAACAGAATTTATGTTGCCTCACATTGGATCTCTCTACAATTTACAATGTGGTTGCTCCAAATTCTGTTCTCTAGTTTTCCTTTGCAGGTTTCTATCCATTTTCTAAATGTTCTGAGGGTCCCAAATATAACCTGCCCTCAGGATAAATGCTGTAAAACTAGAAATTGTCATTCCCCTCTCCCTTTAATATCTACCTGTTTTTGTTCACTTTCCAATACATTCAGGTGGTAATTTTTAATATTTCATTCCCAATTTATAATTGTACCTGGAAGGTTAGTTCAGTGGAAGCTTACTCAGCCGTGACCAGAAGTGAAACCAATTTTATGTTTGATTATTTAAAACATGTTATTTCAAGAGTCAGATCTGTACAAAAAGGTATTACTTAAAAGATATGTCTCTCCACTCCAACCTTCTTTCTACCCCATTCTCATCCTTCATTTTGAGTCATTTCACAAGAGTTTTGTCTGAGGAATGATTATTACTACTATTTTTTTTGAGACAGGGTCTCTGTCATCCAGGCTGGACTGCAGTGGCACAATCACAGCTTGCTGCAGCCTCAGCTTCCCAGGGTCAGGTGATCCTCTCACCTCAGCCTCCTGAGTAACTAGGACTACAGGTGCCTGCCACCACGCCCGGCTAATTTTTGTATTTTTTGTAGTGACAGAGTTTTGCCATATTCTCCAGGCTGGTCTCAGAACTCCTGAGCTCAAACCCATCCACCTTCCTTGGCACTTCCCAAAGTGCTAGGATTATAGGCGTGAGCCACTGCACTTGGCCTAAAGAATGATTCTTGACCTTGACTTTTTTTGAGTATTAAATCTCAAATGCCATCATTGACATTCATTTTTTATCAGTTGGATTTGGATTAAGAGATTTCATCTTCATCTGGAGATTAGAATTTGTAAGTTAATGATCAAACCTTGCTGCAATGCACTGTTGTCACATTTCTATCCTGATACATTTCACAACTTAATTGGAGGATTAAAAGAGAAATGTCTACTTGTTCTGCAGTTTTCTTTAAAAAAAAATGAATTGCCAAACTCTAAATTCACAATTTTATAAATGTTTTTATAGTAGTTAGGTGATCCCTCTTTAATATTATTAAGAAACACCTGGGCCAGGCGCCATTGCTCACGCCTGTAATCCCAGCACTTTGGGAGGCGGGCAGATCACGTAAGGTCAGGAGTTCGAGACCAGCCTGGCCAACATGGTGAAACCCTGTCTCTACCAAAAATGTAAAAAATTAGCCGGGTGTGGTGGCAAGTGCCTGTAATCCCAGCTACTTGGGAGGCTGAGGCAGGAGAATCGCTTGAACCTGGGAGGTGGAGGTTGTGGTGAGCCGAGATCCTGCCACTGCACTCCAGCCTAGGTGACAGTGTGAGACTCTTGTCTAAAAAAAAAAGAAAAATCACCTGGAGAGAATGTTTAGAAAAGATAGATTCCTGGGTCTCTCACCTAGAGGAATCTGTAGGTCCGAGCTAGGACCCAGGAATCTGCATTTTAATAAGCACTCCAGGTATACTGATGCAGTTGATTCATGAGCCGTTCTTTAGTACACGGTGAAGTGTAAGAATAAGAACTAAATCTTGGGACATGCCTTCATTTGAAAACAGAAGTATAGGCCAGGCACGGTGGCTCACGCCTTTAATCCCAGCACTTTGGGAGGCCAGGGGGTGGGGGGGGGAGGGGGTTGGATCACGAGGTCAGGAGTTCGAGACCAGCCTGGCCAACATGGTGAAACCCCGTCTCTACTAAAAATACAAAAAATAGCCAGGCGTGGTGGCAGGTGCCTGTAATCCCAGCTACTCAGGAGGCTGAGGCAGAGAATTGCTTGAACCTGGGAGGTTGCAGTGAGCCGAGATTGCATCACTGCACTCCAGCCTGGGCGACAGAGCGAGACCCATCTCAAAAAAAAAAAAAGAAAACAGAAGTATACTAAAGACATAACAAGGTGGTGTCTGAGAAGCCAGGAGAAGAGATTCTTAATAAGTAGGGAATGGTCGGTGTGTCCTGTATTTTAAGGGGGTGAGGCTTATTGAAAACTGAAAAAGGCCTTTGAATAGTAAGGCCTTGACAATTAAGTCAGTAGTATTCTTCAAGGTACAATTGCAATTGAGTAAAGACCGGAATTAGATTGTAAAGAAGAAAGAGGTGATGAGAGAAAACCCCCTTCTTAACTGTCCCCACCCATCTTGATCTCATTGTTTCATTACTTTCAATAGCACCTATATTTTCAGGTCACACATTATGTTGCTTAATAAGCTGCCTAGTGTCTACTGTTTTCTTCAACAAGAATATATGCTTCTGAAAAGCAGATATTTTATATTGTTACTGAATTTCCTCTCTGACACAGTACTGGATATAATTAAGAACTTTAGGGACACCTAATGACTTGGCTTTTTCTGGAAAGCTGTGAATTAATGAGGTTAAGGCTGGGTGTGGTGGCTCACACCTGTAATCCCAGCACTTTGGGAGGCCGAGGCGGGCGGATCACGAGGTCAGGAGATCAAGACCATCCTGGCTAACATGGTAAAACCCCATCTCTACTAAAAATACAAAAAATTGGCTGGGCACAGTGGCAGGCGCATGTAGTCTCAGCTACTCGGGAGGCTGAGGCAGGAGAATGGCGTGAACCCTGGAGGCGGAGCTTGCAGTGAGCCGAGATTGTGCCACTGCACTCCAGCCTGGCGACAGAGTGAGACTCTGTCTCAAAAAAAAAAAAAAAAATTAGCTGGGCGTGGTGGCTGGTGCCTGTAGTCCTAGCTACTTGAGAGGCTGAGGCAGGAGAATGGTGTGAACCCGGGAGGCGGAGC
Organism: Homo sapiens; assembly: GCF_000001405.40. Classification (NCBI taxonomy): domain Eukaryota; kingdom Metazoa; phylum Chordata; class Mammalia; order Primates; family Hominidae; genus Homo; species Homo sapiens. Next base: position 39,322,885 of record NC_000017.11, on the reverse strand, counting down.
TTGCAGTGAGCCGAGATTGCACCACTGCACTCCAGCCTGGATGACAGAGCGAGACTCTGTCTCAAAAAATAAAAAAATAAAATAAATAAATAAAAACATTAATGAGGTTAACTTTTGAGTTTTGTTGTTTGTTTTTTTTATTTCCTATGTGGGTTACAGAAGTAGTTTCATTATTTTACTCATTATAGATATGTGTTCCTATCAAAACATGCTTTACCTATCTGAAAGAGAGAATTCTCACAACCCCCAGTAGTTAACACAGAGTGCTTGAGCATCTGGACAAGGTAAACGGGAGTATTCTACTCATGAGAATTTGTAATCAACTACTCAATATAACGATCCACTTAACTTTTATACACTTCTCAATCTTAGTATTTAGTCAAATTAAAAAATTTTTTAATTAAAAATTTATATGTTCACAGGTATCAGGTTACATACATTTTAATACTCAGTTTATGTATTCACCTTAGATGTTCTGGAGAAACAGCAGCTTTTTGTAAACTTTTTGGGAGTTTAATATGTTGATGCATATGTCATTACCTAAAGAATTTATTTAATTGTAAAACAGCTCACTTCCATATAATTATACATTTGAATATTTTAGTCTGTTAGTCTCAAAGTATTTTAAAAATAATTATTTCCCCACAAAACACATATGCACACATGAAACAACTGAAATTAAGCATGGGGCATGGCTTTTTTTTTTTTTTTTTTTTTTTTTTGGTAGAGATAGTGTCTCACTATGTTTTCCAGGCTGATCACGAACTTCTACCCTCAAGTGATCCTCCTGCCTTGGCCTTCCAGGCATGAGCCACCATGCTCGGCCTAGGCATTTGGTCTTGTGGTTAGTCTTGTAGCAAGACATTATTATTATCAAATCAAGAATTAATTCAAGTTCAAATGAAATATCTACTGCTGGTTCTAACTGGGACAGATTTGAGTATTTATCTTAGAATTACCAATTATTACTGATTTTTTAGGAATATGGTAACTGATTTCCTTGTACTAAATTCAAACATTGAATCAGGTAGTTTCAGTCATAGTACGCTTACTTCAGGAAATGACTATAGCCTGATCAGTTATTTTTGTTTTTTTTTTTTTTTTTGAGACAGAATTTCACTCTTGTTGCCCAGGCTGGAGTGCAATGGCCCAGTCTTGGCTCACTGCAACCTCCACCTCCCAGGTTCAAGCGATTTTCCTGCCTCAGCCTCCCAAGTAGCTGGGATTACAGGCGCCTGCCACCATGCCCAGCTAATTTTTGTATATTTTTAGTAGAGATGAGGTTTTACCATGTTGGCCAGGCTGGTCTCAAACTCCTGACCTCAGGTGATCCACCCACCTCGGCCTCCCAGAATGTTGGGATTACAGGCATGAGTCACCGTGCCTGGCCCTAGACTGATTTTTCTTTTTTTTTTTTTTTTGAGACAGATTCTAGCTCTGTTGCCAGGCTGGAGTGCAATGGTGCAATCTTGGCTCACTGCAACCTCCAACTCCTGGGTTCAACTCCCAGGTTCAACCTCCAACTCCTGCCTCAGCCTCCCGACTAGCTGGGATTACAAGTGCCTGCCACCGTGCCCGGCTAATTTTTGTATTTTTAGTAGAGATGGGGTTTTACTGTGGTGGCCAGGCTGGTCTCAAACTCCTGACCTCGTGATCCACCCACCTTGGCCTCCCAAAGTGCTGGGATTACAAGCGTGAGCCACCGTTCCTGGCTGACTGATTAGTTTTATACAGCATGTCGACTGTGGACTTCAAAAATATACTGGGAGTATTCTTAAGTTTTCACTTATGTTCACTGTATATTTTGGAGCAGAATTGTTTTATAGGCAACCAAGAACTTAACAAATACATACTAGTTTCTTTCAGAGAAAAAAACAAAAAAAGAACTTAGCAAATGCAATCATAAAAATATGAAATAAAGATTTTTATTAAAACTATATATTGTCTTCTGAGTTACGTGTGGCTGTTAGTCACTTTTTGTTGTAGAGTATTCATACTGGGCCGAGCACGGCTTGTAGTCACAGCATTCTGGGAGACCAAGGCCAGTGGATCACTTGAACCCTGGGAGTTTGAGACCAGCCTGGCCAACGTGGTGAAGCCCCATCTCTACAATAAATACAAAAATTAGCCAGATATGGTTGTATTTACCTGTAGTCCCAGCTGCTTGGGAGGCTGAGGCAGGAGAATCGCTTGAGCCTGGGAGGCGGAGGTTGCAGTGAGCCAAGATCTTGCCACTGCACTCCAGTCTGGACAACAGGAGTAAAACTCTATCTCAAAAAAAAAAAAAAAAAAATTCATACTAGACATTCTGGACAGGGCACTATCAGAAATCAGTCTAAGCTTTAATATTTCCATCTGTATAATACAAGTTATATTCAAAAGCCTCTTATGCTAATAGTTATGTGTGAAATATTTAGAGTCAGAAGTTGGTAAACCGTGCTGTGAGGTCAGTATATACCACTTATCTTTTATGCCTCTGTTACTGTCTTCAGGAAGGAGGGAATGGATGAAGGCAGACAGGCAAGTATGATCAAATAGAGATCCACCTCCAAAAATTAAAGGGTTTTTAAAATTTTAAAGTAGCTATAAACATATTTTTTTAATTATTTTTACTTGATACCAAAAAAATTTAAGTTGATTTTTAACAAGGCAAGTATAGATAGTTGATCTACCAAATTTTGCACAGAATTCTTCAAGAGGCAGACAGTATTTGATAAAAAATTATTTGCATATCTATTGTGTCAACAAAGCAAGTTACAAAACTAGTTTATATAAGAAACAAAATCTGTGTGTACGTGTATGTATGTTGTTTGTAGGGACAGAAAATTCATGGGAAAATAAATAAGCAACAGTGACTGTCTCAAGGACAGAAGGGACTTTTTACAGTATGTATATTACCATCTGTGTGTTTTTCAATTAAAATCAGCCCGTCAAAGTAAGTGTAATACACAGTATTAGACTTAGTAAAAGGATTGGCTAGGCACAGTGGCTCATGCTTGCAATCTCAGCACTTTGGGAAGTTGGCGTGGGAGGATTGCTTGAGGCCAGGAGTTCGAGAGCAGCCTGGGCAACAGCGAGACCCGGTCTCTATTTTAAAAATAATAATGAAAAGATTTATGTCCCTGCTGTTCTATTTTTTTTTTTTTTCTGGCCTTCACTACCTCCTCCCAGTTCTGCCCTCTGCTATAGTTTTTTTTTTTTTTTTTTTTTTTGATATGGAGTCTTGCTGTGTTGCCCAGGCCAGATGCTTTCGGCTTACTGCAACCTCTGCCTCCCAGGTTCAAGCAATTGTCCTGCCTCAGCCTCCTGACTAGTTGGGATTACAAGTGCCTACCACCACGCCCAGCTAATTTTTGTATTTTTAGTAGAGATGGGGTTTCACCAAGTTGGCGAGGCTGGCCTCAAACTCCTGACCTTGTGATCCGCCCACCTCGTCCTCCCAAAGTGTTGGGATTACAGGCGTGAGCCACCGTGCCCAGCCCTGCTATCCTTTTTAAATCTCTCTTCATTGGGCTTTAGTGGCCATTTTGTAAGGTAATCTTAGAATGTAGAGTTGCTATTATCTGAAATTTGAAAAACTATCCTTAAACATTAATAATTCTCTGAGAGGCAGAATTCTCTCTCTCTCTTTTTTTTTTGAGATGGAGTCTTGCTCTGTTGCCAGGCTGGAGTGCAGTGATGCGATCTCAACTCGCTGCAACCTCCTACTCCCTGGTTCAAGCGATTCTCCTGCCTCAGCCTTCGAAGTAGCTGGAATTACAGGCATGCTCCACCATGCCCAGCTAATTTTTGTATTTTTAGTAGAGACGGGGTTTCACCATGTTGGCCAGGCTGGTCTCAATCTCCTGACCACGTGATTTGCCTGCCTCGACCTCCCAAAGTGCTGAGATTACAGGCGTGAGCCACCACACCCGGCTCAGAATTCTTTTTAATATTGTCTTGTAATAAAATTTTTGCTGATTGTTAAGTTGGAAATAACAAAGACTTCTCAGTATTTTAATAAGGAGATTTCCGCTTACATTTTGCTATGAGCTTCTTTTTTAGGGAGTTTCTGGGTTTATTTAAGAAGAAGAGGAAGTTGCTTATGAACTATTTCAGCATTATGGTACAGAAGGTTTTTGCTTTGTTTGTTTGTTTGTTTGTTTAAGATGGAGTTTGGCTCTTGTTGCCCAGGCTGGAGTGCAGTGGCATGATCTCGGCTCACTGAAACCTTCGCCTCCCTGGTTCAAGCGATTCTCTTGCCTCAACCTCCTGAGTAGCTAGGATTACAGGCATGCGCCACCAAGCCTGGCTAATGTTGTATTTTTAGTAGAGACAGGGTTTCTCCATGTTCGTCAGGCTGGTCTCGAACTCTCGATCTCAGGTGATCTGCCTGCCTTGGCCTCCCAAAGTGCTGGGATTACAGGCGTGAGCCACCGTGCCTGGCCTGTTTTGTTTTTTTAATTGTGGTAAAATGTTCGTAACAGAAAATTTAGTGGCACAGAACACTTTTAAGGTTAAGGGCTTTCCAAGGACTTGGCTATGTGGAATTCTGATAGTCTTAGACTATTGTTGAGGATTCTTACCACATCCTATCAAAGATGCAGACCAGCTTCTCATTCTTTAGGCATACTCCAAAAACTCAACCTGCCTTCCTTTGTTCTTATCCACTAAAATCTACTCTTTCTCATGGAATTCTTAACTCCAACGAACACAAAAGTAGACAACATGGTATAATGAAACTCCTGTTACCCCACTTCAATAATTGTCAACATTTTGCCAATAAAGCTATCATAGGAATTTTTTTTTATATGGCTTGAGGGCAGGGATTTTACATTCTTCAAATATGAGGTTTCCTAACACCATTTACTAAATAATTCATTATTTTCCTACTAATTTGAAAGTGAGGCCGCGAGCGGTGGCTCACGCCTGTAATCCCAGCACTTTGGGAGGCGAGGAGGGCGGATCACTAGGTCAGGAGATCGAGACCATCCCGGCTAACACGGTGAAACTCCGTCTCTACTAAAAATACAAAAAAATAGCTGGGCGTGGTGGCGTGCACCTGTAGTCCCAGCTGCTGGGGAGGCTGAGGCAGAAGAATGGCGTGAACCTGGGAGGAGGAGCTTGCAGTGAGCCGAGATCGTGCCACTGCACTCCAGCCTGGGTGACAGAGTGAGACTCCGTCTCAAAAAAAAAAAAAAAAAACAAAAAAAAAAACAAAAAAAAAAACAAAGTCAAACTCTCCTATGTATTAAATTCCTACATGTATCTGGGGCCTTTCTGGATGCCCTGTTTTGTTCCATCATTTTTTTTCCTTCTTTATAATCACCATATTATTTGGAATTCAGTAATTTTTGTACATTTTAATAAGCACCTTGGTCGGACACGGTGGATCACGCCTGTAATCCCAGCACTTTGGGAGGCAGAGACGGTCGGATCACGTGGTAAGAAGTTCAAGACCAGCCTGGCCAACATGGTGAAACCCCATCTCTACTAAAAATATAAAAATTAGCCAGGCATGGTGGCACATGCCTGTAATCCCAGCTACTCAGGAGGCTGAGGCAGGAGAATCAGTTGAACCCCGGAAGCGGAGGTTGCAGTGAGCCAAGATAGCACCACTGCACTCCACCCTGGGTGATGGAGTGAGACTCTGTCTCATGGGGGGAAAGAAAAGCAGCTCTTCTTTGTCTTTTTTAATAAGTTCTTGGTGATTTTCACACATTTTTCATCCATATCAACTTCAGAATCAATTTTTTTCGTTAAGCAAAAATCTGTTTGGATTCAATTCATATATTGGACATTTAATCAGGAAATTAAATTACATTGGGAAGTATTGGTATCTTCTAAGATATTAAATTATGCTATCCAAGAACATCTTATGTTTGGTTAATTATTCTTGTCTTCATTTTCTTTTAAATGAGATGGAGTCTCACTCTGTCTCCCAGGCTGGAGCACAGTGGCGCAATCTCCGCTCACTGCAACCTCCGCCTCCCAGGTTCAAGTGCTTCTCATTCCTCAGCCTCCTGCGTAGCTGGGATTACAGGCGCCCAGCACCATGCCCGGCTCATTTTTAGTATTTTCAGTAGAGACGGGCTTTCGCCATGTTGGCCAGGCTGGTCTCGAACTCCTGACCTCAGGTGGCCCACCCCCGCCTTGGCCTCCCAAAGTGCTTGGATTACAGGCGTGAGCCACCGTGCCCAGCCGTCCCATTCTTCTTAAACTTCAGTTTATTAATTTACATCAGTCTGAACTTATGGCTTCCCTTTTTTATTTAGTAAATTGTAATTCATTGCTCTCGTTTGTTTTCATATTCAGGTTGTCCCAGATTTGGCCAGTGGAAGCCCCTTCAAGCTGGTTACCATGACTTTTTGACGTGTCCCCATCATTCTTTGAGCACTCACTTGCTTTCTATCACAAGGTGTTCCAGGCTCATCGTACATTTTCTCTGCCCTATTTCTCCAAGGAGCCCTGATTCCTTCTACTAGAAAGAAATGTTTAGAAGCCAGTATCTGGGAGTTAAATACCATTGCCATTGAGGGGTTATTGCTCCAGGCCCTCTTAGTAGACAGAGCTCGGGGGGAAAGAAAAAAATGTGTGTGTGTGTGTGTGTGTATATGTAGATGAACACGTGTATATATGTACACAATTTACATGTATGTTTATATCTGTATATATTGATAACTATGTTTCTATTAATACACTGATATTTCCAATTCCAATCCAACACTGCATAATTTAGTCTAGTTTTCTCCCTTTCCAGATTCACATCTCCCTTTGTAACAGAAACCTAACTTCTGTTGTGGTTCATGTTTTTTTGTTTTTAGAGATAGGATCTTGCTCTGTTAACCGGGCTAGACTGCAATGGCATGATCACAGCTCCCTGTAACCTTGAACTCTAAGGTTCAAGTGATCCACCTTGGCCTTTCCAAAAGCTGGGATTACAGGCATGAGCCACCTTGCCCATCTTTATTATGGTTAATGTATTTTATTATTTACTCAGTTCCCCTGATTTTAACCAATTTCGCTCTACAGTTGCTCTCTCTCTCTCTCTCTCTCTCTCTCTCTCTCTCTCTCTCTGTCTCTCTCTCTCACTCTCTCTCAAAGATCCCCTCTTCACTTCATTGGGTTTGGGCACTTCATGCCATGCCACCTTCCTCCTGTTGCACGGACAAAGTCCTGCTTGGGTTCTAAAGCCCGCACTAGGTTTATCCTCTGTGTGGATGCCCTTCTCACCTTACTTTGACACTCTACCCAAGGCTGCCCATTCACCCTGCTTGTATCCCAGTATCTCCTGCTAGGTCACCCTCCTCAAGGGTCCTCTCCTCACTCTGCTTGGACTCCGACGTATTGTTCAAGCCTCTGCACCCAACCTCTAACCTGGCATTGATACCTACCTTTCTATGCCCCTCCTAATGGCTTTAGAACTGACTCTTTCAACAAAGGAAAGGAAGAGGAAGAAAACGTGTACCTATATATGTTTTAAAGACATGTACTATATATATATATATATATAAATTATTTAAACTTTGCCCATTAATAATCTTCCCTCCTGAGGTAGTTTGTGAAAACCTTACTAAAAGCGTACTGCTTTCAATAAGCACGTGAAAAGATGCTCAACATCATTAGCCATCAGGGAAATGCCAATCATAACAACAATGGGGTACCAATTCGCACTCCCTAGGATGTCTGTAATCAAAAAGTGTTGTCAAGGATGTGGAGGCCGAGGCAGGCGGATCACCTGAGGTCAGGAATTCGAGACCAGCCTGGCCAACAAGGCGAAACCCTGTCTCTAGTGCAAATACAAAAATTAAGCTGGGCACAGTAGCCCAACCCTGTAATCCCAGTACTTTGGGAGGTTGAGGTGGGCAGATCACTTGAGGTCAGGAGATTGAGACCAGCCTGGCCAACATGGTGAAACCCCGTCTCTACTAAAATACACAAATTAGCCGGGTGTGGTAGTGTACACCTGTAATCCCAGCTACTTGGGAGGCTGAGGCAGGAGAATCGTTTGAACCAGGGAGGTAGAGGTTGCAGTGAGCTGAGATCGTGCCACTGCACTCCAGCCTGGGCAACACAGAGTGAGACTCCATTTCAAAAAAAAAAAAAAAAAAGAAAAGGATATGGAGAAATTAAAACCCTCACAAACTGCTCGTGAGAATGTACACTACAGTGTACACTGGTACAGCCACTGTGGAACACAGCTTGGCAGTTTCTAAAATCTCTAAATATAGAAATACCACATAACTGGCCAGTTGTGATGGCTCACACCTGTAATCCCAGCACTTTGGGAGGCCGAGGCAGGTGGATCACTAGAGGTTGGGAGTTCCAGATCAGCCTGGCTAACATGGTGAAACTCTGTCTCTACTATATATACAAAATTTGTACAGGCACAAGGCTGGATGTGGTTCCTTGTGCCTGTAATCTCAGCTACTCAGGAGGCTGAGGCAGGAGAATCGAATCTGGGAGGAGGAGGTTGCAGTGAACCAGGATGGCGCCACTACAGCCAGGTGACAGCCTGGGTGACAGAGTGAGACTCGTCTCTGAAAAAACAAAAAGCATAATAGCCAAAAAGTTAAAATAACCCAATTGTCCATTAACTGGAGAATGGATACAGTAGGATATTATTCCGCCATAAAAAGGAATGAAGTATGAATACGTGCAACAACATGGATATATTCTTTAAAATGTGCTAAGTGAAAGCCAACACAAAAGTCTTCATTACAGTATTATTCCATTTATATGAAATGTGCGGAATAGGCAAATCTATAGAGAAATAATGTTGATTAGTGGTTGCCAGGAGTTTGGGTGAGGAAGGGATAGAGAGTGACTGCTAATGGGTACAGGGAATCTTTTGAGATTGTTGAAATGTTCTGGAATTACATAGTGGTGATGGTTGCACAACACTGTGAATATACTAAAAAAAATCACCGAATTATGCACTTTAAAGTGTGTATTTTAAAAGATAAATTTTGGGCCGGGCACTGTGGTTCATGCCTGTAATCCCAGCACTTTGAGAGGCCAAGGTGGGCAGATCACTTGAGGTCGGGAGTTGGAGACCAGCCTGACCAACATGGAGAAACCGCATCTCTACTTAAAATACAAAATTAGCTGGGTATGGTGGCGCATGCCTGTAATCCCAGCTACTCGGGAAGCTGAGGCAGGAGAATCGCTTGAACCCAGGAGGTAGAGGTTGCTGTGAGCCGAGATTGTGCCATTGCACTCCAGCCTGGGCAACAAGAGCAAAACTCCGTCTCAAAAAAGTAAAAATAAATAAATGTTTGTTATGAGGGAAAAAAATAATTGCTGTAGTAGCTAAAACCCTGGCAGCCTACCCCACCAATTCTTTTATTTTGGTTTCTAAAGATAATTATCTCGGCTGGGCAAGGTGGCTCACACCTGTAATCCCAGCACTTTGGGAGGCCGAGGCGGGCGGATCACTCGAGGTGAGTAGTTTGAGACCAGCCTGGCCAACATGGCGAAACGCTGTCTCTACTAAAAATACAAAAATTAGCTGGCGTGGTGGCAGGCGCCTGTAATTCCAGCTACTTGGGAGGCTGAGGCAGGAGAATCACTTGAACTAGCGAGGTGGAGGTTGCAGTGATCCGAGATTGCGCCATTGCACCCCAGCCTGGGCAATAGAGTGAGACTCCATCTCAGAAAAAATACAAATTAAGAAAAAAACAAAAAGATGGCCGGGCACTGTGGCTCACACCTGTAATCCCAGTACTTTGGGAGGCCAAGGCAGGCGGATCATGAGGTCAGGAGTTTGCAACCAGCCTGACGAACATGGTGAAACCCCATCTCTACTAAAAATAATAAAATTAGCCAGGCATGATGGTGCGCGCCGGTAATTCCAGCTACTCAGGAGGCTGAGGCAGGAGAATCGCTTGAACCCGGGAGACAGAGGTTGCAGTGAGCCGAGATCGCGCCACTGCAGTCCAGTCTGGGCAACAGGATGCGCCTCCATCTCAAAAAAAAAAAAAAAAAAGTAACTATCTTCATTATCAAATATATGGAATAAATAGAATTTAGGCCGGGCACAGTGGCTCACGCCTGTAATCCCAGCACTTTGGGAGGCTGAGGCAGGCGGATCACGAGGTCAGGAGATGGAGACCATCCTGGCTAACACATTGAAACCCGTCTCTACTAAAAATACAAAAAAAAAATTAGCCAGGCGTGGTGGCAGGTGCCTGTAGTCCCAGCAACTCGGGAGACTGAGGCAGGAGAATGGCGTGAACCCAGGAGGCGGAGCTTGCAGTGAGCCTAGCTTGTGCCACTGCACTCCAGCCCAGGGGACAGAGTGAGACTCCATCTCAAAAAAAAAAAAAAAAAAAAAAAGATAGAATTTAAAGGGTTGCTAAATAATAGCAAATACTTAGACATACTAGATGTAGAGTGGTAGAAGGGATTTAAGTGCTGAGGCTTATATCCATCTTACTAGGGAGCCAGATTAGAACTGTAAAGACTAAGTTCTTACTACTTTTTATTTTTTTGAGATGGAGTATAGGTCTGTCTCCCAGGCTGGAGTGCAGTGGCACAATCTCGGCTCACTGCAACCTCCATCACCTGGGTTCAAGCGATTCTCCTGCCTCAGCCTCCCGATAGCTGTGATTAGAGGTGCCTGCCACCACACCCAGCTAATTTTTGTATGTTTAGTAGAGATGGGGTTTTACTGTGTTGGCCAGGCTGGTCTCAAACTCCTGACCTTGTGATCCGCCTGCCTCGGCCTCCTAAAGTGCTGGGATTACAGGCGTGAGCCACCATGCCCGGCCAGTTCTTACTACTTTAATAGAGGAACATAGTGACTATATTTGTCTTCTCCTCTTAATTTTTTAAATGCTCTAAAACGTTCAAATCCAAGTGAAAAGCTAACTCAATGACATCTTAATACTTAGAACCCCTTCAGGACATTCTAAGAACAGAATTAGGATTGTTGAGATGTGTGTTTAATGGTACTCCTAAGTCTGCACACATCTGACTACCAACCTGATGTTTCATGTCTGTCTATTGTGCTTTATTTCATAGAGAACCTTTCTCTTGAAAGGTTACTAAAGTCTAATTAGGATCATTGCTTGTAAAGCCTCTCACCTGTGACTCCTGCCACCCCCATATAATATTTATAAAAATTGCTCAGGAGTTAGTGATGTTTTGGCAAACCTAAGAATCTTTAGATTATGAAGCTCCTCATAAAAGTACAGTTTAGTGAATGACAGGAAAAAGCAGCAGCATTTCATCAATGTAATGTTTGTTACATTAGATAAATTTTTTGTTTTGGGAATTGAGTTACCTAGATTGGAAGTATATATGTTTATTTGGGAGTGGAGTTGGATAATCAATATTGAAGAAGATAGAAAATTTATTAAGGAGAACCATCAGGGTGGTAGCAAATTTGTCTCAAGGGAAGAAGAAAGACATACAACCTTTCCTGGTTATTTGATACCCTCCCTTGCCTGCCACTTAGAAACTGAAAAGGAAAAGAAAAAAGAGTCTTAATAGAGAACCCAGGTAAGACTTGGAAACAAAGAGATGAAAAATAAGAAAAAATCAGAAATGCTTAAAAGGACAGTAAAGTGTAATGAAAGAAGGGAAAATAAATAATATGACAGGTAAGGAGAAGATAAAATACTGCAGCAGCTAAATTTAAAAGCCAAAAGTTTTGTTACTGAGCAAAAGAGGCTTGCTGCTTGATGCACTCAAAACTAATATTGTGACACGGGGTTTTGTTTTTTTGTTTGTTTTTTAGAAACAGGCTTACTCTGTTGTCCAGGCCAGAGTGCAGTGGCATAATCATAGCTCACTGCAACCTCGTACTCCTGGGTTCAAGTGATCCTCCCACCTTGGCCTCTGGAGTAGCTGGGGCTACATATACGTGCATACCACCATGCGCAGCTGATTTTTTGTGTGTTTTTTTTTTAATTTTTGAGAGAGAGTCTCACTTTGTTGCCTAGGCTGGAGTGCAGTGGCGCGATCTCAGTTCACTGCAACCTCTGCCCCCCTGGGTTCAAGCGATTCTTCTGCCTCAGCCTCCCAAGTAGCTGAGATTACAGGCGTGTGCCACCATGCCTGACTAATTTTTGTATTTTAGTAGAGACTGGGTTTCACCATGTTGATCAGGTTGGTCTTGAGCTCCTGACCTCAAGTGATCCATCCACCTTGGCCTCCCAAAGTGCTGGGATTACAGGCTTGAGCCACCAAGCCCAGCCTAATTTTTGTGTTTTTTTGTAGAGATAGGGTCTCACCGTGTTGCCCAGGCTGGTCTCAACCTCCAGGGCTCAAGTAATCCTCCTTGCCTTAGCCTCCCAAAGTGCTGGGGTTATAGGCATGAGCCACTGTGCCTACCCGACACTGAGTTTTTGAGTAAAGGAAAGATTTTTATTGCAAGTCGACTAACACGTAGACAGGAGTCCAGCTCAAATCTGTTGCCCTGTGCTGGCTTTAATGCACTAATTTTATTAGAAAAGGTTTAGGGGATGAATTCTTAGATTAGGTAACTGGCGGAAGGAAAGGGGAGGTCTGGAAAGTCTTCAGGCATGCATGGCTGTCTTTTCATGCTACGTCATGGATTGCATGTGCAAATTCAGGGGAAGTTAGTATGAAACGTGATGGAAATTCTAGCTGTGACATCGGCAAACTGGTTCTATGCAGACTCCAGTTGGACACATTGGTTCCAGCTGATGTCACCCAGTTTTGTGATCTTACAAGCAGAAGGAGTTTCAGCAAGTTGTTTCGTTTCTTTTCTTTTTTTTTTTTTTTAAATTTGTAGACAGGGTCTCATTCTGTCACTGGAGTGCAGTGGGGCGATCTCAGCTCACTGCAACCTCTGTTTCCTTGATTCAAACAATCCTCCCGCCTCAGCCTCCCGAGTAACTGAGGCTACAGGCACACGCCACCACACCCAGGTAGTTTGTATTTTTTGTAGAGACATGGTTTTGCCCTGTTGCCCAGGCTGGTCTTGAACTCATGGGCTCAGTCTCAATCTGTCTGCTCTCTTCAGCCTCCCAAAATGCTGGGATTACAGGTGTGAGCCACCACACCTGGCCTAAGTTGTTTTTTCTTGTTCTTCTTCTTTTTTTTCTTTCTCTTTTCTTTATTTTTCTTTTCTTTTTTTTTTTTTTGAGATGGAGTCTCACTCTGTCACCTAGGCTGGAGTGCAGCGGCATGATCTCGGCTCACTGCAACCTGCGCCTCGCAGGTTCAAACAAATCTCCTGTGCAAGTAGCTGGGATTACAGCGTACACCACCACGCCTGGCTAATTTTTGTATTTTAGTAGAGACGGGGTTTCGCCATATTGGCCAGGCTGGTCTCGAACTCCTGACCTCAGGTGATCCAGCTGTCTCGCACCATTGCACTCCAGCCTGGGCAACAGAGCAAAAACTCTGTCTCTAAATAAATAAATAAAATAAAAATAATAGACAAACAGCAGGTACAGACCTTGACAAGAAGGAAGAGAAATCTCAGCATGTATAGAAGTATAAGTCCTAGTTTAAGTAATCCTTCAAAAATAGATCTTATTCCTGATGGGATCCATGAAAACAAGGTTTTAAATATATATATCCAGGTTTGTTAGAGGCCACTGTTAGAGATAATTCAGGACTCAGTCTGAATTATAGACGATAACTCAAAAACAGTGGTCGGGGTTGGAATCTGATACAAGGTATAGTTTTCTTTAGAAGCATAATATTTTTCTCTTCAGTCCCTTATTTCTATCAGAGACAAATTGTAGTAATCAATTTGTGTGCAAAGTAACTTTTAGTCCTATTATATCTGGCCTGATTATTTGCATAAAGTGCAACAAGAATAGTGATTGGCCATATAGACCCTTTTTAAAAAAAATGGCTTTGCTGGAACTTTTTAATAAGGAATCCTAGACTTTTAAAAGCCTCAAGGCTTTTACTAAAATACAAAAATTAGTCAGGCGTGGTGGCACATGCCTGTAATCTCAGCTACTTGGGAGGCTGAGGCAGAAGCCTCAAGGCTATGCCTATAATACTTGTATGAATGGGTGTATTCCTCTCTACCTTTTAAAAAATTTTTTATTGTAGGCCAGGTGCGGTGGCTCACTCCTGTAATCCCAGCACTTTGGGAGGCTGAGGCGGGTGGATCAGGAAGCCAGGAGATTGAGACCATCCTGATTAACACAGTGAAACCCCGTCTCTACTGAAAATACAAAAAATTAGCCGGGCGTGGTGGTTCGGCGCCTGTAGTGCCAGCTACTCAGGAGGCTGAGGCAGGAGAATGGCATGAATCTGGGAGGGGGAGCTTGCAGGGAACCAAGATTGTGCCACTGCACTCCAGCCTGGGTGACAGAGCAAGACTCCGTCTCAAAAAAAAAAAAAATTATTGTATTAAAAATTTTTTTGATTTTTTATTTCCCACCATTCTAATAGAAACCTATTTTTTTTTCTTTTTTTAAGAGACAGTCTGGCTCTGTTGCCCAGGCCAAAGCATAGTGGGGTGATCACAGTTCCCTACAGCCACTTACTCCTGAGCTCAAGTGATCCTCTTTCCTTAGCCCCCTGGATAGCTAGGACTACAGGCGTGCACCACAATCCTCAGCTAAATTTTTTCATTTTTACAGAGTCGGGGTCTCACTGTGTTGCCCATACTGGCCTCAAACTCCTGGCCATGGGCCAGGTGTGGTGACACACGCCTGTAATGCCCGCACTTTGGGAGGCCAAGGTGGGTAGATCACCTGAGCCCAGGAGCTCGAGACCAGCCTGGGCAACATGGCAAAACCCTGTCTTTAGGAAAAAAAAAAAAAAAGATCAAACTTTTGGCCGCAAGTGATCCTCCACCTGCCTTGGCCTCCCAGAGTGCTAGGATTATATATAGGTGTGAGCCACCATGCCTGGCCTGGCTTCCCCTAGACTTAGAATACAGTTGAAATCATTTACTATGTCCACAAAGTCTTTTAAATTTTTTTTTTTTTTTTTTTGAAATGATGTCTTGCTCTGTTGCCCAGGTTGGAGTGCAGTGGAGCCATCTCAGCTTACTGCAACCTCTGCCTCCCAAGTTGTAGCGATTCTCCTGCCTCAGCCTCCCAAGTAGCTAGGATTACAGGCACTTGCCACCACACCCAGCTAGTTTTTGTATTATTAGTAGAGACAGAGTTTCACCATGTTGGCCAGGCTAGTCTTGGAATCCTGACCTCAGGTGATCCACCCGCCTCGGCCTCCCAAAGTGCTGGGGATTACAGGTGTGAGCCACTGCGCCCAGTCTTTTTTTTAACATATTCTGGCCCTTGACTAACAGAAGTTTGTTCAATATCCTCATCTATAAGATGGGAATGCTAATAGTACCTATCTTATAGAATTGTTTTAAGGAGTCATTGGATTAGTATGTAAATTTACACACTTAGAATGATACCTGGTACATAATTAAGAACTCAGTATAGGGTTGTGCTGCTGCTGCAGTCCAGCTTCACTGTCTATTCTGATCTTCAAACATTCGTTTGTCATACACCCACTATTTCGTCTACTGGAATGCTCTTCTCCCCAGATCTTGGCAATCTGTTTCCTTTGATCATTTAGATCTTAAATCAAATACCTACTCCTAGGGGAGGCTTTCCTTGACCACCCTTCTATCACATTACTCAGCTTTATGTTTTTTATAGTACTCATCACTAATTGAAATTTTCTCATATATTTTACTTATTTTTTATCTACCTCCAGCCCCTATGCCGTGAGTTACTCAACAGTAGGGACTTAAAACAGTGCCCGTAGATAGCAGGTGGTAAAAATGTTTTTTGAATGAAACTCACCACCCTCCAAATCAGAATGTTTTTCTTTCCTTTCAGGCAAGCTGAAAAATTATAACCACAGCTTCAGATACTGCTCATCATTTTAACTAGATGTTTCCCCCTTTTGTATCCACCTATCCGGTTCTCCTTAGAGAAGGCAGATTCTCTAGACATTATTCACTATAATTGGTCTCTGGGCTTTTATTCAGGGATTTTCCTGTCCCTTGCTGGTGTCTTGCTGAGATTGCAGGATATAGATCAGTTATATTTGCTTTCCGTGTTGCTCCTTGCTTAACCCTCCCAGCTTATTTAATTTATTATCAGTTTTAAACAGTCCCTTACATGGGCCTCTACAGTTGGAGAAAAATCAAAATATCAGAAATCTGTTAGAGGAAGTAAATGTGTAAGAAAACCTAAGGGAAGATTCTTGAAACCAGTTCAGTTGCTATTAATAGTTTTTCTGACATCATGCAAATATTTCAATCACCAAAAGCACTTTCTGCTTCAAAACTGAAAATATTTAAAATAGTGTGATACTGGCATAAAGCAGACATAGACCAATGGAATAGAATAGAGAGCTCAGAAATAAACCTTCACATATATGGTCAAATGATTTTTGTCAAAAATGCCAGGACCATTCAGTGGGGAAAAGTACAGTCTTTTCAATAAATGGTCTTGCAAAGACCTATATCTAAGAACTAAAATTATAAAATCTTTGGAAGAAAACAGGAGAAAAACTTCATGACATTGAGTTTAGCAGTGATTTCTTGGATTTGACACCAAAAGTTCAGGAAATGAAAGAAAAAATAGATAAAGTGGATTACATCAAAATTTAAAACTTGTTTTAAAGCCTGGCGTGTGGTGGTGGGATGCCTGTAATCCCAGCTACTCGGAAGGCTGAGACAGGCGAATCACGTGACCCCAAGAGGCTGAGGTTGCAGTGAGCCGAGATGGTGCCACTGCACTCCAGCCTGGGCGACAGAGCAAAACTCCGTCTTAAAAAAAAAAAAAAGAACTCACTCTATCACCCAGGCTGGAGTACAGTGCTGTGATTGTAGCTTACTGCAGCCTCAAACTGAACACAATAGATCCTCCTACATCAGCTTCCCAAGTAGCTGGAACTACAGGCATATACCAGCATGCCTGGCTACTTTGTTTTTTTTTGTTTGTTTGTTTTTTGAGACACAGTCTCACTCTTGTCTCCCAGGCTGGAGTACAATGGCACCATCTCGGCTCACTGCAACCTCCACCTCCCAGGTTCAAGCGATTCTTCTGTCTCAGCCTCCCGAGTAGCTGGGATTACAAGCGCCCCCACCACCACGCCTGGCTAATTTTGTATTTTTAGTAGAAACGGGGTTTCACCATGTTTGTCAGGCTGGTCTCGAACTCCTGACCTCAGATGACCCACCCACCTCAGCCTCCCAAAATGCTGGGATTACAGTCGTGAGCCACTGTTCCCGGCTTAATTTTTAAAATTTTTGTAGAGACAGGGTCTCACTGTATTTTCCAGGCTGTTCTCAAACTCTTGGCCTCAAGTTATCCTCCTGCCCTCACATCCCAAAATGGTGGAATTACAGGTTTTAGCCATCATGCCTAGCCAAAGCTATGTTTTTTCTTTTCTTTTTTAAAATAGGGAGCCTCACTGTGTTGCCCAGGCTGGTCTTGAACTCCTGGCCTCTAGCAGTCTTTCCACTTCAGCCTCCCAAAGAGGTGGGATTATAGGCATGAGCCACCTTGCCTGATCTCCCATTCACTTTTATTTCCAGGATTCCCTGAACTATTTGCACAGGTAGCTTATGGTGTGGTTTATCAGGCTTTCAGCAAATAACTTATTGGTCTACTTCAAAATAAATACTTATTTGCCTTCTATAAGGCTGAGAAAAATTCTAGACAGTAAATATTTTCTAACATTGCTGTGTTAAAGGAGTCTTGTAATTTATTAAATTAGAATGAAATATGTAGAGATCTAACTTTTTTTAATTTATATTTTGTTTCTGGGTTTTTTTTTCTAGACATTTAACATTTTTCATTGCTGTTTTTTAGGCTTTATTAAATTATCTTTTTTTCTTCATAACTGTAAAATACTTCATTAAGATCCTTCCCAGCAGGGGCTGGGTGTGGTGGCTCACGCCTGTAATCCCAGCACTTTGGGAGGCTGAGACAGGGCGGATAACCTGACATCAGGAGTTTGAGACCAGCCTGCCCAACACGGTGAAACCCCATCTCTACTAAAAACACAAAAATTACCCGGGCGTGGTAGTGGATGCCTGTAATCCCAGCTAGTTGGTAGGCTGAGGCACGACAACCACTTGAACCGAGATCATGCCACTGCACTCCAGCCTGGACAGCCGGGTGAGTCTCTCTCAAAAAAACAAACAAACAAAAAGAACAACAACAACAAAAAAAAATTAGCTGAGCATGGTGGCATGCGCCTTTAGTCCCAGCTATTTGGGAGGCTGAGGTGGGAGAATCACCTGAGCCTGGGTGATTGAGGCTGGAGTGAATGATGACTGCACCACTGCATTCCAACCTGGGTGACAGGAGCAAGACCTTGTTTCAAATAAAAAAATCCTTCCCATCCAAGCATGTTGGCTCATACATGCAGTCCTAGCACTTTGGTAGTCTGAGGCAGGAGGATTGCTTGAGCTCAGCAGTTCAAAACCAGCCTGTGCAACATAGGGAGACCCTCATCTCTACAAAAAAATTAAAAAATTAGCCAGGCTTTGTGGCATGTGCCTGTTATCCCAGCTACTCAGGAGGCTGAGGTGGGAGGATTGCTTGGGTCCAGGAGGTCAAGGTTGCATTGAGCTGTGATTGTGCCACTGCACTCAAGCCTGCGTGACAGAGTGAAACCCTGTCTTCAGACAAGACAAAACAAAAAAAGATCCTTCCCCTGGCTTCTTTCTTTTGATAATTTTAGGTGGGAATTTTTTTTTTTTTACTTTAAAAAAACCAGCTAGAGATTATTTATTATCCTTTGGTGTAGGTAATTGAACTTGGTCAGCATCTGTATGTACATTATCAAGTAAAACATTTTTTCCCACTGTGTTTTATATGGGCAGTATTATCTTCACAGATTGCTCAAGCATTTTGTGTGTTTCTTCTAAAGAACTGCCTTTGTGTTTGTGTGTGTATATACATGTAGTCTGTTATTTCTATGCTAAAATCAAGAGCAACTACTTTATCATACTGACCAGGTGCAATAGTTCACACCTGTAATCCTAGCAATTTGGGAGGCCAATTGCTTGAGCCCAAGAGTTCGAGACCAGCCTGGGCAACATGGTGAAACCCCGTTTCTACAAAAAATTAAAAAGTAGCCAGGTATGGTGGCACGCATCTCTAGTCCTAGCTACTCAGGAGCTTGACGTGGGAGGATCACCTGACCCCAGGAAGTCAAGGCTGGGGCGAGCAGTGATTATGCCACTGCTCTCCAGCTTGGCTGACAGAGTGAGACCCTGTCTCAAAATAAATAAAGGTCAACTACTTTATCATACAATAAAATTTGTCTTTCTCTCTTTTCTTTTTAGGATATTTTCTTTTCTAGATGTTGTTACCCTGTGCCGCTGTGCTCAGGTCTCCAGGGTAAGTATTGTTGGCATAGTTACAGGGGGACCCCTTCTTCATACTGATGATAACAGCCTCTTTCATAGGCCATCCATTTATTTTAGGTGTTACTTGTATGTTTTCATGTTTTAAAGGAGATTATTTCACCAATGACATACCCAAACCCATGTAAATTTATGATGGGATTCTACTATATATACTGTCTCTGACTTTTTGTATCTCTTATTTGTGTAATATAAACAGGAAACATTTTCGATGAAAAAGCAATAAACATGCATATTAAAAGTTTAGACTTGACTCAAAATTGTGATGAAATCTTGTTTTATTATGTTTTCCTAGTTCATTTTTTTTTTTTACACAAGGACAATTTTAATCTTGCATTTTCCTGTAGTAACATCCACTGCTGGCTATCTATGGATTGAAACTGCATTTGCTAAGAACTGTGAACATGAAGAAACTTTACATGAAGTCACATGTTGATGCAGGCACACAGACATCTTCCAGCACCAACAGAATACATGCGT
The DNA here is from genome assembly GCF_000001405.40 of Homo sapiens. Lineage (NCBI taxonomy): Eukaryota > Metazoa > Chordata > Mammalia > Primates > Hominidae > Homo > Homo sapiens. The sequence goes on along the minus strand of NC_000017.11, from coordinate 39,303,078 downwards.
AACACATACCAGATAGTCTCGATGGATAAGTTTGCTTCACCAGTAATTCTAGTTAGTAAGATTCACAGTTAATGCAGAATCGGAGCTTGCAGTGAGCCGAGATCACACCACTGCACTCTACCCTGGGCGACAGAGCGAGACTCTGTCTCAAAAAAAAAAAAATAGTTTCAGAGCAATGATAGTATCTTTTCTAAGTCCCAAATCACTATATCACAGTTGTAAGTCCTACCACCTGATAGGATATAGATAGCAAAGAAGTACTGAACTAAGGCTGGGCCTGGTGGTTCACACCTATAATCCCTTCATTTTGGGAGGCCAAGATGGGAGGATTGCTTGAGGCCAGGAGTTCAAGACTAACCTGGGCAACATAGGGAGCCCTATCTCTACAGAAAATTTAAAAAATTAGGGCTGCGTGCAGTGGCTCACGCCTGTAATCCCAGCACTTTGGGAGGCCCAGGCGGGCAGATCATGAGGTTGGGAGATAGAGACCCTCCTGGCTAACACAGTGAAACCCCATCTCTACTAAAAATACAAAAAATTAGCCAGGCATGGAGGCGGATGCCTGTAGTCCCAGCTACTCGGGAGGCTGAGGCAGGAGAATGGCGTGAACCCGGGAGGTGGAGCTTGCAGTGAGCCAAGATTGCACCACTGCACTCCAGCCTGGGCGACAGAACGAGACTCCGTCTCAAAAAAAAAAAAAAAAAGCCAAATGCGGTGGTGCATGCCTGTGGTTCCAGCTACTTGGGAGGCTGAGGTGAGAGGATTGCTTGAGTCGGGGAGGTCAAGGCTGCAAGTGACCCATGATTGAGCCACTGCACTCCATCCCAGGTGACAGTGACACCGTGTCTCAAGAAATACATATATTTCTCTATATATATACTCTATATATAGAAAAAGAGAGTGAGAATAGAGCAATATTCAGAGTACTGTCCCCTTTGATGTTTGGTTTTACCTTCATATTTTTCCAGATAGAAGGATTTTTTTTAAGGATCATATTTTTAAGCATAGAAGAAAGACTTGCTTTTCATAAACTGAACTTTTGTCTCATTTTGGGATTAGAAACTAGAATTTTCCAGTTAGAAAATACCTTCTGGCTATGATACTTATCACAACTTGCCCTTTCCTTAACTTCTCTAATTTAAGTGTGCGTGGGCGGGGGGAGGGAGGGTTAGTCTTGTTTTTTGTTTTTTTGCTAAGGTCTTGCTGTGTCACCCAGGCTGGAGTACAATGGTGAGATCATGGCTCACTGCAGCCCTTACCTCCTGGCTCACCTCCCACCTCAGCCTCCCGAATAGCTGGGACTACAGTTGTGTGCCACCATGCCCGACTAATTTTTTTAATTTTTCCCCCCCAGATGAAGTTTCGCTCTGTCGCCCAGGCTGGAGTGCAGTGGCACAATCTTGGCTCACTGCAACCTCCGCCTCCCAGGTTCAAGTGATTGTCCTGCCTTAGCTTCCTGAGTAGCTGAGATTACAGGCACGTGCCACCACACCCGGCTAATTTTTGTATTTTTAGTAGAGACGGGGTTTCACCATGTTGGCCAGGCTGGTCTCGAACTCTTGACCTCAGGTGATCCGCCTGCCTCGGCCTCCTAAAGTGCTGGGATTACAGACGTGAGCCACCATGCCCGACCAAGTTTTTAAATTTTTTTATAGGGATCGGGTCTGGCTATATTGCCCAGGCTGGTCTGGAACTCCTGGGCTCAAGTGATCCTTCCACCTTGACCTCCCAAGTGATGGGATTATAAATTTGAGTCACCATGCCTGGCCTAAGATCTTTTGTAGCTGCTAGTTTCTAGTACCCACTCGTTTATGAGATTATCTAATTGGAGAATACAATATGGGTCAGGAGTAAGACACATCATTTGGGAGTAAGTGGATAGGGCCTGATAAATTTTTGGATCCATTTTAGTCATTAGTTGGTTGAATTGTGAACTTGAATATTGCTGCCTTTTCCCCTTAATTTTAGCTTCTGCTCATTCTGTCTCTTTTTCTTTAAAATAGGCCTGGAATGTTCTGGCTCTGGATGGCAGTAACTGGCAGCGAATTGACCTATTTGATTTCCAGAGGGATATTGAGGTATAATTATGTGGTGTGTGGCCCCAGTTTTCATGTTAGTAATTACAGCATGGAACAGATTAGCCCTAGCCATATTAATCTCATTTTCGTTAAAGAGAGGAACTATTATTTTCAGTGCATCTGAACTTTACAGGAACCCCCAAAGTTACCAAGGGTTTCTGCAGTTTTTGAGAATGAGCCAGATTATTTCACTGAAATAATACAATTACTTAGTATTACTAGGACTAAATAGGACTCTTTGGTCTTGAAATAGGACTAAAAGTTTGTTTTTGCAGTGGAAACATTGAATCTATGTTTATTTTAGTGAAGACATTTTATATTTGTTTACTGAGGAATAAATAGAGTTATAACTTGTTGGGATGGCGTTCGTATATATTTTTTTGAGATATGTGTTTTGGTTCTTGAGGAGCCAATTTCTTGTGGAGAACGAAGGTTGAATGAGGCCAAAGCCATTTATTGAATCGTTTTTGCTAGAGAGAGAAGTTTTTTCCTCCTCTCACTTTTTGCCCCATGTTTTATCTCCTAGTATAGCCTATTATCTATAAAATGGAGAATGGCTTACACTTAAATTATTTTAAACTGAATTTGAACTCCTGTTTTTCTTATCCTTCTCATCAGGAAGGTAGAAATAAATAGCTTCTTCATGGCTTCTTAAGGATTAAATGAGGTTTTTTGAGGGCACGTGGGATGGCTTACACCTGTAATCTCAGCACTTTGGGAGGCCAAGGTGGGCGGATCACCTGAGGTCAGGAGTTCAAAACCAACCAAAGTGCTTTTAAAATAATATCCACTGGCATTATATGGGATTTTGTTTTTCACAATTCTATACCCTTCATGGATGTAAATATTTAAAGCAACACCGCCCACAGAATTATTCAGCAAGCTTTTGTTTTTGTTTGTTTTCGAGACAGAGTCTCATTTTGTCACCCAGGCTGGAGTGCAGTGGTGCGGTCTCAGCTCACTGCAACCTCTGCCTCCTGGGTTCAAGCAATTCTTGTGCCTCAGCCTCCCAAGTAGCTGGGACTACGGGTGTGAGCCACCATGCCCGGCTAATTTTTGTATTTTTAGTAGAGATTGGGTTTCACCATGTTGGCCAGGCTTGTATCGAACTCCTGACCTCAAATGATTGCCTGCCTCAGCCTCCCAAAGTGCTGGGATTATAGGCGGAATCCACTGCACCTGGCCAGCTTTTGTTTTTGTTGTTGTTGTTGTTGTTTTGAGACAGAGTCTCGCTTTGTCGCCCAGGCTGGAGTGCAGTGGAGCAAGACCTGGGCTCACTACAAGCTCCGTCTCCTGGGTTCACGCCATTCTCCTGCCTCAGCCTCCCGAGTAGCTGGGACTACAGGCACCCACCATCACGCCCGGCTAGTTTTTTGTATTTTTAGTAGAGATGGGGTTTCACCGTGTTAGCCAGGATGGTGTTGATCTCCTGACCTCGTGATCCACCCGCCTCGGCCTCCCAAAGTGCTGGGATTACAGGCGTGGGCCACCGTGCCTGGCCCCTGACCAGCTTTTGTTAAATGTTCATTGAGTCTCTACTATAAGCAGAGTACTATAATAAACATTTTGGAAAAGATACAAAAAAATAATGTAGTTGCTGTCTTTCAGTAGCTGCAGCTTAACCCAGCTAGGCAGTATATATGCATATAATGCCAAAGAGAACTATAGAACATTATTTTCTCAAGTACAGAATATATTTTACAAGTTAAACAAAATAAGAATATGGGGTTTAGGCATGATGCAAATGATAGGGGTTAATCAGGAAAGCTTTCTCAGGGTAAGTTACAATTTTCCTATTAAATTAGGTCATAATAGAAGCATTTTCTCTTTGTTTATAAATCGTTAAAAATGAGTATGTGTTCTTTTCTAAAGTAATGAGGTGGGTTATCTTTTTGTTTGCCTGTCTCATTTTACAGGGCCGAGTAGTGGAGAATATTTCAAAACGATGTGGGGGCTTTTTACGAAAGTTAAGTCTTCGTGGATGTCTTGGAGTGGGAGACAATGCATTAAGGTAAAAACATAACTATTGATTAATCTTCTTGATGGAAGTGAAGAGCAGCACCATCTCACCCAGAAAAGGCTAAAATCGTTAAAATTCCTAAGTTATTAAAAATGCAACCACACATTGCTTATAATCTGAAAATATCCAGTAATAAGAAATGTAGTTTTAACAGTAAACAAGAACAAGTACTGCCTGAAAAAAACCCAGATTCCCCATCATAAGTGGTTCTTTTGGAGCTTTGAATAAGTTTTTTTTAAATTAATTAATATTTTTATTTTATGTTTTGAGACAAGGTCTCACACTATCACCCAGGCTGGAGTGCCCTGGCATAATCATGGCTCACTATAGTCTTGAACTCCTGGACTCAAGCAATCCTCCCTCTCCTGAGTAGCTGTGACTGAAGACGTGTACCACCACGCCTGGCTAAGTTTTAAAATTTTTTTATAGAGTCAGGGTCTCATTTTGTTGTCCAGGCTGGTCTCGAACTCTTGCACTCAAGCAGTCCTCTTGCCTCAGCCTCCCAAAGTGCTGGAATTACGGGCATGAGCCACTGCACCCAGCTTAGTTCTTTTTTAGGGTTATGGTTAACCCTAACCTGGGCAGTGACCCCAGGACTTTGGGAGGCTAGGTGGGAGGATTACTTGAGGCCAGGAGTACAAGACCAATCTAGGCAGCATGGCAAGGCTCCCATCTCTACAAAAAACTTTTTTTAATTAGCCAGGTTAGGTGACATATGCCTGTAAACCCAGCTACTTGGGATACTGAGTGAAGTAGGAGGATCACTTGAGCCTGGGAGGTTGAGGCTACAGTGAGCTGTGATTGTACCACTGTACTCCAGCCTGAGTGACAGAGGAAGACCCTGTCTCTAAAAATAAATAAATAAATAAGCAATCATTTATTTTTTTAATTTAAAATAATTTTTAAAGTTATGTTTGAAGAATTTATAATGGAAAATTCATTTAAGCCAGGTGTGATAGCCCAAGCCTGTAATCTCAGCACTTTGAAAGGCTGATGTGGGTGGATCACTTGAGGTCAGGCGTTCAAGACCAGCCTGACCAACATGGTGAAACCCTGTCTCTACTAAAAATACAAAAACTTAGTTGGGCATGGTGGTGCGTGCCTGTAATTCCAGCTACTCAGGAGGCTGAGGCAGGAGAATCACTTGAACCTGGGAGGTGGAGGCTGCAGTGAGCTGAGATCACACCACTATACTCCAGCCTGGGTGACAGAGAGAGATTCCATCTCAAAAGAAAAATCATGGCCAGGCTTAATGGCTCACACCTGTAATCACAGCATTTAGGGAGGCTGAGGTAGAAGGAATATGAAGAGGTGTATAAGGCAGAGTCTAGAAGGGTCCCAGGCACAGGAGCTTCTGTCCTGTGGAGTTGGGGTGTACTACCTTCCTGGCACGTGGTTACATTCACCAACCCAGAAGCTCTCTGATCCCTATCATTTAGGGGTTTTTACAGAGTTTCCTTGATCGTAGACATAATTGAAGACCAAATATTATATTAGGTTGGTGCAAAAGTAATCACAGTTTTTGCCATGAGCAGTAATGGCAAAAACCGCGATTACTTCTCACCAACCTGTAACAAAAGATACTATCACTCAGGAAATTACAAAGATTTTAGGGATGGTATGCCAAGAACCGAAGATGAAGACCAAATACATGTTTTTCCTTTATATCACAGTATCACAGATATCAACAATCAATATTACCAATAATAATATATTTTATTACTTTTTTAATGACTGGAATTTGGCCTATTTCATTTGAAACCTCTTACTTTCTTTCCTACAAAGAACCTTTGCACAAAACTGCAGGAACATTGAAGTACTGAATCTAAATGGGTGTACAAAGACAACAGACGCGTAAGTATTTTATGTTTTTGGAGGATAAGTCATAACCCCTTATGTCTGGCTGATACAACCTTAAATTCAGGCCATTAACTCTATTGAGCAAATTTTATCTTGGTTTTGTAGAGGAAAGATATTTTTAGAAGAGAAAGCAACATCAAAGTAGAAATAGAATAAGAAACTTGTTTTGGAATTCTATCTTTGATACAATTTAAGGTGAAACTTTTAATAATTGTAGTCAGTGTACATACAGTAGGGATACTAATAATACATATTACTGGGATTATTTATATTTCTAGATACTAGTAGCTACCAGTTAAAAGCCACAGTAAACATAATTCAGTGAAAAGATTAAAATCTTAAACAGAGGACTAAACAGCTTATGATAATCAGTCCTGAGAACAGTTATTAAATGAAAATGATTCACTAAATGTGCTGTGTCTGTGTTGGTCATGATCTGAAGGAAATTAAGCTTAATTCTTCATCCTCAAGAGGCTTACAGTCACAGAAATTAGACCTAGAGGGTAGTTATTCATTAACTCTACTAATAAGTATTTCTTTTTTTTTTTTTTTTTTTTTTTTGAGACAGAGTCTCGCTCTGTTGCCCAGGCTGGACTGCAGTGGCGCAACCTTGGTTCACTGTAACCTCTGCCTCCTGGCTTGAAGCAATTCTCCTGCCTCAGCCTCCCGAGTAGCTGGGACTACAGGCACGTGCCACCACGCCCGGCTTATTTTTTGTATTTTTAGTAGAGACGGGGTTTCACCTTGTTAGCCAGGATGGTCTCGATCTCCTGACCTCGTGATCCGCCCACTTCGGCCTCCCAAAGTGCTGGGATTACAGGCATGAGCCACCGCGCCTGGCCTCTGCTAATAAGTATTCCTATAGATTGATTTGGAAACGTTTACTGTGAGAGATGAAATATACTAACCTCTTCCCCCACCATTACTTTATACCAGTAGAACTACATTTACTTTAGATAAATTATCTTTTAATTTTTGTTTCCTTTGAGTACTTAGTGTTATAAAGAATAAGAATTTGACCACTTGGTATCTAGAAAAGTGACATGTAATTAACACTTTTTTGTCAGAATCTATCTTATCCTCAAGATGCATTGGTGAAAACATAATATGTATATGCAAGGCTACTACATTACTTGTAATAGCAAAAGATAGGAAACTCCCCAATGTCTATTAGTAGAGAACAGGTTGAATAAAAGTAATGAGGAAAATCTATATATAATACTCTGGATGATCTTCAGGACATGTTGTTAAATGAAGAAAAGCAAACTGCGGAGGAGTTTGTATAATACACCTTTTATAGGGCCAGAAGACTTAATATATATATATATATATATATCTCCATATTTGCATATTTTCAAAAAGAATGGAAATGCCAATCAAAAATAAAATAAGTAAAAATAGTTACTTATATGGGGAAGTGAGAAAACACAAGGGAAAGAGATAAAAGGGAGAACTCTGAATTATGTTTTATCGTTTAATAGCCATGTAAATATTTTACATAATTCAAACAAAAATTAAGTCAAAAAGAAATGAAAGCAATCCCTACAAATTAAAAACACATGAACCAGCCCAGTGCGGTGACTCAGGTCTATAATCCTAGCACCTTGGGAGGCTGAGGTGGGTGGATAACTTGAGGTCAGGGGTTCAAGCCAGCCTGGCCAACATGGTGAAACCCCATCTCTACTAAAAGCAAAAATTAGCCAGGCATGGTGGCACATCCCAGCTACTTGGGAGGCTGAGGCATGAGAATCGCTTGAACCCAGGAGGTGGAGGTTGCAGTGAGCTGAGATCACACTACTGTATTCCAGCCTAGATGAAAGAGCAAGACTCTGGTTCAAAGAAAAAACCCCTTGAACCCAAGTTGGAGTTATAGTCACACAGAGAGAAATTACTTCTGCTGACTTTTTTTAAATATGAAAATTTGAAACATATACAGAAGTAGACAAAAACGTGTAATGAGCCCATCACCCAGCTTTAACTGTTACCAGTTTACAGCCAGTCTTGTTTCATCGATAACCCCACCCACTTATCCCCTCTTGTTTTATCTTATTTTGAAAAAAAGTCCTAGACATCATATTATTTAATCCGTATTTCAGTATGTACTCTTTAACAATAAAGTCTCTCATATGAGTGCATTAACTTTTTTTGTTTTGAGACGATGTCTTGCCCTGTTGCCCAGGTTGGAGTGCAGTGGCACAATCTCAGCCCAGCTTCCTGAGTACCTGGGATTACAGGCCCATGCCACCATGTCCAACTAATTTTTGTATTTTTAGTAGAGACAGGGTTTCACCATGTTGGCCAGGCTGGTCAGGATCTCCTGACCTCAGGTGATCTGCCCACCTCGGCCTCCCAAAGTGCTGGGATTACAGGCGTGAGCCACCGTGTCTGGCCATAAGTGCATTAACTTTTATCACTCCTCTAAAAACAATATCTTAAAATCATCAAATAACCAGTTGTCAATATTCAAATTTCCACATTTTAGTGAATTTAAAAATACACTATTTTAAACACAGTATTAGCCTTGAAATATACAAATTTTTTAAATCAAAGAAGCAGCAGGGGACTGTGGCTCACTCCTGTAATCCCAGCACTTTGAGAGGCTGAGGTGGGTGGATTACTTTAGCCCAACCTCGGCAACATGAGAAACCCCACCTCTACAAAAAAATACAAAAAATTAGCCAGGCATGGTGGCATATGCCTGTAGTCCAAGCTACTTGGGAGGCTGAGGTGGGAGGATTGCTTGGGCTTGGGAGCTTGGGAGCCAGAGGTTGTAGTGAGCTATGTTTCACTGCACTCCAGCCTGGGCAACAAAGCAAGACCCTGTCTCAAAAAAATAATAAAGAAGCAGCCAGGTGTGGTGGTTCACACCTGTAATCCCAGCACATTGGGAGACTGAGGCAGGAGGACTACTTGAGACCAGGAGTTTGAGTCTAGCCTGGCCAACATAGTGAGACCCTATGTCTTAAAAAAAAAAAATCCAAGTAGACTTCTCCTTCTCACAGTGACAATAACTGCCCTCCTGCTGTAAACAACTAGAAAACTAAACAAAACCTAGAAGACCAGTTTAGGATGTTGTACTTGTGGCACAAGACTGAGAAGCAAATGAATGAGCCATGTGATTATCCTCACTTTGTGACTGAGGCATTTTTCAGACAATGCCATAGAGGGAGGGGGAGCCCAAGCAGAGGACAGAGTTTTTGCTGATTTGAAAAGAAAGAGATCAGAATTCAAGGAGGCTAAAGTAGCTGAAATTTGTGGCTGATAAAGAGGAAGCTACTAAAAAAAAAAAATAAAGGCTACAGAAATTTATGTAGATTTGGCTGAATAGTAAACTCTGCATGCACAGGATGAGACCCCACACAGTTTGGCAAAGAAGATCTAGTGAGGAAAAAAACAATTACTGGGAAACTATAAGCCAAAGAATTTCCAGGGCTTAATAAGGCTGGATGAAGTTCCACCCACCCAAAATGGAGAAAATTCATTGAACACCTGGGACATTCAATAAAGACTCCAGAAAGATTACACCTTGGTGGTAGGGCTAAAATAGACCTGCTCTATTAAATATTTTATTTTTTTATTTATTTTATTTTAAGAATCAGGCCGGGCATGGTGGCTCACGCCTGCAATTTCAGCACTTTGGGAGGCTGAGGTGGGCAGATCACCTGAAGTCAGGAGTTCAAGACCAGCCTGGCCAACATGGTGAAACCCCATCTCTACTAAAAATACAAAAATTAGCCAGGCCGTGGTAGCATGTGTCTGTAATCTCAGCTACTTGGAAGGCTGAGGCAGAAGAATTGCTCAAACCCAGGATGCGGAGGTTGCAGTGAGCCGAGATCATGCCACTGCACTCCAGCCTGGGCGACAGAGCGAGACTCCGTCTCAAAAAAAAAAAAAAGTGATCCAAAACAAACTTAACTGCCTGCCAAAACACAGCTCAGCACTCTTTAAAGGAAGACATCAAAGTCCAGAAACCCAGCAATGTGGCATACAGAATATCTGTCACTCAATCAAAAATTGTAAGACATGTTGGCCAGGCACAGTGGCTCATGCCTGTAATCCCAGCACTTTGGGAGGCCAAGGTGGGCGGATCACCTGAGGTCAGGAGTTTGAGACCAGCCTGGCCAGCATGGTGAAACCCCGTCTCTACTAAAAATACAAAAATTAGCCGGGCATGATGGCGGGTGCCTGTAATCGCAGCTACTTAGGAGGCTGAGGCAGGAGAATTGCTTGAACCTGGGAGGCGGAGGTTGCACAGTGAGCTGAGATCACGCCATTGCACTCCAGCCTGGGCTACAGAGCAAGACTCAGTCTCAAAAAAAAAAAAAAAAATTATAAGACATATGCAAAGCAGTGGGAAAATGTGACCCAAAACCAAAAGAAAAGCCAGTCAATAGAAATATAGACCCGGAAGAGGCAGAGGTTGCAGTGAGCCGAGATCGTGTCATTGTACTCCAGCCTGGGCAACAAGCGAAAAACTCTCAAAAAAAAGAAAAGAAAAGAAATAGACCCAGAAGTGACTGAAATAGAACTGAACAATAAGGAGTTTAAAAATAGCAGTTACAAGCCAGGTGTGGTGGTATGCTCCTGTAATCCCAGCTACTTGGTAGGCTGAGGCAGGAGGATCACTTGAGACCAGGAGTTAGAGACTGCAGTGCACTGTGATCATGCCTGTTAATAGCCACTGCACTCAAGCCTGGGCAACCTATCAAGACCACATTTCAAAAAGTAAGTAAATAAGTACATAAGAAATTTTAAATAACAATTACAAATATGTGCAAAAATTTAAAAAAATGAAACTAAAAGAATGGGAAAATACATACTATTATAAATACTAGTTGGGAAAGTTGGAGTGGACAGTAATATCAGATGGCGTAAATTTAAGGAAAAAAATTAGATGAAAAAAAGGTATTAAATAGTACCCCTGGCTTATAAAACAAGTATGCCAAAAAGCAGTAAAGCTATTAAGGACTTCAGCAACACTATCAATGAACTTGATATAATTGACATTTATAGATTGCTACACCAAAAAGCATCAGAATAAACATTCTCTTCAAGTACATTTGGAATATTCAATAGGACAAACCAAATAATGAGCCATAAAACAAATTTTAATACATTTGGAAGGATTAAAATCATATTGGGTATGTTCTGTGACCTCAACAAAATTAAAGTAGAAATTAATAACAGATACCTGGAAGATTAGAAAATTAAATAACATACTTTGGAATAACCCATAGTTCAAAGAATTGCTTACGAAGAAATTTAGAAAATATGCTTCATTGAGTGATAATGAGAATATAACTTTGTAAATTTGTGGAATGCGCCTAAGGTATTGCTTAGAGCAAAATGTATAGCATCAAATGCTAATATTAGAGAAGAAAAGTTTGGCCGGGCACAGTGCCTCACACCTGTAATCCCAGTACTTTGGGAGGCCGACGCAGGTGGATCACTTGAGATCAGGAGTTCAAGAACAGCCTGGCCAACATGACAAAACCCCGTCTCTACTAAAAATTCGAAAAATTAGCCTGGCGTGGTGATGCATGTCTGTGGTCCCAGATACTTGGGAGACTGAGGCAGGAGAATCGCTTGAACCCAGGAGGCAGAGGTTGCAGTGAGCTGAGATTGTGCCACTGTACTCCACCCTGGGTGACAGAATGAGACTCCATCTCAAAAAAAAAAAAAAAAAAAAGAAAAGTTTTAAAATCAAGAATCTAATCTGCTTAGAGAGCTAGAAAAGAGTCTCTCCTCTCTCCTCCCTCCCTCCCTACCTACCAAAAAGGAAGAAAAAAATAGAAAAAAGTAAATTAAATCCAAAGGAAGGAAGGAAATAATACTGGAAATCCATGAAATAAAAAATAGGTGGCCGGGCGCGGTGGCTAGTGCCTGTAATCCCAGCACTTTGGGAGGCTGAGGCGGGTGATCACGAGGTCAGGAGATGGAGACCATCCTGGCTAACATGGTGAAACCCCGTCTCTACTAAAAATACAAAAAGTTAGCCGGGCGTGGTGGCAGGCTCCTGTAGTCCCAGCTGCTCTGGAGGCTGAGGCAGGAGAATGGCATGAACCCGGGAGGCGGAGCTTGCAGTGAGCCGAGATCGCGCCACTGCACTCCAGCCTGGGCGACAGAGCGACACTCTGTCTTAAAAAAAAAAAAAAATACAGAATGGAGAAGACTTATAAAGTAAAAGTTGATTGTTCAAAATAAAATGAATAAGCTTGATTAACCTCTGTCTAGATTAGTCAAGAAAGAACACGCACAGGCTGAGTGCATTGGCTCATGCCTGTAATCCCAACACTTTGGGAAGCTAAAGCAGGAGGGTTGCTTGCACCCAGGAGTTTGAGACCAGCTTGGGCAACGTAGTGGGACCCCATCTCTACAAAAAATAAAAGGTTAGTTGGGCATGGTGGCGCACACCTGTGTTCCTATCTACTCGGAGGCTGAGGTGGGAGGATCGCTTGGGTCCAGGAGGTCGAGGGTATAGTGAACTGTGATCATGCCACTGCACTTCAGCCTGGGTGAAAGACTGAAGCCCTGTCTCAAAAAAAAGTTTGTGGACAAATAAGATAACGTAACTTCTTCAACCTGATCAAGTATATATGTGAAAAATCTCTTACAACATCATATTTGATGGTGAAAGACTTCCTGAGATCAAAGATTCCCTAACATCAGGAACAAGGCAAGGATATCAGGTCTTACCACAGCTGTTCAACATGTACTGGATGTTGTGCCTAATGCAATAGAGGAAGGATTATAAAAGGCATTCACATAATGGTATAATTGGATTCATAGGAAAGTCCATGGAATCTGTCAAAGCTACTAGATCCACTGAGTTCTAGCAAAGTAATGAGATACATGACTACTTTGCAAAAACTCAATTCTATTTCTGTATACTAGCAATCAGCAATTGGAAAATGAAGTTTAAGATACATCATTTATAGTAATACCCAAAAATATAAAAAATATAAGGATAAACTTAAAAATAATGTGTAAGTCATCATATACACTGAAAATTATAAAATGATCACTAACAAAAATTAGAGAAAAGAAAATTTTAAAAAGACTTAAGTAAATGATAGAGAAATAAACATAGAATTTTTTTTTTTTTTTTTTTTTTTTTTTTTTGAGACTGAGTCTCGCACTATTGCCCAGGCTGGAGTGCAGTGGCACAGTCTCAGCTAACTGCAACCTCTGCCTCCCAGGTTCAAGTAATTCTCGTGCCTCAGCTTCCTGAGTAGCTGGGATTACAGGCACTTGCCACCAAACCTGGCTAATTTTTGTTTGTATTTTTAGTAGAGGCAGGGTTTCACCATTTTGGCCAGGCTGGTCTTGAACTACTGGCCTCAACTGATCTGCCTGCCTCGGCCTCCCAAAGTGCTGGGATTACAGGCGTGAGTCACCACTCCTGGCCTCATACATATAGATTTAGAAACTCAGTATTGTTATAGTTTGGGTTTTTTTTTTGTTTGTTTCTTGAGATAGGGTCTTTCTCTGTCGTCCAGGCTGGAATGCAGTGGTGGCACAACCACAGCTCACTGCACCCTCCATCTCCTGGGCTCCCACCTCAGCCTCCCAAGTAGCTGGGACTACAGGTGTGTGTCACCATGCCTGGCTAATTTTTCTATTTTGGGTAGAGAGATAATTTCACCATGTTGCCCAAGGTGGTCTCAAACTCTGGGCTCCAGCAGCCTGCCTGCCTCAGCCTCCCACAGTGTTGGGATTACAGGCCTGAGCCACTGAGACTGGCCTAAAAACTCAATATTGTTAAGATACTTGTTTTCCTTAAATTGTTCTACAGATTCAGTGCAGTTCCAATAAAAAATCCCAATAGGTTTTTTTGTTGAAATTGAAAGGCTGATTCTAAATTCATGTGCAAATGCAGAGGTTCTAGAATAACGAAATCAATTTTGATGGACAGTGAAGTTTGGGGACTTATACTACCTGATTTGAAGGGTTATTATTACAGGAACGTTCATCAGGGCAATGTGCTGGTGCTATAAGCATAAACATATCAGTCAGTGGATTAAAATAAAGTGCCTAGAAAGGAGCCCACACATAGACAAGCTATAAAGAAAAAAATGATAAATTGTACCTCATTAAAATTAAAAACCTTTATGCTTCTGCCAGGCACGGTGGCTCACGCCTGTAATCCCAGCACTTTGGGAGGCCGAGGTGGGCAGATCACAAGGTCAAGAGTTTGAAAACATCCTGACTAACACAGTGAAACCCTGTCTCTACTAAAAATACAAAAAATTAGCCGAGTGTGGCGGCACGTGCCTCCCAGCTACTCTGGAGGCTGAGGCAGGAGAATCGCTTGAACCTGGGAGGCAGAGGTTGCAGTGATCCGAGATCGCGCCACTGCACTCCAGCCTGGGTGACAAAGCAAGACTGTGTCTTAGGAAAAAAAAAATTATGCGTCTAAAGATACCATTAACTTAAAAAAACAAAAAAGGTCACTTCACCTGATTGTCTGAGGGGGAAAAAATTAAAAAAATAATAATCGGAAAAGGCCAGGGACCATGACCTATACCTGTAGTCTCAACTACTTGGGAGGCTGAGGCAGGAGGATCACTTAAGCCCAGAAGAGCAAATCTAGCCTGACTGGTGTTTCTGGCAAGACTCCAACTCTAATTTAAAAGATAGAAAAGAAAGAAAATGAAAAGACAGGACACAGACTGGGAGAAAGTATTTGCAGGTCATATATCTAATAACAGTGCTTCTCTCAAGAGTATATAGAAAGCTCTTAGAATTAATAATGAGAAGACAATTAAACGAACAAAAATGGGCTGAAGTCTTGGATAGACATTTCACCGAAGACATAGGAATGGCAAATAAGCATAAGAAAAGGTATTTACACCAGGTGCGGTGGCTCACCATGTGTGCAATCCCAGCACTTTGGGAGGCCAAGGTGGGCGGATCGTTTGAGGTCAGGAGTTTGAGACCAGCCTGACTAACTTGGTGAAACCCCGTCTCTACTAAAACTACAAAAAAAATTAGCTGGGTGTGTTGGTGTGCGCCTGTAGTCCCAGCTACTCTGGAGGCTGAGGCAGAAGAATCACTTGAACCTGGGAGGCAGAGGTTGCAGTGAGCTGAGATCATGCCACTGCACTCCAGCCCGGGTGACAGAGTCCATCTCAAAAAAAAAAAAAAAAAAAGTTTTCATTACAGAATTGTAAAGTAAAACCACAATGCAATTCCACACCATACACACTAAGATAGCTGTATTCAAAAAGAGAGACAATGCCAAGTGTTGACAAGGATTTGGAAAAACTGGGTCCCTCATGAATTTCTGGCGGGAATGTAAAATGGTACGGCCAATTTGGGAAACAGTTTGGCAGTTCTCTTCAAAGTCAAACATAACCTTGCCATAGGATCTAGCAATTTCATTCCTAGGACTCTACCCAAAAGAAATGAAAACAAGCCGGGTGTGGTGGATCATGCTTGTAATCCCAGCACTCTGGAAGGCCAAGGCAAGAGGATCACTTGAGGCCAAAAGTTCGAGACTAGCTTGGGCATCATAGTTAGACCCTGTCTCTACAAAAAAATTTTTTTAATTAGGTGTGATGGCATGTATCTGTAGTCCTTGCTACTCAGGAGGCTGAAGTGGGAGATCGCTTGAGCCCAGGAGTTGGAGGTTACATTGAGTTATGATAGTGCCACTGCATTCCAGCCAGGGTGACAGAGTGAGACCCTGTCTGTAACAAAAAAAGAAAAAGGAAATGAAAACATTGGCCCACACAAAGACCTAGGAGACATATCAGCCAAAGAGAATGTGTGACTCTTGTTTGGATCCTAATTTGAACAAATCAACTTGTCAAAAACATTTATGATATAATTGGAGAAAAGTTAGCACATTTCAGTATCAGATGATATTAATAAATTAAAGTATTTACCTATTAGAAATAGATACCAAGGCCGGGCGTGGTGGCTCATGCCTGTAATTTCAGCACTTTGGGAGGCCGAGGCGGGCAGATCACAAGGTCAGGAGTTCAAGACCAGCCTGGCCAACATGGTGAAAACCCGTCTCTACTAAAAATAGAAAAATTAGCTGGGCATGGTGGCAGGCGCCTGTAATCCCAGCTACTTGGGTGGCTGAGGCAAGAGAATTGCTTGAACCCAGGAGGCGGAGGTTGCATTGAGCCAAGATCGTGCCACTGCACACCAGCCTGAGCGACAAGAACAAGACTCTGTCTCAAAAAAAAAAAAAAAAAAAAGAAATAGATACTGAAATATTTACAGGTAAAATGATATGTGTGGAATTGGCTTTAAAATCCTGGAATAAAAAAGGGGGGAAGAAGAGATGGCATAAAAAAAATTTTTTTTTTGAGACAGAGTTTCACTCTTGTTGCCCAGGCTGGAGTGCAATGGTGCAATCTTGGCTCGCTGCAACCTCCGCCTCCTGGGCTCAAGCCATTCTTCTGCCTCAGCCTTCCAAGTAGCTGGGATTACAGGCATGTGCCACCACGCTCAGCTAATTTTGTATTTTTAGTAGAGACAGGGTTTCACAATGTTGGTCAGGCTGGTCTAGAACTCCTGACCTCAGGTGATCCACCCACCTCAGCCTCCCAAGAAATAAAAATATTTAATAGTAGAATATTGATAAATGTTGGGCCAGGCACAGTGGCTCACACTTGTAATCCCAGCAGTTTGGGAGGCTGAGGCACGCGGAACACTTGAGGCCCGGAGTTGGAGACCAGCCTGGCTAACATGGCAAAACCCCATCTCTACAAACAATATGAAAAATTAGCTAGGTGTGGTGGTGTGTGTCTGTGGTCCCAGCTACTTAGGAGGCTGAGGCATGAGAATTGCTTGAACCCGGAAATGGAGGTTGCAGTGGGCCTAGATTGCAACACTGCTCTCCAGCCTGGGCAACAGAGCAAGATTGTCTCAAAAAGAAAAACAGTATTGATAAATGTTGAAGTTTACTGATGGTACATGTGGGTTCTCTGTATTATTTACTCTTGTTTATATTTGAAGTTTTCCATGATCTGTTAAATATTAAAATGAGAACTTGACCAGCAGAAAAAAGTCTTTAATACATAACTTACTTTTTTCAGCCCAATACCAGACCAGTCCATCCTTTGTATACCTTGCAAAAATCCAGTTCCTACATTAGTGTTATGCAAAAGGTTATCTTGAGTAGGGATTTAAGTGAAAAAACATGCAGAGCGTTTCTTCTTCATGTTTGACTACGTCTGGTAGATAGCCATTAGCTTCTGGTGTTTCTGGATTTGCAAAATGCATATAGATCTCTTCGAACTCACATTAAGTATCATGTTGTCAATTGCTGTTAACATTTTAAAATGTGAATCAAACACCATCTTCCCCTCATTCAAATTCTCATATGCAGCACAGCCTTTTTTCTTTGTGAATGGTATCTGTCTCTTCCTCAATGTGAAGGGTCGTAGGATATATAACTGCTTTTTTAGGGGTATGAAAATTTTACAGTTCTTATATATACACATGTGTTTAATAAGAACAGTGTCTGATATACCAAGGATGTGTACTTGTCTTGTTTATTCATTATTTTCTCCTTTTTCCATTTTTCAGTACATGTACTAGCCTTAGCAAGTTCTGTTCCAAACTCAGGCACCTTGACTTGGCTTCCTGTACATCAATAACAAACATGTCTCTAAAAGCTCTGAGGTAAATTTCTTATAATAAGCATGTCAAGTAATCAAAAAAAAATACATATTTTAAAAAAATAATTGATATAAAGTGGGAATTGAAGGCAACTCTGTTTTATGGATATATTCTATAGTTCAGAATAGATAATTTGTTTTACCACTTGCCCAAATTACAATTATGGGACATACTAAAGTGAAATGACTAGAGGTAACTAGGATTTCTGAACAGGGTAGTACAGTTTATACATAAACAATTAGATTTTTATGAAGTCTTATTTTCAAAAAGAAAATAAGGCCAGGCATGAAGACTCACGCCTGTAATCCCAGCATTTTGGGCGGCCGAGGCAGGCAGATCACGAGGTCAAGAGGTTAAGACCATCCTGGCCAACATGGTGAAACCCTGTCTCTACTAAAAATATAAAAATTAGTTGGGCATGGTGGCGTGCGCCTGTAGTCCCAGCTACTCGGGAGGCAGAGGTTGCGGTAAGCCAAGAGCACACCATTGCACTCCAGTGTGCTGACAGAGTGAGACTCTGTCTCAAAAAAAACAAAAAAAAAGAAAGAAAGGGCACGTGTTATAGCTTAGTGCTTAAAACAGGTATCTGGAGCCAGATTATTAACCAGGTACTTTAAGCAAACACAACCTTTCTGAGCTTTTTCTTATCACCTCATAACATTTTATTAAGGTTTAACAAGGTATTAGGCAACACCATATAAAGTTTTGCTAGTATTTGACAGTTTTCATGTTATAAGAATGACAGCTACATGTGGCTCAACCTAATGAATATAAAGTGCTTTAAAAAGGGTCCCTGAGGCCAGGCGTGATGGCTCACACCTGTAATCCCAGCACTTTGGGAGGCCATGGTAAGAGGATCGCTTGAGCTCAGGAGTTCTAGACCAGCCTGCGCAACATAGGGAAACCCTGTCTCTACTAAAAAAAATAAGAAAATTTGCCAGGCGTGGTGGCATACCCCTGTAGTCCCAGCTGCTCAGGGGACTGAAGCAGGAGGATCACTTGAGCCCAGCAGGTTGAGGCTGCAGTGAGCTGTAATCGTGCCACTGCACTCCAGGCTGGGCAACAGAACGAGACCTCATCTCAAGAAAAAAATACAAATTTAGTTAAGTAGAGTATAAATAATCTAAAATGTGGCTCCTTTTAGACCTTCTTTGTGAATATTGAACACATGTACCTAAGACGGTTTGCTGTGTAGGCTAATAAACTTGATAATATAACAACTTTTATCATTTATAAAATATTTTCACATAAATGATCTTATTTATTTAAAAGCTTTGTGAAGTAGAGTGGATGGTCATTTTACAGCTAAGAAAATCTAGAAAGCTGTTGACTGCCAGGTACTGTGATGCAACCATGAGATGTAACCGAGTAAGATATTGCTGCCCTTAAGTTGCTCACAGTCAACTGTTATTGTGGAATAAATGCTATGGTAGGAATGAGTACATCAGTTTTGGGAAAACAGAGAGCTATGGGGCTAATCTTGGACTAAGAGAGGTTCAGACAGGCTTCCTAAAGTCATTTGCCTGAAGTTAAACTATTAATATTGGAGAATGAACTTGATATCATGGCTTTATCTTCTGGATCTTTTCTGCAGGCAGGAATATTTCAAACAATTTATGGAGTGTTTTTCTGAAGAATATTATAGAAAACTTGGAATTCATCCATAATACAAATATGAAGCTAAACTATTAAGAGTAGATGGAATCAACAATGAAACTAGTATTTTGAAGGCAGAGATCGGACATAAGATATCCTAAATTCAGCCTACAAAAGCGGTACTCTAGAAACATCTCAGATAAGGAAATACACAGGGCCTTTGTAATTTTTTAAAATAAAAGTTTAAAAGGCTTCATTACTACTTTGGTACTGTGAGTTGAATATCCCCGTTTCAAAAATCCAAAATGCAGCTGGGTGCTACTTGAGGGACTGAGGCGGGAGGATCAGTTGAGCCATGGAGGTCACAGCTGTAGTGAGCCCTGATGGCGCCACTGCACTCCAGCCTGGGTGACAGAACGAGACCCTGTCTCAAAAAAAAAAAGAAAGAAAAGAAAATCTGAAATGCTTCAAAATCCCAAACTTTTTGAGTATCAATGTGACACTCAAAGGAACTGCTCACTGGGGCACTTCAGATTTTCAGATATGGGATACTCAGCTATGTAAGTATAATGCAAATATTGCAAAATCTGAAATCTGAAACACTGCTGGTACCAAGCATTTAAGATAAGGGATACTCAACCAGTAATAGCATTGCTCGATGGAGAATCTCGTTTTGAATCAGAGCTCTTTATTAATTACTCTGTAAACTAGAATAAATCACTTAATTTCCATTTTTTGTCTAGAGAGCTTTGAGATATGTGATAAGTACAAAAGGAATATAAATCTGAAAAACATTATAATGCTTTGTGTTTGTTGGTTAAGCTGGATTTTAGATGTTCCTGCTAATGGTATAGTCCCATGTGAATACCACATCGATAAATCTAAATATACATTAGGTAAATATGTTTTTTCTTGTGGGAAAAAATGGGAATGTTTCCATTCCTTTACTAAATAGCCAATAAATTGAGACGTTGGTGTTTTTGGAATTGGATTTAGTGATATGTTTCTCTTATTTTGTTTTATCCTAAGTGAGGGATGTCCACTGTTGGAGCAGTTGAACATTTCCTGGTGTGACCAAGTAACCAAGGATGGCATTCAAGCACTAGTGAGGGGCTGTGGGGGTCTCAAGGCCTTATTCTTAAAAGGCTGCACGCAGGTAATACTCCATGTAGGGCTCGTGAAATTCGGAAGAATCGTGAATGAATCATGAGCTCTTTATAGACAGCCCCAAGATGTTTGTCTGGAGGGAAAGGTTAGTTGTGTGTATTATTGACAAAAGACAAATGCTTACCAAAAATTAAAGTGTTTTCCTTAGGATAAAAGAATGAGAAGAATTAACATCTGACCAAAAATAAACTTGAGGAGGAGGGAGACAAAGTGTAAATTAAGATTATATTAAAGATACACCATGGTCAAGAAGAGTTCCATGCAGTTTAATTTGTGCTGAAAAGAAAACTTGGCTTGTTGTCACTGCCTGATACTTTGAACTGGATAGGCAAAGAAGGCAGTCTTAGCAATTTCCACTTGTTTTTTAACCACCAGTGTTTCTTAAATATGCCAAGTGTACAGCAACCTGCATTTTATAGTATTGATGCTTATTTCCTGCCAGTCACATTACAAATCCAACATATTTTGTCATTAAAAATTTTACTATCTCAGTGTTTTATAGTGAAAAAAAGAATTGATTAGTTAGCCTCTGGAAAGAAATGAGTGGATTTAAATTGTGGCTGACAAACTAAGGCTAGGCTCTACTTTATTTTATTAATGGTTACTAAAACCATAACTTGGATTCCATTAAAAGTGCCCTGATTCTTTTATCACGATGAGAGGGGTTCCATTGTTTGAAAGAGAATTTCAGATGTATGACTGCCTTAAAACAACAGCTTGAGCTTCTGGTTATTTAAGGAATCCTGAAAAATACTGATTGGAATGTATCATTATAATCAGTTACTTACCATCTGTTCTCAGCACTGTAAGCATGGCACCTATCTTCCAGTGGGAGATGAACACTGGATTCCTTTCTTGGCTGTATTTCCTCAAAGTTTGTTTATAAAAAACTTTATAAGGGGTGTGTAGAAGTTTGAAAATTATTTTAGTTTCATGGGCCCTCAGTAAAATGCTGTCAGGTATATTTAATTTATCAGAAGTAAAACCCATAAAAACTAGGCAGTGTTTACTTCATCTTTGTTCTTGATTTGATGATTATGTGAATTTGAATGTGGTCAAAGCTGATTTTAAAAATACTGAGAATCATAATAAGAATTATACTGTTATATGATCATAGCGTATTTTCTGATTCATTGTTCCTTCGAAACTTGGTTGGCTGTATTAGAATGTATGAATGAATGTGTACATTCTTAAATCTCTTTCCTTTGAGACAATGTCAATAATCATTTTTTTCTTACTTTTTAATCTTTCTAGCTAGAAGATGAAGCTCTCAAGTACATAGGTGCACACTGCCCTGAACTGGTGACTTTGAACTTGCAGACTTGCTTGGTAAACATCCCTTCTCACAACTCTTCTGTTTTAGTAATTCATTTCATTAAAATTTTTAAGAGCTATTTTAAGAGCTTCAGTCATCAAGACCAGTATTGTTTTTCTACCACAACCCTAGTGACAAAGTAAACACACAGATGACTTTTGACGTGCTTAACAATACTCATTCCTAGGGGCCTTGGCATAGATAAGATAGGAGGTAGCTAGCTTATGCAGAATTCCAGATGAACTAACTGTAGCTCCACCCCTTTCTTACATACTTAAAAAAACTGTCTACTTTTAAAATGTAAATGATTCACAAGTTTAGTATTTAAAATTGCAGTCAAGCTGGGCACGGTGGCTCATGCCTGTAATCCCAGCACTTTGGGAGGCTGAAGCAGGCAGACTGCTTGAGTCCAGGAGTTTGAGACCAGCCTAGGCAACATGACAAAACCCCGTCTCTACAAAAGGTGCAAAAATTAGCTGGGTTTGGTGGTGTGTGCCTGTAGTCCCAGCTTCTTGGGAGGCTGAGGTGGGAAGATCAGTTGAGCTTGGGAGCTTGAGGTGCAGTGAGCTGAAATCATGCCACAGCACTCCAGCTCGGGCAACAGAGTGAGACCTTGTCTCAAAAAAATAAATAAGATGATGAGCAATATATACTCGTCAAATTATTTTCAAGTAGCATCTATATTTAGCGTTTTGTCTTGTTCAAACTATCAGCTTTTTTGTGTCTACCCCAAAACCCCTGAATTCTACTCAGATAATTTGCTGAAACTATTCAGGCACCTAGAATGTTAACAGTACATCTTTATTTTGTTATTTATTT
This sequence comes from Homo sapiens, assembly GCF_000001405.40. Lineage (NCBI taxonomy): Eukaryota > Metazoa > Chordata > Mammalia > Primates > Hominidae > Homo > Homo sapiens. The sequence goes on along the minus strand of NC_000017.11, from coordinate 39,280,583 downwards.
ATTTATTTATTTATTTTGAGGCAAAGTCTTACTCTGTCACCCAGGCTCAAGGGTAGTGGTGAGATCTGCACTCACTGCAGCCAACCTCCACCTCCTAGGCTCAAGCGATTCTCCTGCCTCAGCCTTCTGCATTGCTGGGATTACACGCCACACCCAGCTACTTTTTTTTTTTTTTTTTTTTTGAGACAGAGTCTCACTGTGTCGCCCAGGCTAGAGTGCAGTGACGCTATCTCGGCTCACTGCAACCCTGCTTCCCGGGTTCAAACAATTCTCCTACCTCTGCCTCCTGAGTATCTAGGATTGCAAGTGTGTGTCACCATGCCCGGCTAATTTTTTTTTTTTTTTTTTGAGACGGAGTCTTGCACTGTTGCCTGGGCTGGAGTGCAGAGGCACGATCTCGGCTCACTGCAACCTCCGCCTCCCAGGTTCAAGCGATTCTTCTTGCCTCAGCCTCCCAAGTAGCTGGGATTACAAGCGCCCGTCACCACACCTGGCTGATTTTTTTGTATTTTTAGTAGGGATGGGGTTTCACTATGTTGGCCAGGCTGGTAATTTTTGTATTTTTAGTAGAGATGGGTTTTTGCCATGTTGACCAGGCTGGTCTCAAACTCCTGACCTCAGGTGATCTGCCTGCCTCGGCCTCCCAAAGTGCTGGGATTACAGGCGTAAGCCACTGCCATGGCCTAATTTTTGGGACAGAGTCTTGCTGTGTTACCCAGGCTGGAATGCGGTGGTGTGATTTTTGCTCACCTTCACCTCCCGGGCTCAAGTGATTGTTCCACCTCAGCCTCCCTAGTAGTTGGGACTACAGACATGTGCCACCACACTCAGCTAATTTTTGTATTTTTTTTGTAGAGATGGGGTTTTGCCATGTTGGCCAGGTTGGTCTCGAATTCCTGGGCTCAAGCAATCCACCTGGCTTGGCCTCCCAAAGTGCTGGGAATACAGGTGTGAGCCACGTGCCTGGCCAACAGTACACCTTTAGCTTTTTTCTCTTGCCTTAAAAATTACAAATGTATTTGCCTTGGAGTGAGAGTTGCTCATGGCAAAGAAAAAAGTGATAAGTTCCTTTTTTTTTTTTTTTGAGGTGAAGTCTCACTCTGTCACTCAGACTGGACTATTAGTGGCATGATCACAGCTCACAGCAACCTCCAACTACAGGGCTCAAGCAATCCTTCCACCTCAGCCTTCTGAGTAGCTTGGACTACAGGTGTGTGCCACCACACCTGGCTAATTTTTTAATTTTTTTGTAGAGATAGGGTCTCCCTATGTTGCCAGGCTGGTCTCAAATGTCTGGGCTCAAGCAATCTGCCTGCCTCAGCCTCGCAAAGTGCTGGGATTACAGGCGTGAGCTACCTGGGCTCTTCCTTACAATTCCGATTACTATAGTTGCTGACTATCAGAATTTGCCTAATTTCATTTTATTTATTTATTTATTTAGAGACGGAGTCTCGCTGTATCGCCCAGGCTGGAGTGCAGTGGTGCGATCTCGGCTCTCTGCAACCTCCATCTCCCAGGTTCAAGGAATTCTCCTGCCCCACCTTCCCGAGTAGCTGAGATTACAGGGCGTGCCACCATGCCTGGCTAATTTTGGTAGAGATGGGGTTTTGCCATGTTGGCCAGGCTGCTCTAGAACTCCTGACCTCAAGTGATCTGCCGGCCTTGGCCTCCCAAAGTGCTAGGATTACAGGCATGAGCCACTGCACCCGGCCATGATTTCATTTTTAAGACTGAAATGTGACCAGGCACAGTGGCTCACACCTGTAATCCCAACACTTTGGGAGGCCGAGACGGTGGATCGTTTGAGGTCAGGAGATCGAGACCAGCCTGCAACATGGTGAAACCCATCTCCACTAAAAATACAAAAATTAGCCCGGGCGTAGTGGTGTGTGCCCGTAATCCCAGGTATTTGGGAGGCTGAGGCAGGAGAATCGCTTGAACCCAGGAGGTGGAGGTTGCAGTAAGCTGAGATCGCACCATTGTACTCCAGCCTGGGCGACACAGCCAGACTCCATCTCAAAAAAAAAAAAAAAAAGACTGGAATGTTTACTCCTGAGAGATCAACCACAGTTATTGTAAACATGAAATCATTATCTTAAAATGCCAAAGAAAAACTATTCCTGGAGAGCTTCGTGTGTATGTGTGCACACACGCGCGTGCCTATAATCCCAGCACTTTGGGAGGCCAAGGCGGGTGAATCACCTGAGGTCAGCAGTTCGAGACCAACCTGGCCAATATGGTGAAACCCCATCTCTACTAAAAATACAAAAACCATCTAAGTGTGGTGGTGTGTGCCTGTAATCCCAGCTACTCAGGAGTCTGAGGCAGGAGACTCACTTGAACCTGGGAGGCAGATGTAGCGGTGAGCCAAGAGCACGCCACTGCACTCCAGCCTGGGCAGCAGAGCGAGACTCTGTCTCAAAACAAAAAACAAGTGTGTGTGTTTGTATGTATAAGCACATATATATGCACATATATTTACACACTCTATACATACACATTACATACACACACATATAGACATAAATATGTACATTTGTGGGTTTAGTTTGGTGTTTCTTCATCCTTCCAGCAGGCAGGAATCACAGTGAACGTAAAGAACCAATTCTATCTTATGTGTATTTTATTGTTTTCCTTCACCCAAATCTTAGTACAGGAGTCATTTCTTCCCTACAGCGTGATAAAATGATTCTCAGCATTCATGAGATTTCATGCTCTGCCCAAAATTATTGAGGTGATTAAAGTACATTTTTGATGCTTTCATTTTCTTGACAGATTTGAAAAACATAAAAGTTTAGTAAATTTTACTTTTTTTTTTTTTTTTTTTTTGAGACGGAGTTTTGCTCTTGTTGCCCAAGCTGGAGTGCAATGACATGATCTTGGCTCACTGCAACCTCTGCCTCCTGGGTTCAAGCGATTCTCCTTCCTCAACCTCCCCAGTAGCTGGGATTACAGGCACGTGACACCATGTCTGGCTAATTTTATGTATCTTTAGTAGAAACGGGGTTTCGCCATGTTAGGCTGGTCTCAGACTCCTGACCTCAAGTGATCTGCCCACCTCAGCCTTCTAAAGTGCTGAGATTACAGACGCGAGCCACCGTGCCTGGCCTACAATTTTTTAAAGTACTGACAGTATGACTTAACTCATCTTTCTTCCTCAGTACTCTCTTATAACATACAAAGGAAAGGGCAGCACAGCCCTACGGTACTTTTCTAATATTGTGTGGCACAAATATCTTTGGCCTGCTAAATTTGCATGTGTATTGATTCTTACTTCCCTCTTTACATCTCGGCTATCATAGTCTAAAGACAATACATCATGTTTGTGTGGGACTTTTTTAGCTGCCTCCACGTGTGTTAGTATCTCATTACTTGATCCTCATTAGTATCTGCCTTAGCATCCAATTTTTTTAATCTATATTTGTGTCAGCTACATGATATTGAAAGCATGATTTAAGCAGTGGATATTAAAAGTTGTGGGATTTTGTTTTTTCAGTTGTCCTTGTAATTTATGGACATGACTATTAAACAGAGACAAGAAGAGAGCTTTTATTTTTAGGCCTACACAAAATTAGTGAATCTGGAGGACAAATTGAAGAGTTGATAGTATCCACCATGTTGAGATGTTTATGTGTAACTTTCCTTTTTTTTGTTTACGGGAGTTGGGGGTGGTCTCATTATGTTGCCCAGACTAACCTTGAACTCCTGGGCTAAAGCGATCATTCCACTTCAGCCTCCTGAGTAGCTGGGACTGTAGGCATGTGTGCTTGTAATATTTCTAAAAATATAACATCTTTGATGTGAGGTGGCTTATTGTGCAACAAATTACTCAGTTGGTTAGAAAACAACCAGATATTATTTATGAAATATTTGTACCTGGGCCGGGCGTGGTGGCCCACGCCTGTAATCCCAGCACTTTGGGAGGCTGAGGCTGTCGCCCAGGCTGGAGTGCAGTGGCACAATCTTGGCTCACTGCAACCTCCACCTCCCAGGTTCAAGTGATTCTCCTGCCTCAGCCTCCCGAGTAGCTGGGATTACAGGCATCCGCCACTGCGCCTGGCTAATTTTTGTATTTTTAGTAGAGACGGGGTTTCACCATCTTGGCCAGGCTGGTCTCCAACTCCTGACCTCGTGATCCACCCGCCTCCGCCTCCCAAAGTGCTGGGGTTACAGGCTTGAGCCACCATGCCCGGCCTCAATAACTTCCCTCCCTCCCTCCTTCTTCCTTTCTTTCTTCTCTTCCTTCCCTTCCTTCCCTTTCTTTTCTTTCTTTCTTCCTTTCTTTCCTTTCTTTATTCCTTCTTTCCTTTCCCTCTCTTCCTCCCTTCCCTTCCCGTCCCTTTTTTTTTTTTTTTTTTTTTTCTTTTCTTGCTCTATTGCCTGGTGGAGTGCAGTGGTGCAAATCTCCTCCTGGGGTTAAGCGATTCTCCTGTGTCAGCCGTCCAAGTAGCTGGGATTACAGGCATGTGCCACAATACTTGGCTAATTTTTGTATTTTTAGTAGAGACAGGTTTTCACCATGTTGGCCAGGCTGGTCTCGAACTCCCGACCTCAGGTGATCCACCCACCTCAGCCTCCCAAAGTGCTTGGATTACATGTGTGAGCCACTCCACCCAGTCTAATAACTTGTAAAAAATACAAAATTGTGTCTGAGTTAGATACAACTCTTTTATCTATAAATTAGGATGTTCTTTATATTATAAAACTAAAATATAGAAGTAAATGGATGCTGTGGCTGATACAATATTGCAACTGTCATCCACAGTTTAATTTTTTTCACTAACTTATCAGTGTCAATTTGAACTTTTAGATATATTTATACTACTAAAATACTTATATCCTTATCTTTTTTCTAGGTTTTAATATTTAATTGAGGCCAGGCATGGTGGCTCAAGCCTGTGATTCAAGTACTTTGGGAGGCTGAGGTGGGCAGATCACTTGAGGCCAGGAATTCGAGACCAGCCTGGCCAAAAACCCCATCTCTACTAAAAATACAAAAAAAAAAATTGCCGGACATGGTGGCGTGCACTTGTAGTCCCAGCTAGTCAGGAGGCTGAGGCACGAGAATCGCTTGAACCTGGGAGGTGGAGGTTGCAGTGAGCCAAGATTGCACCACTGCACTCCAGCCTGGGTGATAGAGTGAGACTCTATCTCCAAATAAATAAATAAATAAATAAATAAAATTATTTAATTGAACCTAAACTATGATGTACCCCATACTGATCCCAGTTCTATTAGAATTCCATTGTAGCTTTCAACAGGATTCTATTATAGCTTCTTCCCTTTGCACCAAAGGTAAGCACAGAGAACTGGAAGGAAGAAACAACGTGTGTTCATTTTCTTTTAGGTCTGCTATCTGATGAATGTGTTAAGCATGTCTTGATTTCCTTTTTGGTGATTATTTTCACAGAGCTATCATTTTTTTCTTTTTTTGTTTTGCTAAGATACTAATATCTATGGATTTTTTTGCTCTTGTTTTTTAGCAAATCACAGATGAAGGTCTCATTACTATATGCAGAGGGTGCCATAAGTTACAATCCCTTTGTGCCTCTGGCTGCTCCAACATCACAGATGCCATCCTGAATGCTCTAGGTCAGAACTGCCCACGGCTTAGGTAAACATTTCTTGTTTAGCTCAAAAAAATCATAGAACAAAAGTTTCCTTCACCCATATTTCTTCCTTGGAACTTTGGAATTTTAAGGTAGGCACTGCAGACGCTTTGAAATTTTAAGGTAGTCCCTTTTAGATGCCCACCTACTTCCTTTTTGTACCTCATTTGATTTCATGTAATTGGTGTGAACCAAGGGGTAACAATCCCCAAATTCCACTACTTGCTATCCATACTAGAAAAAAGAATCAACATTTTATTACTTGAGATAGAAAGAAAGGTATTTTCTCTTATTAATGCTTTTGTATAATTCTTTTCTCAAAGTAGTTTTTAAAGGTCCACCCTAAGGTCATTTGTCATAGTAATGATACCAGGTACATAGCAGGGGGTACTATATTTAAAAGACACTCTTAAAGGAATACCTCTTTTGTACTGATGGGTTTTTAAAACAGTCTTATTTCTCTCTGGCTCCTCAGTTTGAAGAATGCTGTGTTTTTTACTTTTTGTAGAGATGGGGTCAGGCTGTGTTGCTCAGGCTGGCCTCAAACCTCAGCTTCCCAAAGTGTTGAGATTACAGGTGAAAGCCACTGTGCCCAGCCTGTTACTGTCTTTTGAGGTAGTGTTGTGTATGCCTGCCTCAATCTCCTGGGCTCAAGTGATCATCTCACCTCAGCCTCAGGAGTAGCTGGGACTAAAGACATGTGCTACCACACCTGGCTACACTTTTTGTTCTCTAAAATAAACTTACATAGTACTTGTAAATTAGGTGTTGCTTTAGGTGCTTTACAAATACTAATTCAGGGCTGAGTGCCGAGGCGCACACCTGTGATCCCAGCATTTAGGGAGACCGAGGCTAGAAGATCGCTTGAGCCCAGGAGTTTGAGACCAGCATGGGCAACATGGCGAAACCCTGTCACTACAAAAAATAAAAAAATTAGCCAGGCATGGCGATGTGTGCCTTGTAGTCCCAGCTACTCAGGAGGCTAAAGTGAGAGGATCACTTGAGCCCAGGAGGTCAAGACAGCAGTGAGCTAAGATCACACCACTGCACTCTAGCCTGGGCAACAGAGTGAGACTCTTTCTCAATAACAGTAATAATTTGTTTAATCTCCATAGCACCATATAAGCACTATTATCGCCTTTTTTTTTTTTTTCTGAAACAGAGTCTTGCTCTGTCGCCCAGGCTGGAGTGCAGTGGCGCGATCTCGGCTCACTGCAACCTCCGTCTCCTGGGTTCAAGCGATTAACCTGCCTCAGCCTCCCTAGTAGCTGGGACTACAGGCGAGTGTCACCACACCCAGCTAATTTTTGTATTTTTAGTAGAGATGGGGTTTCATCATATTGGCCAGGATGGTCTCCTGACCTCATGATCTGCCCACCTCGGCCTCCCAAAGTGCTGGGTTTACAGGCGTGAGCCACCACACCCAGCCTTGTTACTGCCATTTTATAGATGAGAAAACTGAAGCACAAAGAGACAAAGTAACCTGCTCAAGGTCTCAGCTAGTTAGTGTAGGAACAAGTATTCACCCAGGAACTCTGATTCCTGAGCCTATGAAGCCACTTTTCTTACATATAATAATCATTGTAAAGCTATAAAACTTTCAGAAAATTGTTTCTGATGATTACCTGGCCTAACCATAATTGTTGAAAGAACTTTTGTGGCCAGGCGCAGTGGCTCACACCTGTAATCCCAACACTTTGGGAGGCTGAGGCGGGCGGATCATCTGAGGTCAGGAGTTTGAGACCAGCCTGGTCAACATGGTGAAACCTCGTCTCTGCTAAAAATACAAAAATTACAGGCGTGGTGGCCCACTCCTGTAATCCCAGCTACTCGAGAGGCTGAGACAAGAGAACTGTCTGAACCCAGGAGGTGGAAGTTGCACTCCCAGCCTGGGTGGCAGAGTGAGACTCCCTCTCAAAAAAACAAACAAACAAAAAAACCTTTTGCCTACAATATCAAAATTTCTTAAGAGAACATACACCTATTGGTCAAAATTAGTAATATCAGAAGCCTAAAATATTCCTCAAGAGCTGGGGAGGTAATCAAACTTCTCTCTGAATATCTTACACTTTATCCTTTTCGACTGTAGAGAGAGGAGTCTTCAGCTCCATCTCCCTATATGGTTCATTACATTGTTAGAATGGAAAAGCTCTCAACTGTGAAAATCAAAAGTTGTGTTCCAGTCAGATCGTGTTTTCCCATTAGGTAGCATTCATTTCTTTCTTTCTTTTTCTTTCTTTCTTTCTTTCTTTCTTTTTTTTTTTTTTTTTTTTGAGATAGAGTTTGGCTCTGTTGCCCAGGCTGGAGTGCAATGGCATGATCTTGGCTCACTGTAACCTCCTCCTCCCAGGTTCAAGCAATTTTCGTGCCTCAGCCTCCAGAGTAGGCAGGATTACAGGCATACGCTACCATGCCTGGCCAATTTTTTTGGTATTTTTGGTAGAGATTGGGTTTTACTGTGTTGGCCAGGGTGGTCTCAAACTCCTGGCCTCAGGTGATCTGCCCTCCCAAAGTTCTGGGATTACAGGCATGAGTCAACGCACCTGGCCATCTCTTGGAATTAAAAAAAAAATTTTTTTTTTTTTTTTTTGAGACAAAGTCTCGCTCTGTTGCCAGGCTGGAGCGCAGTGGCGTGACCTCAGCTCACTGCAAACTCCGCCTCCTGGGTTCAAGTGATTGTCCTGCCTCAACCTCTCAGATAGCTGGGACTACACGTGCCCACCACCATGCCTGACTAATTTTTTGTAATTTTAGTAGAGACGGGGTTTCACCATGTTGGCCAGGCTGGTCTCGATCTCCTGACCTCGTGATCCGCCTGCCTCGGCCTCCCAAAGTGCAGGGATTACAGGCGTGAGTCACCGCGCCCGGACAGAATTTAAAAATTTTTTTATACTGGTGAAGTCTTGGTATGTTGCCCAGGCTGGTCTTGAACTCCTGAGCTCAAGTGATCCTCCTGCCTCAGCCTCCTGAAGTGCTGGGATTATAGGTGTGAGCCACCGCACCCCGCCATCCATTTCTCATTGATTTTCAGTTGATAATTGTTTCCTATACTTTAACTTCAATTTTTTTCAACTTCAGTAGTAAGAATTTTATAAACAAACATGTTCTTTGTTACCATTTTACAGAGGTCACCCAACTTTTCACAGAAGAGAGCTACTTTTGATTCCCCAATCCTGTGGTTGGTATTTAGATTGGAGTTTAACAGTTGCTTAATAAGAGGTGAATGGCTGCCAGCTCAGCTTCCCTCTCAACTGGGCCTCCATGGGAGCCTGTGGGAGAAAGCAGGAAGCTTTCACAAGTCTAGAATTTCATATTTGGGATAGACCTGTAATTAAGCAATCCCCCCCACCTTTTTTTTTTTTTTTTTTTTTTTTTTTGAGTCGGAGCCTTGCTCTGTCACCCAGGCTGGAGTGCAGTGGCGGGATCTCGGCTCACTGCAACCTCCGCCTCCCGGGTTCAAGCGATTCTCCTGCCTCAGCCTCCCGAGTAGCCGGGACTACAGGCACCCGCCACCACGCCAGACTAATTTTTGCATTTTTGGTAGAAATGGGGTTTCACCGTGTTGGCCAGGCTGGTCTCGAACTCCTGACCTCAGGTGATCCGCCCACCTCGGCCTCCCAAAGTGTTGGGATTATAGGCATGAGCCACCATGCCCGGCCTGTCACATTTTTTTTAAAGCAATTTAAATCTAAGTGAACCTACTTCTAAAACAGGAAAGAAAATAATTCATTTCAGCAAGAGATTAACTGAAATAGAGTATCTCCGTTTCCTTTGTTTTCTAGGAGCAGGCTGCCCTCTGGGGGTAAGCAGTATGCCATCAAGAAGGCTTTTAATGCATTTCATGCGTTTTGGCATTAACTACAAGCTTCAATTATATTCTTCTGTGTTCATTGATTGCATCACCCTGAAATGTGGTATTTATAGGACCACTTTATGATGACTCCATGAAAATGAATGGCAAGATCTGTATACAGACTTGCTTAGTTGTTAATGTCATTCTATATTATAAAGTCCTTAGAGAATAGAAGATTGTTTTTGTAAATTCTTACTGTTTTAATAAACTCAGTTTTCAGGGACCAAGAGCTTGACTTTCACTGTTTTTTTTTTTTTTTTAACAGAATATTGGAAGTGGCAAGATGTTCTCAATTAACAGATGTGGGCTTTACCACTCTAGCCAGGGTAAGTATTTTCTTTAGGTTCCATAGGTTTGTTTCCATAGGTTTTATTAGGGCTTTTTATTTCAGAAGAACAAGCAGCAAGGGAAATGTGAAATGGTAGCAGAATTGGGTGAGTGAGACGGGGTTTCATGCTATAGCTACAGACCTACTGATATCAATAAGAATACAAACTGCTCCTAGAAATGCACACATGCATTGGAGAATATAAAACCCCTTCATGATACTTTTTAAACAATTTTTTTTAAATTTTTTTGAGATGGGGTCTCGCTCTGTCACCCAGGCTGGAGTGCAGTGACACGATCTCGGCTCACTGCAACCTCCACCTCCCAGGTTCAAGCATTTCTCCTGCCTCAGCCTCCCGAGTAGCTGGGATTACAAGCATGTGCCACCACATCCAGCTAAGTTTTGTATTTTTAGTAGAGACAGGGTTTCACCATGTTGGCCAGGCTGGTCTTCAACTCCCAACCTCAAGTCATCCGCTCACCTTGGCCTCCCAAAGTGATGAGATTACAGACGTGAGCCACTGCACCCACCCATGAGACTTGATTCTTCACAATTTCATAAGCTAATAGATTAAGCAGGTGCTTCTTGGTACTTTGTGAAAAAACTTATTGGTTATTTGGTACATGACTAGTGGATGAAAGTAACATTGAAGGAAACACATGTCTGGTTCTAAATGGAAAGGTTTTAGGAGATTTTCTGTATTCTCCTGAGTATTTTAATACTTGGACGGGTTTATAAATTACTATATGATAATATTTAAAATTATACTGACTTTGACCAGTGTTATGGTACAAGGGGATGGTCGTTTGCTTTTAGGCAGATCGATAGAATATTAATTAGGTGGGAGCCAGCACATGGCATGACTAAAGGAGGCCATAGCCTGGGTGCAGTGGCTCATGCCTGTAATCCCAGCATTTTGGAAGGCCAAGGAAAGCAGATCGCTTGAGCCCAGCCCGGGCAACATGGCGAAATTTCATCTCTGTAAGAAATACAAAAGGCCGGGCGCGGTGGCTCATGCCTGTAATCCCAGCACTTGGGGAGGCCAAGGGGGGTGGATCACCTGAGGTCAGGAGTTCGAGATCAGCCTGACCCACATGGAGAAACCCTGACTTTACTAAAAACACAAAATTAGCCGGTGATGGTGGCGCATGCCTGTAATCCCAGCTACTTGGGAGGCTGAGGCAGGAGAATCGCTTGAATCCGGGAGGCGGAGGTTGCAGTGAGCTGAGATCGTGCCATTGCACTCCAGTCTGGGCAACGAGCGAAACTCTGTCTCAAAAAAAAAAAAAAAAAAGAGGAAAGGCCGGGCGCGATGGCTCACGCCTGTAATCCCAGCATTTTGGGAGGCCGAGGCGGGCGGATCACGAGGTCAGGAGATCGAGACCATCCTGGCTAACATGGTGAAACCCCGTCTCTACTAAAAATGCAAAAAATTAGCCAGGCGTGGTGGCGGGCGCCTGTAGTCCCAGCTACTCAGGAGGCTGAGGCAGGAGAATGGCGTGAACCCGGGAGGTAGAGCTTGCCGTGAGCCGAGATCATGCCACTGCATTCCAGCCTAGGTGACAAGAGCCAGACTCCATCTCAAAAAGAAAAAAAAAAGAAAAGAAATACAAAAATTAGCCAGGTGTGGTGGCACATTCCTATAGTCCCAGCTAATTGGGAGGCTGAGGTGGGAGAATCACCTGAGCCCAGGGAGTTGGAGGCTGCAGTGAGCCATGATTTCACCACTGCACTCCAACCTGGGTGACAGAGTGAGACCTTGTCTCAAAAGAAAGAAAAAAAAATTAGCATGACACTAGCTCTGAAACACCAAAGAATTTATCAACGTATTTAATATTACCTCTTAGTTTTCTGTCCTTAAAAGTTTCTCATGTTTTAAATGTTTGTACTGTAATGTTTGTGTTTGTTTTTGTACTTTGTAGAATTGCCATGAACTTGAAAAGATGGACCTGGAAGAGTGTGTTCAGGTAAGATTGTAGATTTTAATTCAGAAATACAGTATAGTAGACACTTAGATAATACACAACATCAGAATGTGCAATTCCCTACCCTAGTGTAGGATACTGTAGTGCCTGACAGCATTGCAGATTCCCCATTAAGTAAGGTATCTTCCAGGCAGAGGTGCTCATGGTATGTGTTGCAGAACTGTGGAAATATATGCCATCAATCAGGTTGCCATTAGAGAGAAAGGAGGCCCAAGCATTCAGGCTGTAAAGCTGTTAAAAATATTTCCTTAGACCTGTAGAGTTATGATGCTAGTAAATAATTAAAGCCCCATCACACTGATCTATATAGCACTGCCTTTCTTTAGCTTTGCTGTATCCTAGATCCCTGGCATCGTTAGCCCTGGAGACCTGACTCTGCATGGAACTCTGCCTTTAAGCCAAACTGATCTCCTGATTAACAGTTTTTATTTTTTAATTATTATTATTATTTTTTTGAGATGGAATTTCACTGTTGTTGCCCAGGCTGGAGTGCAGTGGCGAGATCTCAGCTCACTGCAACCTCCACCTCCCAGATTCAAGCAATTCTCCTGCCTTGGCCTCTGAAGTAGCTGGGATTACAGGCATGCGCCACCACACCCGGCTGATTTTTTGTATTCTTAGTAGAGATGGGATTTCACTGTGTTGGCCAGGCTGGTTTTGAACTCCTGACCTCAGGTGATCCACTTGGCTCGCCCTCCCAAAGTGCTGGGATTACAGACGTGAGCCACATTAACACAATTTTAAGAACTTTGAGATTATTAATTGACCAAGGAAAAACTTCGAACATGGGACTCCACAAAAGAAAGAGCAATTAATTTTTTAATGGTAAAAATAAAGAAGGCGAGATATGTCAGTAACTGTAAAAGCCACTTTCTAAAAAATTTTTTGTTTTATAGGCACTACTTAACAGCTGTTAGTTCTTACTAAACTAAAACTTGTTCGCATCCGTTTATCTCTTATACATGCCTGAGTGTCCTCTATGTCCCTTCCAGTGTTATTCCTTCTGAACGGACATGCCTGCCTGCTCGCCCACCCCCTTTCTCTACCATTTTGTAGCCCCTGTGAAGCTATGTGTAGTAGAAAATAATAAACTCAGAGTTGGAGAAGAATTTGAAAAGAAGTGCTGATTTACTTTCAGTCCTAACATAACCATGAAAACTGTTCTTCCTACCTGAATATTCTTGGTTAACCCAGATTCCAGCAGTGCCTGGCTGCCACCCTTGGGAAAATAACCCAAGTTATCGATACTGAGTAGTGGCATGCTTTATTAAAAATTTTAGGATGTTCCAACATTAATTTTTTTCATAGAGCACTGCACTATCTTCTGATTCCTTTCTCTGATTATTCTAAGGAGACAGAACAAAGTCCAGCAAGCACTATCGTCTGATTCCTTTCTCTGATGATTCTAAGGAGATAGAACAAAGTCCAGCAAGTAGAGGTTCTGGGGGACAGATTTTTTTAGAGACAGGGTCTTGCTGTTATCGCTCAGACTGTTTTTTTTCTTGCTGTTACCGCTCAGACTGTTTTTTTTTGTTTTGTTTTGTGGTGTGGGGTGGGGAGGACAGAGTCTCACTCTGTTGCCCAGGCTGGAGTGCAGTGCTCAGTCTCGGCTCACTGCAACCTCCACTTCCCAGGTTCAAGCAATTCTCCTGCCTCAGCCTCCCAAGTAGCTGGGATTATAGGCGCCTGCCACCACGCCCGGCTAGTTTTTGTATTTTAGTAGAGACAGGGTTTCAACATGTTGTCCAGGCTGGTCTCGAACTCCTGACTTCAGGTGATCCACCAGCCTCAGCTTCCCAAAGTGCTGGGATTACAAGCGTGAACTACCATGTCTGGCCCTGCTCAGACTGGTCTTGAATTTCTAACCTCAAGCAATCCTCCTGCCTCAGCCTCCCAAGCATTGTTGGGACTATAGGCGCAAGCCACTACAACTAGCTACCAAGGGGACAGATTTTGATTCATTTAAAAAATAAAACAGATTTTGAATAGAGCTGTCTAAAGATGAAGACTAGAGATGACTAGATGTGTTCAAATGTAGCCTGAGTGGATTCTCATAGAACAGGTTCAGGTAGCCAATGGGATTTAAACCGAAAGATTCTGTTATTTGATGATTGATTATTAAAATGTCTGGACTAGAAATGTAGTCAAGAATAAGACATGGGGGCTGGGCATAGTAGGTCACTCCTGTAATCCCAGCACTTTAGAAGCCTGAGGCAGGTGGATCACCTGAGGCCAGGAGTTCGAGACCAGCCTGGCCAACATGGCAAACCCCCATCTCCACTAAAAATATTCCGAGCATGGTGGCTCATGCCTGTAATTCTAGCACTTTGGGAGGCTGAGGTAGGTGGATCACCTGAGGTCGGGAGTTTGAGATCTGCCTGGCCAACATGGTGTAACCCCATCTCTACTAAAAATTCAAAAATTAGCTGGACGTGGTAGCACATGCCTATAATCCCAGCTACTTGGGAGGCTGAGGCAGGAGAATCGCTTGAACCCAGGAGGTGGAGGTTGCAGTGAGCTGAGATCGTGCCACCACACTCCAGCCTGGGCAACAGAGCGAGACTATCTCCAAAAAAAAAAAAAAACAACAAACTAGCCTGTAATCCCAGCTACTCGGGAGGCTGAGGCACAAGAATCACTTGAACCTGGGAGGTGGAGGTTGCAGTGAGCTGAGATCATGCCACTGCACTCCACCCTGAGCAACAGAGACTCTGTCTCAAAAAAAAAAAAAAAAAAAAAAAAAGAATGAATGAGGTATGGGGCTGCTACATGCAGTGGTTCACACCTGTCATCTCAACACTCTGTGAGGCGAGGCAGGAGGATTGCTTGAGCCTGAAAGTTGAAGACCAGTCTGGGTAACATAACAAGACCCTGTTTCTGCCCAAGAAAAAGTTTTAAATTTCTTGGGCATGGTGGTGCACACCTGTTGTCCCAGCCATTCAGGAGGCTGAGGCTGGAAGATGGCTTGAGCCTGGGAGGTTGAGGCTGCAATGAGCTGTGATCGCACATGGTGGCCTGTAGAGCTTTGGGAGGTTGAGGTGGAGGATTGCTTGAGCTCAGGAATTCAAGAGCAGCCTGGGCAACATAGGGAAACCCTGTCTCTACAAAAAAAAAAAAAAAATTTTTTTAATTTAAAAAATTAGTCCTGGTGGCTTGTGCCTGTTGTCCCAGCTACTCAGGGGGCTGAGGTGGGAAGATTGCTTGAGCCCAGAAGTTTTAGGCTGCAGTGAGCTTATAGTTGCACCACTACACTCTAGCCTGGGCAACAGAGCAAGACTAAAAGAAAAAAGAATCAGGTATGACTCAGGATTTTATTTGGATTATACCTAAAATCAACATACGTTATTTCTTTCAGATAACAGATAGCACATTAATCCAACTTTCTATACACTGTCCTCGACTTCAAGTATTGGTGAGTTTAACTTTGAAAACTTTATGTGTTTACTGGGTTTAATCAAAAGCCAGTGCTACAGTTCAAGAACCCAGCTCTTAGTGTCTGGCTACCATTTTAGGAAAGGATGCTTCTTCAAACTGCCAGCTTACTGAGAACCAAAGGAGTACATGAGTGAAGTAGGAAACAGATAAGAACTGAAAAAGTTAAATGTTTTCTATATCAATGCTTGAAGACTGAAAACTGCCTTGGAACATATGAGTTCTCTTTTGTAGATAACTTATACTCCAACCTGAATGATGTTTAAATTTCTAGAGATCCAGGGGATCAGATTGCCCAAAATACAATTTGCTTCACCTTAAGATGTAATGTTACTGGTCGTAAGAATGGAACCAATCAAAGCTTTACTAAGGGGTGTTCTGCTCCTACTTTCAGTGACACTAGAGGAAGGCATTCTGAGTGACTGTTCTGTTGTATCCAGGCTCATTTTTGGTGTTTGGTGACACAGTACTATCTAAAATTGGGTCAAGATTTTCTGAGTTTCCCAGGATCAGGGATTTAATAAATATTGATGAAGAGATGATGAGATGATCACACCTGACAGCTGTAAAAATCTTCAGCTAATTAATTGTTGGGGCATGTCTCTGAACCAGATATTCAATATTTAGTTCAAATTCCAGAAAACTGCATGAAAAGCTTGATTCCCATTTATCCCTGTAGAGAAGGAAAAGTGTTAATTTGAGGAAGGGGTAATTTTTAAGGCTGTCTTATTTTGTTTATGAAC
Source organism: Homo sapiens (assembly GCF_000001405.40). Lineage (NCBI taxonomy): Eukaryota > Metazoa > Chordata > Mammalia > Primates > Hominidae > Homo > Homo sapiens. The sequence continues at coordinate 39,264,633 of NC_000017.11, read as the reverse complement.
TACTTCATAGTCATTACATGAATTTATAAAATATATTTAGAATCACACACCAAAATATCAATCACTGATTGCCAAAAGCATAACCCCACTATCTCTAGTTTTTTAAATTTCACCACGTGGATCTAGTGCCAGCTCCATATTCATCAAAATCAAACCAAAATGTCTCCTTTCCAATTCACACAAGCCTCTGGCTAGAGGAATGCCAGAAGATATTTCAACATCCTTCCTTGCTCTATTTGGCTGCAGAGTCTGTCTCACTGTGAGCTGATCACAGATGATGGAATTCGTCACCTGGGGAATGGGGCCTGCGCCCATGACCAGCTGGAGGTGATTGAGCTGGACAACTGCCCACTAATCACAGATGCATCCCTGGAGCACTTGAAGAGCTGTCATAGCCTTGAGCGGATAGAACTCTATGACTGCCAGCAAATCACACGGGCTGGAATCAAGAGACTCAGGGTAAAAATGGCTACATAACTCTCCAACTCTAGTGTTAGCAGCACTTTCTTCTCTCTTTTTTTTTCCTTTTTTCAAATTTAGGTTCCTATGATTTTTATATTTACTTGAACATTTAACAAGGGAAAGAGAAAAAAGTGCAAACCTAAGGACAGATAGTTTTTCCCTCTGGCTCCAGAGATGGAAATTTAGTAGGAAAAGACCCACTGAAGGGAAGAAAAGTAGGTCTCCTCCCAGCAGAGTCTGTCTAATAATGTCTAGGGCTTAATAACATTCCCAGATTGAAGAAAAAAAAAAAAAAAAGCACATGCCACATTTTTGTTCTAAAGGAAAGAAAGGAATAACAGAGAAAGTGTTTGGTTAAATGGGATTTAAGAATTTAATTTGTAATTGTGTTTCACATTGAGCCCTCTTCCTGGGATTCATATTTTTTAAGGCAACAAGTAAAGTAGACATAGACTTTTACCTTTTCTGTCTTTCTTTTAAGAGATGGGATCTCACTCTGTTGCCCAGGCAGGAGTGCAGTGGCACCTTGTTAGCACACTGCAGCCTCGAACTCCTAGGCTTAAGATCCTCCCACCTCAGCATCCCCAGTAGCTAGGACTACAGGCACACACCACCACACCTAGGTAATTTTATGAAAAACTTGTTTTTTTCATTTTTTAAGACAGGGTCTCCTCTGTCACCCAGGCTGGAGTGCAGTGGCTCGATGTTGGCTCACTGCAACCTCTGTCTCCCAGGCTCAAGGCTTCCTGCCACCCCAGCCTCCCAACAGCTGAGACTACAGGCGTGTGCCATCACGCCAGCCTGATTTTTTGTATTTTTGGTAGAGACGGCATTTTACCATGTTGCCCAGGCCGGTTTCAAACTCCTGAGCTCAAGCGATCTGCCTGCCTTGGCCTTCAGAAGTGCTGGGATTATAGGTGTGAGCCACCATGCCCGGCCTTAAAAAACTATTTTGTGGAGACAAGGTCTTGCTATGTTTCCCAGGCTAGTCTCAAATTCCTGGCCTCAAGCGATCCTCCCACCTCAGCCTCCCAAAGTGCTCGGATTACAGGTGTGAGTCACTGTGCCAGGCCCAGATTTTTACCTTTGCTTTTGGACCTATCCACCATAATAGAGAGACCCAGGTATAGCCAAATAACTAGAAAAAGAAGTTTTTTGTTCTTTTTTTTTGAGACAGAGTCTCGCTCTGTCACCCAGGCTGGAGCGCAGTGGCATGATCTTGGCTCACTGCAAGCTCTGCCTCCCAGGTTCACGCTATTCTCCTGACTCAGCCTCCCCAGTAGCTGGGACTACAGGTGCATGCCACCACGCCCGGCTAATTTTCTTTTTGTATTTTTAGTAGAGGCAGAGTTTCACCGTGTTAGCCAGGATGGTCTCGACCTCCTGACCTCGTGATCCGCCCGCTTCAGCCTCCCAAAGTGCTGGGATTACAGGCATGAGCCACTGCGCCCGGCCGAAAAAGAAGTTTTAAAAAGCTGGATGAATCTGTGTGTTAGATTGTTCTGCTCAACAGATGTTTATTGGAACATCTGCTTCACACCTGCTGTAGGAAAGGCAGTGTGCTTATTCAGGCCCTTAATACCAACCTCTAGGCCAGTCGCGGTGGCTCACGCCTGTAATCCCAGCACTTTGGGAAGCTGAGGCATGAGGATCACCTGAAGTCAGGAGTTCAAGACCAGCCTGGTCAACATGACGAAATGCCATCTCAACTAAAAATACAAAAATTAGCCGAGCATGGTGGCAGGTGCCTGTAATCCCAGCTGCTCAGGAGGCTGAGGCAGGAAAATCGCTTGAACCAGGAGGCGGAGGTTGCAGTGAGCCAAGATCACACCATTGCACTCCAGCCTGGGCAACAAGATGAAACTCTATCTCAAAAAAAATACCAACCTCTAAAAAATCCACGTTGGCCACATGGCCTTGAGCAAATAAAAGAGTACCAAACTTCATCTTGAGTTCGAGTTGGCCTCAGTTCCTCTTCCCCTCTTCAGACATAGAGGACTGTGAGCATAATTGCACTGGGGGTGGCCTTGCAGCCATTTTTTTTCTTCACCAAAGAGAATGAGAGCCACAGGTCAACCAGAGCCTCTTACGTGCCTACTTACATTAGGGTTCCTAGACTGCCTGGCTGCCAGGAGTCTCTTCCATCTCCCATCCTTGGGCGGACCACTTGAGGTCAGGAGTTCGAGACCAGTCTGGCCAACATGGTGAAACCCCGTCTCTACTAACAATACAAAAATTAGCCTTTGTATTTTTAGTAGAAACGGGGTTTCACCATGTTAGCCTGGATGGTCTCAATCTCCTGACCTCGTGATCCGCCCGTCTCGGCTTCCCAAAGTGCAGGGATTACAGGCGTGAGCCACCGCGCCCGGCCCTCAGTTTTATTATTACACAAACAGGTACCAAAGTCATATGAGTTGTTCTGGTCATTGAGAACAACCTAGGATGGAACAAAGTAGAACCCAGGCCCTCTAACATCCTGACCAGTGCTCAGCCTTTGCCCTGCTTTTATGTTCATTGAGCCCCTCGGTAGTTTTTCTAAGAACCAACATTGCTCTTTCTGTTTAAGCCCTCTCTTAAACGTTTAATGTTTCTGTCTTGTTTCAGACCCATTTACCCAATATTAAAGTCCACGCCTACTTCGCACCTGTCACTCCACCCCCATCAGTAGGGGGCAGCAGACAGCGCTTCTGCAGATGCTGCATCATCCTATGACAATGGAGGTGGTCAACCTTGGCGAACTGAGTATTTAATGACACTTCTAGAGCTACCGTGGAGTCTCTCCAGTGGAAGCAACCCCAGTGTTCTGAGCAAGGGTTACAAAGTGAGGGAGGGCAGTGTCCAGATCCCCAGAGCCACACATACATACACATACACACCCTTACCCCCATCCACTCTAGCTTTGTGACCATGGGACTGAAGTTTGTGATGGCTTTTTTATCAAGTAGATTGGTAAAATTTAACCATTCCTGTTGAGGTGCCCATAAGAAAATCATAGGCCAAGATAGGGAGGGGCATTCCAGCAAACCCCGTGTTAATGCTACTGTGGTTTTTAAATTTTTGTCTAGGGGTTTCTTTGGGGATTTTAGAACAGCATCTGCTGTCCTCCGGGGTCAAGAAAAGCATGGAAAGACAATATATGATGTACCCAGGGACCAGAAAGAAAATTTCTTTGCATCTTAGAAATGGTAGACATTCATTGTGACTAAAGAGCTTCTATGCTTCCTTGTTTCCATGCCAACATGCTGAGCATGCTCACAAAGAAGGCTCGTCCATTCCTCCTGTGTTTTAGTATTTGGCCCAGAGGTTTCCTAAATGGTTGCCTTGAAATCACTGTGGTCCAAATGTAATTCTTACACACTCAAATTATCACTGTCTGTAGCACACTTGTGCACCTGTCTTACATTCTCTGTTGCTCCCCCCCACACTCTTGCTCAGTCTGTCACCTGTTCAGTCTGCTTACTCACTCAATTGTTACCCTTTTGCTGTTGTCGTGTTTACAGTTTGCATTTTGAATGATTAGTTGGGATTACCAAACATTTTTTAAAAAGATATTATCAATAAATATTTTTTTAATTCTAAATTTTACCATTAGGGGACCCTGCCTGAATCTTTGCCAACCTGCAAGGAAACTCTAATGAAAGCAAGAAAAGTTATGAGAAGAAACTGTTTTGATGAAAACAGATGCTACCTTTTGGTTTCTATTTTATCTTCTGATATGTGATAATTCGCATGGTATCCCCAATATTCCCCCTACATATTCTTCCTTCTGTCAGACTCCACCAACTGTATCATAAGGAAAGAGAGAGATGTATTATTAGGAAAGAGTGAAAATGATAAATCACAAAACAGAGCCTGAAAGTCCCCAACACCCAAGTTCAGACATTAATGATTAATGTTATTATATATTTACTGAAATCTAGGAGTGATCAGTGGCATCTCTGACCTATGAGGTTGTTTTAACAGGAATGCCACTAGAGGAGCTGTGTATTCTAGCCAGTCTGTTTCTCTCTTTTCCCCCATTTCAGCCTTTCAGGGATACAAGAATGGCTCTATAACAGCTGGTCAATTGTATGTCAGTGTTAATGGATTCATATCTAGTGTTGGCACCCCAAAGGGCCAGAACCTTCCCATAACCTGTCAGTCATCTCTCTTTTCTGCCCCAGTCTTTTTTTTTTTTTTTTTTTTTTTTTAAGACGGGTTCTCACTCTTGCCCAGACTGGAGTGCAGTGGTGCGATCTCGGCTCACCGCAACCTCCACTTCCCAGGCTCAAGCGATTCTCTTGCCTCAGCCTACCGAGTAGCTGGGATTACAGGCATGCACCACTACTGCCTGGCTAATTTTTGTATTTTTAGTAGAGATGGGGTTTCACATGTTGGCCAGCCTGGTCTTGAACTCCTGACCTCAAATGATCCACCTGCCTCAGCCTCCCAAAGTGCTGGGACTACAGGCATGAGCCACCATGCCCGGCCCTGTTCAGACTTCTGAATGAAGTATGAATGTAGCCAGGTGAAGCATTGAGGCAGCTGAAAGAGAACACTGAGAGGAAGTAAGGGGTTTAGTGTCTCTGCTTAGCCTGGGCACTAGAACTGAGGGAGGAATTTAGTGTCCAGGACTCAAGAGTCCAAGAAGAAGCACCCTCTGTCTTCCCAAAAAATCAGAGGATAAAGGAAGTAAAATGAGTTTTTAAAGCATAAGAAGAAAATTTCTAAACCCCAAGATTAGAAACCCAGTGTGATTTTTAGTAGGGTGATTTTGGCGGGGGGTGTCCTTTGAGACATTAATGTGCAATCCATCATAATATTAATCTTCTATATGATCCAGACTATTAAAAGGCTTGTTTTATTTATTTATTTTATTTTATTTTATTTTTTTAGAGATGGGGTCTCGCTATCTTGCCCAGCCTGGACTCAAACTCCTGGGCTCAAGCCTTCCTCCCACCTCAGCCTCCCAAGTAGCTGGGACTACAGGTGTGTGCCACTGTACCCAGCTTAAGAGGTTTGTTTTAATGCTGCAGTTGCTGATTATACCAGCATATATAAGAATAAAGTCTGATTTATTTATCCATTGATTTAGAAGGCAATTGGATGAAAGGGTCTTAGAAGTCTATACTATCCATTAATATTTATCATATTAAATTTATTTTAAATCCTGTTTTATTGTGCCGCTTTAAAAACGCAGATTACTTGTTTATTCATTCCCCTTTCCCCTTATTCTCTTTCAGATTACCTTATAAGGAATATAGTTTTTAACATGAAACTCAGTTTCTTGTCTGTACCCCTACACATAAAAATACATACGTGCATACACACATACTTCCAGATGTGGTTAATAATATTCAGATCCCTAGGTTACTCAAACAAAACTAAAGGAGAGAACTATTTAGGGGCCATCTGCTTTAAAGTTTAAGGTGTTTTGTTGTTGTTTTAGTGCCTGTACAAATTGACCATAAAACCCAGATTGATTAGTGAGTGTGGATTTGAGTTGCCTAAGTTGAGGCTATTAAGGTACTTCTTTACTTAAAAGATAAGTTTAAAAGACTCTATTCATCAGTTCATGATGATCTTGGAAATGCTGTTTCTCTGCTCAAAGGATATACCCACAGGCAGGTCCATGGGGACTTGCTCTGGTGATCTCTGCTATTAAGGCAAATTCCAGCCTGTTTGTGCCAAGAACAGAGTCAAGTGAGAGAGAATGAAGACTCAGAGATGTGCAGCACTGGCTTGTATGTTGTCAGGCAGAAGCCTTGTTCCTTTCTCAAGAAAACTTCAGGCCTATCAAGCTTGGAAGGAAATACATTTTTTTATGCTGATTTGCAGCCTACACCAGCTGATGAATATGCTAGGACTTTGAGAGAACACAAAGCATGGTAAGTTTTGGTCAGGTGGAAAGGAGCCTGACATCTGAACATAATGCTTCCTCTCTCAACATCTGGGATACTTTTGAAAATTCAGTAAGGCTTAATGTAGGAAAAATTCTTTACAGGAAAAGCTAATTGATCTGTTTGTCTAACCTCATAGCCACTCCAAAATATGCCTTTTATAATGGAAAAAAACAGTGAACAGAGAGAAGAGATTTGGGGATAAGTTAGAAGGTACCCTCAAAACTACTGCCGTAAACCTACAGGTGGGCAAGGAGGAATTACTGTAGTGTCTCTGGAGAAAGTTCTTGAACATCCAAATCATCTCTTTTCTAAGCAGTTTTTCCCCTAATCTCATACCTTACATCTTCCAGCATCATTTGCTACATCAATGTCTTTTCATCCTCTTCATCAGCCCCATTGAGCTGACTCCAGCTTATTTTTGCACTGATTTCCACCATTTCCTTCCCACACCCATCCTTTCCCTCTATTTAAAGCCTCCATCTCACCCTCAGTAATGCTGCTGATTTACTCTCAGATGTCTCAAGTCTAGCTTCCTTTTTGAATCCTTCTCCTACTCCAGGGGCTGTCAAAGGCAGCCTTAAAGTTCAGTGACTGTTAGGTGGCTCAGGCCATTTTTCATTGGGTGGTCTTTGGTGTTTGCATACTGAATTTGAATTCAGTTTAAAAGCAAACTGTTGGATATGAGGAAGAAAGGGATATGGCCTTAGCCCTTTTTCCAATATTTGGAATATGAAAGCATATTGTGCTTTGTGTAAAAAATGTTTTCTTCTCCTATTCTGCTCTTGTCTTTACTGAAGGTAAAAGTATTCCTTAAGTAGCTTTTGCAAATTTCTAGTCTGATTTCCACATTCATTAAGTTGATTTAGCAGACATGTAAGTCAGAAGTTTCACATATCCCTTGTATCAAACATTTTATAGGGAAACCTAGTAAATTTATGATGCTTCATTTTGGGCTTTCCAGACTATTTGAGTTATTCAAGATAGCCATAATGTTTTAGTAGCGACATTCTTTTATTACTTCTAATTGCCTTGTAAAATGCATTGTTATGGCCCGGCACGGTGGGTGGATCACAAGGTCAGGAGTTCAAGAACAGCCTGGCCAAGATGGTGAAATGCTGTCTCTACTGAAAATACAAAAATTAGCCAGGTGTGGTGGCAGGTGCCTGTAATCCCAGCTACTCGGGAGGCTGAGGCAGAGAATTGCTTGAACCCGGGAGGTGGAGGTTGCAGTGAGCTGAGATCGCACCACTGCACTCCACCCTGGGCGACAGAGTGAGACTATCTCAAAAAAAAAGAAAGAAAGAAAGAAAAAAATGCATCGTTACTAGTTTGATAGCCCACTAATGCCATGGGGGACTAAACAAAATATGTGATGAAACCTGTCTTGGTTTGAAGTTGTTAGAAAGTGTGAGAGTGTCACTGGAAAGAAGAGAGTGGCTTCCTGCCTGCTTGTTTAGTCAGCATGTCCTTAGGTGACTGTGTTGTTGGGAGAAGAGCACTCATGGGTCATGGGTGACCCTTGGCCATTTTATGTTTATTGTGCTGAAAGTCACAGGCGGCTCATGCCAGTTGCTACCAGTGAGAGGAGGGGTTTAAAGGAAATTGCTCTATTTTGCCTTATTCCTCCTTATGTGTATGATTTAAGGGTAGGCTTTTATCCTGGTTGTATCTCCTGGCTGACAGACTTTCTCAATCATATGTTTGAGCTCTGAAGCATTTTACAAAAAGATTGCCTCTCTATCTGCCTGCCAATCCTAGAATCTTTAGCCACCTCAAACCCAGGCACTGTGAATTAGCCAAGTCCTGTTTGAGAAGAAATGTAGGATGTTTGGTTGGAATTCTTGAGACAGAACCTCTCTCCCCATTAATGATGTTGTACCAAAGAATTCTAAAGCAGTAAAAGGATAATGGGGAAAAATGGAGTCACAGCCTTTCCTCGCCTATATTTCTTTTTTTTTTTTTTTTTTTTGACATGGAGTCTCGCTCTGTCACCCAGGTTGGAGTGCCATGGCACAATCTCAGTTCACTGCAACCTCTGCCTCCTGGGTTCAAGTGATTCTTCTGTTTCAGCCTCCCAAGAGGCCAGGATTACAGGTGCCCACCACCACGCCCAGCTAATGTTTGTATTTTTCATAGAGATGGGGTTTTGCCATGTTGGCCAGGCTAGTCTCGAACTTCTGACCTCAAGTGGTCCACCTGCCTTGGCCTCCCAAAGTGCTGGGATTACAGGTGTAAGCCACCGCACCTGGCCAGTTTCTATCATAAATTTTAAATGTAAGATTGGAAGATACAGAGAGCTGTATAAAATCATACCAGTAGGGTATAATTAGCCCAGGTAGTTTAGGAATAAAATTGGGTTGTATCCGAGTGCCCTAACTTGACATTTTGATTCTCCAGCAAAGAACATAGGTTACTAGGTTACTAACCTTGCCTTCTCACTTGGGATAAACTTTTTTTTTTTTTCTTGTTGCCCAGGCTGGAGTGCAATAGTGAGATCTCGGCTCACCGCAACCTCCGCCTCTTGGGTTCAAGCGATTCTCCTCCCTTAGCCTCCCGAGTAGCTGGAATTACAGCCTGTGCCACCACGCCCGGCAAAATTTGTATTTTTAGTAGAGACGGGGTTTCACCATGTTGGTCAGGCTGGTTTCAAACTCCCAACCTCAGGTGATCTGCCCACCTCAGCCTCCCAACATGCTAGGATTACAGGCGTGAGCCACTGCGCCCAGCCCAGGATAAACATTCTACCTGCCTGAAAGTACCATAAGAGGCAAGTGAGTTTCTTGCATGATGGGCTTCTGCAGCTTCCCCCTCAAGTCACATCTACCTGTTGTATTTATTTATTTATTTATTTTTGAGACAGAGTCTCGCTCTGTTTCCCAGGCTGGAGTGCAGTGGCGTGATCTCGGCTCACTGCAAGCTCCACCTCCCAGGTTCACGCCATTCTCCTGCCTCAGCCTCCCAAGTAGCTGGGACTACAGGCTCCCGCCACCACGCCCGGCTAATTTTTTGTATTTTTAGTAGAGACGGGGTTTCACCCTGTTAGCCAGGATGGTCTCGATCTCCTGACCTCATGATCCACCCGCCTCGGCCTCCCAAAGTGCTGGGATTACAGGCGTGAGCCACCGCGCCCGGCCCGTTGTATCTATTTTTTTTAGACGCATCAATTCAGTGTCTCTGAAGCCTTTGATCGTTAGGAAGGTCAGTACATAACCTCTTAGGTGAAGCTGAGTTGATCTTTGGAGCCCAAGAGAGTTAATTTTCAGGAGAAAAAGAATTAGGGCAAGCTCCCCTGTGGGATGTTAAGAGAAAGTCCATATGCGCTTCTTCCATCTCTGCCTCTTGTTTTTAAATAAGTGCTTGTGAAGTTCAGTTTATAGAGGTTGAGTCTCAGTGCTTCCTCAGCCAGGGTGGTTTATTGCTGTTTTACAAAGAACCATGAACAAGCAAAATCCTATCAATAGTCCTTTCTGTTTTATGTTTTATAGTCTTATTTTGAAGAATCGGCATGGTAAAATGATAGACAAGTTTCAAATAAAGCAGATAATTAGCTCTAGAATTGGGGTACTTTGCCTCAGGTACAGCATCTGTCTTGAATACATAGTGATGGCTGTGTCACACATGGGTACATTTACTTTCCTCTCTGATCAACTGCACCCCTTTTTACTGGCAAAGAGGGCTCCTACTTTCTACACACTTAACCAGTCAAACAGATAGGTTTTGGCACCACCGAAAGAACCACAAGTGCACCCCAGCTGCATCTGGGCATGGTTTTGGTACTAGGACTAGAGAAGTGAGCAGTAAATGACAGTCCTTACCCTAGGAAGAGATGGGAGAAGAGAGGTGTCCAGACATATTTACCTTTTCTCTTCTGTCATGCCCCAAGAACCAAGGATCATCTTTGAAGTGACGTCTTTTTTGTTAAATTGGAAGAAGAAAACTTTGCAGCCAGGCGTGGTGGCTCACGCCTGTAATCCCAGCACTTTGGGAGGCCGAGGCGGGCGGATCACAAAGTGTCAGGAGTTTGAGAACAGCCTGGCCAACATGGTGAAACCCCATCTCTACTGAAAATACAAAATCCCAGCTACTTGGGAGGCTGAGGCAAGAGAATCACTTGAACCTGGGAGGCGGATGTTGCAGTGAGCCGAGATCACGCCACTGCACTCCAGCCTGGGCAACGGAGTGAGACTCCATCTCACAAAAAAGAGAAAAGAAAAGAAAACTTTGCTTCACTAAGTTTCTCTTGCCATTATCTCATTAATTCAGATCTGTACCTCATTGCTGCTCACACATATATGTTTCTTACCTTAGCCTGAACCTTCTCAGGCCTTGAAGTCATTATTCTACTCTTTTTTTTTCTTTTCCTTTTTTATGGCACTAGAGAATGAAAACCTAAGGTCTTAGAAAATCTTAACTTGAAAAAGTCTCTAACTGGCATGATTTGATTACTTTTTTCCCCTGTGGACAAATAATTTTCTTTCCTATATAATAGATTTTTAGTAAGTGAAACCTTTGCTGCTGCTTTCCTGGGTTTACATTAGTTTTTTCCTGCCCTTAAGAATAATTTATCTGTGCTTCTCTGATGACTGTTAATTTCTAATAGTGCAGGAAGGGATGAGCTTTTGATTTCTTCTCACTCCCCTCCTCACCCTACTTCCAAATTACACACTAACTTCTAACCCTTACAGCCTGTTGGCACATACACAAGATCCACGAGACCATGCTCCTCAGAAGCTACCCATGTCCTTTCTCACCATGGTGTGGCTCTTGGAGCCCTGAGTATCTGTGACTACCCACTCCAAAGGTTGACTGTAAGAGGAGAGCGGCCTTCTTAATTTTGCATTTCTTAATTTTGTTTTTCTCCATTCCTGTTTTATGACTTGGCCTTCAGATGCTTCCTACTCTGGCCTCCTCCTTTTTTCTCCTAGGAATTGTTTCCAGGTAACCTACCATGTGCACTTCTCAGCTGCTCTGCTCACCTTTGCCCACCTTCCCGTGACCCTGAGAGTACAGATCCGAATAATGTGGCCTGTGCAGAGCTCAGAGAACTGTGAGGACTACCCATGCCTGTCAGACTCTGCTCAGGGACAGAGATGGATGGGTAAATGGTGCTGTTGGAGACATTTTTATCTTCATACCAGGCTCTGTTTCATCCCTGCACCCCGCACCCCCACTCACTCCCCTGAGGGGGTAAAATGCAGAGGTGGTTGACCTGAAGGGTCTGATTCCCTCCTTCCCAAGCCTTAGGGCCTACCCTGGAGTGCTGCAGTGTGTGAGAGCTGCTGCTTGCTTGTTTCTCCACTAGGCCTGCTCCAAATGCTTAGCCAATCTCTGGAGCCGACACAGTTGCCTACGGGGTGACTTAGCACCAGGTTCCATTAGCTCTCCAAGTGACTGTTTCCACCCAGTACTTTTGGCGCTTGAGGATGGGGGGAGGGGGATTATTTAAAATAAATAAAATCCGAGGTGGCAGTAGAGGATTCCTTTTGCTTTAAAAATCTTTGGACTAAAAAAAAAAAAAAAAAGTTTTTTATATATAAATATATAAAGTAAATTGTTATGTAACTATTATTGTTTCTTGTATGTTCTAATTTTGTTTTATGATGTAATTAAAGAAAGTAAGCTGTGAAGACTTTTCATTTTCCTGTGGAAATAGCCTGACTTTGAGCAGTGATTCTTAACTTCCTTGAACCCTAGAACTACTCGTGAGGCTGAATGAAGGGACTTCCTTTTGGCATCCTTATATTTTTGAATACTTTTTAATAGCCTTTATTTAATACTCATTTACTCATTTAATAACCTCCGTTTAATACTTTTTTAACAGCCATTATTTAATACCCTGAGCTTCACTTGTCCTCGAGAAACATGGAAGACATAATGTAAATGAGTTGCCTTAGTTAATTTGATGGATAAAATTCAAGCCAAGTCCCTTCTCTCTGCAGAGCATTCATTGCCCTTACCTTGACTATGAAGGAGTGAAGATGGAGTAGTGTAATGGTTAAACACACAAGCTCGAAAGTCAGATTGCCTGAGGTCAAACCTATACCATTTATCTTGTATGACCTCAGCCAATTAACCCCCCTTTCTCAGTTCTCCATTGGTAAGATGGGGATAACAGTATCTACTTTATAGAGTTGTAAAGATTAAATGAGATAATGGTACATAGTAAACACTCATGTGTTGGCTGCTTTTATTCCCTTTATCTCAACTAATATTTCAATACCTAGTCTTGTGCTAGAGGCCTCTAGGGCTTAAAGATACACAAACATAAATGCAACAGGGTCCCTATTGTTTTGGTAGAGATGAGCAGTAGAGCCAACTCAGCAAACTAAATTTAAATCTCTATCTACCTTGCCATGAAGCACCCTTGGGGAGCCCTGTGGAATCAAAGGCCCCACTTTACATCTGTTTATTCTGCATAAAGACCTGGTCTAGATAAGTCCCAACACAGTCCCTTCCAGGGATGCAAGCAGTGTCTGCTCAGTTGTCCATATTAACTTTTAAGTAAATATTAAACAGACTTCCCTTTACCCCATCCATTGGTTATCATCTCAGAGCCTTCTTCCTTCCCACCCTCCCTAGCAGAGGCTACCTGGTTCAAGTCTCATCAAAGATGATTAGTAAATAATACCGTAGGTAAATTATCAGCAAATAATTATGCAAGGTTTTTGTGTTTTGTTTTGTTGTTGTTGTTTTTGAAATGGAATCTCTCTCTTGTGGCCCAGGCTGGAGTGCAGTGGCACAATCTCAGCTCACTGTAACCCCACCTCCTGGGTTCAACCAGTTCTCCTGCCTCAGCCTCCCGAGTAGCTGGGATTACAGGCGTGTGCCACCAGGCCCAGCTATGTTTTTTGGTTGTTGTTGTTGTTGTTGTTGTTGTTTTTGACAGTCTTGCTCTGTCACCAGGCTGGAGTGCAGTGGCGTGATCTTGGCTCACTGCAACCTCTGCCTCCCGGGTTCAAGCCATTCTCCTGCCTCAGCTTCCCAAGTAGCAGGGATTACAGGTGCCCACCACCACGACCAGCTCATTTTTGTACTTTTAGTAGAGACAGGGTTTCACCGTGTTAGCCAGGATGGTCTTGATCTGCTGACCTCGTGATCCGCCCACCTCGGCCTCCCAAAGTGCTGGGATTACAGGCGTGAGCCGCCGTGCCCGGCCTGGCTATGGTTTTTTTGTATTTTTAGTAGAGATGGGATTTCACCATATTGGCCAGGCGGTCTTGACTCTTGACCTCAAGTGATCTGCCTGACTCAGCCTCCCAAAGTGCTGAAGATTACAGGCGTGAGCCACCAAGCCCGGGCTTATGCAAGAATTTTTAAGAGGGCACTTGTCTCTTAAAAATGACTTGTCTTCCACTTTGTGCATTTGGAAATCATCAAATATACTTTTCTGTATATTTGAAGATTTTCGTAATAAAACTTTAAGGGAGGGAGAATGGAAAAAAACAGTTAAGATATGACCTGATACCATTTGTCTTTTAAGAAAGCGTTTACTGTTTAATATAAAAGTGGTTTTCTGGGCCTGGTGCGGTAACTGAGATCGTGCCACTTCACCACTTCACTCCAGCCTGGGCAAAAGAGCGAAACTCCATCTCAGGAAAAAAAAAAAAAAAAAAAAGTGGTTTTCTGTATGGAAAAAGAGGACTAGATTCCTACCTGCAAGATACACAAAAATCAATTTCAGTTGGTTACTGACCTAAACGTGAAAAGCAAAACTGAGTCAAACCTTTTTTTTTTTCTTTTGGAGACCAACCCCGGGGCTCACTGCAACCTCTGCCTCCCGGGTTCAAGAGATTCTCCTGCCTCAGCCTCTCAAATAGCTGGGATTACAGGCACACACCACCATGCCCAGCTAATTTTGTATATTTTATAGAGACAGGGTTTCACCATGTTAGCTAGGCTGATCTCGAACTCCCGACCACTGGTGATCCGCCCACCTCAGCCTCCCAAAGTGCTGGAACTACAGGTGTAAGCCACCACGCCCGGCCAAAAAAGAGCCTCTTTTCTTTATAAATTAAAAAAAAAAAAAAGTAGGCCAGGCACGGTGGCTCACGCCTGTAACCCCAGCACTTTGGGAGGCTGAGGCAGGCGGATCACGATGTCAGGAGTTTGAGACCAGCCTGGCCAACGTGATGAAACTCATCTCTACCAAAAATGCAAAAATTAGCTGGGCGTGGTGGTGCAAGCATGTAATCCCAGCTATGCGGGAAGCTGAGGCAGGAGAATTGCTTGAATCCTAGAGGTGGAGGTTGCAGTGAGCCCAGATTGATTGCACCATTGCACTCTACCTCTGGGCATCAGAGCAAGACTCCCATCTCAAAAAAAAAAAAAAAATTAAATTTATGACTTTAGGGAAAGATTAATAAAATTTAAGGTAAAAAAAAAAAAAAAGTCAAGCACAGTGGTGCACACCTATAATCCCAGCTACTGAGAGTTTAGATGGAAGGATCACTTGACACCAAGAGTTCAAGACCAGTCTGGACAACAGAGACCTCATCTCTTAAAACTAAGGAAACAATATGTCTAAATTTTTTTTTCTAAAAGCCCCATAGCCTCAATTCTAGATAATAGCTATAGTATTTCCTAAATCTCTTAGAACTGAGTTTTTTAGTAGGTACAGTGATTTGAATATTGAATGGTCTTTTGGAGGCTTTAGTAATTAGTTTTGCCCAAACTAATTGTGAAAAAAAGATCCAGCTGGATTGATTTATTCCCTTGTTCCAGACCCCATCCTTTGCCCTAGTTTATAGTTTAAGCAGAAGACATTTCCCCTTGGGGACAATAAAGCCAAGAAAACTGAACACCACATTAAATGTTCAACACATTGGACAACACATTAAGTGTATATACCTTTTAAAAATTAACTTTTAATTTAAAAAGGGCTTAAAATTTTTAAATGAATTAACACTCTCAGTGATCACCAGCCAACACTGCTCATGGCAAAAGCTCTTTCCACATTGCCAGTTTTTTTTTTTTTTTTTTTGCCTCATAAACTTGGCCAGCTCAGAAGAACGAATGGGTAAGGAAGACTTCCAACAGCCATTGCTGCTGACCAGAAAGAAAAGTGAAGCTGGAGGCTACTTGCCTCCTCTCGGGGTGAGATGCAAGATACTTTGGCTCACCTGGAGCCTGTTGAGTCAGCCAAGTGTTTTAACAAGGTTTCTGGTGAAGACAAGCTATCAGTCTCTTGAGCAGTGGAGTTCCCCTGGCCTAGGTCAGAACCAAGTAGTAGCCATCTGGATTCTGCACCGAAAGCAGTAAAAAGGCACCAGCAGGACCAGTCAGGTCCTCACCCTCCAAGCAGCCTACAATGCGTCTGGCACACCCAAGTGTTTTTTTGTTTTATTTCTTTTTTTGAGGTGAAGTTTCGCTCGTCACCCAGGCTGGAGTGCAGTAGCACGATAGTTCACTGCAACCTCCACCTCCCGGGTTCCAGCGATTCTCCTGCCTCAGCCTCCCGAGGAGCTGGGATTACAAGTGCCCGCCACCACGCCTGGCTAATTTTTGTATTTTTAGTAGAGATGGGGTTCCACCATTTTGGCCAGGCTGGTCTTGAACTCCTGACCTCATGATCTGCCCACCTCGGCCTCCCAAAGTGCTGGGGTTACAGGTGTGAGCCACCACGCCCGGCCACACGTGTCTTAAAACCCGACTTCACATCTACCTCTTCCTACCCCCTTGTGTACATAAGCCAAGCTGACCAGCTCTGGCATGTGGAGGGGTGGAAGGCAAACATCTGAATAACCAGATGCCAAGCAGACTAGTCAGAGGTGCCCTATGCCAGATGATGTCCAGGAAGCACCTGCCCTTCTGCCTTGTATCATGCCAGGGGCAGGTGGAGAAAAGTGGGGGCCTTACCTTTCCCTCTAATAAACTCCCTGACAACAGAAACTGGAGCATTTTTTATTTAATGAGGATGCATTTATTCAGTCATGTTTTTCCTAAGCAATAAATATCTTTTAGCTATACAAATCCCTCTCCCCTTGACACAAAGCTGGCATTCACAGGTGTTTGCTAGTTAATTGGGACACATCCCCTTAATCCCCTTCAAAGAGGTTTTTTGTTTGTTTGTTTGTTTTTGAGACGTTTGAGACAGACTCGCTCTGTCACCCAGGCTGGAGTGCAGTGGGGCAATCTCGGTTCACTGCAACCTCTGCCTCCTGGGTTCAAGGGATTCTCCTGCCTCAGCCTCCCAAGTAGCTGGGACCACGGGCACGTGCCAGCACGCCCGGGTAGTTTTTTGTATTTTTTATAGAGATGGGGTTTTGCCATGTTGGCCAGGCTGGTTTTGAATTCCTGTCCTCAAGTGATCCACCTGCCTCAGCCTCCCAAAGTGCTGGGATTACAGGCATGAGCCACTGCGCCTGGCCCCCAAAGAGCCTTTTAGTCTCATTTAGGAGACGGAATATATGCTCAGCACACTCTTATCCCCCTTTATAGGGCCAGCCAGGCACACTCCTCTGCCTCTAAAATCCCTTTTTTCACCACAGCCACAAAGTATGATTCGTCCTTAAAATTCTGGACCACCTGTAAGAGTGAAGCGGGCACAAAGGCAATTTTGTTATTGGAGCCAAAGAGAACAAGCCATGCCATGGAAAAGAAAGCTTAATCTGAGGCAGAAGTGTTAGCGAGGCCTCCGTGGGGATTTGCGACAGGAAATGGCTGCCCTTTATCTGGTCACTGAGGAGAATGAAGATGCCCCCGGTGCCCTGGTGGAAAAGGTGATGGATCTGATTGGCTGGGATGGCCAGAGCTCAGCCAGTTTCCCCATCAGCTCTACAGCACTGAGTTCATCCAGAGAGATCTCTTGATAAAAGTCTGGGGGCATGGGCAACACAGAGGCAGGGGTCAGCAGGGGAAGGGAGTCCAGAGATGTGCCCACAGGAAACCAGGGGTGCCAGGAAGATGGCTATGGGGTGGGGGGAGGAGAAGTAAAGAGGGAAAAGTTGGCTGGGTGTGGTGGCTCATGCCTGTAATCCCAGCACTTTGGGAGGCCGAGGGGTGGATCACGAGGTCAGGAGTTCAAGACCAGCCTGGCCAAGATGGTGAAACCCCATCTCTACTAAAAACTACAAAAATTAGCTGGGCATGGTGGCAGGCTCCTGTAATCCCAACTACTTGGGAGGCTGAGGCAGGAGAATCTCTTGAACCTGGGTGGCAGAAGTTGCAGTGAGCTGAGATCGCGCCACTGCACTCCAGCCTGGGCAACAGAGTGAGACTCCGTCTCAAAAAAAAAAAAAAAAGAAAAAAGTCTACTTCACCTCTCATCCCTCATCTTTTGGGAGGTGTCTGAGGGGAACCCCCAGTTTAAAGACAGGACACCCACATATTAGTGACTGGGACCCAAGTACATAACAAGATGATGTTCTAATCCCATATGCTAATGCAGTGACGATCAGGTGGGGTGGAGGAGTAGAACATGGTGAATAAACCCAAGGAGACATTCTGGAAGGAGAGGGACTAATCTGGTCATGGAAGGTAGGGAAATGCCAAGAAGGGCATCCTGGGTCCCAGGAATGGTGGGGTATCACCATTCCTCTTCTAGGGAGAGGTTTCATGCAGCTACACCTGAATTTCCTATGTTCTGGAGAGAGAGGCCAGAACCTCACCTGAGTCAGGGTTCTTAGGAACCTCGTTCCCTTGCCTAGAGGTCTCCTGAGCCACATACAAAGTCAGTTGGTGACAGATGGGCCTGGGCCAGGAAAACAGTCTATGTATCAGTCTTATACCTGAACTAACAGCTCCCACTTCTAGCCCCCATCCTAGGAGAGATCCCAGCCTCCTCCCAGGTCTCGAGGGAGGGAGGTCACTAAGTAGTTCTTAGGTATTTAACGAATGCTGGACACTAGGGGGAGAAAAAATGGGGAGGAAAAAACCCCACAGACATCTCTATCCCCAGAAATGGAATGAGGCAGGTGGGATGGCCACAGAAGGAGGTCACAGGAGCCTAGCTTTTCACCCCAGCCCTGCCAGCTTTGGGTTGTGACCTCAGACTGGTCACTGTCCTTCTTGGGCCTGAGTTTCTTCTGTAAAAAGAGGGAGTGGGACTAAGTGGTCTTTAAGGTGACTTCTGGCTTAAACATTGTATGAGCCGGGTGCAGTGGCTCACTCCTGTAATCCCAGCACTTTGGGAGGCCAAAGCAGGTGGATCACCTGAGGTCAGGAGTTCAAGACCAGCCTGACGAACGTGGTGAAACCCCGTCTCTACTAAAAATACAAAAAATTAGACGGGCGCGGTGGCAGGCGCCTGTAGTCCCAGCTACTCGGGAGGCTGAGGCAGGAAAATGGCGTGAACCCAGGAGGCGGAGCTTGCAGTGAGCCGAGATAGTGCCACTGCAGTCCGGCCTGGGCAAAAGACTCCGTCTCAAAAAAAAAAAAAAAAAAAAAATTGGCCAGGCATGGTGGCAGACGCCTGTAATCCCAGCTACTCAGGAGGCTGAGGCAGGATAATCACTTGAACCTGAGGCAGAGGTTGCAGTGAGCCAAGATTGCGCCATTGCATTCCAGCCTGGGCAACAAGAGTGAAACTCCATATTAAAAAAAAAATTGTATGAAACATACCTGCTAGCTAAGTTAGTAAGGGCCACTACAGTGGGAAGGGGACCCTGGTTGGCAGTGTCCAGCACCTGGCTCTAAGAGTATTGAAAAGGCGGATCCCATCAGCAGCCCCGCAGATTTGGATAAGGTCCTGGCATGTAAGCTTCAGCAGATCCAGACCTGTAGAGTCAGACAGGGCCAGACTGAGGAAAGAGGCCTGGGATCAAGGGTGGGAAGTAAGGGACACAGTCTATTAGTCTACAAATAGCCCTAGTGTGCTCAGATATGGGAGTCAGGCTTGGATTTAAATGCCAGTTCTGCCACTTGTTAGCTGTGTGTCCTTGGGCAAGTTATTTAACCTCTCTGGGCACTGTCCTCAAGGAATAGTGTATAAATTATATGGGATAATTCGTGAGACGAGAGCCTAGCACAATGCTGGGCAACTCTTAGTCCCCAGTAAATGTTAGTTGAAGGGCCCACAACAAGCCAGGACAGAGACAGGCTTCCTGCCTGTGTGTCCCACCCACTCTCAGTCCCCTACAGGTCTGGCTCCTGCCAGACACTAGCCTCACCAGTGAAGTTGGCCAGCATCCGGCAGTAGCTGGAGAACCAGTGCTGATGCAACCATTGCTGTGTCTCTGAGATGGGGGCTTTTTGGTTCAGATCCTGAGGTATAAAATGGATGGTCCAGGTAATACCAGGACCCAGGGACAGAACAAGAAAGGGAAACAGCCCCTCCCTTGGGAGGTCCCAAGTCTGAGAAGGGAGGCTCTTCCTGCCCAGTCTTATCAGGTAAGTTACAATCTATGGCCATATCACATCTGGCCACCAGGGGGCAGGGCCACTCCATTCTGGAGCTTGAGATGAAGCTGCGGAGAAGGCTTTGGGACAGTGGAGAGTGGGAAGGGGAAGGCTCACCTCAACTGGGCTACACCCCAAGGTATCCAGAGCGAATGGTGGTGAGGAACAGAGCCTATGAGGAGGAGCAAAGGTTCAAGAACTCTGCGGAGCATTACAGCCAGTCTCCCTCCACCAACACCCTTCCTCCAGGCCTGCCCTGGGACACAGAGCTTGCTCCTGTCCTCACCCCACAAATTCCCCACCAATCCCCAGCCCTGCCCTTTGCTCCATGCCTGGGCTGGGAGCTCTTTTCTTCACTCTCACCCCAAAGGGCTGACAGGAGGTGCTCATCCTGCCTCACCTTTCTGGGGACAAGAGCCTGCAGGAGTGGGGAGAGGTCAGAGCCAGAGAGCTGAGAGGTGGCCGGGGCCTTGCAGGGGACTCCGGCCATGGCGAACACTGCAGGCAAACACACAGCAAGGCTGGTCATTGCTCCCTTCTCTCCACCTGTATATTAAGAGCTGACCAGGGGCCTGACAAGTGGACTGGGTTTCCACAGGAAGGAAGAAGTTAACCACCCGGCGGGCCTGGGGCAGTGAGGAAGGGCCTTGGAGGAGCTGGCCAGGAGGAGCAGCAGGAGGAGGAGGGGGCCAGGCAGAGGGAGCACACAAGGAAGGAGGTGGCGATGGCCCGCGTAGGACAGGCAGCCTGGAGGGCGTCAGCTCCTGGAAGCTTCAACAACCACAGACAGGGCAGAGAGTGTCCTTTGCAGGAAGTGGTGGAGTCCCCAGGGGGCTGTGATGGGCTTGCAGCAGTCAGAGCCCTGGAGGCCTCCATTTCCCCATCTGTACCGTGAGGATCTTTTCTCCAACTCTCCCCTCCTGCTCTCGCCCCAACACACACACCTCCAAGAAGACAGTGCTCTCGCAGGCGGTCTGATACTTGTCCCTCTCATGCAGGGGCTGTTTCTCCATCTTCTCACGGTCCATTTTCAGTTTCCGCTCCTTTGTGCTGCAGGAGGATGATGAGGAAAGCCTCAGGCTCCTTTCTTTTCTTTTTTTTTTTTTTTTTTTTTTTGAGCTGCAGTCTCGCTCCGTTGTGCAGGTTAGAGTGCAGTGGCGCGATCTCAGCTCACCGCAACCTCCGCCTCCTGAGTTCAAGCGATTCTCCTGCCTCAGCCTCCCGAGTAGCTGGGATTACAGGCTCGTGCCACCACGCCCGGCTAATTTTTGTATTTTTAGTAGAGATGGGGTTTCACCCTATTGGCCAGGCTTGTCTCGACCTCTTGACCTTGTGATCCACCTACCTCAGCCTCCCAAAGTGCTGGGATTACAGGCGTGAGCCACCGCGCCCGGCCCAAAGACTCTTTCTTTACCTGCCTGCCTCTCTTCAGTGGCTCTGTTGGATTGGCTGTGAGACAGAGACCAAGCCCCATCCCTCTGTGTACAGAAAAGGAAACAGTCCAAGAGATGGGGCACAGCAGGCTGAGGATCCACAGCAACGTGGGGCCAGAACCCACACAGCCGGCGAGGCCAGGTGACAGCCCTGAGAGAGAGGAAAATGGGCCCCATTGCTGCCTGTACCTTAAACACCTTGATGAGGCAGCCAGCTGAGTGCAGGTGGTCTAGCGGCAGCCCCTTGTCACTGGGCCTGAAGGTGTCGATCTGGAGGCGGAAAGGGATGCCTTTCTCTCCACCTTTCTTCCGAGGTGTGAACTGAGATGGAGAAGAAACAGAGAAAACAGGGCGACTCCAGATCCACCCACATGCAAGGGAGTCCACCCAAAACCCGTTACCCGCCTGCCACCTGTCAGCCACATACTACGACAGCAACTTTCCATCCCCAACCAGTGTCCATTCTATTTTATTTTTTGAGACGGGGTCTTGCTCTGTCACCCAGGCTGGAGTGCAATGGTGTGATCTTGGCTCACTGCAACCTCCGCCTCTCAGGTTCAAGCGATTCTCTTGCCTCAGCCTCTGGAATAGCTGGGACTACCGGCGCATGCCACCATGCCCAGCTAATTTTTGTATTTTTAGTAGAGATGGGGGTTTCATCATGTTGGCCAGGCTGGTCTCAAACTCATGACCTCAAGTGATCCCCCCGCCTCGGCCTCCCAAAGTGCTGGGATTACTGTCATGAACCATAGCTCCCGGCCAAGCTTCCATTCTTTTTTTTTTGCCCAGGCTGGAGTGCAATGGCGTGATCTCGGCTCACAGCAACCTCTACCTCCCGGGTTCAAGCAATTCTCCTGCCTCAGTCTCCCGAGTAGCTGGGATTACAGGCATGTGCCACCACACCCAGCTAATTTTGTATTTTTAGTAGAGACGGTTTCTCCATGTTGGTCAGGCTGGTTCACTGCAAGCTCCGCCTCCCAAGTTCACACCATTCTCCAGCCTCGGCCTCCCAAGTAGCTGGGACTACAGGCGCCCACCACTACGCCCGGCTAATTTTTTGTATTTTTAGTAGAGACGGAGTTTCACCGTGTTAGCCAGGATGGTCTTGATCTCCTGACCTTGTGTCGTGATCCACCCGCCTCGGCCTCCCAAAGTGCTGGGATTACAGGCGTGAGCCAGCGCACCCGGCCCCAAGTTTCCATTCTTAAAGCATCACTTTACTACGTTCTTTCCCTTGGTCAAAATCCTTCAATGGCTCCCCATGGTTGTGAGACCAGAAGCAAAGTTCCTAACCCTGGTATTGGATCACCTTAAAGAGTCAAGTCAAGCATTGCTGCACGGCTGCTCTTTCTCATCCGTCAGTGAACCCACTGACCCACCCTGCCTCCCTAATCAGGACCCCAACACACCTGCAGTTTTCCCCAGAGGCCTCTACCCAGAAAGCTCCCCTACTCACATCTGAGCTAAGACATCCCCTTCAAGGGTAGTTGAGCGGCCAGATAAAATACAGGATGCCTAGTAAAGTTTGAATCTCAGATGAACAACAAATAATTTTTAGTGTAAGTGTATCTCAACTATTGCATGGAATATACTTATACTAAAAAAATTTTTTTTTTCTTTTTTTTTTTGAGACGGAGTCTCCCTCTGTCGCCCAGGCTGGAGTGCAGTGGTGCAATCTCGGCTCACTGCAAGCTCTGCCTCCTGGGTTCAAGAGACTTTGTTTTAAAAAACATTTAAAATTTAAATTTGGCTGGTGTGGTGGCTCACACCTATAATCCCAGCACACAGCAGGAGACAGAGGCAAGAGGATCGCTTTGGGCCGGGAGTTTGAGGCCAGCCTGGGCAACAGAGTGAGACCTCACCTCTACAAAAAAATTTAAGAATTAGCTGGGCCTAGTGGCACATGCCTATAGTCCCAGTTACTCGGGAGGCTGAGGCAGGAGGATTGCCTATACCCAGGAGTTCCAGGCTGCAGTGAGCTATGATTGCATCACTGTACTCCAGTCTAGGTGACAGAGTGAGACCCTCTCTATATAAAAAAAACAATAATTTAAAATAATAATGCTGGGTGCAGTGGCTCACGCCTGTAATCCCAGCACTTTGGGAGGCTGAGGCGGGCAGTTCACTTGAGGTCAGGAGTTCAAGACCAGCCTGGCCAACATGATAAGACCCCCCATCTCTCTACTAAAATACAAAAATTAGCTGGGTATGGTGGCATGCTCCTGTAATCCCAGCTACTTGGGAGGCTGAGGCAGGAGAATCACTTGAAACTGGGAGACAGAGGTTGCAGTGAGTTGGGATCACACCACTGTACTCCAGCCTGGGCAACAAAGCAACACTCTGTTTCAAAATAAATAAATAAAATGGGGAACAGTGGCTCATGCCTGTAATCCCAGAACTTTGGGAGGTTGAGGCAGGAGAATCACCTGAGGTCAGGAGTTTGAGACCAGCCTGGCCAACATGGTGAAACCCTGTCTCTACTAAAAATACAAAAATTATCTGGGCATGGTGGCCTGTGCTGTAATCCCAGCTACTCAGGAGGCTGAGACAGGAGAATCACCTGAACCTGGGAGGCAGAGGTTGCAGCAGTGAGCCCAGACCGCGCCATTGCACTCCAGCCTGGGCGACTCTGTCTCAAAAATAAATAAATAAATATAAATAAAAATAAAGTAAAATTCAAATTTGAGCATCCTATATTTTATTTGCTAAATCTGCCAATCCACTCCAGGAAGCCTTTCAGGCCTGCCACCCCGAGCAGCCTGCAGCCTCTGTGTTTGGCCTGGCACCAGGATTCTAAGGGTAAGCAGCATCTTCTCTCTTCACACCCAGTACTCACAGTAGCCTGCCCATAATCCCGTGAAAAACAGTGAAAGAGTCCAACTTTAGAGTGAGGAAACTAAGGCTCACAGAGGCTACAGGACCTGGGTAAGATCCATGCTAAGAAGTGGTAAGGCAGGCACGGTGGGTCAGTCTTGTAATCCCAGCACTTTGGGAGGCTGAGGTGGGTGGATCACCTGAGGTTGAGAGTTCAAGACCAGCCTGACCAACATGGAGAAACCCTGTCTCTACTAAAAATACAAAATTAGACGGGCATGATGGCGCATGCCTGTAATCCCAGCTACTCAGGAGGCTGAGGTAGGAGAATTGCTTGAAGCGGGGAGGTGGAGGTTGTGGTGCGCCGAGATCATGCCATTGCGCTTCAGCCTGGGCAACAAGAGTGAAACTCCATCTCAAAAAAAAAAAAAAAAAAAGCAAAGAAAAAATATATATCCTTTTTTTTCGCACCTGGCCGAGAGTCATTCTTATTTTCCCCTCACCCCTGCCCAAACTCACCTTCCTTTTCCACCTACACGGTTGCCACCCCCTTCTGACCTCCAGCCTTTTCCCAGGCCCAGCTTCAGGCTCACCTGCAGGAAGAGAGATGTCCTCTTTGTTGGGTCCCAGTGAAACTCCACCATGTTGAGTTGTGAGAGCAGCACTTGGGGTTCTATCACTCCCACGGACAGTGGCACATCTGCAGGCACAGGGTGGCAAGCAGGGAGCCAGGCTCAGCCTTCCCAGTCCACAAGGACTCCTGAGCCAGAGCTCAGGCTCGAAGGGCCCCCGGCCTTTCCCCACTCATCGATGTCCAGGATGCGGTCCCTGGGCCCGGCTCCACCTCCACCCAGCCAGCTGCCGCTGCTGCTCTGTGTACTGCAGGTGCGGGTCGTGGAACATCACCTGCACCACACTCTGCAGCCACAGGAGGGCGTGGCGCACAGTCAGAGGACGCCAGCATTGAGGACCCAGTTTTCACACCTGTGTAGGCTGACCTTCCCACACCTCCCTTCCTACCCCAGGAGGCATTAGGACTTAGAATCACCAATGCGTGTTCAAATGCCCATCTGCCACTCACGACTGTGAACCAGAGAAGTAATCTAGAGACCCTGAGCCTCAGTTTCCTCATCTGTAAAAAGGGGGAGTTAATGCCTTCCCACCCTAGGCACGCCACCCATTTCTTTGCAACATGTCACTGTTGGTCATTTCACAGAATATGTGTAATTACTTGTTTGTCTTAGTAGAATGCAAGCCTCCTGAGGAAGGGAGCCACATCTGTCTCATTACTGATGAATCCCTAGCTCATGGAACATTTTCTGGCATAGAATGGGGGCTAAATAGGTAATTTTTTGAGAAAAGGTCATGTGTGTGAATAACACTGTGTAAATATATTTCTAATTTTATTTTTATTATTATTATTTTTTTGAGACAGAGTCTGCTTTGTTGCTCAGGCTGGAGTGTAGTGGTGCGATCTTTGCTCACTGCACCCTCTGCTTCCTGGGTTCAAGCCATTCTCATGCCTCAGCCTCCCGAGTACCTGGGATTACAGGTGTGCACCACCATGCCCAGGTAATTTTTGCATTTTTAGTAGAGACGGGGTTTCACCATGGCTGGTCTTGAACTCCTGACCTCAGGTGATGCGCCCGCCTCAGCCTCCCAAAGTGCTGGGATTACAGGCGTGAGCCACTGTGGCCAGCCTACACTGTGTAAATGTGTTTCTAAATCTCAGTTCTGCTACTTGCTGGCTCTGTGTCCTTGAGAAAACACTTAACTTCTCTGTGCCTGTTTCTTCAATTCTTGCCCACCACGGAGCTGTTGTGAGGGTCCAATTAAATGACGGACGTGAGAGGGTTCTCCGTGACGATGATATCACTGTGATGACATTGGCTTCTTGCCCAGAGAAACAGTCATACCCAGCCTTTGCCACTTCCGGGGAGGAGTGTACCCACCTTCAGCAGCTGGGGGCACTGGGTGGCATCACACGGCTTGGAGCTGCAGAGCATCCGGACCTCATAGGACTGGCGTGGGAGGGATTAAGGGGTTGCGTGAGCCCCACTCTGAGGGGCAGAGTGGCACCTACCACCTCCAGCTCACCCTGAGCCCAGCTTCCCGAGCTCACTGCCCACTAGCTCCTCCCCTCTCCCAGGCCTAGCATACCCTGGTTCAGGTAGGTGAGGGTCTCCTCCTGCTGCTTCACGGCTGGCGAGGTGGCTGCACAGAGCACGTACTAGAACATGGGGCAGGGCAGCTCCGTGCCAGGGATGTTGGGCAGCTCCTCCTGCTTCAAGTAGGGCAAGGGCAGGGGCTCCCTGCCAGGAAGAGGAGGGCTCTGCCAGCTTTCTGCCCTGTCCATCCCCTTTTCTAAAGGTCTTTGACTCTCTATGCCAGACCTTCCCTCTGGGGAACCCACAGTTTCCTGTAGCAGGTCCCCAAGCTGCAGCCAGGGCCAAAGGGACCCCCATTCAGCTCCTCAGGCCTCCAGGAGGCCTCCCTGAAGGTGCTGATCTCAGATTTGTGGCTGTTCTACTCAACAGCTGCCATCAATTACTTGTCTTTGCAACCTCAAAGCTTGCCTGATACTGAGTAAATTCCCAACAAAAATGTCCTAAGTGGGATCAGGGTGTTTTTGAGATGTCCCAGGACACACTGAACTCCAGGTACATTTGACCACTTCCCCATCTCCAGAGGAGCCCGGGAATGGGAGCCCCACTTCCCTCAGCTTGAAATGGATGATGTCCACTCCAACTTCAGACCAGCACTTTCCCCGGGACCTGGGGGATCCAGCCCTTACCTGAGCAGGCTGCTGGGGGGCCCAGGGTATAGGTCCCCAGGACTGGGCCATAGATGCTCCGGCTGGTTGTGCCAAAACAGCATCTTGGAGAGGGGGCAGGGCCGGCTGTGAAACAGCTCAGCGTGGGGTTGGGCTGCACCCACTGGCCCCTCACCTGGGGCCTCTACCTTTATACACAGAAGCACACCCGCAAAAGGGTGGGGCGGGGCCTGGGCCTCTTATTGGCTGAGCACCCAGGGCTCTAGCACACTCCGGACCTGTGGGGGCAGCCCAGGTTGGGGGGAATCAAGATCTGGGTCCCAAGGGCTCCCCAGCAATCATTAACTTGAAGGGGAGGGTACAGCAAAACAAAGTCACAAGGATGGATGTCCAGTCCTCTACTGGTCCCCAAGAGGCCCAGGGGCAATGAGGGGCACCCTCAGGTTTCAAGATTGGCCCCAGATCCATAAGCCACACAGAATCCTGGAGACCCCTGGGATCGGCCCCTCCCCTGACGCCACGGGAGAAGCCTGTCCACTCTAGGGGACAGGACAGGCAGACACAGCGTCACAGGGACCTGCAAAAGGGCCTCTGATGCCCACTGCCCTCCCTCCCTCCTCTGCCTGACCACACACACACACACACACACACACACATACGCACACATGCACTGGTGGCAGGACACCTGTCCTTTAGCTGGGGGCTACCTAGCTAGGGGACTGGAGTTTACAGAACACAGCCCAGCTTGTTGTGGAAACACTCCAGGGGGTGGCGCTTCCAGGAGAGGGAGGTTTGCCCAGGAGGGCTCCCCATTAGAGCAGCCCAGGAGCTCCAGTGGGGCTGGTCCTTTTGCCCCTTCCTTGCCCTGGGGCTTGGAGCAGGCCATGTTTATGGACAAATACAGTCAGCCTGTGGGTGGGCCTTTTTCTCCACACTGGGCACATGTTGTCACTGTACACAGACAGCCCCAGCCCCCTGCCCACCTCCTACTACTGTGTTTGATATAAACAGAACTAGGGCAGAGAGCAGAGATGGGGTACTAAAATGTGGCTGACTCATGGGACTCTAGCTACCCAGGCTCCCAGATTCTGAGGGGCCTGCCTGGGGGGCGGCAGAGCCAAAGAGATGCCTGTCCCCTGCTCTGCCACCTGCATCTCCAGGCACCTGGCACTTGGTCCCACGGGCTTTCTTCCCCCAGGAGTCTGGATGGAATCCAAGTGGGGAGGATGGGGGAGCAGGGTGATGGAGGCATTCCTGCTGCTAGGGCCAAAGAAGCAGCCAGAGGCCCTGAGGTCCCCTCCATACATTATCCCCAAGGCTGTGAGGACCTACCCCACGCCCTGAGTTGGATTCCAGGCTGGGAGGCACCCTCAAGACCTTGGGGAGGGCAGAGCAGGATCCCAGGAAGACGGGGAGAGGAGGGTAGGAGGGGTCCCTGTGTAGCTTGGTGCTGGCCTGGGGGGAGTCGTGCCTGTCTGAGCAGGGCTGGAGCCTTTTTCTACTCCAGCCAAAACATTTTGTTTTGTTTCCTATTCCCAGGCACCTTTCCAACCTGGAGAGCTGGAGAGTGAAGTTTGCCCCTCCCTCAAAGAAAGGATGGGCTGGGAGAGGAAGCTGTCTATTCATTCATTCATTCATTCAACAAACTGTTCTCGAGTGCCTACCGTATGCCAGGCTGTCTCTCAGGATACCTGGGTGGGTAGAATCCTGCCCTATCCAGAGCTCAGGCACCCCGTGCTCCCCGCATGCGGGTGGTCAAAAGGGCTGAGTCCTGAGTTCCAGGCAAAATTATGACGAAAGGGGTAGACTGGAGCACGTAGGATGTTTTTCGCTTACAGGACACACACACACACACACACACACACACACAGAGCTGACAATACCATATGGCAATCACTGTGTGGTCTGTGCATCTGTGCACACAAATGTCTCCACCCCAGAAGTGAGATGAAGGGTCCCCGTCCCAGCTAAATGTCCCTGGCACCTCCGGGTACAGTTTACAGGGCACCATCTGCCCTGAACAGCGCCCTCTGGAGTTAGACCGTGAGTAGGGCTGGCTCAAACCCTCAGTCTTTTCCACCTGAGGTCCTCTCTAGCACCACCTTAAGTCTCTCCTGGGGAAGACTCTTTGCTCACATTTCAGACTTGCTGCCTGCTTCTTAGCCCTTCCCACAGACCCTCCAGCTGACGCTCATGTTCTCCCCGTCTGTCTCTGGGCTTTGCAGTGCTCTACTAAGGTCCTTCATGGTAATTATCCAACGTGCAGTGAAGGTTTGCGTACTTTGTCTAATGTCTTTTTTCCCACCAGAGTGAAATCTCCCAGAGGGCAGGGACTAAGAGACGTGCACTAGTGTTGGGGTTAAGAGCACGTTTATTTTCTTTTCTTCCTTCTTTTTGTTTTTTTTTTTTTTTTTTGAGACCAAGTCTCACTCTGTCGCCCAGGCTGAAGTGCAGTGGCATGATCTCAGCTCACAGCAACCTCCGCCTCCCGGGTTCAAGCGATTCTTGTGCCTCAGCCTCCCGGGTAGCTGGGATTACAGGCACATGGACCACGCCCAGCTAATTTTTGTATTTTTAGTAGAGACAGAGTTTCACCATGTTGGCCGGGCTGGTCCCGAGCTCTTGACCTCAGGTGATCTGCCCGCCTTGGCCTCCCAAAGTGCTGGGATTACAGGCATGAGCCACTGCGCCCAGCCAGAGCATGTTTCTTGAGATGGACTCTGAGAGTTCAAGCCCAGCTGTGTGGCCTTGGGCAAGTGACTTAACCTTTCTGAGCCTCTTGTTGCAACTGCATAAGGGGGATGATGAGAGCTTTTACCCCAGAAGTAAAGACAATAATTGAGCCCTCAATAAATATTCCCCTTTACTCCATCGTTTCCCCAGGGCCTAGTACATCAAAGGTTTATTTAACACTTAAGGATATAGGTTTATTTGTATAACACTTCTAAGTATAGAGGGTCTGTTTCTTTTTCTTTCTTTCTTTTTTTTTTTTTGAGACAGAGTCTCGCTCTGTTACCCAGACTAGAGTGCAATGGTGTGATCTCAGTTCACTGCACCCTCCACCTTCTGGGTAAAACGATTCTTGTGCCTCAGCCTCCTGAATAGCTGGGACTACAGGCGCCCGCCACAATGCCTGGCTAATTTTTGTATTTTTAGTAGAAACAGGTTTTCACCATGTTGGTCAGGCTGGTCTTGAACTCCTGACCTTAGGTGATCCACCTGCCCTGGCCTCCCAAAGTGCAGGTGCTGGGATTACAGGTGTGAGCCACTATACCCAGCCAAGGGCCTGTTTCTTTTTTTCTTTTTTTTCTTTTTTTTTTTTTTGAGACGGAGTCTGGCTCTGCTGCACAGGCTGGAGTGCAGTGGCATGATCTCAGGTTCAAGCGATTCTCCTGCCTCAGCCTCCCCAGTACCTGGGATTATAGGCACTTGCCACCACACCTGGCTAATTTTTGTATTTTCAGTAGAGATGGGGTTTCACCATGTTGGTCAGGCTGGTCTCGAACTCCTGACCTCAGGTGATCTGCCTGCCTCGGCCTCCCTAAGTGCTGGGATTACAGGTGTGAGCCACTGCGCCCAGCCAGGTCTGTTTCTTTAGTAGGCTGTTCTTCAGTGCTCAGTGTGACTTCAGACTACTTTTCAAACTTTCTTACGTAGTAGATACTATTTTTTTTCTGTTACTCTATTATTGATCCCCATTCTATAGATGGGGAAACTGAGACTCAGAGAGGTTAGGTAGCTAGCCCAGGGTCACACAGCTAGGAGGAAACAGAGCCAGGATTTGAACCCAGGCCATCTGAGTCACAGTCCCTGCTCTTTTTTTTTTTTTTCTGAGGCAGAGTCTCACTCTGTTACCCAGGCTAGAGTGCAGTGGCGCGATCTCAGCTCACTGCAACCTCCACCTCCCGGGTTCACGCCATTCTCCTGCCTCAGCCTCCCGAGTAGCTGGGACTACAGGCACCTGCCACCATGCCCAGCTAATTTTTTGTATTTTTAGTAGAGACAGGGTTTCACCGTGTTAGCCAGGATGGTCTTGATCTCCTGACTTGTGATCCACCTGCCTTGGCCTCCCAAAGTGCTGGGATTACAGGCGTAATCCACCAAGCCTGGCTAGTCCCTGCTCTTAATTACTGCTCTATGCCCCACTCGTCAGGATACATATGTGTGGGCTTTTATTTATTTTTCTTAGAGACAGGGTCTCATTTTGTCTCCCAGGTTGGAGTGTAATGGCACGATCATGGCTCACTGCAGCCTCGACCTCCCACACTCAAGCAATCCTCCTACCTCAGACTCCCAAGTAGCTGGGACTATGTGCTTGAGCCACCATGCCTGGCTAACTACATTTTTTTTTTTTTTGAGTCTCACTCTGTCACCCAGGCTGAAGTGCAGTGGCGTGATCTCGGCTCACTGCAACCTCCACCTCCCGAGTTCAAGCAATTCTCCTGCCTCAGCCTCCCAAGTAGCTAGGATTACAGGCACGTGCCACCACACCTGGCTAATTTTTTATATTTTTAGTAGAGATGGGATTTCACCATATCGGCCAGGCTGATCTCAAACTCCCGACCTCATGATCTGCTGGCCTCAGCCTCCCAAAGTGCTAAGATTACAGGCATGAGCCACCGCGCCCGGCCCTACAAAATTTTTCTGTAGAGATGGGCTCTCACTATGTTGCCCAGTCTAGTCTCAAACTCCTTGTCTCAAGTGATCCTCCTACTTCGGCCTCCCGAAGTGCTACCATTACAGGCATAAGCCATGCCCAGCCTTTTAAAAACAAATATTGGGCCAGGCGAGGTGGCTCTTCCTATCTATTTTCACTGTGAAGGCTTTGGCCACCAGAAGGATACTAGGAGCCCACTACTTGGTCCTCTGTGTCTAGTATGCTGTCCTCGGGAGCCAGAGAGACTTCCCTAAGACACAGGAATTACCCAATTACTCCTCTATGGAGAACACTCCATGGCCTCCTGTTACCCTCAGTGCCATCCTCAAGCTGGGCTGTGGAGTCCCTGGGTAACTATGGGTCATATTCCAGGCTATCCATGGCACACAATGGTTAGTGCTAAAAATCATATTTTTGGTAGGAAAACTAACACAGATATTCTTGGAGTCAAATGCAAGGCTTGCACCAATGTTTAACATAGAGCCTTGTCTTTAAATCCCTCTCAAGTTTGGAGTGAACCACTTTGCTTGCTCCCCACTCCCCGCCCCGCCCCGCCCCCCACGGTATCTCTGAATTGCTCTTCAGGGCTCCAGTGAATGAGTTCGAGAAGCCCCTTTGTGCAGAGAAAACTAGCTTCCTGATCCAGCACTCAAGGCCGTTTGTTCACTTTTTCCTGCCTTTGGTGCTCACCATCTCTCTCCCTCTGGGCTTTCCAGTAGCTCCGGAACCGGCTGTTCTGTTTCACACCTCCAGCCTTTGCCTAGGCTGTTCCCTCTGCTTAGGATATTCTAGTCCCCTCTGCCTTCCAGTCCACTCGATGGCCCCCGTTAGCTCAGCTTGATGTGGCCCTCTGTATTACCCCTCTCTGGGTCAGAATCTACAGAAGGGCCTCGAATGCAGGTACTAGGTGCCCCCGGTGCTCAGGACCATTCCATACACTTGGTAGGACCTCATGGTTTAGATGGTCTCCGATGCAGACCCTCCAAGGCCCCGCCTGAACCCCTGGGCTGCCCCGGTGCTGCTTTCTGTGCAGTCTGCAGGGGGCAGTGTGGGCCCAGGCCAGCCGCAGGTCCCCAGGCTGCTTCAGCTGGGTCTAGACTCCCCCGCCACAGGATCTCTCCCCAGGCGTTAACCCCAAGGGAGCAGTTAAAGGCAGGCTCAATCTTTCTGCCTCGAAGTCTCCTCGGCATCACCACACTCACGCTTGTCCCACACAGTAAGCCATGGGCACCCTCACCGCTAACACCCAATCCAGCTGCGACCAGACTTCATCCTCCCTCCTTTCCATACGCTCTCAGCCACAGCCCCTCCCCAGCCTGCGTGGGGCCTCCTCTCCAGCAAAAGATCCTCCATGAAGAATTCGGGGGTCCACAGTGCTCATCTCTCCAAAATTCTAACCCTCAACCATGCCCCTCCTCCGCAGGGCTCCACCCCCTTGCTTACCCCAAAGTTATGCTCTTGCTGTTACCTTGGTAACAGATGCTTTGTGGGTGGGTAAGGGGAATAGACTAGAGGACAGGAGCAGTGGCTTCAGGACACTGTTGGAAGCACAGGGGTGGGGGCTCAGTGTAGACAAACTGGCACAGGGCTGGGGAGGGGCAGCCAAGGGCTAGGACGCCCCACCCCCACCCCACCATGGCTGCTGTCAGCCCCGTGTCCCCAGCCTCAAGGAGAAAAGAAACAGAACAGAAGAGGACGTGTTCCTCGAGAGAGGGGTTTTCTTCATTGAGGAAAAGGAAACAGCTATAACCTCATTATCCCTTCAGAACAACTCTCCCAGAGATCCTGGCTTTGTGGTAGGGAGAGGGGGCAGCAGGAGCGAGGGCGTGAGGGATTGCATACACAGAGCCCATGTTGTTCCCCTCCAGGAGGCCTGGGGTGCAGAGCGCGGGAACAGCTCACCCAGGGCGAGTTAGGGACAGTGCCACGGGCAGTGGGAGGGTGGCTCCATGCCAGTGTCCCAAGCTCCAGGGGCTGGAGGCAGCAGGGGGTGTGGGGGGGCCTTCTCCAGCCCCTGGGGACCTGGCTGTCCCAGATGCCACAGCCGGGAAGTATGTCAGGCACTTGCGTAAGAGCCTTCTGTATTTCCATAAAATCATAATTACCGCTGCCTGCCATGAGCCTTAGCTCATTAGAGTGGTATCTGCCTCTCGGGCCCCCAGGTGGGCTGGTGGGGGGAGGCAGGGGACGCTGGGGCAAGGCCAGGCCTCTCACTGTGGTCTCTGCATCCCTGGCCCTGCTGGGCTTGGACCCCCTTCCTTTCCCCAGCTGGGAGACAGGAACCCAGACTCAGCTCCCAACCACATTGGGCACCTCCACACTAGACACCCTGATTCTAAAGCTGCCGGGAAAGGCCAGTCACTTATGTTTTCTGTCCTGGGTGACCCATGGGGCAGAGGCCACAGATGCAAAGGGCTTGGACTGGAGGTGTTGATGCAAAGATCACCACCATGGGAGGAGAAGCAATTCCTCACATCAGAGAATCTCAGCCACTCAGAGAGGAGAGTCCCTGGGGGTCATATAGGCCAGTGGCTCTTAATCTTTTGGGGATCTCAGATGCCCTGAGGAGCAGCTGAAAGCTCAACTCTGCCCAGAAAATGTTTATTATCTTCCATAATTTTACACAGCTTCGAGTGGTTCATGAACTCCCTGAAGCTCACTCACAAGTCCAAGGTTAAAAATCCCCAATAATAATATTACTATTAATAATAATTAGTAGTAATTAATAGTAACTAATAATAACATGAGAATTAACAGGCTGAGTTCAGTGGAACATGCCTGTAGACCCAGTTACTTGGGAGGCTGAGGTGGGAGGATCACTTGAGCCAGGGAGGTAGAGGCTGCAGTGAGCCATGACTGTGCTACTGCACTCCAGCCTGGGCAGCAGTGTGAGACCTTGTCTCAAAATAAATAAATGAATAAAATAACATCCATTTACTGTGCATTTATTCTGTCCATCTCTTTATTTTTTTATTTTTATTTTTTGAGATTGAATTTCACCCTTGTTGCCCAGGTTGGAGTACAGTGGTGCAGTCTCGGCTCTCTGCAATCTCCGCCTCCCAGGTTCAAGCAATTCTCCTGCCTCAGCCTCCCGAATAGCTGGGATTACAGGTGCCCACCACCCCATCTGGCTAATTTTTTGTATTTTTAGTAGAGATGGGGTTTTGCCACGTTGGCCAGGCTGGTCTCAAACTCCTGACCTCAGGTGATCCACCCGCCTTGGCCTCCCCAAGTGCTGGGATTACAGGCATGAGCCACCTCACCCAACCTGTCCATCTCTTTACGTACATTAACTCATGTAATCCTCAAAAGAGTGCTAAGAGATGTATCATTATTGCCCTCATTTTAATCCAACTCCTCATTTCAAACTAATCTAATCCAATTCTGCCAGTCTGACAAGAAGGAAACTCAAGTACCTTTAGAGATAGACAGCTCTCTGCCCAAGGTCACAAAACAGGAAGCAAAAGGCAGAGCTGGGCTGAGGACTGGTCTCTCTTCATGTGCTAGACATTGTGCTGCATGCAGATTTGAAGTCATCCCTGTCCCAGGGCTCCCAAGAGCCCACTGCCCACTTTCCCAACAAGAGGCACCCCAGTAGTTCTATTGCCACTTCTGAGGGAGCCCTCCAGAGTGTGGCTGCCATTCATCCCCCCGGCAGCACCTGGCCCTCGCTCTGCCTGCCCCTCGTTTCTACCCTCCGAATCTGAGATGGGGCAATGCTCCTTCCTTCCCAGGAGAGGCTGGCCAGGCTGCTTCCGCCTCGTCTCTGATCCACTGCAGTGGGAGTTGTCAGTACTAAGAGCAATGACTCAGACTTAGTTCAGGAGAGACCGCTCTGAAACACAAAGGCTGCAGGCCAGGAAGGACATCGAGAGGTCATGGCATCCATCCCCCTGCCTCCGCCATGCTTGCCCCACCTCAGGCTTCTGATGTCCAGACTAGATGAGCCCCACAGTCCTCCAACTTCCCTGGCTTTCCTCGGTTGCCAGAACTACGGGTTCCCCTGGGAATTCTTCTCTGTATCTAGTTAGCATCTCTTTGTCCAGGAATCACCACTTCTGGGTTGGTTACCCCACAGAATACCAGGCTCCAAATGGCCAAGGAAAGTGAGAGAAGGAAGCGGTTTTCTTCTCTCTGCCTCAGAGAAAGCACTGGGAAGGGACAAATTTCCCAGAAGAAAGGAGGGAAAGAAAAATAATGGCCGGGCACGGTGGCTCACGCCTGTAATCCCAGCACTCTGGGAGGCTGAGGCGGTCAGATCATGAGGTCAGGAGATCAAGACCATCCTGACTAACACGGTGAAACCCCGTCTGTACTAAAAATATAAAAATTTAGCCGGGCGTGGTGGCAGGCGCCTGTAGTACCAGCTACTTGGGAGGCTGAGGCAGGAGAATGGCGTGAACCCGGGAGGCGGAGCTTGCAGTGAGCCGAGATTGCACCACTGCACTCCAGCCTGGGCGACAGAGCGAGACTCCGTCTCAAAAAAAAAAAAAAGAAAAATAATGGACTTTCCTTGACTAGACGTGGTGGCGTGTGCCTGTAATCCCAGCACTTTATCGGGGAGGCCAAGTCAGGAAGATGGCTTGAGGTCAGGAGTTCAAAATGAGGCTGGGCCAACAAAGTGAGACCCCCATCCCTACCAAAATAAACACTTTTTTTTTTAAAATAAATTTTCCTGTCTTGTCTTCCTGTCTTGTCTGGGCTAAGTGCCACTCTACACTATCTCATTCATTCTAGCAGTGGGGTAGGCACGATGACTATTTTTCAGATGAAGAAACCAAGGCTATAGGCCAGACACGGTGGCTCATGCCTGTAATCCCAGCACTTTGGGAGGGTGAGGCAGGTGGATCACCTGAGGTCAGGAGTTCCAGACCAGCCTGGCCAACATGGTGAAACCTCTCTCTACTAAAAATACAAAAAATTAGCTGGATGTAGTGGCGGGCACCTGTAATCCCACCTACTCGGGAGACTGAGGCATGAGAATCGCTTGAACCAGGAGGCGGAGGTTGTGGTAAGCCGAGGTCCTGCTATTGCACTCCAACTTGGGCAACAAAAGCTAGACTCCGTCTCAAAACAAACAAAATCTCTAAAAGATTGAGTTATCTGCCCAAGGTCACACACTTAATTAGTGACCAAAGAGGTACTGGCCCCTAAGGAACCCAAAGCCCCTGCTCTTTGGGAGGAGACAGGGGCACCTCCCCCAGAAGATCTCCAAACTCAGAAGAAGGCCCTGTGTGTTCCAGCCCAGGATAAGTGGAGGGCCTGATGTTGCTGTCTCAATGCTGCAAGCATCCCAGCATCTGAGCTGCCCAGGGAGGGAAGGCTGGACTGGCCTGGGCTGGGCAGGAGTGAGAAGGACAGTCCAGTGGGAGATGGGGGAAGGTTGGCCATGAACAGGCCTTTGGGGAGACTGATTTGATGGCACTCAGGCTCCATCCCACCTTCCTCAGGAAATCTCGAAGTCAGAGCCCCTACAACCATGAACCCTCACTGTGCCCTTGTCCTACTTCTGCCACTGGCAAATAAATCTCTATTCCTGGACAGGGTAACCTGAGCAGGGCTCCAATGGTGAGCTCGTGCTTGGGAGGGCAGAGATCCTATGAATGGCTGTGTGCATGGGGGGAGGTGAGTGGGGGGTGGAGGTGTTCACCCCACCCCTCAACTTTCAGGCTAGCATAAGGGCCCCCTTCAGCACCTCAGGCCCCCCATGTGGCACCCCCCACCCACAATCTTACCACCCACAGCAGAGGAGGAGGGAGACTTAAACCCAGAAGTCTCTCCACCCACACCAGGGAAAGGTTCTCTCAGCCACCAGTGCATCTCCCTTTTCTTGGGCAGACCAAGAGAGGAAGCCAGATCTGCTGGTCAGAGCCAGAAGGGGCAGAAGGAAAGAGGGCTGGAGGTGAGGGAGGGGGACCTGAGAAAATGGGTCCCAGATAATCAACATGCATTAGAAGAGGTATCTTGGTCAGGTGTGGTGGTTCACACCTGTAATCCCAGCACTTTGGGAGGCTGAGGCAGGAGGGTCACTTGAGCCTAGGAGTTTAAGACTAGCCTGGGCAACATAGCGAGACTCCATCTCTACAAAAAATTTTAAAATTAGCTGGGTGCAGTGGCATGTGCCTGTGGTCCCAGCTACTTGGGAGGGTTGAGCCCAGGAGGTCCAGGCTACAGTGAGGTGTGATCAAGCCACTGCACTACAGCCTGGCCAATAGAGCAAGATCCTGTCTCCAAAAAAAAAAAAAAAAAAAAAAAAAAAAAAAGAAGAAGAAGAGAAGGAGAAGAAGAAATATTGGAAATATC
Organism: Homo sapiens; assembly: GCF_000001405.40. Classification (NCBI taxonomy): domain Eukaryota; kingdom Metazoa; phylum Chordata; class Mammalia; order Primates; family Hominidae; genus Homo; species Homo sapiens. The sequence goes on along the minus strand of NC_000017.11, from coordinate 39,226,974 downwards.
TTGAACGGGCACAGTGGCTCACGCCTGTAATCCCAATACGTTGGGAGGCCAAAGTGAGAAGATCGCTTGAGCCCAGGAGTTGGAGATCATCCTGTGTAACATAGCAAGACTTGTCTCTACCAATAAATTTTAAAAATTAGCCAGGCATGGTGGCGTATGCCTGTGGTCCCAGCAACTAGAGAGGCTGAGGTGGGAGGATTGCTTGAGCCTAGGAGTTTGAGACTGCAGTGAGTTATGATCGCACCACTGCACTCCAGCCTGGGTGAAAGAGTGAAACCCTGTCTCTAAATAAAAAAATAAAAAAATAAAAAATAGAAGGTTATTGTGGAGAGAGGGGCACCTTGGAAGGTGATGGTGAGGACCTCTTCCCCCACCTCTCTGTATTATCCCCTGATCTAACTCCAGTTGTGGTAGGATCTTTAGGAGGGGAGCGTGTCTCAGAGAAGTTTGGGGACTTTGGGTGTGAGGACTGAGCCCCCATCTCTGCTGAAGTTCAGACGCCAAGACTGGAAGGGGATAGAGTCATCCGGCTTTCCATCACAAGGAGGAATTGTCCGGCCTGGCCTTTGACACATACACCATAGTCCAGTTGTGTGTATATTTGGAGAGAGCCTTTTCAGGGTATAAAGGCATCCAATTAATGGCACAGATGGGTCCCCATTCTTCCTTCACCAACCTCTGGCATCTATCAATCTTCGCTCTTTGGAAGTCCTAGCTTCGATCTCACTCTCCGCTATCTTGCTGCGGCCCCAACCTATTTCTATTCCCTGCAACCCATCCAGACGCTACTATGATCTCCCCAAGCTTCCCTCAATCTGGTCACGCCCCTCCATCCCGGGTTTTTCAGTGTGAAACTCCCTCCTCCGCTTCTTTCCCCGCCAAGCCCCGCCCCATCGTGTCGAGCCCCCCAAGACTCCGCCCAGTTCGCCCTCCTGGCCACCGAGGCAGCCAATAGCTGAGAGCCTGATTTGCAGGGCTGCGCGGGGGAGCGGCGTAGGGCAGGGGGCGGGACCAGGCGACCTCCTAAATCAAAGTTGGGCGGCGAGGACTGGGCGGAGGGGCCGCCGGGTGCCGGGCTGGGGCCGGCGGGGGAGGGGAGGGGATGGGGGGCGGGCGCAGCGGACGGCGGAGCCGGCTGGACACGGACAGCTCCTTGGCTCCCTCCCTCGGCTCATCCCCGCGGCCCCACTTCCCTCCTCCCCGCGCTGCGAGCAGCATCCTCTGCAGACCCTCGGTCCTCGCGCCCGGGGTCGTCCCGCTCCTGCGGCTCAGCGTGGTGGCCTCCCCTCGCCCGCCACCCCGGCAACTTTCTCTGCCCGCTCCCGCGGGTTGGGGGCTGCCGTGCCGGGGGCTAACTGGGGGCAGCCTCTGGAGAACGGCTTCAGAGTCCCGGAGACGCCCGCCACCCGCAGCCTGCCCGCGGTGGGCCTGCCGTCGGATCTCGGCACCCTCTCCTCCCCTCTCCCCGAACCATGACCGAGATGAGCGAGAAGGAGAACGAACCGGATGACGCGGCCACCCACAGCCCCCCAGGGACCGTCTCCGCCCTCCAGGAAACCAAGGTAACTTGGGGGGCGCAAGGCCTGTCCGCGCCCCGGGCCCGGGCGCCCTCTTCCCGGCGGGGTCCTCCTGTGGGCCCGGGCGTCCTAGGGTCGCGGTCGCGAGGCCCGCGTGACCACTGAGGCTCCGCGCCGCTCCCGGGGGTAGGAGTGGGTTGGCGACGAGGGGCCACAAGGAGCCCCCGATCACACCGGCACCGCACGCCCGCGCGCGCCATCGCGACCTTCTGGGGAGGCGGCCACTGGTCTTCGTTGGAGAGATGGGCGCAGCGAGGCCGGAGGGCGCGCGTGGAGCGGTGCGGGCGGGGTACGCGCCCGGCTGTGCGTGCGAGGCGCACCCTCCAGCGGCCGCCGGGTCCCAGTCCCGGGCTCAGTCCGCGCCTCTATCCTCGCTCGTGTCTCTGAATTTGTCTCTACAACCTGCGTGTCTGTGTCTTGGTGTCTCTGTGTGCGTCTCTCCCCGTCTCTCCCGGCGTCTCCGGGTGTTTATCTCCGCGTCTCAGGGCGTCTCTCCCTGCCCCTCCGCAGTCCTGCATTCCCCGCTCCTAGCCCTGTTGGGCTCGGGGACGCGAGGCCGCGGCCGGGGGTGCGCAGCTGCGGAGTCCGCGAGGGGGCCTGCAGCAGCGCCGGCCGTCGGTCACGGGCGAGGACGGGGGCCTGCGGTTGTGGCTCCAGACCAGAAAGACAGGCAGCCCCGCGCCCCACCACGGGAGCGGGACCAGAGGAGGGGGAGCGGGTAGAAGCAAAAAGAGAAGTCATCGTAATTAATGAATGTCATCATTAACCCTAATTATGGATGATTGTTACTCCTGAGGGAGTCACCATGAATAAATTACTCCCCGCGAAGGCAGGCGGAGCCCAGACTCCTGGCGCTGAAAGGGGTGTGGGGAGGCCGCCGCTCACACTCAGCACTCCCCCGACCTCTAATCCGTCTGCTCCCTTCCCAAGTTCTAGGTGCTGGCGACTGGCCCGCGAGAAGTTCTGTTTCTGCGGGATCAACCTGAGCGGGCCTGGGGTTGGGATAGAAAGGGCTGTGCCAAGGGCGCGCCCTGCCACCTCCCAGACTTCAGGCCAAGACCTCCTCCCTCCCCCTTCACCCGGTATTTTGTTCCCATCCTGCTCCTGTTCTCCAGAGGCGAAAGGGGACAGTGAGGACCAGAAATGATGGGAGCCTGGGCTCCGGAGGCGTCCTGGGTTCGCTAGGCTTCTTTCCACTGTCCCCCTTCCTCCTTCTTCCATCTTGACCATCCCGCAGGAGCTGAGGTTAATTCAAGGTCAAGGTCATCAAGGGAGTGACCGGAGGAGGAGGCCGTAGGGTCAGGGTGGAGTCTGGCAGAGGCACCCCAGGGAGCCCCCATCCTGCACCAGGGGACCCAGCAGGTCTCCACATTCAAGTCTTCACATGCACACCTGACTCTCTCTTGCCCCCTTCTAAAAATGAGACTCTGGTCTGTGAGGCCAGAGCTGACTCCCCTTTAGAGAGCCAAGTCTCAGTCTCTCCTGGGAAAGGACTAAGATGTTTGGGTGGGAGGATATTGCTTGGAATATTTGTGACAACTTCTGTCAAGCAGAAGGTCTAGGAGCTGAACCTCCCCTGAGTTCCAATGCCCCTGATTTCGGTTGCCCTCTAGTCACCTGGGTAGACATACACAGTCCCCCTGCTTGCCTCCAGGGGCTTGGGGGCCTCCCAGGCCCTGCCCTGTTTCCCACACCAAGGCCTGTCCTCTCCAGCCTCCTCCTATGTGGGAGTGCTGGAAGGCGGGCAGGAGTGTGGGGTAGTGCTGCCTCAGTACTCCAGCAAGCTGCCTGCTCAGCTGTGTGGGGAGGGAAGGTCAAGGGCCACAGGTCTGTACCTCTCCCTCTTCCCAGGCCAGGGACCCTCCAATGTTGTCACCTCTGGGTCTGAGCTTGGAGATTCAAGGAGTAGGGGAGGGGAGGGGTTACACCCCTGATCCGGCCCTTCTGTGTCAGGCCAGCTGGAGCCCCGGCCCTCCGCCCCTCCCCTATACATCACTCTTGTGAAGGATTCTGCACTAACACAGACTGGGCTGTGGGTTGGGTCGGGGGTATTCAGCAGGGCAGAGGTGGGCAGAGAGAGAACTCAGGACCCCTGCTAGCCTCCTTCCATCCTGCACCTCAACCTGGCCCAAAGAAGCTCCTGTCTCCAGACTGTGGGTGGAGATGGAAGAGTACAGTTGGGTGCCGCCCACCAAGCTCAGTGTGAGGCAGGTACAACAGAGGGGGCCAATGCCCTTCAGGCAGTGATGCCAACATTCCAGGCTTATTCATCAGTGTTGGTGCCCCCTGGGAATCACTGGCCAGCCTCCTGCTTGCCCCCAGGCTGAATCAGCCCTGCACCCAAGCCACCCAGCAACCTTCCTAGCGAGTCCTCCTCCTCTCTTGGTCTCCTTCCCTTCTTATCACATAAGGCCTGCCCATCACCCTTTGTTGCCACCCCTGGGAGGACCACCCCATGCCATCTCTGCTGTGAGTCAGCTTGTGCCACGTCTGCCACCACCCACTGCCAGATGCCTCATGCCCTTTCAGGAGACGCCGTGGGGAATTGAGGAAATAAGGGGCCGTCCAGGATATGGGGAGGTGGGGAGGAAACAGGCAGGCCAGGCCCTGTCTCTGGGAGGGGATTCAGAAGAACAGACTTTGTGGTCCAGGCTCCTAGCTGGACAAACTCTGGATGCGTTGGGAGGGAAGAGTGACCAGGCAGGCCCACTTGCCAAGGTACATGGCAGCTTCTCCCCATGCCAGAGAATGGGTCCCAGGGAAGTGAGGGCACCAAAAGTATAGTGGGGAGAAGAGATGGGCAAAGGTCCTCTCCAGGAATGAGGAGCCCCAGGAGCCGGAATACCTGGCCTGGCTGAGCCAAAATGTGGTTTGGGTAGCCAAGCCCGATGTCTCTGAAGTGGTCAGGCATCAAGTCATTTGGCAGAGATGCCCCAACCCAGACCTGTAGCCACAGTCTGATCTCTGCCAGCCACCCCAGGTGGCATGTCATTCCTTCTCGCTTCTCCACCCCCCTGGGATCTGGGGCCCACAGCCAAGCCAGGGAGTCGGCCGGCAGAGTCGGGGCTGCCCTGGTACCCGGGAACATTCTGTTCCAGAGGCCTCCGGTACCTAGCAGAGGTGGCTCTTGGCACTGAGACCAAGGGGTACCAGGAAAGGACACAGCCTGGAGGGTAGGGAGACTTGGAACCTCCTCCTATGAGGATTACTATGGAAACAAGGGCCTGGGGATGGGGGGAACATGACTGATGGTGTCTTCAAATATTTGAAGGGCTGAAGTGTATGAGAGGGAGTAGCCCTTTCTGGAGCCAAGGGAGGAAGGAGGGCTGATAGGCGAAAATCCCAGGGAGGCAGGTTTCAGCTCTATATGGGGAAGCACTTTGCAGCCATTGGAGCTGCCCAAAGATGGAATGACTGTCCCAAGAGACTGCTTGCTTCCCATCACAAGAGGTGACCAACTCTTGAGACGGGATGTGGCCAGGCCATCGCAGGGTGATGAGTTGGGGACTGCTCTAGGTGGCCAGTCTTCCAGGTCCCTTCTCACCCTAAACTCTCTGATTGACCTTGTGGACAAGCCCCTGGCCCAGCTGAGAGGTGAGGGTGATGGCCCAGGCAGGGCCCAGCTGAGAGGCGAGGGTGAGGCCCAGGCAGGGCCCAGCTGAGAGGCGAGGGTGAGGCCCATGCAGGGCTCAGCACAGCAGGATGCTCCTGGTGCTTTGGGCTCAGCAGCCGAAGCCGCTGGTTCAAGTCCTGGCTCTGCTGTTTACCAGCTGAGGACTCCTGGGTAAGTGATTTAACCCTTATAAGCCTCAGTTCCTCATCTGAAAAGTGGGACAGTAATTATCACTACTTCCAAGGGCAGCATCAGGATTAATGAGATGCTGCATATAAAGTGCTAGCTCAATTCCAATGTTCTGACCATGACAGCCCCTCAGAGATGTAAGTTTCTGGGGATATTTGGACCTAGAGCCTTTTATTGGTTAGAGAGTGTCCAGTCTTGGCCAGGCGCGGTGGCTGACGCCTGTAATCCCAGCACTTTGGGAGGCCAAGGTGGGCGGATCATGAGGTCAGGAGTTCGAGAGCAGCCTAGCCAATACGGTGAAACCCCATCTCTACTAAAAAAAAATACAAAAAATTAGCCAGGTGTGGTGACAGGCGCCTGTAATCCCATCTACTTGGGAGGCTGAGGCAGGAGAATCGCTTGAACCTGGGAGGTGGAGGTTACAGTGAGCTGAGACCGTGCCACTGCACTCCAGCCTGGGCAACAAAGCAAGACTCCGTCTCAAAAAAATAAAAACAAGAGGGCAGGCATGGTGGCTCACGCCTGTAATCCTAGCACTTTGGGAGGCCGAAACAGGCGGATCACGAGGTCAGGAGATCGAGACCATCCTGCCTAACACGGTGAAACCCCGTCTCTACTAAAAATACAAAAAATTAGCCAGGCGTGGTGGCGGGCGCCTGTAGTCCTAGCTACTCGGGAGGCTGAGGCAGGAGAATGGCGTGTACCCGGGAGGCGGAGCTTGCAGTGAGCCAAGATTGCACCACTGCACTCCAGCCTGGGCGACAGAGTGAAACTCCGTCTCAAAATAAATAAATAAATAAGTAAAATAAAAAATAAAAATGATAGGCCGGGTGCAGTGGCTCACGCCTGTAATCCCAACACTTTGGGAGGCCGAGGCGGGCAAATCACGAGGTCAGGAGATCAAGACCATCATGGCTAACACAGTGAAACCCCGCCTCTATTAAAAATACAAAATTAGCCGGGCATGGTGGCAGGAGCCTGTAGTCCCAGCTACTTGGGAGGCTGAGGCAGGAGAATCACTTGAACCCAGGAGGTGGAGGTTGCAGTGAGCTGAGATCGTGCCACTGCACTCCAGCCTGGGTGACAGAGTGAGACTCCATCAAAAAAAAAAAAGAGTATCTAGGCTTCCCTCTTGGATGTGGGGAAACTGAGGCTCAGAGAGAAGAAGTGGGGTGATTTGCCTTCAGGCAGTAGGTTTAGTTTTGCCCCCAGCCCCAGCACATCCTCCGGCGACCCTGTGTGCTCCATGCCTGAGGTCCCTGGACAGAACAGTGGACGGTTCACCTGCCTCTTGGGGCCCATCCAAGCCCCCAGAGCCACACTTGGTCCTGGCTGGCCCAGAGCCTGACCTGGGCTGAGTTTTGTGTTCTCATTAATTGTCTCTCCAGCCTTCTACCTATGCTCCAAGGCCCAGGCATCTGGGGCCTGGGGCCTTGCTTCTCATAGATACACAAAGAAGCCCACAGTGCTATCCAGGAAGCTGGGTTTGGAAGGCACTGAGCCCTTCAGTGTGCCAGACACCCCAGGGCTTTGGCCTCCCAACTGGCACACCAGAGCCTGCCTTGTGCCCAAACATCCCCTCTGCTTCCCCCTCTGTCTTGCTGCCTGCTGGCCTCCCGGAGGCTGGTGGGGCCACCACTTCCATCCCCTTGGCAGGGTGGCCAGGCAGGCAGCCATGGCACGTAGGCTACCCAGCGTGCCAGCTGGGAACCCTGGCCAAGTCCCTCTGCCTGGAGCCAGGCTGCTGGCCCCTGTTTCTGTCTCTAATAGAAAGGAGTGGGCAGGGGTAAGCCGCCTCTCAACGGGAAGGGAGACGGCCAAGGCTCTGGGTCAAGAGGTTTCCAGACCTCTCTCTGGGAAGACTCAGTAGGGTGTGTTTGAATGAGAGGTGGAAATAGCTCTGGCCTCACCGCAGAATCGACCCTGCCCTCCAGAATGTAGGCTTCAAGGAGAGTCCAGCCGCTGGCTCATGTATTCACCAAAGGCTGCTGATTGAGCACCTACTATGTGTTGAGAGCCTGCGTGGGGATTTGAAGCCAGCAACTGTGTCCGTCCCCAAGGGGCTCACAATCTCCTGGGGGAGTGAGAAATAAATAACAAGCATCACCCGAGTGGAGCTGTGGTGGAAGTTGGGCTGGATGCAGTGGACACCAGAGGAGGGAGTGGGTCATGAGACAGAATTCCTGCAGAAGAGAGTTCCTGGAGGAGGAAGGACCAGTGGAAGCATATTGGCAGGATAAAGAGGGTATGAACTGAGTGAGGCAGAGAAGAGGACAAACATGTCAAAAGCTCAGAGGCATAAAAGCATGGATGAGTTTGAGAATTGAGGATTCTCAATTCTCAATGAATTGAGAAATGAGTTTCTGGGCTGCAAAGGCACAGGTTGGAAGGACAGGTTTGGCCAAGTTGCAAGGAGAGTCTCGTGGCTGGGGCGAGAGCCTTGGACGGTGTCCCGAGGAGCTAGGAAGAGTTTTTAGCAGGATCAGGCATCACCCCCGCAACAGCTGTATGGAGGACAGGTGGAAGCAGGGGGCTGGAGGGGAGGCTGTGGCCTTGAAGCAGACTGGGGCATCAGGGCCTGAACTAAGGGCTGTGAGGTGACGAGTCAATGGGAGGGAGGGGAGGGCTAGAGAGACTTTCTGTCGGGGAGAATCAGTCCCAAGGATGAGGGTCCAGGACGACCACTCCTCACCCCCCACCAGCCTGTTCGAGAACACAGGTGGATACTACGTTGCCCAGGCTGGTCTCCAACTGCTTGGCTCAAGCGATTCCCTCCCGCCTCAGCCTCTCAGAGTGCTGAGATTATAGGCAGGAGCCACCATACCGTGCCTATTTTTTTTTTTCTAAACTTGAGTAAATGGTACACCCATACAACAAAATACTTTGTAGCCATAAAAAAGAATGATGAATCTATTTATGTATGGGTATGGAATGATTTCCAAGATTTACTGTTTATGAAAAAAAGCAAGGCACAGGAAATATAGTATACTACCATTTCTTCAAAGAAAAATGGAATTAAACCACTTAAACTTGTTTCTATCCGATTTCACATAAAAGTCTAGATTTCTTTTGAAAAACTAGAAAACCTGGCAACAGCCTCAATTGGCTTGAGGAGACCTGCAGCTACTCCCTGGCCATCCAGTTTGCCACAGTCCCCACGGCTCTTGATTGCTGCCCACCTGGCCAGAACTCCTTTCTCCATGGAGGTCAACCACCTGGCTTTTGTGGCACCTGAGATTGCGAAGTGTCGTCGGGACCTGGGGAGCCTCTCTGTTGCTGTTTCATTTCGCTCTGGCCCTCAGCCCCCACGCTGCTGCTGCTGCTGCTGCTGCCGCCCCTACCGCCAGAGACACCCTGAAGGGAAGCCCGCCCTGGCCAGCCCCCTCTAGGCTCCCACTCACAGCTCCCTCTTTTTCTCCCAGCTCCAGCGATTCAAGCGCTCCCTCTCCCTCAAGACCATCCTCCGAAGTAAGAGCTTGGAGAACTTCTTCCTTCGCTCGGGCTCTGAGCTCAAGTGCCCCACCGAGGTGCTGCTGACGCCCCCAACCCCACTGCCCCCTCCCTCCCCACCACCCACAGCCTCGGACAGGGGCCTGGCTACCCCATCCCCCTCCCCATGCCCAGTCCCACGCCCCCTGGCAGCGCTCAAACCAGTGAGGCTGCACAGCTTCCAGGAACATGTCTTCAAGCGAGCTAGCCCTTGTGAGCTGTGCCACCAGCTCATCGTAGGTAGGTGCCTGGGCACTGAGGCGGCCACGGGGAGGGGCCAGCGTGGGTACTGGGGAGTGGGCTCATGTTGCGCCCAATATTATTGGGCTCTTGCTGTTCAGGAGCCCCAATACTAATTGTGCCTCTGTGCCTCTTTTTTTTTTTGAGACAGAGTCTTGCTCTGTCTCCCAGGCTGGAGTGCAGTGATGCAATCTTGGTTCACTGCAACCTCCACTTCCCTGGCTCAAGGGATCCTCCTGCCTCAGCCTCTGTAGTAGCTGGGACTGCAGGCACACACTACCATGCCCAGCTAATTTTAAAATATTTTTTGTAGAGATGGGGTTTTGCCATGTTGCTCAGGCTGGTCAAACCCTGGGCTCAAGCAATCCATCCACCTCAGCCTCCCAAAGTGCTGGGATTACAGATGTGAGCCATTGCACCCACCCCCAACTGTGCCTCTTACCCAAGGCAGAGAGAGGAGCACCACCAAGGGTGGGGGTATACTCAGTGTCACTGCCTCAGTGTCACTGCCATGTTTACTAACGACTCTGGCTTCCGTGCTCCCTCATACCCTGACTGTGTGAGGGGTAGGTGCTGGGCCTCAAGGCTGGCATGAGAATGCCCAACCCCTGCTCTCCTCATCCCCTAATGTGCCCCTCCTTTGCCTGTTGCCCACGGGGGTGTCCTCAATTGCTGAACCCAAATTCTTCCTAGGAAACTCCAAACAGGGCTTGCGATGTAAGATGTGCAAAGTCAGCGTCCACCTCTGGTGCTCTGAGGAGATCTCCCACCAGCAATGCCCAGGCAAGACGGTGAGCGGGGACCCAGGCAGAGATGGCCAGCTGAGTGCTGCCAGTACTGTCACATGGGAGAATGAGTATCCCTCAGGGCTGCTCCTTCCTGTGGGGTGGGCCCTGGGCTTGGGAAGGACCAAGTTCTCCATAGGCCATGACCTCCTCAAAACCTCTCTGCCCTCTCTTGCCATAGTCCACCTCCTTCCGCCGCAACTTCAGTTCCCCTCTCCTGGTGCATGAGCCGCCACCAGTCTGTGCCACAAGCAAAGAGTCCCCACCCACTGGTGAGTGCCCCCCCTGGCCGCAGTCCCTGCTCCCATTGTGGTGGGATGAGAAATCAACATCCCTGACCAGCCTGGCCAACACAGTGAAACCCCGTCTCTCAATTGCTTGAACCCAGGAGGCGGAGGTTGCAGTGAGCCAAGATCACGCCACTGCACTCCAGCCTGGGCTACAGAGTGAGACTCCATCTCAAAAAAAAAGAAAGAAATCAACATTTCTGAGATGGGTGCCTGAGTCACACTGGCACAGACAGTTCCTACCATTTCCCTTCTCTGGATGTTCCTGTCCTGAATTTGGGGTTCATTCATTCATTCACTCATCATTCCTTCAACAAGCACTTTATTAAGCACATACTAAGTGCCAGGCACAGTGCTGGACTCTGAGACACAGTAGTGAAGAAGGTGGAATTTATTGTCTAGTAAAGGAGATAGGACTGAAATGGACAGTCATGCAAATCATCAATCAATCACCATCAGCATGAGCGCCTTAAGTGGGGAAGATAAGGAATAGAGCATAGAATGTGTGCTGAAAGCTGGGTGTGGTGGCTCATACCTGTAATCCCAGCTACTTGGGAGGCTGAGGCAGGAGGATTGCTTGAGCCCAGGAGTTGGAGTCCAGCCTGGGCAACATGGTGAGACCCTATCTCTAAATTAAGAGAAAAGAAAAAGCTCGCTGTCTTCATCTGCAAAATCAGGGAAGACTTCCCAGAGATGTGAAGGATGAGGCATGAGGGGTTCATCCATTTAGGATCTGGAAAGACTGGTGTGGGGCAGAGGGAAGCCTGAGAAAGGAAGGACAGGGAGTTAAAGAAAGGGCAAAGTGCCAAGTGTGGTGGCTCACACCTGTAATCTCAGCACTTTGGGAGGCCGAGGCGGGCGGATCACAGTGTCAGGAGTTTGAGACAAGCCTGACCAACATGGTGAAACCCCGTCTCTACTAAAAATACAAAAAAATTAGCTGGGTGTGGTGTCAGGCTCCTGTAATCCCAGCTGAGGCAGGAGAATTGCTTGAACCCAGGAGGCGGAGGTTGCAGTAAGCCAGGATCGTGCCATTGTACTCCAGCCTGGGCGGCAGAGCGAGACTCCGTCTCGAAAAAAAAAGAAAAAACGAGACCATGGGTACGAGGCCTTGGGGTCCATTTTAGGGTAGCCTTTTGGACTTTCTTCTAAGGGTAATTTGTGTGTTTCTACAAAAGCTTTCTGGCTGCTGTGTGGACTGGCAGGGCTAGAGTGGAAGCAGGGAGACCAGTTGAAAGGCCATGACAGTTGCCAAGAGAGTGTGGTGATGTGAATTAGACTGCTAGCAGTGGTGATGGAGACATGTGGATAGGTTGTAGGGATGCTAGGAGGGAGGACTAGGTGGCAGAGTGGCTGTGGGCAGTGAGGACAGTGAGGAGTCAAGGATGCTCCAAGTTTCTGCATGGGCACCATGGGAGGACCCAGAGCCATCTCTGGGATGAGGAAGACCTGGGAGGGACAGGTGAGGGGGCAGCTGGGAAGCTCAGCCTGGGGCATGCTGAGCCGGGACTAGAGATGCAGGGCTTTGAGGCAGAGCCAGGCCTTGAGGGTGGATAATCTGCAGGGGACAGTGGGAAGGTGGACCCTGTCTACGAGACCCTGCGCTATGGCACCTCCCTGGCACTGATGAACCGCTCCAGTTTCAGCAGCACCTCTGAGTCCCCGACAAGGAGCCTGGTATGGTGGGCAAAAAGGGGGGGTCTTTTGGGGAGGGGTGTCTGAGCATGACAGTGGGCTCGGGGGCTGAGCCCTCTCCTCTCTCTGTCCCTAGAGTGAGCGGGATGAGCTGACCGAGGATGGGGAAGGCAGCATCCGCAGCTCTGAGGAGGGGCCTGGTGACAGTGGTGAGTGGTGGTGGGCATCAAGGGCAGGAATGGGGTACAATGGAGGGTGCTCCCTGCTGCCTCTCACCCTTTCCCTCTCCTGCCCCTAGCATCTCCAGTATTCACAGCCCCAGCAGAGAGTGAAGGGCCAGGACCAGAGGAGAAGAGTCCTGGACAGCAGGTGAGCCTGTACTGGCATTGGCCCGGAAGGTCAGGGTGGGAAGCGGGTGTAATTTCTCCTTGCCATTGATTCATAGGGGGGCAAGAGCATGGTGCGTGGGGATTCACTGCTTCCTCACTTATCCTCAGGGATGGGCAATGCCAGGATGAGAGGGCATGGGAGGCAGGAGGAGTTACCCTCCCACCCCCAGCCCACTGCCCATTGCACCCATTTCTTCTCTCCCAAAGGCAGGCAGCCCCAGGGTACAGCAGGCAGAAGGGGGCTCCCCTCTCCATTCCCGTCCCAGTGCGCTTTGGGGTGGGTGAGCATAGCATGTACGAGGGTCTCACTTCTCCCTGCCGTTGACCTAGGACTCACTGTGTCCCCTCACAGCCCCCAGGGTAGCACACTCAGAGCGAGTGGAGAGTGGGGGGAGTGAGGGTGCTGCTTTCCGGTCACCGACCCAGAGATTCTCCCGCAGCTCCCCAAAGCCACCCTGCGGAAGGATGTGGGGCCCATGTACTCCTACGTTGCACTCTACAAGTTTCTGCCCCAGGAGAACAATGATCTGGCTCTGCAGTAAGTCCTCTTTGTGACCTGGCCCCGCTGGGCAGCTCTGCGCTCCCAGACCTTGAAACACAGTGTGAGGGGGGCCTTCAGGAACCTTCTTGCATGCTTGAGGCTGCTGAGCCCAGACAGGAGCTGGAACTGCCCAGGGTCTAAGAGTGACTCATGCTAATGTCGTGTCTCCCGCCCTCTGACTGGGCTGCCCAGCGAGTGCCTGCTGTACCTGTGGTCACATGGTGTCCTCTGAGGGCATCAAGAATCCTCTCCCAGCGGGGCGCGGTGGCTCACCCTTGTAATCCCAGCACTTTGGGAGGCTGAGGCTGGCAGATCACTTGAGGTCAGGAGTTCGAGACCAGCCTGGCCAACATAGTGAAACCCCATCTGTACTAAAAATACAAAAATTAGCCAGGCATGGTGGCAGGTGCCTGTAAACCCAGTTACTCGGGAGGCTGAGGCAGGAGAATGGCTTGAACCCGGAAGGTGGAGGTTGCAGTGAGCCAAGATCGTGCCTCTGCACTCCAGCCTGGGTGACAGAGTGAGAGTCTATCTTAAAAAAAAAAAAAAAAAAAAAAGAATCGTCTCTCCCAGCTGAGGACTGCAGTGTCCCCCAGGTGCCCAGGGTCTGCTAGGATGGGGAGGGGCACTACTCCCTGCTCCATATGCAACCCTAGCTCTGTCCTCCCCAGGCCTGGAGATCGGATCATGCTGGTGGATGACTCTAACGAGGACTGGTGGAAGGTGACTTGGCAGGGTGGGGAGTGGAGGGACACTGGTAGGCACCCCAGCAGCCCCCACCCCCAATGGGCACTGCCCCCACCTTCTCTCCAGGCCCCAAAGACAACCTCTCCTCCAACCACTGGTCCCAGCCAAAACTAGGACCAACCCTTGGGACATCCTCTCAGTTTTGACTCTCCTTGCCTCAGCTTTGTCCCTCTGCTCACCTTATGCTATTCCTGGCCCAGAAGCCACCTGGCTGGGGGCTGGAATCCGGAGAGCCCTAGATCTGGAGGATGATGGCATTGGTGCTGAGTGGGAACCGGGTCTGGAGAAAGCAGTGGTGGGCAGCAGGGGTGGGGTGTGGCGCGGGTGTTCATTGCCAACCTCATCCCCAGGGCAAGATCGGCGACCGGGTTGGCTTCTTCCCAGCTAATTTTGTGCAACGGGTGAGGCCAGGCGAGAATGTTTGGCGCTGCTGCCAACCCTTCTCCGGGAACAAGGAACAGGGTTACATGAGCCTCAAGGAGAACCAGGTGAGTGCCTGAGGCCCAGCCCAGGCCCTATGGCGGAGGGAGGGAGTGGGCGGGGGAGACAGGCTGCGGTGCGGGGGTAAATGCTCTGCAGGAGGAGGCTGATCTTGGCAGTTGAGGGGAAAGCGGGTTAGAAAGAAAGGGTTGCAGGGCCCTCCTACCAGCCCCTGCTGGGGAATTTGGGCTGGTGACCAACAGAGACAGGAGACTGAATGACATTAGAGGGAGCTTGGGTTAGCGCAGGAGCACTGGATTCAGAGTCTAAAGCTCAGGTTTGAATGCTAGCTCTGGCTTTTTGTGTAATTTGAGGCAAGTCCTTTTCCCTCCACCTCCTCTGTGATGGGGGTGAGGCAGGGCAGTACAGCGGCTAATCTCCAAGGTCAGCCCTGAAGTGCTGCTGGGTGTCTGCTGACGTGCTGGTCTTGCTGCTGAGGCCTCTACACTCCTGGGATCTGGTCCCATCACTCCAGCAAAGGGCTCCATCCACATCTGACACTGGTCCCATCATCCCCCAGGGTGGGTCCCCTGGGGGCCATGGGCAGGACTCAGGGCCAGGGCTGCAGGCCATGCCAGGCCTCAGCTCCATGTCTCTCTGGCTCAGATCTGCGTGGGCGTGGGCAGAAGCAAGGATGCTGACGGCTTCATCCGCGTCAGCAGTGGCAAGAAGCGGGGCCTGGTGCCAGTCGACGCCCTGACTGAGATCTGAGAGGAGCCAAGGGAACCCAGATGACACCCTTGCCCATGCCTGGACCTTGCTTCTGGCCAGGGAGGGGATCAGGCCCCCTTGTCCACTCCATACCCTTCCTCCCTCTGTCCCTCTCCTAGGTGCCACTTACCGTGGCTTAGGAGCCTTTTGTACTGGGGAAGATTTTATTTCTTGGGTGGGGTGCCCTGAGTGGGTTGATCCTCTGGGACTTGGCGGGGATGGGGTGGGGTGGGAGGGAATGAGGAAGCTACAGGTAGGTCCACCCAACGCCCAGGCACCCCAGTCTACTTGCTGGGCTGAGTCCAGCCCTGGGGAAGATTCCTGGGGAATTTATTTGCTGCTTCTCCCAGCCTTCCCCTGCCCACACCACCTGCGCATGCCTGGCACACCCCTCTCCCCACAGAGCCTCTGCTTGGGTCTATGTGTGTGTGACCGTGCATCTGCTCCTTTGCAAGTGGGGTCTTGGGAGCAGGCCTTTTTGTGTCCTCGGCCCTCCACCCTTGGTGGGGAGGGGACCCAGGACCATAGGAAGGTCCTGAGTCCACCTCCTGGTCTCCACCTCTGTCATTCCGTCAATTCTCAGGAAAGTTTTGCAGGAATCTCTCCCGTTACTTGAAACCTGGGCGGACAGATGAGGGGAAGGCTGAGGTCCCTGGAAGGTGTAACAAATCAGAGACTATCTGTTCAAGTAGAAAACCCAAGAGCTGGCCAGGTGTGGTGGCTCATGCCTGTAATCCCAGCACTTTGGGAGGCTGAGGTGGGCAGATCACCTGAGGTCAGGAGTTCAAGACCAGCCTGGCCAACATGGTGAAACCCCGTCTCTACTAAAAGTACGAAACTTAGCCAGGCATGATGGGGGTCTGCCTGTAATGCCAGCTACTCCAGAGGCTGAGGCAAGAGAATCACTTGAACCCGGGAGGCGGAGGTTTCAGTGAGCCGAGATTGCACCATTGCACCCCAGCCTGGGCAACAGAGCGAGACTCCGTCTCAAAAAAAAAAAAAGAAAGAAAGAAAAGGAAACCCAAGAGCTGCCTGGACACACGGAAACCCAACTGAGAACAAAATCCTGGCCCGTGCTTGGTCAAAGCAAACCCATTTCACTGTCAGGACCCCCGGTCACACAGGAACCACCCGCCAGGGGAGCCTGTGACTGTCAGTTCCTGTCCCAGGCTTTGCCCGGCCGCCCCAGGAACCCAACCCTCTGGGCTGACCTTTCTCCTGCTTCTCTCCAGGCTCTGCAGGGGACAGGGCAGGTGCTGCAGGAGCCCCTTTGCTGGCTTTATCTGCTCCCTTGTTCTGGACACAGAGCCCTGGGAAAAAGAGGGGGTGGAAGACAGACAAGGAAGGTGGAATGTTCTGTTTTGGCCACCAGGAAATGGGGTGGGGTGGGCATACACAGAGAGGACCCCTCTCTTAATACAGCTGCTTTTCTCGGTGCCAACCTCCCTCCCCCAAGCTCAGATCCTCCTCTTATGCCCTTGATTGTGCCAGCCCATGCCACCCCCATCCTGGGCACAGTTACACCCTCCCATGCAGTGGGAGAAACACAGACCCTCGTACCCAAAGGCCCCTGCCCCACTTCTCCCCCACAAAGCGGGGTCTCAAGCCACACTGCCCTGTTTGCTGCCATGAGGCCCCCCCCCCCAGCAATATCCCAGGGGCGGGCCCAATGCCCACTGTACATGAGGCTGCATGATGGGTCTGGGGCCTTGCTGATTCCCCAGACCCCTAATTAAATGTTTCTTGTCCCAGCCCATCTGCTCTGTGTCTCTCACTGGGACAGAGGAAGGAAAGGGGCAGGGAAGTGGGGAGTGGGGTCTGGGGATGCTGAGAGGGGCAAGGCTGAGGGTGGAAGAATTCCTCCGTCTCTGAAAGGAGGGGTGCTGGGCAGGCGGCAACATGGCAGGGGTCCCAGGCCTCATCCCTTTCCTCCAGCAGCCCGAGGAGGGTGGGGTCTGGGGAGAGCCAAAAGGGGACCTGAGGAAAGTGGGAGGAGGTCTGGGGACGCTGGAGGGAAACGGCTTGGGGCTGCGGTCACTTTCCGCCTCCATGTGCACCTGAGTCGCGCAGGGGCGGACATGCTCCTGCGCGCCAGGGCCGTCGAGGCCGATCTTGCCCACCCAGAGGTGCCCTCCGAGACCGGGCGTGCCGGGGGTCTGGGAGGGCTCAGTACCCATCCGAGGTCAGCCTCGTCCCCGCAGTCCCCCAAGCCGGAGACAGAAACGCTGGCGGCGGGGACAGTCGTGGCCCGTGGGTCCCCGGGATGACTCAGTCGCCCCTGTCATCGGAGCCCAGCATGGAGGGGCCGCACCCCTCCCGCCGCCGCGCTCGCCGCCCACCGCTCTGGCAGAGCTGCCTCCTTCCCCTCCGCCTGCCCAGCCGCGTCATCGCCACGGCGAGCACGTCCTGTGCTATTTATAGGCGGAGGGGAGCGGGGCGCCAAGGAGAGGCGGGCTGCGGGGGTGCTGGGGCACTGCTGGCGCTGCCCGGATGCAGAGTGGGGGCTGCCTTTCCTGATGAGCGCCCCCTCCTCCACCGGTTCCGGTTTACAGCCCCCGCCCCCTGAGCCAGGTAGGCCAGGTGGGCCCAGACCTTGGGTCCCCTCCTTGAGCTTTCTTTGGGCTCCTTGACTTGAGGAAGGCCCTGGAGGTTGGGGGTCGAGAGAGCCGGGAAAGGAGGGTGACCCTCCCCCTCCTAGGATCCCCAGCCCTGGGAGTGGAAGAAGGGGTCACAAGACCAGTGTGAATGCTTAAAGAGAGGGAACTCATAAATAGGCACCTACTGTGCCCAGGGAACCGTGCCAGGAACTTGATGTTACTTAATCCTTTCCAGGATCCTGTGAGGCGAGTGGGGGTGTCCTCCTCTCACAGGGAAGAACTGAGGCACAGCCAGGTTAGGTGGCTTATCTAAGGTCACACAGATTACCCAGCTCAACACTGCCCTCTTTATACATGGGGAAACTGAGGCCTGGAGTGGGCTAATGACTTGTCCAGGGTCACACAGCAAAATGAGTGATCAAGCCAGTCTTGGAAACCGCGGCTTTTTCTTCTCCTTTCAGCTCTTTCCCTCCCCTGCCCTGGCTTCCTCAATGCCTTAAACTAACAAAATGGAGACAGAGACACCCTGAGACGCTGGGCCAGAGGCTCCAGGGATCAAGAGCCTGAGAGCCTTGCAGCCACGCCTTATGCACACCCAGCTGTGTGTCTGCCACCAGCCGGCAGCTGGCCTGGACGCCCATCCCCCTCCAGCCTATTTGCCGCACTGCTGAGCACAGCAGCTTTTTTGGGTGGCTGAACCCCATGCAGCATGCTCACAGCCTAGGGCCTGGGAACAGTTGGTGCCCCACTGTAGCCTTTGCCCTCCTCTGTGCCCACTCTGGGGGTGGACGGACCAGCAACACTACTGGTCTGGGGCAAAGGGTGCCTAGGAAGCTACTGGTGATCCCAAATCCCACCATTTGGCTCTGTTGTCTCTGACCCACATGTGCCCTTCATGCCCCCCTACACAGAAGCTGAGCTTCACCTGGCTTGTACTGTGTGGGATGAAGGTTCCCTGGACTTCAGGGAGATGCAGAAAGAGGAGGGAGTCTGGAGAGATGGATGCTGGAGGTGGGGAGAAGAGAGAATGAGCCCCTCGGTGCAACCCTACTCATTTTGCCAGCACTGCTTCCTTTGGCCCCTTCAACCTTCTTCACCCCCATTCTTACCCGCTGTCCACCCAATGCCTGGGCAGGTGGGGGCACCTGCTGAGGAGTGCAAGGAAGGCAGCCTCAGCCTCCCTGTGCTTTGCAGGAAGCCAGCCTAGGTTAGCCCTGCCGTAGCCTCAGAGGCAGTACTGGAAGGAGGCCAGGCCCCTCTGTACCCTCTTCTCCAGCTCACAGCCCTGCAGTAGCAGCTGTGCTCAGTGCCTCTGCTGCACCCCAATCTGAATCACACCCTCCCACGTCGGGAGACTGCAGCCTGGGAATCAGAGTCAGGCGCCAGTGTTCGTGCAGCACTGAGGTTCTGCACACCCCACTTGTGTCTGCCACCAGCCAGTAGCCAGCCTAGCCCCCCCACCCCCGGCCTGTTTGCCGCACTGCTGAGCACAGCAGAAGAGTCACTGGCTCCTCTGGGTCTCTGTTTCCTCCTCTAGAAAATCAAGCATTGGGTTTGCTCAGGGATTCTTTACGTGGTAAGGGTGTGGGTCACGAGCTCCTTGAAAGGGTGTGGAATTATATGATAGGGACACTTGTATGCTCTTGAAAGAAAAAACATTTTTTTTTACAATTTTTTTTTTTTCCCCTGAGATGGAGTCTCTCTCTGTCACCCAGGCTGGAGTGCAGTGGCTCAATCTCGGCTCACTGCAACCTTTGCCTCCTGGGTTCAAGTGATTCTCCTGCCTCAGCCTCCCGAATACCTGGAATTACAGGCGCGTGCCACCACGCCTGGCTAATTTTTGTATTTTTAGTAGAGCCAGGGTTTCACCATGTTGACCAGGCTGGTCTCTAACTCTTGACCTCAAATTATACACCCGCCTCGGCCTCCCAAAGTGCTGGGTTTACGAGCGTGAGCCACCGCGCCCAGCCAACAAATTATTTTTGATATTTTTGTTTTAGAGACAGGGACTTATTATGTTGCCCAGGCTGGCATGCAGTGTCTATTCACAGGCACCGTCATAGCTCACTGCAGCCCCAAACTCCTGGGCTCACGTAGCCCTTCCCAGTCAGCCTCCAGAATAACTGGGACTACAGGCTCACGCCAATGTGCCTGACAGGACACATCTTTTCTTTTTTCTTTTTCCATAAGTAAGGAAACAAGAGGACACATCTTTTAATCAGATTTTCTCAAGGCTACAGGACCCGGAAAAGATCCAGCAGTTACTTTAGGGGTTCTTTCTGCTTGGGGCTCCTGTGGGAGTGGATCCCTCCTAGGCACTGGCCTGGGAAGAGGTTGGAGGACCATGGTGGAAAGAGGCCAACTTCAGGCCTGGGGTGAGGTTAGGAAAGAAGTGGGGAAACCCAAGGCCTTCCAAGAGGTGGGTTCCTACAACTTCCTAACCCATCTCTTTCTCCCGCCCCCGAGAACAGACAAAAACAAAACCAAAAAAAAACTCCAGTGAGGCAGCAGCTGACACCTGCATTGACCTGTGAGCGAGTAGCACCATCTTCTGGTCCAGGGTGGAAACCAGCTTCTGCGCTGCAGGCTCTGGAATCCTGGGAGGGTCTCATATTGGGTTACCTCATTCTCCTTCCTGACATTTTTTTTTTTTTGGTTGGGGGTTGGGGGGAAGGGTCTGGCTCTGTCACCAAGGCTGGAGTGCAGTGGTGCAATCTTGGCTCACTGCAGCTTCCACCTTTCGGGTTCAGGTGATCCTACCACCTCAGCCTCCTGAGTAGCTGGGACTACAGGGGTGCACCACCATGCCCGGCTAATTTTTGTATTTTCTGTAGAGATGGGTTTTCGCCATGTTGCCCAGGCTAGTCTCAAACTCCTGGACTCAAGCAGTTCTCCCGCTCGGCCTCCAAAAGTGCTGGGATTACAGGCGTGAGCCACCACACCCAGCTTCTCCTTCCTGTCATCTCTCTACTGCATGGAGGGGTTGGGGGTGGGCAGTCTCCACTACCCCTCCTCCTCTGGGCCAGGCCTGGGAAGCAGGTGTCCCACACACCAAGCTGGGAGCTTGGCCAAGACCCTTCCCTTTCTAGGCCTCAGCTTCCCCACTTCAAAGGGCAAGAGCTAATGGGTGAAACACGCTGGCCGCTCCAGTGGCCAGGGGGATCCAGAAGCCAGTGTCCTCTCATCCCAGGCTGTGAGGCATACGATGGGGGGTCCTCTGGACATTTTCTTTTTCTTGAGATGGAGTTTCACTCTTATTGCCCAGGCTGGAGTGCAATGGCTCTCGGCTCACTGCAATCTCTGTCTCCCGGTTCAAGCGATTCTCCTGCCTCAGCCTCCCAAGTGGCTGGCATTACAGGCATGTGCCACCATGTCTAGCTTATTTTGTATTTTTAGTAAAGATGGGTTTTCTTCACGTTGGTCAGGCTGGTCTCGAACTCCCGACCTCAGATGATCTGTCCACCTCGGCCTACCAAAGTGCTGGGATTACAGGCGTGAGCCACTGTGCCCGGCTTCCTTGGGACATTTCTAAGTGTGGGCTTCCCTGCCTTCTGCTACCCACCTGCCCATCCTGCCCAGAATGGCATGAGGACGCCAGAGGCAGAGCTAGGAGTCTGCTGGCCCTGACACCATAGCCAACCTGCCATTCCCACTCAGGTCTTGCCCTTTTCCATCAGCCCATTACATGCCCTGAAAGGCACGCCAGCTCATCACTCCAACAGAAGAGTTCCTCAGAAAAGAGCTGGGGGGCCAGGCACAGAGGCGGGTGGATCACCTGAGGTCAGGCGCTCAAGACCAGCCTGACCAACATGGCGAAACCCCGTCTCTACTAAGAAATACAAAAATTAGGGGGCCGGGCGCGGTGGCTCACGCCTGTAATCCCAGCACTTTGGGAGGCCGAGGCGGGTGGATCATGAGGTCAGGAGATCGAGACCATCCTGGCTAACAAGGTGAAACCCCGTCTCTACTAAAAATACAAAAAATTAGCCGGGCGCGGTGGCGGGCGCCTGTAGTCCCAGCTACTCGGGAGGCTGAGGCAGGAGAATGGCGTGAACCCGGGAAGCGGAGCTTGCAGTGAGCCGAGATTGCGCCACTGCAGTCCGCAGTCCGGCCTGGGCAACAGAGCGAGACTCCGTCTCAAAAAAAAAAAAAAAA
This sequence comes from Homo sapiens, assembly GCF_000001405.40. Classification (NCBI taxonomy): domain Eukaryota; kingdom Metazoa; phylum Chordata; class Mammalia; order Primates; family Hominidae; genus Homo; species Homo sapiens. The sequence goes on along the minus strand of NC_000017.11, from coordinate 39,205,539 downwards.
AAAAAAAAAAAGAAATACAAAAATTAGCCAGGCATGGTGGTGGGTGCCTGTCATCCTAACTACTCAGGAGGCTGAGGCAGGGAGAGTTGCTTGAACCCAGGAGGCAGGGGTTGCCGACTGCACTCCAGCCTGGGTGACAGGGTGATTCTGTCTCAAACTTTCAACTGTATCTCAATAAAGCTGTTTAGTGACAGCTTAGGTAGTAGCCAGTAGTCCAAGCTCAGGTCCCATTTGTAACCCCCACTTGTCAGCTGAGAAGTATAAACACCCTAAGTATTTCCTATGGCTTTTGTAAAGACTGATTCCTTAACTGATGTCACAACTACTGGTCCCAACCAACATTCTGAGACCACTTCTTAGGTGTCACTCGTGCTTCGAAGGGCAGTTCTGAGGCACAGTATTTTGGAGGCTTGCATAAAAGCCATTCCTTTTCTCCCTACATCCCACTAAAACAAGGTAAAAGACTCAGTGAGCAGGCCAAGTGTAGTGGCTCACGCCTGCAATCCCAGCATTTTGGGAGGCCGAGGCAGGTGGATCACTTGTGGTCAGGAGTTCGAGATCAACCTGGCCAACAGTGAAACCCAGTCTCTACTAAAAATACAAAAATCAGCCGGGCGTGGTGGCACGCACCTGTAATCCCAGCTACTCAGGAGGCTGAGGCAGGAGAACTGCTTGAACCTGGAGGTGGAGTTTGCGGTGAGCCAAGGCTGCGCCATCGGACTCAAGCCTGGGCGACAGGGCAAGACTCGTCTCAAAAAAAAAAAAAAAACCTCACTCAGTAACCGTAAACCTTGCAAGAAGCAGAGAGGAAGGCAGATTAAGGCTTGTTTTATTTTAATGGCTGATCTATGTAATCACAGAGGCCAGTATGTACAGACAAAGTGGGAGGTTTTATTTCTTGGTCTCTTCCTCCTTGGATAAAGTCTTGATGATCTCCTCCTTCTTGGCCTGGAGGCGCTCTTCACGGCGCTTGCGTGCTTCCTTGGTCTTAGACCTGCGGGCCTCAGCCTGGTCACTGGTCAGGGAAGAGAAAAGACGGGTCAGTTTGGGAAGAGATGAGATGCTAGGGAGACAGAAGCACATCCCCAGACCTCTCCCTTTGAGCCTAGTCAGCTTCTGGAATGAGTTGCTGGGCCCACCAAAGGCTCCTGCTTCAACTAACCTCTAGTCCCTACGAGACAGGAAGAGTGGGTGTGTACAGGACAGAGGAGTGGGTGCCTCTAAGGGAACAGCTGTATTCCTAAGACAGACTACGTGCAAGTCAAGACTTAGGCATTGGCACATTTTAAGTATCTAAGAACAACTCTCAAAGGTCTAAGAATGTTCCCCTAAGACTCTGAAAAGAAACTTACGCCAGGAGCTTCTTGCGGGCCTTGTCTGCCTTCAGCTTGTGGATGTGTTCCATGAGAATCCGCTTGTTTTTGAACACATTCCCCTTCACCTTCAGGTACAGGCTGTGATACCTGCAGGGTACACGGAGTGAAGAGATGCTGGTTGGTGATGGATCAGAGGCTGCCTTGTGAGCTGTTCCTCCACCCAAGGTCACTAAGCTTGTAGCTTCCTTTCTTTTCTCCTATTGCTGCATGAATTACTTCCTAAACCATGACTTTTTTGTGTGCAGTTCCTAGATAGAACTTGCCTGGCAAATAAACTGTTGGGCTATCCTGATGACATACAGGGAAAAAAAGAAAGACCAGAATAGAAAAACTTTCTTAGAAAGGCTCCCTACCCATGGCTGGGCGTGGTGGCTCAGGCCTGTAATCTGAGCACTTTGAGAGGCTGAGGCGGGCGGATCACTTGAGGCCAGGAGTTCGAGACCAGCCTGGCCAACGGTGAAACCACATCTCTACTAAAAATACAAAAATTAGCCAGGCGTGGTAGTACATGCCTGTAATCCCAGGTACTTGAGACGGTGAGGCAGGTGAAGTGCTTGAACCTCGAAAGCAGATTGCAGTGAACCAAGATCGTGCCACTGCATTCCATCCTGGGTGACAGAGCGAGACTCTGTCTCCAAAAAAAAAAAGCTCCCTACCCAAGGCCAGTAAGACAGATCTCTGTGGGCCACGCGTGGTGGCTCATGCCTATAACCCCAGCACTTTGGGAGGCCAAGGCGGGCGGATCACAAGGCCAGGAGATCGAGACCATCCTGGCTAACACAGTGAAACCCCGTCTCTACTAAAAATGCAAAAAATTAGCCAGGTATGGTGGCACATGCCTGTAGTCCCAGCTACTCAAGAGGCTGAGGCAGGAGAATAACTTGAACCTGGGAGGTAGAGGTTGTAGTGAGCTGAGATCGCGCCACTGCACTCCAGCCTGGGTGACAGAGCAAGACTCCATCTCAAAAAAAAAAAAAAAAAAAAAAAAATCTCTGGGAAATGAACTAGCCATCAAAGCAGCAAATGGGTACTGGGCCCAAGAGGGTGTGCTTACATGTGGCGATCGATCTTCTTAGATTCACGGTATCTTCTGAGCAGCCGGCGCAAAATCCTCATTCTCCTCATCCATGTGACCTTCTCTGGCATTCGGGCATTGGCTGTACCCTTCCGCTTACCTGTGGAGAAGATGAGTTAGGAACGGGCCACTACCCAGGCCCACTGTGTATAAGTACACCAAGTGAATATAGTTTCAAGTCAGGGTCCTTAACTCATTTAATCCTCACAACCTCATTTTAAGTAGCATTACTTCCATTTTCCAGATGATGATCCCAACTACGTAAGTTCTTTCGTTTACTCAATTTTAAAGGAAGCACAAATACAGCAATAATTCCCCATTCACTTCATGCAGAATGTGGGTGTAACAGGCAGTGCACCAAGGCAACACAGCACGTTGTAAGGAGCTTCCTTCGATCATTCTGAAACTAGAAAGTACAGAATCCTTGGCATAGTGTAGGTAGGGACTTAGTAAATGTGACCTCCTACCAGGGATACTCTCAATTCCAATACCAGCACCAACTTTCTGATTTGCACACAGGCAGAAAACACATCAAATATCAAGGAGTAAGAAACAGGCTCAAGATGAGACAGAGTGCTTAGATCCTGAATATATTTCAGCATAGATGCCAGCACCTATCATTTCTTAAGGAGAAGATGACCACACTTACCTATGCCCATGTGCCTGCCCTTCCGGCGGGCCAAGGTGTTTTTCCGGCATCGAGCCCGGGAATGGACCGTCACAGGCTTGCGGATGATCAGCCCATCTTTGATGAGCTTCCGGATCTGCTGACCTGGGAAAGCATAATGCACCTGGTCAGTCAACTGGGGCCCAAGCACATCACAGAGTCCAAATAGGCCAGGCCAGAGACACTGCTCACATTCTTGGCCCCACGGTCTCAAAAAGGATGGAAACACTGGAACTTATTTCTTGCCTTCAAAAACCCAAAAAACCTCTATCTTTTCTTTTTCCTTCACAAACAGAGGTTGTGAGAAATACCCTTTGTCTTTGAGACAGTCTCCCTATGTTGCCCAGGCCGGTCTTGAATTTCTGGGCTCATGATCCTCCTGCCTCAGCTTACCAAGTAGCTGGGATTAAAGATGCCTGCCACCATGCCTGGCCATTTCTACATTTTAAATATATGAAAGCACACTCAAAAGAACAAGCCTGATACAATGACTCCTCCATTTTATAGACACTCTGAATGAACTTTCCTAGGTTTGTAACAAGTCAACCCAGGCTAGGTGTGGTGGCTCACGTCGATAATCCCAGCACTCTGGGAGGCTGAGGTGGATGGATGACCTGAGGTCAGGAGTTTGAGACCAGCCTGACCAACATGATGAAACCCCATCTCTACTAAAGATACAAAAATTAGCTGGGTGTGGTGGCACGTGCCTTAGTCCCAGCTACTTGGGAGGCTGAGGAAGGAGAATCGCTTGAACCTGGGAGGCAGAGGTTGCGGTGAGCTGAGATCCTACCACTGCACTCCAGTCTGGGTGACAAAGTGAGACTCTGTCCCAAAAAAAATAAAATAAAATATAAAGAGTAAATTAGCTGGGTGTGGTGGTGCACACCTCTAATCCCAGCTACTCAGGAGGCTGAGGTGGGAGAATCACTTGAGCCTGGGAGCAGGGGTTGCAATGATCAGATGGCACCACTACACTCCAGCCTGGACAACAGAGCAAGACTGTCTAAAAAAAAAAAAAAAAGTCAACACAATTGTGTTATCATTAATCTGACGCAGGAGAAAAGAAGGAAGTAGGGTGAAGAGACAGATCCCAGGTACTCACGGGAGTTGGCATTGGCGATTTCATTGGTCTCATTGGGGTCTAACCAGACCTTCTTCTTGCCACAGCGGAGGACACTAGAGGCGAGCCTCTTCTGAAGCCTGAGCATACTAGACACACAGAAAACATGATTAGACTCTGAAAGCCAATCCTGGGCAAGAATGAACGTCCCCATCAAGACCTGCCCTTTGTGACCCACACCACAGCCGCGAAATAAGACTCTTCCCTAAATCATCTTTAAGGCTCTGGGCTATGCAGCTGGCCCCCTTGGGTTTAAGACTTCAAAACCCACGCTATGCCTTCACCTCTCGGAGCCTCATGTTCGCATTTCTCCTCTGGAAAGTCAAGCCAAGGACTTATTGGATTGAATAGGGGGGTTATGCCATTTCTGGTACTCAGCGTTTAAAGAATATTCGAGGTGAGTAGACCTGATTTCTAGTCTAGGAATGCAGGCAAGTTACTCTGTTTTCTGGGCTTATTTCCCTGTTTTATCACAGTAACAAGCCTCGTTCGGCTATTCGCAGAGATTTCCTTTATGAGAGGCCAAAGGAGTGAATGGAGTCAAGAGTTAGAGATCACCTCTCTCGGCAGTCGGAGGCCTGGGGCCTACACTAGGCTTGCCCTACATCACGTGAAAGCAGAGATCGGCTCCGCTCCGGGTGTGCCAAGCAAGAAAGGGCCCACGGCTTGGTCTTGTTCGCTCCGTTTGCTCTGCTCGCGTGGGTCGACCGGACACGTGTGCGGTGCGGCACCAGCCGGGGCAGACTTTTCCTGGTCTCAGTTGCTGCGACGCTCCCCGCCCCCCCTCACTCCGGAGGCCCGGGACGAAAGTGCTCCGGCCTACCCCAAACCCCGGGACCGGCCGCTTTAGGGCGGCCTCCATTTCATCTCCCCCAACCCCAGCTGCGGTCCCAAGACCGACAGTCCCTTGTCGACACGCGTCAGCGCCTGATGGAGACCAGCTCGCCCTCACCTCATGGCTGCGGCCGCAGCAGCGAAAGGAAAGAGCTCGCTCGGGCCCGGCTCCTCCCATTATCTGCGAAGGGGAGAGCCCAAACCCTGCTCCAATTTCGTCCGTATTCCTGTCCGGTTCTTTCATCTTCTGCCACACTAAACTCACTCATAGCCTCCATATAGGCCTGAAATGATAAAAGTCAAATATCAGAAATCGGTTTTAAACTTAAAAACATAAAAAAGTACCCCTTCCGTAGGGAAAGTGGTATAGTCCGACTTCCTACTAGACATGCGCAGCAAGGGTTCCCAATCACGTGGTTATCTGTAACCGGAAGTCAGCTGGATTGCGCAGGCGGAGTGAGAGAGGTTTTGCTAGAGTGGCCTGGTGTTTGCGGGCGTTCGGGGGGTTGTGGGTGGATGTTTTATTAGCTGAGAAAAAATCAGTTAAAGAAGCGAGAGAGAATGACAACAGATATCAGACAAAGGCGAACTCTTATTCACTCTTGTAGTAGATTGAAAACCCCTGGAGTGCAGAATCGATCACTAAAAGATGTTAGTGTTTTTACGCCACTGCGGGTCTTGCAAGCTCTTGGAGGGCGGGAACTAGTCTCAGTCTCATTTGGCTCACAACTGTACTGCGGCAGGCATGGATCCGCGATCGAACACACCTCAGAAATACCGCACTGGCTGAATGGATGAATGATTGCAGAAAGTAAAATTAAAAAAAAAAAAAATTGGGTTGGGCTCGATGGCTCATGCCTGTAATCCCAGCACTTTGGGAGGCCAAGGCAGGCGGATCACTTGAGGTCAGGAGTTCGAGACCAGCCTGGCCAACATGGTGAAACCCTGTCTCCACTAAAAATACAAAAATTAGCCGGGCGTAGCGGCGCGTGCTTGTAATTCCAGCTACTGGGGAGGCTGAGGCAGGAGAATCGCTTGAACCCAGGAGGCGGAGGTTGCAGTGAGCCGAGATTGCGCCACTGCACTCCAGCCTGGGCAACAGAGTGAGACTCCGTCTCAAAAAAAAAAAAAAAGCAGTCCTTTTCTTCTGATCTGGAACACCCAATGTAAAAATCCAAGAAGAACATTCTGGGGTTTAAGAAGTCTACATCTGAATTGAGGCTCCAACTCATGATTGGTTCCTGCTGATCACCCTATCCGTTTCATCTCAACTTTCCTGGCTGAGAAAGTAGAAGAGAGAGAAAGGGAAGCAACATTTATGCTACTTCCTCACAACAACACGATTAGCGTTGCCCTCATTTTACAGCTAAGGTAACAGATTCAGAACACAGATATTTCTGATTGCAAAGCCCATACTTTTGCGGTTATGCCAGCCTTTCTTGTCTCCAAGGGGCAGGTGGAAACCCTGCTCAGGGTTGGAACTCTCCTGGAACGTTTCTAATGGGCTTCATCTTCACTCACTGCTCCGCCTTCCCCAAGGTGTTGTGATCAGAGGAATGACAGACTGACCATTCACTTGCTATTAGAGTTGGGTGAGGAGGAGGAGTCCCATAGTCTCCTGTCCTGCGGAACACAGCAAGGTGGTGGCCTTATTGTAAGGTCACTTGACCTGGAGAGGGTCTTCTCCATCTCTCCTTTCTGTGGAGCAGGAGAAGGGGTGGAGTAGGAAGGGAATGGGTCCTCCTGTCATGAGTGACCCCTTCATTGAAACTTACAGCTTCTCCAAACACCCCAGCAATTCATTTAATTCTCCCTCATCCTCCCAATAATACCAGGTGACACAGACTCCACAGTACCAGCAACCCCATTTTATAGGAGAGGAGGAAACTGATGCTCAGAGAGGTGATTTGTCCGGGGCTATACAACCAGAAACAGCCTGAGCCAAATTGGCGCCAGAGTCTATTGCCCAGAATCTCCTATTCCTCTTCTCTCCACCAGTCATGGTGGGTGGCATCCAGATCTTGGATGTTTCTCCCTAAATCAGGGGTAAAGGTGGCGCAATTCTAGGTCAAAGGTCATGAGATCTGATTTTACCAGCTTCTCCTCTCTCAGCTCCATATTTCTTCCTCTTTTCTCATCCAAGAGCAGGGACCTCACCCAGCCCCATTCCTGGCCTTTTGGAAGAACAGGGGTTGGGGGGGCGGTGTATCCTAGTGACTGATTAGGGCAGAACTCCTGGACCCCTGGGATTTATTTTGCTGTCTCTATTGGACACCCTCCCCATCTCAGCCTCAGCCTCCCACCGGCAGCCCCAGAGCCATGTTGGAGGGAGAGGCTTTTCTGTTTGGTTTGAGGCAGCCTGGGCCCCACACTGGGGAGAAAGGAGTTAAAGCCAGGTCCCAGGATCACCGGGACCGGGAAGTTCCGGTGGTCCAAACAGGAGTGGGTTGGGGGGACCCGCAGGAAGAGAGGTTTGGGACAAAAGGGGGGTGGTGCCAGCCATGCCAATCCCCATCAGCGCTCGGCATCCACTGGTAGACCGCCCCCCCACCCCTCCCCCAAGTTCCACGCCTAGTTTCTGCCTTCCCGCCCCAGCGGGCCGCCTGCACCCCACGGCCAGTCAGAGGCCCACCTGCGGCCACCTAGAGCCGAGAGGGGCTTGCCTCCCTGCTGCCGCACGCCCATTGTGTGCGCCGAGCCGGCGGAGGGGCTGCGAGGGGCGGGGCCGGGCGGGCGGAGGGAGGGAGCGAGGGAGGGGCGCGGGGAGATGCTGAGCCTACGGGGGAGGCGGCGGCGGCAGTGGAGAGAGCGGGAGGAGCGAGGGAAGGCAGGAAGGAGGCAGCCGAAGGCCGAGCTGGGTGGCTGGACCGGGTGCTGGCTGCGCCGCGCTGCTTTCGGCTCCCACGGCCTCTCCCATGCGCTGAGGGAGCCCGGCTGGGCCGGGCCGGCGGCGGGAGGGGAGGCTCCTCTCCATGGTCCAGAAGACCAGCATGTCCCGGGGCCCTTACCCACCCTCCCAGGAGATCCCCATGGAGGTCTTCGACCCCAGCCCGCAGGTGAGGCGTGGTGGCCCGGCCCAACGGGAGGGGGTCGCTCCCGCGGACCGTGTTAAGGTCGGCTCGAGAGGCGCGGGAGAGGAAGGGGTTATATGCCGGGCGCGGAGGAGAGAGGGATGCCTGCGCGCCCCCCATCCTTGCAGGTTGTGATTGATGGGCGCTGGGCCTGGGGCTGGGTGGCGATGCTGCGGAGCGGGGAGGGGGCGGGTGGGCTGCCTGTCACCCTCGCCTCCTTATCTCCCCCGCGTCAAGGTTCCTGCCGCTTGGGCACCAGCTTCAGTGGGCTGAGCGTGGGGGTGCTGGTGGAGGGGGATCTGGGCCTTGAGAAGGGGAGGTTGAAAGAGGCTAGAAAGCGAGCCAGGCAAGGGGGGCGACGCAGAGCACGCTCGGGGGCGCCAGGCGGGTGTGGGTGGGGCGGGGGTGGCACGAGGAGGTGGCCGAGGCGATGGTCAGAGGGCGGTGCCAAATGCCAACAGGCCTTCAAAGCCGCAGACACTGGTTCTCGAGGGTGGGGAAAGAGCCAACCCCGGTCGAGGTCCCCTCCCAGCCACCTGGGCTCCATCTCTATGTCGGACCTGCTCCCCTCCCCCCACACCCACGTTGACTTACCCCACCCCCACCCCCGCCCCAAAAACGCCTCCAAAGTTTGGAAAGTTGGATGGATGCCAACTCATAGGAGGGGGGGAAGCTGTTTTACCTGGGGGAGGGGTCTACTTCTCCATCCCCACCCGCACACTTTTCCTACACCCCTGGTTACTCCCAGGAAGTGGCATTCTTGGGCGCGGTGGGTTCTCATGGGGTGACCAGCAGGCTCTGGGATGGTCGCGCCAGGGGATTTCTTTGGGAGTGTCCTTCTCCAAGGATAGCATTAACTCTTCTGTTACTGTGGCCACCAGCTGTAACCACCATGATAATGTGACTGATGGGTATGTAGAGGGGTCAAGTCAGACCTAAAAATACCTTCCTCCACCCCAGGCCCCTTTGAGCCTGGGAGGCAGCTGACTGGGGCCTTCCTTTCAGCTGTCCCCTGTCCCTCTGAGTGCCACTCCCTTTGCCCAGCCTGGCAGTGGTGGGGGAGGGTGGTGTCTGGGATTCACTGGGTGATCCTCCTAGGTTTGTAGGGAGCATCACAACTTGAGTTGGGGTATATGTCTGGTTTGAGAGAAGGGCGGGGAGGGGAGGATCTTGGAAAGGTCCCCAGGGGCCCTCCTCTCCCATTTTCCATCCTCTTTCTTGTACCCTGATCCCAGCAGCCAAAGCCCCCAGTCTGGTCATGGCCCCTCCAGGTTCTTTGGCCAAAGAAAGTCTAGGATGGAGACCAAGGGCGGGGACTTGGAAGTCTGAGCCCTCACTCACTCTCCCCATTCTGAACTGGGCTGAGGCCAAGTGTGTGTGGGTACAAGCTGGGGAGGGCCAGAAGCAGCTCTTCTTACAAGAGGACTGGAAATACCTGACGCCCTTAACCTGAACGTGTGGCTTCCTGAATGGTCAGGCGGTATTTCCTCCACCCGGTCTCTGAGACTGAGCCAGCTTACCCCCTAGAGATCTGTGGGGCTGTGTCCTAGGCTCATGTGGTGCGGGGCCGAGGGACATTTAGATTGACGTAGCCTGATGGGTACCATGGGCATGGGGCATGGGCAGTGGCAGCTGGGGGCCACAGGGTAGAAGCTTGATCCCTCTTGCCCCCTTGGGGAGGATTGTAGCTACTGTGATTGTGAGAGAGGGAGCTGAGAAAAAGTCCTGTCTGGGCAAGGGATGAGAGTGGGGAGCAAAATTTGCCCCCATGGTGCCAGGGATCAGGCTGGATGTTTACTCTCCAAATACAGTTCCATGCCCCTACTCCCTCCCCAGAAATCTGGCTCTGAGTCTCCAAGAGAGCTGTCATCCCCTCCCTACTCTGTGAATAGCGAAGGGAAGAGTTGGGCACAGGGGAGAAGCCAGGCTGGGCCCTGGGTTGGCAGTTCCTCCTCTCTGGGGGCCACCAACACAAACAGCCCTGCTCTGCTCCTGCGGAGGGGGAGTGGGGGTGACTTTCCCGCTCTCCCCACCCAACACCCAGCACTGCCGGCTGCCTCTCCCTTCCTCGGAGGCCTCTGCAGCCTGCCCAGCATCTTAATTAGCTCTGCTGCCTAATGAGCCTCCAGCTTCTCCGCGCCTCCCCCCTTCCCAGCCTCTCTGGCTTGGTTTGGTGGTTTCCGTGTGGGTCTTCTGGGGCTCTCTTGCACTGGTCCCCACTCCTGGCTGTGCTCTGGGCCCTCTCCGTGAGGATGGGAGACCCTCCCTCCCCTTGGGTCGTACCACCTCAGGAGGAATGTGCAGGGGGGTGGAGGTGGGGCTGGGAGTGCTGTTCCCAAGCTTGGCTGTAGCTCTGGGGCTGGCAAGATGAGGGTTGGGAAAGGGCCCTTCTGATTCTACTCTTGTTCCTTTCCTGGCCTCTTCAGGGCAAATACAGCAAGAGGAAAGGGCGATTCAAACGGTCAGATGGGAGCACGTCCTCGGATACCACATCCAACAGCTTTGTCCGCCAGGTAATGGGGAGGCTGGGCGGAGAGGAGGGAGGTGGCTGGTTGGTGGAGACCAGCATTGGTGAGCCAGGTCTGCGGTATTGTCCAGGCACCCTTCCCTGTGCCATTTGTCACCTGCCTGGAGCCACCCCATCACCCTGACACCCCATGACCTCTTCTGGATGTGCTGTCAGCGGCACCCACTCGCTCAGCCCCCGCCCCTGCCCGGCCCCTCCCCCAGCACCAGGCACCCTCCCCTGCTGCCTGCTGGCCTGCGTCATCTCATTCAGGGACAGCCTGGCCTGCCTCCCTCCAGCTTGCTTCGGGCTGTCACCCACTCCCCCTGCCGGCTGTCTGCTTCCATGTCCTCCCCCAGAATCTGTGACAGGGTTGGGTGGAGGCAGGTCCTAGGAAAAGCAGAGCAAGGATGTTTGGGTCCCTGTAGTCCTGGTGAGGTCCTGGCCAGGGAAACACGCTCCTCACCTCGAGACATGACTGTCTAAGAAGCACAGAGAAAGGGTGATGGTGACGGGGGTGGGGGTGGTTGAGGCATGAGGCTGTTGATTTTATAATAGAGAAGATGATAGCCCAGCACCCCTGCCTGAAAGGGTGTAACTGAGAATAGCTTTCTGGGGTCTTCTGTGCTCAGTCAGTAAGCGGCTGCTCTCATCTGTCAACCCTGGGCCATCTTAGGCTCAGGGTGAGGGACTGAGAGAGGCATGTGGTTGCTATGACTACTTAGCATCTCACCAAAGCCTGGTACCCAAAAAAGGCGAGAGGGGCTTGGGATTAGACAAGGAAAAGGCGTGTATTGAAGAGGAAATGGGCAGGGCATTTGAGGGCAGAAGACAGCACAGAGGAGGGGTCCTCTGGAGATGAGCCCCTCCCTTCCACCTTGGGCCAGGAGCGAGGGTGATGCCAGGCAGATCCACCACTAATTAGAGTGAGGCCCTTCTTTCCGTTTCTTCTGTCTCTACAGCACTTGGCACATGTGAGCCTCAGTCTGACTTGGGAGGTTCAGGAAGGGGAGGCTTCATTCTAGCCTTTTCTAAGTATAGGAACAGACAGGAAGTCCTTTCTTCAATCACCCCCTCATCCCTCCTGTTGCAGGACATGGCCAGGGCTGGGAAGAATGACGCTGTGCTTTTATTGCCCCTCTTGGCAGAAAAGGACCTTGGCTCCTTCAGTGTTTGCCAACCCAGGGAGTCAGACCCCAGCCTCCAATTCTTCCTCCTTTTAGCTCCCCAGCTCTGATCCCCGGTAGGTGGTGGGGAGTGGTGGAGGGGGGCAGTCCTTGCCACATCTCTGAGCTAAATATACCCTAGCAGTCTGCACATGTAGCAACTCTGCTTGTAACCCGAGCCCCCAAGGGAACGGGCAGTTTGGGCCACCCCCTAGGCCAGCAGGGCCAGGCACTGAGGGTGCCGGGATGGAGGCGCCCAGCCGGACCGTGGTGGTGGTGAGCTGGGGATGGAGTGGGGTGGCAGCGGGTAGAACAGCCTCTCAGGAAAGCTGACGGAGGGCAGCCTTTACTCCAGCGTGTCTCCATGCCTCCTCACTGTTTCCTGTCTTCTGCCATTTCTGATGTGTGCGTGTGTATGCGCGTACATGTGTCTGCATATGTGTGTGTATGTGTGCGCATGCCTACATGTGTGTCTGTGTGCACCTGTGTGTCTGCATATGTGTGTGTGTCTGCCCGCACATGTGCGTCTGCATGTGTGTCTGTGTGTGTGCATGTAACTGTGTGTGTATGTGTACACGTGCGCGTGCCTGCATGTGTGTTGGGGTCAGTGAGTGTGTGCGCGCGTATGCCTGCATTTGTGTTGGGGTTGGTGAGTGTGTGTGTGCACGCGCATGCCCGCGTGTGTGTTGGGGTCGGTGAGTGCCTCTCTGCTAGTCTGTCTCCCTGTCTGTTTCCCTGGCTCTTTGACTCTGCGTGCTCCCATCAGGGGGGAGAGGGGGAGCTACGCTGGTTTTCTCTCCTTCTCTCCTTCATGCCTCTTTCCCCACTTCTGTTAGTGACCCCCGCTCCACCCCAACCCTTCCTCCGCGGGTCTCCCATTTTCATTATTTGTCTGGGAAAGAGATGGGCAGCTGCACCAGCTAATGACCTGAGGCCCCTGGGGAGAGGTGGGACTTTGTTTCTGTCTTTCCCAGGTCCCCTCCATGCCAAACTTATGGACCTTCCTGGCCAAGTGACCCTTTTCTGCCCTCAGGAAAGAACCCCTACATCCCTGCAGTCCTCCTCTTTTGCCACATAACCTCCTATGCCTTGTCCAACACCACCCCTGCATAGTCACACAAATCCACACCTCTTGCCTCCTGCCCTCACATGTCCCCCAACCTCAGGGTCACAGATGTCTGGGAGCTCCCCCCCAGTACACTCACATGTGGCTGTACACACACAGTCATATGCAGCCAACTATAGAGCACACCCTCCTCCACACACTTGTACTTGCACATCCACACACACACATGAAGAAGCACGTGCATTCCCACTACCAGGTCTGTACGGGCAACATGTGTCTTACACATATGTGTGCATCCCTAAAGGAGTCCCTTGTGCTCTGGGTTGGTCATTGTGGTCAAAGCCAGCTGTCTGGCACCCAGCAGCCCTCATTTCAGGGAAAGCCCTGTCCCATATCCTGCTCTTAACTTGCCTCTTCGGTCTGTACCAGCCTGGAACTCTTGGGTTCTCTTGTGTCCTAGGAGAGCCTGAGGACTGGGGCTGTAAGTAGTGAAGTTTGATTCTGGCAGTACCAGTTAAGAGGAGCAGGGGAGGTAGGAGTCTGTCTCCCTCTACCCTTGAACAGAAGCTGGCAAAATCTGTGGTGGCCCCATCCTGCGGAGCAGGCCGTCCACGGCTGATAGTGCAGAGAGCTCAGGCCGAAGCTGGTGGCTGCAGTCCCTGGAATGGATGCCACTGGACCTCAGCTGAGTCTATCTCAGCGGGTGCTGGGGGCAGGGGAGGGAAGGAGCAGTGGGAGTAGAGACTCGTCCCTGGCATTCCTCCCTTGCCTTGTGCCCCTATCAGGTTCCCACCCCTCCCTGGGCCCCAAGCAGCTGTCCTTGGGCCTGCCTTCATCTCCTGCTTGCTGCTGTCACCCTCACTAGGGCCACACTTTCCCCAGGGGCCTGAGAAATCTCAGCTCCTGGTCCCTTCCACCTAATACCACCTTGTCTTAGCCCTTGTGGTGTCATGCTGGGCTGGCTGGGGCTCGAGGCATCCATGATGGGTGGCACCTCCATGCCTTCCCAGGCCCAGGAGCTGGGAGGGGCAGCAATGGCCCTGATCTGGCTCTCTCTATTTTCAGGGCTCAGCGGAGTCCTACACCAGCCGTCCATCAGACTCTGATGTATCTCTGGAGGAGGACCGGGAAGCCTTAAGGAAGGAAGCAGAGCGCCAGGCATTAGCGCAGCTCGAGAAGGCCAAGGTGAGAAAGATGTGGGGAGGGGCTGTGCTGGCATGATTTCCCCCAGTCCTGGGCTGTAGAGAGAGCCCAGACAGAACCAGGGCCAAGTCTTGACCCAGCCACTTCCTAGTACCCCTGAACCTTGCTCCTCTGTCCTTCACCTGCACAATGTGGGCTATAATACCTGCCTGCTTATACAGTATAATAAGTATAATAAGTGCGTGTTATTATACTGTTTCCACACATAATAAGGGCTTGATAAGTGCTAAAAATTTCTTTTTTTTGTTTTTTGAGTTGCAGTCTTGCTCTGTCACCCAGGCTGGAGTGCAGTGGCATGATCTCGGCTCACTGCAAGCTCCGCCTCCCGGGTTCACGCCATTCTCCTGCCTCAGCCTCCCAAGTAGCCGGGACTATAGGCTCTGGCTGCCACGCCCGGCTAATTTTTTGTATTTTTAGTAGAGACGGGGTTTCACCATGTTAGCCAGGATGGTCTCGATCTCCTGACCTTGTGATCCGCCCCCCTCAGCCTCCCAAAGTGCTGGGATTACAGGCGTGAGCCACCGTGCCTGACCTGGTCCTGACTCTTAATAGCTGTGTGATCTTAGGAAAGTCACATTAAAAGGAAGATAATAATACCACTTAACTTCAGAGGATTTTTTATTTTTGTGATGAATATAAATGAGAGAATATGTGTTAAGTGTGTAACATGGTACCTGGAACACTAAATGGTCATTACTGTCATTATTGTTTTTTTTAATTTAATTTTAGGCCAGGTGCTGTGGCTCACGCCTGTAATCCCAGCACTTTGGGAGGCCCGGTTGGGCGGATCACTTGAGGTCAGGAGTTCGAGACCAGCTTGGGCAATGTGGTGAAACCCCGTCTCTACTAAAAATACAAAACGTAGCTGGGTGTGGTGGTGTACGCCTGTAATCCCAATTACTCGGGAGGCTGAGGCACCAGAATCGCTTGAACTAAGGAGGCGGAGGCTGGAGTGAGCTGAGATCGCACCACTGCACTCCGGCCTGGGTGACAGAGCGAGACTCTGTCTCAAAAAACATAATAATAAATAAATTTAAATATTTATTATTTTTTATGAGACAGGGTCTCTCTCTGTCACTCAGGCTGAGTGTAGCGGCGTGATCACAGCTCACTGGAGCCTTGACCTCCCATCTCAGCCTCCCGAGTACCTGGAACTATAGAGGCATACCACCACACCTGGCTGATTTTTTATTTTTTGTAGAGATGGGATCTTGCTATGTTGCCCAGGCTGGTCTTGAACTCCTGGGTGCAAGTGATCCTCCTGCCTCGGCCTCCCAAAGTGCTAGGATTACAGGCATGGGCCACTGTGCCCAGCCCCTTTTATTTATTTATTTATTTTTGAGATGGAGTCTTGCACTGCCGCCCAGGCTGGGGTACAGTGGTGCGATCTCGGCTCACTGCAGCCTCCGCCTTCCAGGTTCAAGCGATTCTCCTTGCCTCAGCCTCCCAAGTAGCTGGGATTATAGGCGCCCGCCACCATGCCCGGCTAATTTTTTTTTGTATTTTTAGTAGAGATGGGGTTTCACCATGTTGGCCAGGCTGGTCTCAGAACTCCTGACCTGGTGATCTGCCTGCCTCGGCCTCCCAAAGTGCTAGGATTACAGGCGTAAGCCACTGTGCCCAGCTGCCCCTTTTATTTTTTAAAAACCGACAGGGCTGGCTGGGTGCGGTGGCTCACGCCTGTAATCCCGGCACTTTGGGAGGCTGAGGTGGGTGGATCACCTGAGGTCGGGCATTTGAGACCAGCCTGACCAACATGGTGAAACCCCATCTCTACTAAAAATACAAAACTAGCCAGGTGTGATGGCGCATGCCTGTAATCCCAGCTACTTGGGAGGCTGAGGCAGGAGAATTGCTTGAACCAAGGAGGCAGAGGTTGCAGTGAGCCAAGATTGCGCCATTGCACTCCACCATGGGCAACAAGAGCGAAACTCCATCTCAAAACAAAACAAAACAAAACAGACAGGATCTCCCTATATTGCTCAGGCTGGTCTCAGACTCCTTCCCTCAAGCCAGTATTGGGATTACAGGTGTGAGCCACTGTGCCTGGCTGCTATTATTATTATTATTATTATTTTATTTTATTTTATTTTGAGACGGAGTCTTGCTCCATCACCCAAGCTGGAGTGCAATGGCACGATCTTGGCTTGCTGCAACCTCTGCCTCCTAGATTCAAGTGATTCTCCTGCCTCAGCCTCCTGAGTAGCTGGGATTACAGGTGCGTGCCACCACGCCCAGCTAATTTTTATATTTTTAGTAGAGACGGGGTTTCACCATGTTAGCCAGGCTGGTCTCGAACTCCTGACTTCATGATCCACCCACCTTAGCCTTTCAAAGTGCTGGGATTACAGGCATGAGCCATTGCGCCCGGCCTATAACTATTATTTAATTAATTTATTTTGTTTTGTTTTTGAGACGGAGTTTCGCTCTTGTTGCCCGGGCTGGAGTGCAGTGGCACCATCTCAGCTCACTGCAACCTCCACCTCCCAGATTCAAGTGTTTCTCCTGCCTCAGCCTCCCAAGTAGCCAAGATTACAGGCATGTGCCACCACACCATGCTAATTTTGTATTTTTAGTAGAGACAGAGTTTCACCATGTTAGTCATGGCTGGTCTCGAACTTTTGACCTCAAGTGATCCACCTGCCTTGCCCTCCCAAAGTGCTGGGATTACAGCAGTGAGCCACCGTGCCCGGCCTGCTATTATTATTATTTTTTCTGGGTATCATTGTGGGCTTCCCCACCCCCAACCCTTTTCATTCCTGAGTGCCCCGCCTCTACCCTGAGAGGGCTGAATTCCACATTTTGCTTTCTTGTTTTTTATTGTAAAAGTTAATATACATGGAGAAAACCACACAAGCCAATTCAGTATACATTTTTTTTTTTTGACGGAGTCTCACTCTGTCATCCATGCTGGAGTATAGTGGCATGATCTCGGCTCACTGCAACTCTGCTGCCCTGGTTGAAGTAATTCTCCTGCCTCAGCCTTCCAAGTAACTGGGATTACAGGCATCTGCCACTGCGCCCAGCTAATTTTTGTATTTTTAGTAGCGACAGGGTTTCACCATCTTGGCTAGGCTGGTCTTG
This sequence comes from Homo sapiens, assembly GCF_000001405.40. Lineage (NCBI taxonomy): Eukaryota > Metazoa > Chordata > Mammalia > Primates > Hominidae > Homo > Homo sapiens. Next base: position 39,188,371 of record NC_000017.11, on the reverse strand, counting down.
AACTCCTGACCTCATGAATCCACCTGCCTCTGCCTCCCAAAATGCTGGGATTACAGGCGTGAGCCACCACGCCCAGACTTTTTTTTTTTTAGACAGAGTCTTGCTCCGTCATCCAGGCTGGAGTGCAGTGGTGCCATCTTGGCTCACTGCAACTTCTGCCTCCTGAATTCAAATGATTCTCATGCCTCAGCCCCCTGAGTAGCTGGGATTACAGGTGTGTGCCACCATGCCCAGCTAATTTTTTTGTATTTTTAGTAGAGGCAGAGTTTCACCATGTTGGCCAGGCTGGTCTCAAACGATCCACCTGCCTTGGCCTCCCAAAGTGTCAGTATACATTTTGTTGTTGTTGTTGTTGTTTTGAAATGGAGTCTTGCCCTGTTGCCCAGGCTTGAGTGCAGTGACACAATCTTGGCTCACTGCAACCTCCACCTTCCAGGTTCAAGCAACTCTCCTGCCTCAGCCTCCTGAGTAGCTGGGATTATAGGCACCCACCACCACGCCTGGCTAATTTTGTATTTTTAGTAGAGACGGGGTTTCACCATGTTGTTCAGGCTGGTCTCGGACTCCTGACCTCAGATGATCCACGTACCTTGGCCTCCCAACGTGCTGGAAATACAGGTGTGAGCCACCACACCCTGCCCATGTCCATACACATTTCAAGGAACTATTATAAAGTAAACATCCAAGTAACCACCACTACTGTCAGGAAGTTGTACATTACATTGTGGTTTGCCCTCTAGTTGCCATCCTCCCCTGTGTGCCTCCTCTAGACCAAGCCAGTGGCATTTGCTGTGCGGACAAATGTTGGCTACAATCCGTCTCCAGGGGATGAGGTGCCTGTGCAGGGAGTGGCCATCACCTTCGAGCCCAAAGACTTCCTGCACATCAAGGAGGTGGGTATCTGGAGGGAGGGCAGGGAAGTGGGTGCCAGGAGACAGGCAGCCAGAGTGCTAGTGGACAAAAGGCTTCTGAGCCAAGCAGAGCCAGGCTGAATCTGCTGTGTGACCTTAGACAAATCTCTCCACCTCTCTGAGCCTCTTAATTTTCTACTGGAAAAATGAGGTGGTAATGCTTAGGTCAGAAGGTTGTTGGGAGGGTTTGTTAGGGGGCCTGAACTGGCATGGCGGTGTGCCAGGGACATGTAGGTATCCGCATTTACTCCAGCGGCCTTTGTAGAGTAGGGTGGGCACATGGGGAGAAGGACTCTCAGAATTGCATTGGGCCGGTGGCAGGGTGGTCCATGGCCAGAAAGCATGCTGGTCCTGGAGTTGTCCTGAGAATTGGCAGCTCCACTCAGAGGCTGGAGCCAGGGCTGGGGATTTTTGAGGGTGCCACCCCTGGGCTGGGAGGTGAGTCTGGGCGTTTCCCCTAGAGAGTGACTGCTAGCTTGCCCCTGCAGTTTCCCTCTTGCTCTTTCCACCCACCTGCCATATTCTTTGCAGAAATACAATAATGACTGGTGGATCGGGCGGCTGGTGAAGGAGGGCTGTGAGGTTGGCTTCATTCCCAGCCCCGTCAAACTGGACAGCCTTCGCCTGCTGCAGGAACAGAAGCTGCGCCAGAACCGCCTCGGCTCCAGGTGTCTGGGTGGGGCAGGGGAAGGGGATGCTGCCAACCCCAGGAGAGGCCATACAGCCTGGACTAGGCCTCAATGGTTGTCCCTGGCCCTGAGGGCACAGAGCTGCCTGTGGCATCACCAGTGGGGCTGGAGCACCTCCGGGGGTGCCGCATGTGAGAGGATGAGAGCCCCCCACGCCCACCTCTTTGCTCACAAGCTCGGTTTGCCTCTGCCCACACAGCAAATCAGGCGATAACTCCAGTTCCAGTCTGGGAGATGTGGTGACTGGCACCCGCCGCCCCACACCCCCTGCCAGTGGTAAGAGCCATCGCCATGCAGGGGTTTGGGAAGAAGCTCCTGGGTGGGGTGGTCTCCCCACTCCCTGAATCCTCCTTTCCCTGCAGTAGGAAACACCCCAATCCTGAGTCCCCCAAGCACATGCAGTGGTTCCCCCTCCATGAAGAGTAGGCTACCCCTCAAGCTGGGCCTGTCATGTCTCTCCTCTCCCTTTTCTTTGGTAGCTCCATCTCTCTGCCTGATTCCCCTGCCCTGCCCCCATTCATTTCTCCCAGCCCTGTTCCATTCACCTCTTCTTCTTTCTTTTTTCCCCATCCCCATCCCTGCGTTCTGTACTTGTGTCTCCACGTTCATCTCACTCCTTCTCCCCACCTCGCCTCCCTCCTCCCTCTCTCCTGACTCTCCGGTCCAGGTAATGAAATGACTAACTTAGCCTTTGAACTAGACCCCCTAGAGTTAGAGGAGGAAGAGGCTGAGCTTGGTGAGCAGAGTGGCTCTGCCAAGACTAGTGTTAGCAGTGTCACCACCCCGCCACCCCATGGCAAACGCATCCCCTTCTTTAAGAAGGTAATTCTCGCTGTGTTCTTGCAAGAGGTGGGGGAGTCAGGGCCAGCACTTTGGTGGAGGGAAGGGGGCTGTAATGGATTCAGATGTGGTACCAACCTGTTCTGTGGGCATCAGGGCTTCCTGCTGAGGTGGAGGGAAGGGTAGCATGGGCACATCCCCCTCCACACACAACTCCACCCTGGCCCGATCTCCAGGAAGGAGATCTTGCCCTTGGAAGGTTGCCCCCACACCTGGGGCAGCAGGGTTTGGTGGTCATGAACCCTGACCTCTCCCCTCACTCCCAGGGGCCTGCTCTGGTGTTGGTGTCTACCTTGGCATGTGAAGCAGGACATGGGATGGCATTCCTTCTTTGCCCTTTTTTGACTCTCTGGGTGGGCACATAGTGGGGGGGGGCTGCTGGCTGCAAAGCAAGACAGTTAAGGGAACCCCTAAAATGGGCATGTTGGCATGCACTGGGGGCAGGAGATGGGCAACAAGATAGGGGCTGTCACCCTCTCCAGCTCTTTTCCAAGACCCAGAAGAGGGTAGGATATGTCTGAATATTCCCACATCCACTGGACTGACTGTCAGTCCTGCTCCCAGCCCTGATCCAGGGCCACCTCTGGCTCCCCCTTGGCGTGGGGTCCCGTTCCCCGTCTCTGGCTCTGTCTGTCACTAACACGCATGCCCTGTTATCTCTCCTCGTCTGCCCGGCTCTCCCTCCCTCTCTTGTCCTGGCTCCTGCCTTGCCCTCTGCCCCTGCCTGGGTCCCCTTCCCTCTCTCCTCCCCCTTCCCTCTCTTGGCAATCTCTGGACCCAGCCAAACAGAAGCAGAAGTCGGTGAGTATCACAGCTTTCTGTGTCCTCCTCCCCACTCCCTGGGATGAGCTAGGGGGACCTTCTAACACCCATTCCCACATCTGTCCCCCATTTCCCCCACCCTTCCTGGTTCTCCCTGGCCATCCCTCCCCACCCCCACCCTGATCCCTACATCTGGGCTCTGGGACCAGGGTGGGGGAAGGCTGCATGGGGGAGCCTGGAGTCTGGGGGAGAGGATCTAATGTCATCTCCACTCTGGGGTTTCCCCTCCCTGCTTCCCCCCCCAGACAGAGCATGTGCCCCCCTATGACGTGGTGCCTTCCATGAGGCCCATCATCCTGGTGGGACCGTCGCTCAAGGGCTACGAGGTAGGACTTCCTAGAGGGGAGTGGATGCAGAGGGGCCTTAGAAAGATCTTCAGACCCCAGAGAGATCCCCTAGAAGGGCCCGATCCCAAGGCATCCTCCCAGGAGGGCTACAGACTTTCAGAGACAACCCCCAGGGGGCCCAATCCACAGAAAGACCCACTCAGAGGAGCCCCGTCCCCCAAAGAAACCCTCAGAAGAGCCCTCCCAGAGATGCCACTTACAGGGACCTTGGAACCAGAGACCCCAGTGGAGGCCCCTCAGACTCAGACCCCCGCCCGCCGTAAAGGCCTGTCCAGAAGAAAGTGGAACGTGAGGGTACAAATACCCAGCGACTCAGAGTCTGAGCGGCTTTAAATGCCTGCCTTCTCCTCCCTCCCTCCCCACAAACCCCCACCCCCAGGTTACAGACATGATGCAGAAAGCTTTATTTGACTTCTTGAAGCATCGGTTTGATGGCAGGTAAGATCCTGGGAGCTGCTCCTCGCACCTGCCGTTGCTCTCTGCTGCTGGGGATGGGCAGGATGCCTCGAATCACAATCCTGGGACTCGGACTGAGGAACAGAAGGCGGGCCTGGAACTGGGGAGTGGGCAGGGCATTCCAGCCCACCCTGACCCCTGACTCCCCTCTTGCCCCATTCCCCAGGATCTCCATCACTCGTGTGACGGCAGATATTTCCCTGGCTAAGCGCTCAGTTCTCAACAACCCCAGCAAACACATCATCATTGAGCGCTCCAACACACGCTCCAGCCTGGGTGAGCCTACTCCTGCTGTCTTCACTCCCCCTTTCTGGGCCGGATGTGGGAGGGGTGGGAGGTGTGGGAGGTAGTGGGCAGGGCCATCTCCAGAAGTGTTCCCTCCACCTGCTGTTCCTGGGAGGCCACCTGACATTCCCCCATCCACATGACTCCATGCCCCCAGCTGAGGTGCAGAGTGAAATCGAGCGAATCTTCGAGCTGGCCCGGACCCTTCAGTTGGTCGCTCTGGATGCTGACACCATCAATCACCCAGCCCAGCTGTCCAAGACCTCGCTGGCCCCCATCATTGTTTACATCAAGATCACCTCTCCCAAGGTGGGTGCAGGAGCCTGACCCTGGCCAGGACAGCGTGGTTTGAAAGGGCTGCTTGGGTTTAAATCCCAGCTCCACTGCTTACTAATTACGTGAATTAATCTGCCTGAGTCTTAGTTTCCTTCTCTGTAAAGCTCCATCGTATTGTCAAGTGTTTCAACCTCATATGAATGTATAGCACTTAGCAAATGGTCTGATACAACATGTTAGCTATTATTTACTATTATTAGGGTCATGCAGACCAGTCCCCTGTCTCCACTCTGATTGACTTCCCACCCTTGGACTGAAAGAATTCTGTGCTTTTTGTTCCAGTGCCACCCAGCTACTTGGCAGTTGGGAGGTCTTTCCTTTCTTCTTCTTCTTCTTCTTCTTCTTCTTTTTTTTAAGTCAGGATCTCGCTCTGTCACCCAGGCTGGAATGCAGTGATGCAATCATAGTTCACTGCAGCCTCTACCTCCTGGGCTAAAGCAATCCACCCACCTCGGCCTCCCACGTAGCTGGGACTACAGGTGTCCACCACCATGCCTGGCTAATATTTTTATTTTTTAGAGATGGGATTAGCTGTGTTGCCCAGGCTGCTTTCCTCTCTTGATATCAGCCCTTTTTGCTGCAGTGTCCTCATTTGGACTTTGATAGAGGGGAAATCGGTAGGAAGGCCGCCTTACTTTTTCCTTGTATTGCAGCACCATTAACTTTCCCTTCTAGATGCCAGTGGGGATCTGAGAAACACGGAGGAAGAGTTGAGGTGGAGGATTTGAAGTTAGAAGACAGCATGGGCTTGAAATTCAAGCTCTGATTGGTTTACGTATTGATTTATTCTTATTGTTGGTTGTTTTTTATTGAACTTGGAATCTTGGGGGAATTATTTAGCCTCTGATTCTCTATTTCTTCACCTATAAAGTGGGGTTGTAATCCCTCTCGTGTTATTGTTGAGAGGATTGCTGTAAGGAGCCCAGTATACTCTCTGATTTATTTATTTATTTATTTATTTATTTATTTATTTATTTATTTATTTTAGACAGAGTCTTGCTCTGTCACCAGGCTGGAGTGCAGTGGCGCGATCTTAGCTCACTGCAACCTCCACCTCCCAGGTTCAAGCGATTCTCCTGCCTCAGCCTCCTGAGTGGCTGGGACTACAGGAGTGTACCACCACGGCCCGGCTAATTTTTTGTATTTTTTAGTAGAGACAGGGTTTCACCATGTTGGCCAGGATGGTCTCGATCTCCTGACCTCGTGATCTGCCCACCTCGGCCTCCCAAAGTGCTGGGATTACAGGAGTGAGCTACCGCACCCAGCCTACTCTCTGATTTATGAGGGCAGCCAATAGTGGTAACCATTATCATCCCATGAGCTGGGCTCCCTGGACCAGTTACTTAACCTTTTTTTTTTTTGAGACAGCCTTGCCCTGTCACCCAGGCTGGAGTGCAGTGGTGCGATCTCACTCACTACAGCCTCCGCCTCCCAGGTTCAAGTGGTTCTTGTGCCTCAGTCTCCCGAGTAGCTGGGGTTAGGATTACGGGCACACACCACACCTGGCTTTTTTTTTTTTTCTTTTTGAGAAGGAGTCTCACTCTGTCACCCAGGCTGGAGTGTAGTGGTGCGATCTTGCTCACTGCAACCTCCGCCTCCTGGGTTCCAGTGATTCCTCTGCCTCATCCTCCTGAGTAGCTGGGACTACAGGTGCATGCCACCACACCTGGCTAATTTTTATATTTTTAGTAGAGACGGGATTTTACCATGTTGGTCAGGTTGGTCTTGAACTCCTGACCTCGTGATCCACCGGCCTCGGCCTCCCAAAGTTCTAGGATTACAGGTGTGAGCCACTGTGCCCGGCCACACCTGGCTAATTTTTGTATTTTTAGTAGAAACAGGTTTTCACCATGTTGGCCAGGCTGGTCTCAAACTCCTGACCTCAAGTGATTTCTCCTGCCTCAGCCTCCCTAAGTGCTGGGATTACAGGCGTGAGCCACCGCGCCCAGCCTACTTAACCTTTCTGAGTCCTCTGTTTCTAATGAGATAAAGGGGATGATGGGATTTAAGTACTTCCTGAGGGGAGTTGAAAGGACCAAATGAGATAATGGATGCAAAAACACTGAACTAGAAAGTAACCAATGCTTCCATTTCCCCCACTGAGGTTAAGAGGAGGGACTCTGGAACCAGGCAGCCTGGACCTTCTACTCCAGGGCTGTCACTTACTGGCTCTGTGTTCCTTTGGCAAGCGGCCAAACATCTCTATGCCTTGGTTTCCTCATCTGCAGCATAGGCATACTGGGTTTGTGAAGATTAAATAAATGGGTTAACCATGAAAAATGCTTGGTATTGGGCCAGGCACGGTGGCTCACACCTGTAATCTCAGCACCTTGGGAGCCCGAGGCCGGCGGATTGCCTGAGCTAAAGAGTTCAAGACCAGCCTGGGCAACATGATGAAACCCTGCCTCTACTAAAATTCAAAAAATTAGCTGCGCATGGTGGTGGGCACCTGTAATTCCAGCTACTCAGGAGGCTGAGGCACAAGAATTGCTTGAACCCAGGAGGCGGAGGTTGCAGTGAGCCGAGATTGCATCACTGCACTCCAGCCTGGGTGACAGAGCAAGACTCTGTCTCAAAAATAAATAAATAAATAAATAAAAATAAACGCTTGGTATCCCAGAACTATATCTGTTCCATTTTGTAAGAAGATTTTCATTTTCAAATAATTTCAGATTTACAGAAGTGTGGCAAGAATAGTATCAAAAAAATCTTATTTTTTGAATATTCTTCACCAGGATTCACTAACTTTTTAACATTTTATTGAGGTAGAATTCCCATACCATTAAGTTCAGCCATTTAAAGTCTATAAGCCAGGCTTGGTGGCTCACACCTGTAATCCCAGCACTTTGGGAGGCTGAGGCAGGTGGATCACTTGAGCTCAGGAGTTGGAGACCAGACTGGGCAACATGGCAAGACCCTGTCTCTATTAAAAAATAAAAAATAAATTAAGTGTACAGTCTAATTTTTTTCAGATTCACAAATTTTGAAACATTTACTTTTATCTTTCTTTCTCTCTTTTTTTTTTTGAGGGGGGACGAAGTCTCGCTCTGTCACCCAGGCTGGAGTGCAGTGGTACAATATTGGCTCACTGCAATCTCTGCCTCCCAGGTTCAAGTGATTCTCCTGCCTCAGCCTCCCAAGTAGCTGGTATTACAGGCGCCCACCACCACACCTGGCTAATTTTTATATTTTTAGTAGAGACAGAGTTTCACCATGTTGGCCAGGCTGGTCTCGAACTCCCGACCTCAAAAGATCCACCTGTCTCAGCCTCCCAAAGTGCTGGGATTATAGGCGTGAGCCACCATGCCTGGCCTATATTGTGTTTCTTAAGAACAACATCATTATCTTACACAACCATGATGCAATTGTAAAATTCAAGAATTATTTCTAAAATATAGTCCATATTTGGTTTTTTTTTTTTTTGAGCTAGGGTCTCACTCTGGCTGCCCAGGCTGGAGTGCAGTGATGCGATCTTGGCTGACTGCAGCCTCTGCCTCCCTAGTTCAAGCAGTTCTGCCTCAGCCTCCTGAGTATCTGGGATTACAGGCGCCTGCCACCATACCCAGTTAATTTTTGTATTTTCAGTAGAGACGGGGTTTTGCCATGTTGGCCTGGCTGGTCTCGAACTCCTGACCTCAGGTGATCCACCACCACCCCTGCCTCCCAAAGTGTAGGGATTACAGGCGTGAGCCACTGTGCCGGTATAGAATGCCCTTCATAGCAACATTTCCCCCAATCCAGGAACCAACCCAGGATCACTTGTTGCCTGTTGTTTTTTAGACAGAGTCTTGTTCTGTCGCCCAGGCTGGAGTGCAGTGGCATGATGTCAGCTCACCTCAACCTCTGCCTCCCAAGTTCAAGTGATTTTCATGCCTCAGCCTCGTGAGTAGCTGGGACTACAGGCATGTGCTACCACGCCAAGCTAATTTTTGTATTATTATTATTTTTTAATAAAGACAGGGTTTCACCATGATGGCCAGGCTGGTCTTGAACTCCTGGCCTCAGGTGATCCACCCGCCTCAGCCTCCCAAAGTACTGGGATTACAGGTGTGAGCCACTGCGCCCGGCCTAGTTTTCTTTCTTTCTTTCTTTCTTTTTTTTTTTTTTGAGACAGAGTCTCACTCTGTCGCTCAGGTTGGAGTGCAGTGGCGATCTCAGCTCACTGCAAGCTCCGCCTCCCAGGTTCACGCCGTTCTCCTGCCTCAGCCTCCCAAGTAGCTGGGTCTACAGGCACCTGCCACCATGCCCGGCTAATTTTTTTAGTAGAGACGGGGTTTCACTATGTTGGCCAGGATGGTCTTGATCTCCTGACCTCGTGATCCACCCACCTTGGCCTCCCAAAGTGCTGGGATTATAGGCATGAGCCACTGCACCCGGCCCTCTTTTTTTTTTTTTTTTTTTTTTTGAGACGGAGTCTTGCTCTGTTGTCCAAGCTGGAGTGCAGTGGCACCATCTCGGCTTACTGCAAGCTCTGCCTCCATTCTTCTGCCCCAGCCTCCTGAGTAGCTGAGACTACAGGCGCCTACCACCACATCCGGCTAATGTTTTGTATTTTTAGTAGAGATGGGGTTTCACCATGTTAGCCAGGATGGTCTCGATCTCCTGACTTCAAGATCTGCCCGCCTTGGCCTCCCAAAGTGCTGGGATTACAGGTGTGACCCACCGCACCCAGCCAGTATAGTTTTCTTTAATCTGGAAGGCTTCCTCAGCCTTTCTTGAATTTTCCAGAGACTGACATTTAGGCAGAGTACAGGACAGCTATTCTGTAGACTGTCTGTCCCTCAGTGTGCGTTTGTGTGATTGTTCCTCATGATTAGTTTCCGGTTTTGCATTATTATAATTATGGTTCTTGTTGTTGAGATGAGAATGATAATAGCAGCTATCTAACAGGATTGTTGTCAGGACTCAATTGATCATGTGAAAAGCACAGAACAATGCTGGTATGTAGCAAGTGCCCCATAAAGGAAGACTGTTGTTGTTGCCGTTGTTAATATAGAGGGTGTGGCTGGGCTCAGTGACTCACGCCTATAATCCCAGCACTTTGAGAGGCTGAGGCAAGTGGATCACTTGAGGCCAGGAGTTTCAGACCAGCCTGGGCAACATAATAAGACCCTGTTTCTACAAAAAAATTAAAAAAAATTAGTGGGGTATGATGGCACGTGCCTGTAGCCCTAGTTACTGAGGAGGCTAGGCTGGGGGCTCGCTTGAGCCCAGGGTAGAGGTGAACTATGTTCACACCACTGCACTTCAGCCTGGGTGACAGAGCGAGAACCAGTCTCTAAAATTTAAAAAAAAAAAAACAAAAAAAAAGGAGAGTGGGCGGGCCTACAAACAATGTTAGAGAAGTTGAGAAGGAGAATCACTGCCCTTCATATAGCCCCTAAGGAAGGCTGGCATAACACCAGGAGAGAGCCTGAGCTTTGCATAGGGTAGACACAGGGCTGCTGAGGTCCTTTCTGCAGAGGTGCCCAGGGCTGAGAGTTATGGAGCATTCAAGGGTCTTGACACTGGCTCTCCATGCTGATCCAACCAGGACCCGCCTCTCTGACTGGGTGCATTGCCTGAGTCCCTCTAGCTCCTCTTCCTTTTCTCTCTCCCCAAACCAGGTACTTCAAAGGCTCATCAAGTCCCGAGGAAAGTCTCAGTCCAAACACCTCAATGTCCAAATAGCGGCCTCGGAAAAGCTGGCACAGTGCCCCCCTGTGAGTGCCTAGATCCCAGGGAAGGGAATGGAGGGAGAACATTTGGGTTGTCCTGGTTTCCTCTGGCCTACATGAGAGACAGGGTGACCAGGAACACCTGGGTCAGGCCTGTGGGTGCAGACTGGTCTTCTGGGAAGAGCGCAGGTCCCGTCAGTCAAAGACTGGGTTCAAGCCCCAGAAGCACCCTTCTGCGTGGAGAGTCAAGCCCTGTCTCCCAGCCTTGGTTGCCTTATCTCTAGAATGAGGGAGTTGGACTGAGTGCCAAAACTTCTTGCAGTTCTGCCAATCTGTAGATCTGAGAGCTCTCCTTCCCTTCTACATCCAGAGGCCTCTTTTTAACCTTGTCCTTCAATCCCTTGACTCTACCCACTGCACCCAGGCCACACCCTCAACCCCCTTGGCCATGCCCCACTCATCCCAGCCCTGCCCCCTAACCCCGCCTTCACAGGAAATGTTTGACATCATCCTGGATGAGAACCAATTGGAGGATGCCTGCGAGCATCTGGCGGAGTACTTGGAAGCCTATTGGAAGGCCACACACCCGCCCAGCAGCACGCCACCCAATCCGCTGCTGAACCGCACCATGGCTACCGCAGCCCTGGCTGCCAGCCCTGCCCCTGTCTCCAACCTCCAGGTACAGGTGCTCACCTCGCTCAGGAGAAACCTCGGCTTCTGGGGCGGGCTGGAGTCCTCACAGCGGGGCAGTGTGGTGCCCCAGGAGCAGGAACATGCCATGTAGTGGGCGCCCTGCCCGTCTTCCCTCCTGCTCTGGGGTCGGAACTGGAGTGCAGGGAACATGGAGGAGGAAGGGAAGAGCTTTATTTTGTAAAAAAATAAGATGAGCGGCAGCTTCTGGTGTCTGTGGTTTTTGATGGGTCTGGGGCTTCTGGTGCTGTCTTCCTGGGCCTGGTGCCATAGGAGCGCATCTGCTGCCCGCTGGATATGAGGCCTGATGGGAGCGCTTTTAAGACAAGGGACTAGGAAGGACATGCGAGGAAGACTGATAAACTGATTCGCTGGACTCCACACCCTTTTTAGACCCAACAGAGCAGGGGCCTTCAGAGCCAGGGAAACCTACGTTAAACCTGGACTCTCCCTCCCTGGAGCCCTGACTCCACAAGGCCCCTCAAGAGGGACCAAGAATGTGGCATCTTCTATGACTTGATGCTGAACCTTCCACCATTCTCCCAGTTAAAGTCCAGGAAAGGACCTCCCATGGGAGACCCATCCTGCCTTGCCCTCCTCCCATGGGAGCCACAGCCCACCTCTTGATGGCACACCATTAAGTATAAGGTCTTAAGAGCCAGAAGAAACCCATGAAATCATTCTAGACTGTAGCTTTCAAATTTGTTTTCAGCAACAGAGCCCATTTGTTCAATGAATCTTACGTGGAAGCTGAGGATGTTAGATAATGCATCCTTGCTCTGCCCTGAGGGAGCCAGGGGAATGGCCTCCCCTCCACCTCCATGGGGACCCCTGAAGCACTTCTGTGCCCTTCCCACCCAATGCCACCCCAGATCTCTAGGTAACAGTTTGGAAACTGCTACTCAGGTCTAACCCCCATCACATTACAACCAAGAAATGAGGCCACAGAGAGGGGAACTGTTTGCTTAGGGTCACACAGCTTGACATGGCAGGGGAGGGACTGGAACCCCTCTTGTGCCCCACCTCCACGTGACATTTGATGATAAGGACACTGGGCCACCTCTTCATCTTCAGTAGGAGGGGGAGACCCAGCAGCCTTCCCCAGCTTGCTGCTTTGAGTGCTTGTTGGGGGCAAGGGAGGAATCCCATCAGCCTTGGAGATGGTGTCATCCGACTAGGGAATGGTGGGAGAAGCATGGGGTTCTGGAAGCCTGAGATTGGGGTTTGGTGTGGGTCGAAGAAGCCAGGGTCAGCAGGTTTGAGCTGAAATCCCGTTAATATATTTGGAAAACCAAAGGCAATGACTAACCGAATCAACCGCTAATGAGTGGCAATACTGAGCTGTTAATGACAGTTAGCCCCAAGATAGCATTAATGACCTGCACTGAGGAAGCGGTGACTCATGGCTCACGGCTGTTGGCCATAGTTGCCCTGAGAGTTCATATGTCCTCACATCTGTTGAAGGTCGGGTGCCCCCTGTCCCGAGAGAGGAGCAAATGCCCTGAGGTCTGTCCTCTGGCTGGGCTCCAGAGCCGTTTGTCCCCGGGGCCCCTCCTCTAGAGCCAGCACCCTCTTCATCCAGGCCGGACCTCTTAATGCTGTCACTAACTTGCCTTGCTTTGTTGTGTTTTTCTCACCCCTGCCTGATCTGCATGGTGTGTGCTGTCCGTCTGCTAACCAGGGACCCTACCTTGCTTCCGGGGACCAGCCACTGGAACGGGCCACCGGGGAGCACGCCAGCATGCACGAGTACCCAGGGGAGCTGGGCCAGCCCCCAGGCCTTTACCCCAGCAGCCACCCACCAGGCCGGGCAGGCACGCTACGGGCACTGTCCCGCCAAGACACTTTTGATGCCGACACCCCCGGCAGCCGAAACTCTGCCTACACGGAGCTGGGAGACTCATGTGTGGACATGGAGACTGACCCCTCAGAGGGGCCAGGGCTTGGAGACCCTGCAGGGGGCGGCACGCCCCCAGCCCGACAGGGATCCTGGGAGGACGAGGAAGAAGACTATGAGGAAGAGCTGACCGACAACCGGAACCGGGGCCGGAATAAGGCCCGCTACTGCGCTGAGGGTGGGGGTCCAGTTTTGGGGCGCAACAAGAATGAGCTGGAGGGCTGGGGACGAGGCGTCTACATTCGCTGAGAGGCAGGGGCCACACGGCGGGAGGAAGGGCTCTGAGCCCAGGGGAGGGGAGGGAGCGAGGGGCTCACACCTGACATGTATTCGCCTCCAGGGGGCGCTGTCTCCCTCCTTTCAGATGCCTTTGCTCAAAGCTTGGGGTTTCTTTGGTGTTACCATCCCAGCTCCCGGGAGGCCCTTAAGCCCCAGCTGTCGGTTTTTACCTGCCTGTTGTGGATGGATGGGGGATACCCACCTTTCTGAAGTGTCCCCTTTCTCCCATCTTAAGGGGCTCTCCTCCCTCACCCTCCTAGAGAAAAGGTGCACTTCCTTAACTCTTTCTACTCGGGGCCCTAAGTGACGGTCCTAAGTGGGATGGCTCTCCTTCTCCCAAGCTGCAGTACTGGGGAAGGGCTGGGCGCTTTTCCTGGAAAGGGAGGCCACAGATTCTTTCCCATGGGGGCTCTCTTCCCCAGACCCCAGATCCAAGGTCCCTCACCCTGCCTGCCCCTTCCTCCCAGCTTCCTGGCAGCATCGTCTGGTCGGTGAAAGCCATAGCATGGACACCCCATGGGGAGCTTGTCTTGGGGAGGGTTCTGGGTGGAAGCTGGCAGGCATACAGCACCCTCTACCCTCCGTGGCCATGGCAACGTCCAGGGCCCAGAACCCTGAGGAGTGAGCGGCCGAGACGCTGCTCCCCACCCCCCACCTCCATGCCTCAGCCTTTGCCTACCCCAGGAATGAGCTTGGCCTCCAACATCCCTTGCCTGCTGCCATTAGTAGAGGGGGCCCCTCTGCATCTGAGCCCCCCATCCCTGTGCCACCTGGGTGTGGAGCCCATGGAACACTCTGGTCCGCCTCATTTTAAACCAAAAAACTGCTCCTTCACCCTCACCCTGAGGCCCCAGGGGAGAGGACCCGTGGGATGGTGCCCAGGGGTTGCCTTGGGACCTCGGATCTCCTCTGGGGGGCTTGGCTGCTGCTGTTGCTGCTCTGTATTTGCCTCTCGTGATTCTGTTTGTTACCCATGTTCACTTCCCCCAGGAGAGGCCTTGGTACCCCCTCTCCCCTGGGGCATCCCTTTGCCTTGGCATCCCTGTAGCCCAGCAACCCTGCCCCTCCCCAGCATCCCAGCTGGGCCAGAGAGAGCCGAGTGTGCCAACAAGGACTGGGGCCTGCCCGGCTGCCCGCCTCAGGGATGGGCACCTCATGCCTGTCTCGCCACCTCCTGTGCCAATGTCCCACCCTCCACCTGGGGGTGGGGTGCAGCTTCCACTTACTGATTAGAAGACACCACTGCCCTCCCTTCCCCCCTCCCTGTCTGGTGTCCTGTGCCCCCATCTGTCTGTCTATATTTGTCTGTACTCCCCTAGGAGAAGTATTTTGCCATATATAAAACCACTGTCCTGTCCTTTGTGGCTGCCTCCCAAGCCTGCTTCTTTGTCCTCGCCACATAGTCGTCAGCGTAGGCACCTGGGAGCTGCTGATATGCACGGGGAGTTGAAAGGGTGGGTGCCTGAAGATGTTGTGCCCTGAGTCATTGACTCAAAAGAAAAGATGATCCTTTGATTTTGGCCCTCTGATGTATTGTGCCCAAGCCAGGAGCTGCTTGGGCAGTCCCAGCTCCACACTGGCCCTGAGCCCCTTCACTTACCTGTCTCTCCACAAGTAGAGCCAAAGGCAATGGGAAGCTCAATGTTGCTCAGTGGGTGAGATCCAGACCCACTGGTGCAATGTCTTAAATACACATGACTGTTTTTCTGCTCTTGTGGCATCACTGTGCCCCAACACCTCAGGAGAGGGAGGGGCTGAGCTTCTGGCTCCACTAATGCCCCCCTCGTTCCTGCTAACCAGCTTTGGGGACAGGGAGGCAGACTACTTGTGGGGGCAGGTCAGAGAAAATCAGGGATTCTGCCAGTCCCAGACTGAAAGTCAGCAGGTGAGTGTACCCATTCCTCCCATCCCCAGCTGGCAGGATGTGGACTTCTGACAGTTACTGCAACCACCTGTGTCCTGCCTCACACAGTACCCTCAAACTATTTCCCCTCCCTCCTGGTTCTTTTTCTTTTTTTTTTTTTGAGATGGAGTTTTGCTCTTGTCGCCCAGGCTGAAGAGTGCAGTGGCGCGATCTCGGTTCACTGCAACCTCCGCCTCCCAGGTTCAAGTGATTCTCCTGCCTCAGCCTCCCGAGTAGCTGGGACTACAGGCACCTGCCACCACGCCTGGCCAATTTTTGTATTTTTAGTTGAGACAGGGTTTCACCATGTTGGCCAGGCTCCTGATCTCAGGTGATCCACCCACCTTGGCCTCCCAAAGTGCTGGGATTACAGGCATGAACCACTGTGCCCACCCTGGTTCTTGTTTTTTGTGCTGGTCGCCGTGGAGGACTAAAATTCCTGAGTCCGCTACCTGAGTGCTGAGGCCCAACATGAGTGAGTGTGTGTGTGTGTGTGTGTGTGTGTGTGTGTGTGTGTGTGTAGGGCAAAAGACATCCCCCAAGACCCTACAGATGAGGAGTTAGTGGATCAAAGGAAAGGGAAACTGGGCAGGCCCAGAGGTCAAGTGGCTGACCCCAGTTCCCTGGGGGAGCCAATGGCAAAGTTGATGAGAGCCTAGTCTCTGCCTCCCAGCATAGTGCATTTCCCACTGCCTTCCTACAGAATCATTCATTCCTGTGTTTCTTCCTTGAACAAATGTTTATTGAGCACCTCCTATGTACCAGGCACAAGTCTACGTAGGGGCCATAGATTATTTCAGCACAGCATAATGTGCTCTCTGCTGTGGGAGCACTGGGTACTGTGGGAGCATTGGGTACTGTGGGAACCTGAAAGAGGGGTTAGTCCCATAACCTGGGGAGGTCAGCTGAGGCTTCCTGGCAGAGGTGAGGCTTGAGTAGAATCTGGAAGCATGGTTAGCAGACAAATGGGGAAAGTGTTCAAGGCAGAGAAAGCAGGGGACATGCATGACATATTCTTGGCACCTCACCACCAAAGTGTGCTCTCAAGGTGAATTGGCAGGAGCAGGTCACAGTGGGCCTTGAGTCATGTTAAGGAGTTTGGGCTTTGTCCTGAAGCTCGTATGCAGAAATGGAAGGATTGTAAGCAATTAGCAAGATTGCTTTGTTTGCAGTTTGGCGCATAGATTGGAAGGCCTAGCTTAGAAACAGCTGTGATAATCCAGGTGCGAAAGGAGGGTTTGCCTTACGCCACAGCAGTGGGACTGGAAGGGAGGCAAAGAGGCCAGAGAGATCTAGCAGTTAGATGGCCGGGCTTGGTGGCTTATGCCTGTAATCCCAGCACTTTGGGAGGCTAAGGGGACAGGAATGCTTGAGCCCAGGAGTTTTAGACTAGTTTATGCAACATAGTGAGACCCACCTTTTTACAAAAAATTTTAAAAATTAGCTGCGTGTGTAGTCCCAGCTATTCGGGAGGCTGTGATAGGGAGGCTGAGGTATGGTGGATCTCTTGAGCCCAGGAAGTCAAGGCTGCAGTGAGCTATGATCACACCACTGCACTCCAGCCTGGATGACAGAGCGAGACCGTGTCTCAATAAAGAAATTAAATTAATAAATAAATGTTAGCATCTTGAGCTCTTGGAGAGCAAGTGGAGGCGGCTGATAAGAGAAAGGAAGGTGAGGCCGGGCACGGTGGCTCACGCCTGTAATCCCAGCACTTTGGGAGGCCGAGGTGGGTGGATCACAAGGTCAGGAGTTTGAGACCAGCCTGGCCAACATGGTGAAACCCCATCTCTACTAAAAATACAAAAATTAGCCAGGCGTGGTGGCGGCGCCTATAATCCCAGCTACTCGGGAGGTGAGGCAGGAGATTTACTTGAACCTGGGAGGCGGAGGTTGTGGTGAGCTGAGGTCACACCACTTCACTCCAGCCTGGGTAACAGAGGGAGACTCCGTCTAAAAAAAAAGAAAAAAAAAAAAAAAAGAGAGAGAAAGAGAGGTGGCCAGGTGTGGTGGCTCATGTCTGTAATCCCAGCACTTTGGGAGGCCGAGGCGGGCGGATCACCTGAGGTCAGGGGTTCAAGACCAGTTTGGCCAACATGGCAAAACCCTGTCTCTACTAAAAATACAAAAATCAGCCGGGTGCAGTGGCACACGCCTCCAGCTACTCTGGAGGCCAAGCAGGAGAATCGCTTGAACCCAGGAGGCGAGGCTGTGGTGAGCTGAGATCACACCACTGCACTCCAGCCTGGGTGACAGAGCAAGACTCTGTCTTAAAAAAAAAAAAAAAAAAAAAAAAAAGGGAGTGACTGCTGATGGTGGTCTTCTCAGCAAAAGCAGGTAAAAAAAAACAAAGAAGTTAGGGGCAGAAGTGATCAGTCCATCTTTGGTCAAAGTGGGTTTGAGGTGCCTGTGGGACATTCAAGAAGAGAAGCAGAGGCTGGGCGTGCTGGCTTGTGCCTGTAATCCCAGCACTTTGGGAGGACCAAGTGGGCAGATCAATTGAGGTCAGGAATTCGAGACCAGACTGGGCAACATGGTGAAACCTCATCTCTACTGAAAATACAAAAATTACCTGGGTGTGGTCGTGGGCGCCTGTAATCCCAGCTACTCAAAGGCTGAGGCAGGAGAATTGCTTGAACTCGGGAGGTGGAAGTTGCAGTAACTGAGAACACGCCACTGCACTCCAGCCTGGGTGACAGAGCGAGACTCTATCTCAAAAAAAAAAAAAAAAAAAAGAGAGAGAAGAGGAAAAGACAGCTGGGTACATGGTCTGGAGCTCCACAGAGAGGTCTGGAGTAGAGTCTGATGTTTTGAATCAATGTCAGGTATTATTAACTCCAGTTTACAAAGTTCAGAGAGGTTAAACTATTTGACCACAGTTATACAGCCATGAGGCAAGGATTTGAACTCAGATATATAGATGTCAAGTTCTGTGGTGCCTTTGACCCCCAAGTTCAGTGCTAATTCCCTTGTCCCAGGATGCATCAGCTTCTGCAAGCGGGGGCTGGGGGTTTGAGAAGGAGGAAGCAGGTGTCTGAGTGTATTTGTGCCCCATGTGCCTTCTGCCTGAAATTGCATTTGCAGCCCGGACACGGTGGCTCATACCTGTAATCCCAGCACTTTGGGAGGTCGAGGTGGGTGGATCACTTGCGGTCAGGAGTTCGCAACCAGCCTGGCCAACATGGTGAAACCTCATCTCTACTAAAAATACAAAAATTAGCCAGGCGTGGTGGTGGGTGCCTGTAATACCAGCTACTTGGGAGGCTGAGGCAGGAGAATCGCTTGAACCCAGGAGGGGGAGGTTGCAGTGAGCTGAGATGGAGCCACTACACTACAGCCTGGGCGATGGAGGGAGACTCTGTCTAAAAAAAAAAAAAAAAAAGAGAGAAAAGAAATTGCATTTGCCTGGAACTTGCAGGAAAGGCATTTCTAGCTGGCTTGGAGATAGCGAGAGATGGGGGCAGATTCTTGTTTCTTGGTAATCAGAAGCTCTCAATTAACTCTGGCTACACCATCAGCAAGTTAGTGGTTGTCCATGTGTGAGGATTTCGACAACCATGAAGTCAGCTGAGACCAGGCAGGAACTGAGGGACTGGGGACTTCTGCTACCTGGGACCCTTTGTTTCCTTCCCTGACTAGCTGCTCCTGTTTTTGCAGTGGGTTCTGTCCCAGAATGAGGTGATGTGGGAGAGGCCCAGGTCCTACATGTGGCTTAAGGTTTCCACTGTTCTACACTAAAGAGAACTAGGCTGAGGCCACCATGGTCCAGGGACAAGGGGCTGTCCCAGTTCAGTATCTTAGAGAAAAATTTTGTCTTAGCTCCAATAATCTTTTTGTGTCCGGAGTTGGTTCCTGCTGGTGGGGTTCGTGGTCTCGCTGACTTCAAGAATGGAGCCGCGGACCTTCGCGGTGAGTGTTACAGCTCTTAAAGATGGCACGGACACAAAGATTAAGCAACAGCAAGATTTATTGTAAAGAGCAAAAGAATGCAATAGAACTAAAGCTTCCACAGCGTGGAACGGGACCCGAGCACATTGCTGCTACTGGCTGGGAGGTGGCCAGCTTTTATTCCCTTATTGGCCCCGCCCATGTTCTGTTTCTGTCCTATCGGAGTGCGCTTTTTTCTTTTTCTTTTTTTTTCCTTTCTTTTCTTTTCTTTCTTTTTTTTTTTTTTTTTTTTTTTTTTGAGATGGAGTCCCACTGTGTTGCCCAGGCTGGAGTGCAATGGCGCGATCTCGGCTCACTGCAACCTCTGCCTCCCGGGTTCAAGCAATTCTCCTGCCTCAGCCTCCTGAGTAGCTGGGATTACAGGTGGGCACTACCACGCCCAGCTAATTTTTGCATTTTTAGTAGAGATGGGGTTTCACCATGTTGGTCAGGCTGGTCTCGAACTCCTGACCTCGTGATCTGCCCCCCTCGGCCTCCCAAAGTGCTGGGATTACAGGCCCGAGCCACTGCACCCTGCCAGAGTGCCCTTTTTTTCAATCCTCCCTGTGATTGGCTACTTTTAGGATCCTGCTGATTGGTGCGTTTTACAGAGTGCTGATTGGTGCATTTTCCAGAGCACTGATTGGTGCATTTTACAATCCTCTTGCTAGCTACAGAGCACTGATTGGTGCGTTTTTACAGAGCACTGATTGGTGCATTTTACAATCCTCTTGCTAGCTACAGAGCGCTGATTGGTGCGTTTTACAATCCTCTTGTAAGACAGAAAAGTTCTCCAAGTCCCCGCTCGACCCAGGAAGTCCAGCTAGGTTCACCTCTCATTTTCTTCAGAGAAGGGTGCCTTGCTTTCTTTCTAAATCAGGCCTTCCTACTGTCTCTCAGAGGGGTGTGTGTGTGTGTATCTGTCTCTCTCTCTAGACCACAAGCTCCATAAAGACCCAGACTGGGAATGGGAGCAGTGGCTCATACCTGTAATCCCAGCACTTTGGGAGGCTGAGGCGGGAGATTGTTTGAGTCCAGGAGTTGGAGACCAATGGCGAAGCCCATCTCTACAAAAAAAAAAAAAAAAAAAAAATAGCTGGGAGTGGTGGCTTTCACCTCTACTCCCAGCTACTCAGGAAGCTGAGGTGGGAGGATCACTTGAGCCTGGGAGGTTGAGGCTGCAGTGAGCCGCGATCCTGCCACTGGACTCCAGCCTGGGTGACAGAGCAAGGTTCTGTCTCAAAAAAACAAAACAAAACAAAACAAAACAAAAACATAAACACCTGGACTAGGTCTGTTTTGTCTACTTCATGTATTTCCTGGCTCATATTTGTCAAATGAATGAATGAACGAATGAATGCTTCTTAAGATCCAGGTCCTGGGCCTCAAAGTGGAGGCAGATCTTCTCGTCTGTTTTTCTATTTTCTTTTCTTTTTTTTTTCTTCTTTTCTCTTTTAATTATTATTTTTTTTAATCAGGCAGCTTCCAGAGCCAGAGTATGCTCAGAGAGATGCCCTCTCCTTGTCTGTTTACTGAATGTGTTTCCAGCTTGCAGAGTGTTACTTTCAATTCTGCAAAGAGGAGGTGGGGAGGGCAGCATGCACTAAGATGTTCCTCCCCGCATCCCACTAACCCCAGGAAACAGATGGTAAAATGCTTAAGACACTGCTGCTTCCCTCAGCACCCTTGGTGCCCCACCCCCCAGCCCCAGACTTGGCTCCTTCTCTCCTAAGGCTGAAATGCAATCAGCCCAGATGGGCTCTGGCAGTCAACTCTATCCTTCTAACTCTGGGCACCAAGCAGGGTGGGATGAAAGTCTGTATTTAGTCAGCTATTTTCCTTCTTCTTCCCGCAAACTTCCCAGCCTTCCTCAATCCTCTTAAACTTGTGTTCACATTCCTTTTTTAATACTCCAAGTGCCATTTCTCAGGCTGTAGCTTAACTCATTCTACATCAGTCTGACAGCAACACATTCCTCCTGTGTGCAGGGTTCTGGACCAGGCAGGGAGTGATTGGGCTGGCGGGGGAGGTCATATGCTGGTTAACAATATATGAATCCCACCCTGGTACTCACAGTTGATGGGAGGAAACAGACTTGCCCGTCTATAAGCCCAGTGTAGGGAGAAGCCCCATGTGGCTGGAGAACCAAGTCAGGGCTGGGGAAGCAGGTGGCTTTTATGGCAGGGCAGCTAATGGGTCTCAGGCATTCTCCTTTCTGAGAAGGTGAAAGGCACTCAAGGAGGAAATGCAGAAGCAAAGGCACCATCAGAAAGAGCCAGGCATGTATAGGCAGGAACCAGTAGATACAGAGCCTGGGAGATAAACCTGTGAAGGCAGGTGGGGGCTGTTCGTGGAAGCTCTTGAATGTCAAGTGGAGACTGATCTGAATCCAGTGAGCAATAGGGAGCCATTGAAGATCTATGAGCTGGGGGAGTTACAGACCCTGAGCTGTGCTTTAGGAAGGTTAATAGGGGCCATGGAGAGGATGCCTTGGGAAAGGAGAGGAAGATGCAGGGAGACCAGTTAGAAAGTTGTTACCTTAATGGAGGGTTGTTACCTTAGTGGAGGCTGCAGGAAGGCAGTACAGTCGGGTGGAAGGAGCTGGCTCCCTGGTGTGTTGGCTGGATCTCCTGCTAACCATTCCTGCAGCCTGAGGGCACGTTGCCTTTTGGACTTCTCCTTTTGTTATCTGATTTTTTGTTTTTTTCCCCCCAGCTTAAGCAAAGAAAGAAATTCACAAGCAACAGCAGGAAACTCCACCTTCCATTCCCTCCTCAGGCCTGGCCTCCTGGTTCTCTGTTGGCCCATGTACTCCTCTGCCAGGTATCTGGGGCCTCTCTGCAGGGTCTCCAGCCGGAGGATCTCTCTTCATGCTCCATCCTTGTCTTCAGGCGCCCACTTTTGGGGATCAGGAAGCTGTGCCTGGGCAGTAGGTTTGTCCGTGAATTGTAGGAGTACTGATTTATCCTAGAAGTTGCCAAGCATCAAGGGGAGACCCTGCCCTTCCCCAGGGGAATGCAATTTGAGTGGGCCCACAAGACCCACGCTAGTGAACCAACTGCACATCTGTGGAGGGTTGGAATATTCTCCCAGCTCAGAGAGGATCGGTGAGCCCTGTCTGTACTACACAGCTGGTAGGTACAGAAAGTGGGTCGCCTGGGGTTTTGCTTCAGTCTAGTGCCCTAGACATGGCACTCAGAGGAGGGAGAGCTGGGATCCGGTTCCGCGCGCAGTGCTGAGTCTCCCCTGATTTGCGGTAGTGGAGCAGTCCACCCGGAGAACTCAGGAGTTTTCGCAGGGCGAGGGGGAGGGCTGGAGCCTGGAACCCCCATATTCCTTGCACCTCTTGGGCCCGGGACAGGCAGCCCTTAGTCACTGGGGTGTCCATAGTGCCCACGAAGGGCCAGCGTCCCAGAGGGTTCCCAGGTCAGGTTGGTGACGTGTGGGGCTTCCCTAACTTCGTAGGCAAAATCTGCCAGACCCTCCCGGGGGAGCGGAGCTCCGAATACCAGGGCCGACTCCGCTCCTGAGGCCGCTGAGCCCTCCTGCACCTGTCCGGCCCGGGAAGTGCCATGGGACAGCTGATCGCCAAGTTAATGAGCATCTTCGGGAACCAGGGTAAGGGGCGCACAGGGCATCCAAGCGAGCGCTTTGATCTCGCCCTCTTCTGGGACTCCTCTGATCTGTGGTCGGACGCACGGGGGGACCTCGGGCTCCGAGGGTCGTATATGGGCGCTCCTCGACTGCCCCGCGGCCTCCCCTGCCCCCGTCCCTGCCTGCTCCTCTTGGGTCCCGGCGCTTCGGTGCGCCCCAGGACGCAAAGCTGGGCGACCCTCCTTTCTCCCCGCTAAACGGAGCCAGCGGCGGGGATGGGGGGCTGCTGCGAGTTTCCTGCGATTGTGACTTCGCGTTATGCTCTTTCTCTAAACACCGTCTCTTGGCAAGCCCCGAAGCGCCCCGGGCCTTTCAGACACTTTTCTGGAATGTGAAGGGAGGTGGGGGCTCAGCTGTCTTTTCCACCGTCCCGGAGTGGGGCAGGTGTCGGAGCTGGGTGGGAAGCAGACGCGGTACGGTGGGCAGAGGTCCCCAGCCTGCGGGGAGCGCTATCTCCTTCCTGGGAGGTCTGGTGGGGGCACACAGTCCCTTGGTCTTCGGGTTTGGCCCTGACGCTGCCCTTCCTCCGACGCTTCCAGAGCACACGGTCATCATCGTGGGACTGGACAATGAAGGAAAGACCACCATTCTCTACCGGTTGTAAGTGACTCTCGGGCGGGGAGGGTAGAGAGCTGGGCCTCCCACCAGACTGACAGGCAGGGGGACCAATCACTGGAGCTCTTCCCTGGGTTCCCGGGCTCCTCTGTAGTCCGGAGGAGCGATTGGGCACGCTGCTTGGACCTTCCTAGTACTGCGGCTCCTCGGTCTGGCATTCAAATCCTGCACCGTACAGGCAACCCTAGCTCCCACTGCTTTCCTCCATCTTCCCGGGGGCCCTGCCAAACCCAGCTCCAGGCCTGCCAAGTGTCCCAAACTGCCTCCCTGCTCTTCGCTCCCTCTAGCGGCAGGTCCCTCCTTTCTCACCCCTGTCCCCTCTGCCAGTTAACTTTCTTCCCCTTCTTCAAACCCAAAGGCTCACTGAGGCTCTGTAGCTCCTGGTCTAGCAAGCCTGGCACATATGGGTGGTGCTGAGTAAATACCGATCGCAGCTTTCCCCGATATTCGCTCTCTGGATGGCACCTCTCCCATTTTACAGCCTCCAAAGTACTTTACTTAGGAGAAGCTTTTCCATGAAAAAGTAATACATGTAATGATTTTAAAAAATTATAAAGGAAAATTTCAAACAATGGAGGAATACACGGTGAAAAGTAAGTTTCCTTCTTGCCTCTGGCTCCTAGTTTTCCTCCTATTGTAACTTTGCGTAACTTTTCAGAAGCATTATTTACATATAAAAGCATGTGTATATTTTCTATGTCACTTTAAACAAAGCACCTCTCTGATGTCCCTCACTGTGTCTGTCTCATTTTTCTAAACTCTTGCTCCTCAAAGTGTGGTCTACAGACCAGTCACACAGGCATCACCTGAAAGCTTATTAGGAATGCAAAACCATGGCCGGGCGCTGTTGCTCTCAAAGTGCCTGTAATCGCAGCACTTTGGGAGGCCGAGGCGGGCGGATCACCTGAGATCAGGAGTTCAAGAGCAGCCTGGCCAACATGGTGAAACCTCGTCTCTACTAAAAATACAACAACAACAACAACAACAACAACAAAGGGCTGAGCAAGGTGGCTCACGCCTGTAATCCCAGCACTTTGAGAGGCTGAAGTGGGTGGATCTACCTGAGGACAGGAGTTCGAGACCAGCCTGGCCAACATGGCGAAACCCCATCTCTACTAAAAAAATATAAAAATTAGCTGGGCGTGGTGGCACATGCCTGTAATCCCACCTACTCTGGAGGCTGAGGAAGGAGAATCACTTGAACCCGGGAGGCAGAGGTTGCAGTGAGCTGAGACTGCGCCACTGTACTCCAGCCTGGGCGACAAAGGGAGGCGGAGGTTGCAGTGAGCTGAGATTGTGCCACTGCACTCCAACCTGGGCGACAGAGAGAGACTACATCTCAAGGAAAAAAAAAAAAAAAAAGCAAAACTGTGGCCGGATGCGGTGGCTCATGCCTGTAATCCCAGCACTTTGGGAGTCCAAGGTGGATGGATCACTTGAGGTCAGGAGTTCGAGACTCGCCCAGCCAACATGGCGAAACCCCGTTTCTACAAAAATACAAAAATAAGCCTGGCGTGGGGGTGTGCTCCTGTAATCCCAGCTACTCAGGAGGCCGAGGCGGGAGAATTGCTTGAACCTGGGAGACATGATCGTACCTACACTCCAGACTGGGCGACAGAGTGAGACTCTGTGAAAGAAAGAAAGAGAGAGAGAGAAGGAAAGAAAGAGAGAAAGAAAGAAAGAAAGAAAGAAAGAAAGAAAGAAAGAAAGAAAGAAAGGCAAAAGCCTGGACCCCTGCCCAGACTCACTGGGTCAGAATCTGCATTTTGACAAAACTCTCAGGTCATTCAACTGCATATTAAAGTTTGAGGAGGCTGGGCTCTGTGGCTCATGCCTGTAATCCCAGCACTTTGGGAGGCCAAGGCAGGAGGATCTCTTGACAGGAGCCCAAGGTCAGGAGTTCAAGGTAAGCCTGGGCAACACAGTGAGACCCTGTTTCTATAAAAAGAAAAAAAGAGATAAAGTTTGAGGAGCCTCCTCTAAGATGTTTCCCTTCTCTGGGGTCCAAGCCAGGGCAGGGCTTAGTCTCACTCCTGTCTTCATTCCCCAGGGCCCAGCACGGGGCCTGGCTCCGAGCAGGTGTTTGGTGAACCTGGGTGGACTTGTTCTGAGTTAGATTCAGACTGCTTTGGGAGTAGAGCATTTGGGGGCCAGAGTTGGGAGTAGGCTGGACTGAGCTCTTGGTGCCCACTCCTACCTCCCCAGCTTGACCAATGAGGTGGTCCATATGTGTCCCACCATTGGCAGCAACGTGGAGGAGATCATTCTGCCGAAGACCCACTTCTTCATGTGGGACATAGTGAGACCTGAGGCTCTGAGCTTTATCTGGAACACATACTACTCCAACACTGAGGTGAGGAGGGCACCAGGGCTGAAGGGTCTCCAAGGCAGGCGTGTGATATCAGACTGTCATGTAACCTTTCTGAGCCTTGGTTCCCCAACTTGTGAAATAGAGATTATAATGGTCGGTTCCTGTGGCTCACACCTGTAATCCCAGCACTTTGGGAGTCCAAGGCGGGTGGATCACCTGAGGTCAAGAGTTCGAAACCAGCCTGGCCAACATGGCAAAACCCCACCTCTACTGAAAATACAAAAATTAGCTGGGCATGGTGTCAGGCACCTGTAATCCCAGCTACTCGGGAGGCTGAGACAGGAGAACTGCTTGAACCTGGGAGGCAGAGGTTGCAGTGAGCCGAGATCACGCCATTGCAACTCCAGCCTGGGCAACAGAGCAAGACTCTGTCTCAAAAAAAAAGTTTTATATATACATATATATAATGATCTCCCTAAGTTGTTGTGAAAATTAAATAACAAACCAATATGTAATGCATATATGTCAGATACTCAACACAGTGCAGTGCCTGCCTGTTAACGTGTTTGAATACTTCCTGGCAGCTGCTGGCAGCTTTCTGTTTGATGCACTGGATGGGTAGGCCCCTTCTCTCTAGGGGCCTTACTTTCTTACTCCAGCAGGAGTAGAATTCAGTGGTATAATTCCTGGACCGAGACAGAGCTGGGTTCCATTTCCAGCACTGCTACTCACCAGCTGTGTGGTCAAGAGCAAGATACATAGCCTCACTGAGCCTCAGTCTCTTCATTTGTAAAATGGGGATACTAACAGTACCAAGTCCACAGCGTTGTGGTAAGGCCTAAATGGAGTCATGAACACCCAATGCTTATGTAGCACAGCCTCTGCCACACAGTCAGAGGTGTGCTATTCCCATGTCTGGATAGAAAAGACAATTACAGGCCAGGTGTGGCAGCACACCTGGTGGTAATCCCAGCACTTTGGGAGGCTGAGGCAGGCAGATGACCTGAGATCAGGAGTTTGAGACCATCCTGGCCAACATGGCGAAACCCCGTCTCTACTAAAAATACAAAAATTAGCCGGGTGTGGTGGCACGCGCCTGTAATCCCAGCTACTTGGGAGGCTGAGGTGGGAGAATCGCTTGAACTAAGGAGGCAGAAGTTGGAGTGAACCAAGATTGCGCCACTGCACTCCAGCCTGGATGACAGAGCGAGACTCCGCCTCAAAAAAAAAAAAAAAGACAATTATAATGGAAGCAGGGTGGTGAAATCTTGAGGCTGCATGCTTTCATTTCTCTGGGGCTGACATCTGGGCAGTGCAGAGACCAGTGGGGAAAGAAAGAGGGCAGGAAACACATTTACCAAAGAGAAAGCCTGTCTCTCACGGCTCCCCTCTGCTGCCCAGTTTATCATCCTTGTGATTGACAGCACGGACCGGGATCGGCTGCTGACCACTCGGGAGGAGCTATATAAAATGCTGGCCCATGAGGTAAGCCCCCTGCAGTTGGGAGAGGGCCCAGTGGTACTAGCTGTGTGCCCTCAGGCTGGTCACTTAGCTTCTCTGAGATTCGTTCCTGCTGTCCCAGTTTCTGAGAGCCTCTATACCAGCAGCATGAGGAGGGCTGGTTTGTGCCTGATGAAGGGCATCAGTACCCTCAGTGCAATTGACTATAGAAGCCAGAGTTGCTGGTTCAAGTTCTAACTCCATCTTTCATTCACTGTAGGACTTTGGACAAGTGACTTCACCTCTCTAATCCTCAGTTTCCCCAAGTATAAAATGAGGAGGATCATCAATTCCCACCTATGGGATTGTCATAAAGAGGCTTTCCTTGAGCTGCTGATGTTATTTGATACGGTTGCTACCATTGTGGCAGGGCCCCCATCTCTGCCCCATCCAGGCATGGGCCTCTCTTCCTGGGACAGCTGGAGAGGGAGCCAGAGAGCGCCTGTGAGGCAGTAGGAAGGAAGGCTGGGCACTAGCAGGCTGACTGGGGCTGGGCTCCTCTGTCCACAGGCTCTACAGGATGCTTCAGTCCTGATATTTGCCAATAAGCAGGACGTGAAGGACTCCATGAGGATGGTGGAGATCTCCCATTTCCTTACTCTCAGCACCATCAAAGACCACTCGTGGCATATACAAGGCTGCTGTGCCCTCACCAGGGAAGGGTTAGTGGCTGCCCTACCTGGATCTCTAGGGCCTGGCTGAACCAATGGATGACTGACCATCAGAACCCTTCTCCTGCCTCTCTCCTGTGAGAATCTGGTTCACAGTTGGCTCCTGGGCCAAGCCAATTTGGCATCTCCCCACAGGTGAGATGTGGTGGGTAAGCCACAAGCAGACAGCATCCCTGCTCTCAGGGGCTTGTTCTAGTGGAGAAAGAGGTAGCACTCCGCCTAAATGCAATAATCTCTCTCTCTTTTTTTTTTTTTTTGAGACAGAGTTTTGCTCTTTGTTGCCCAGGCTGGAGTGCAATGGCATGACCTCAGCTCACTGTAACCTCCGCCTCCCAGGTTCAAGCAATTCTCCTGCCTCAGCCTCCGGAGTAGCTGGGATTACAGGTACCCGCCACCACGCCTGGCTAATTTTTATATTTTTAGTAAAGATGGGGTTGGCCAGGCTGGTCTTGAACTCCTGACCACAGGTGGTCCACCGGCCTCGGCCTTCCAAAGTGTTGGGATTACAGGCATGAGCCACTGCACCTGGCCGCAATAATCTTAGGTGCTGAGAAGTGATGTGAAGAATCCCACTGGTTACCAGAAATGGAAGGGAGAAGGATAGGTCTGATTTAGTTCTGGTGGTCAGGGCTGGCCTCTCTTAAGAGATGACTTTTGAGCTGAGACCTGAGTGAAGAGTAGGAGACAGCCATGGGGAGACCTGGGGAACAAGCCTTCCAGGCAGAAATCATTGACTCACTCTGACTTCAGTTTCTTAACTGTAAGGAAGAGGATCATTATACCTCCTAGAGTTTCTGTAGAGTAAATGACACCATTCAGTACACAAATCTTTCTTGAGCACCTCCTTTGTGCCAGGTACTGTTCTAGGCACTGGAGAAACAGCAGCGAGCAAAACAGACAAAAATCCCTGCCCTCACGGAGCTTACTTTCCGGTAGGGGAGGCAGATGATAAACAAGAAAAATATATAGTCAGTTAGAAAATGATGGCGGGGCGCGGTGGCTCATGCCTGTAATCCCAGCACTTTGGGAGGCCAAGGCGGGCAGATCACCCAAGGTCGGGAGTTCGAGACCAGCCTGACCAACATGGAGGAACCCCGTCTCTACTAAAAATACAAAAATTAGCCGGGTGTGGTGGCAGATGCCTGTAATCCCAGGTACTTGGGAGGGTGAGGCAGGAGAAGCGCTTGAACCCAGGAGGCGGAGGTTGCGGTGAGTCAAGATCATACCATTGCACTCCAGCCTGGGCAACAAGAGCGAAGCACCATCTCAAAAAAAAAAAAAAAAGAAAGAAAGAAAATGGTAAACGGCTTGAGGCCAGGAGTTTGAGAAAAGCCTTGGCAACAGAGCGAGACTCTGTCTTTACAAAAAAAAAAAAAAAAAAAAACCGCTGGATGTGGTGGCACACACCTGTATTCCTAACTGCTCATGAGGTTGAGGCAGGAAAATCACTTGAGCCCAGGAGTTCCAGGCTGCACTGAGCTCTGACCATGTTGCTGCACTCCAGTCTGGGTGACATAGCAAGATCCTGTCTCAAAAAAAAAAAAAAAAAAAAAAAAAAACAAGTGATAAATGATAAGGTGAATAAAGAGTAAGAAACAGAGATTGGGCCAGCATGGTGGTTCATGCCTGTAGTTCTAGCTACTGGAGAGTCTGAGGCAGGAGGATGGCTTGGGGCCAGGAGTTGGAGTCCAGCCTGGGCAACATATCCAGACCCCCATTTCCAAAAGCAAAAACAAAGAAAAGAAAAGGGAGAGTGGAAGTGTGTGGAGGGAATGTTGCAATTTTAGGTAAGTTATCTGACAAGGGACACTAAGCAGGTAGATATTGAGTAATCACCTGGAGGATTTTAAGGAGCTGGGCCACGTAGAAAGGGCCTTACATCAGGCCTGGAAAACTTCCCTTTCGTCTTACCTGTCAAGTGGAATCATGGCAGGCTGGGCACACAGGTATCTTTTTTTTTTTTTTTGAGGCAGGGTCTCCCTCTGTCACCCCCCAGGCTGGAGTACAGTTGTGCAAACATGGCTTACTGCAGCTTCAACCTCTTGGGCTCAAGCGATCCTCCCACCTCAGCCTCCCTAGTAGCTGGGACTACAGGCGCACACCACCATGCCCTGGTAATTTTTGTATTTTTGTAGAGACAAGGTTTTGCCACGTTGCCCATGGCTGGTGTCAAACACCTGAGCTCAAATGATCTTCCTGCCTTGGCCTCCCCAAGTGTTGGGATTACATGAGTGAGCTACCACGCCTGGCGCAGATGTGTTTTTTGAAGAAGGGGAGACTTTAGGCAAGTCAGTCCAAGGGACCACACGTTTCTAGCAGTGTCCTTGCCACCCGCTGGGTCAGGAGAACCCTCTTCCACAACCCACAGTCAGTTCAATCAGCATTTTCCCTCCCTTCTTTCCCTCCCTCCCTCCCTCACTTCCTCCCTCTCTTCCTTCCTTCCTTCCTTCCTCCCTCCCTCCCTCCCTCCCTCCTTCCCTTTCTTCGACGGCCACTTGCTCTGTTGCCCAGGCTGGAGCGCAGTGGCGCGATCTCGGCTCACTGCAAGCTCTGCCTCCCAGGTTCACGCCATTCTCCTGCCTCAGCCTCCCGAGTAGCCGGGATTACAGGCGTGAGCCACCACGCCCGGTTAATTTTTTTTTTTGTATTTTTAGTAGAGACGGTGTTTCATGGTGTTAGCCAGGATGGTCTCGATCTCCTGACCTCATGATCCGCCCGCCTCGGCCTCCCAAAGTGCTGGGATTACAGGCGTGAGCCACTGTGCCCGGCCACTTTTTTCTTTTTTTTTTTTTGAGTGGAGTTTCACTCTTGTTGCCCAGGCTGGAGTGCAATAGCATGATCTCAGCTCACTGCAACCTCCGTCTCCCGGGTTCAAGGGATTCTCCTGCCTCAGCCTCCCAAGTAGCTGAGATTACAGGCATGCGCCAACATGCCCAGTTGATTTTTGTATTTCTAGTAGAGACGGGCTTTCTCCATGTTGGTCAGGCTGGTCTCGAATTCCCGACCTCAGGTGATCCACCCGCCTCCGCCTCCCTAAGTGCTGGGATTAAAGGCGTGAGCCACTGCGCCTGGCCCAATCAGCATTTTCTAAGTACCCCCCATGTTCCCTGTGCGGTGCCAGACCAAGGCTGAGGATGATACAGAGATGACCAAGACTCCACCCATGCGCCGGAGTTGCTTACAATCTAATGGGGGAACTTGCGTAGGGAACCTCTTTCTGGCACAGATCACCGTGAAGAATCCTTGCCCAGAGACACAGCTAAGGGGCCCAGCAAGGTGAGTCTCCAGGCTCCTTCCTCAGAGAAGCCCTCCCTGACTCTCAGGCATCCAGAGGCCTCTGTATATTTCCTTTATCACAGTATGTAATTACAGAATTATGTGTCTGACCATTTATTTAGTATCCATCTCTTCTACTAGACAGTAAGCCTCAGGGGCATGTCTGCATTTTCACCAGTAACTCCAGAGCCTTGCACAGTACCTGATGCACAGCAGATACTCAAGCCAGTTCATCTCTGTTAATTGAATTATTGGATGTAACTTTGGTTCCTGCACCCAGTCCGATCTGGGCAAGGGCTGGAGACTTGAAGGCCATCATTCTCTTGGGTTAGGCTGACCCCTCCTGTTCCTTCCTCCCTGCAGGCTGCCTGCCAGACTTCAGTGGATGGAATCTCAGGCCGCTGCTAACTGATGTTCCAGTCTGAGGTCAACCAGAAACTTTGGGGTTTTGCATGGTCAACATGGGTGGAAAATCAAGTGGCTATTTATTACTTTTCTATGGTTCTCTAGTGGGAGCAGTGGCTGCTATGGACAGTGAGATTGACACCATTCTCCCAACCCGTTGCTGAGAAGCTGGACTGCATACCTTGGATTCCTGCAGACAGCACAGCAGAAGAAGCTGCTCCTCACTCCATGGCCGCAGGCATCCTTCTTGGAGACGTCAGGGAAATGTTGGATATGTTGCAGATTTAGTGAGTGGAACTCTCTCCCTCTCCTCAGCCCTCAGTCTCTCCGTAGGAATAATGTGTGTGTGTGTTGGGGGGGCAGATTAAGAGACCCCTGAGGCTGGGCGCGGTGGTTTACGCCTATAATCCAGCACTTTGGGAGGCTGAGGCAAGAGGATCACTTGAGGTCAGGAGTTGGAGACCAGCATGGCTAACACGGTGAAACCCTGTCTCTACTAAAAATATAAAAATTAGCTTGGTGGTGGTGCACGCCTGTAGTCCCAGCTACTCGGGTGGCTGAGGCAGAAGAATTGCTTGAACCCGGGAGGTGGAGGTTGCAGTGAGCCGAGATTGTGCCATTGCACTCCAGCTTGGGTGACAGAGCGAGACACCGTCTCAAACAAAACAAAGCAAAATACAAAAATTAGCCGGACGTGGTGGCGGGCGTCTGTAATCCTAGCTACTCGGGAGGCTGAGACAGGAGAATCCTTTGAACCTGGGAGGCGGAGGTTGCAGTGAGTTGAGATCGGGTCACTGTACTCCAGCCTGGGCGACAGAGAGAGACTCCGACTCAAAAAAAAACAAAAACAAAAACAAAAAACCCTGGAATTGCTCTTCATTTCCTCAAACCTCCTTCCACCCTCAGGCTTTTTAGCCCCTCAGCCATTTTTGTCCCATTCCCTTTGGGCAAAGGAGATTCTAGCAAGGTGAAGAAGGTGGGCTCAAGGGGAGGAGGGCAGAGGCAAAAACTGGAAGGGGAAATGGAGGAGGACAGGACGTCCCAGATAGGGACAGCCCTTTGCACTGCAGGGATTCCACTTCTCCTCGTCTTCCCATTCCCTCTGAGATGCTGACTCTGACCACAGCTCTTGGACTTTAAGCCACCCCACAGCATCCCCTTTACTTCTAGTGTCCTTCCAATTTGAATCCCACTCCTCCCAAATATACCAGATTCCTAAAGGGGCTGCTTGTTTGTCTTTGTGTAATGATTTTTGTTGTTGTTGTTATTGTTGGAGTCTCGCTCTACCGCCCAGGCTGGAGAGCAGTAGTGGCGCGATCTCGGCTCACTGCAACCTCCGCTTCCCGGGTTCAAGCGATTGTCCTGCCCCAGCCTCTCGAGTAGCTGGGACTATAAGCGCGCACCACCACGCCCTGCTAATTTTTTTGTATTTTTAGTAGAGATGGGGTTTCACCATGTTGGCCAGGATGGTCTCGATCTCCTGACCTCGTGATCCGCCCGCCTCGGCCTCCCAAAGTGCTGGGATTACAGGCGCGAGCCACCGCGCCCGGCCAGGATTTTAAAAAAAATACTGTATTAGGATTTTTATAAGGCTGTAGTAAATGCTATTGAAAAATGCTTACCTCTTATTTCAGCCTTCTCCTCTGTCTGTTCCTCAAACTGGCTTTTGGTTTGAGAGAAGGGGAGGAGCGACCCTGGGGTTGGAAAAGCCCAGGAGACAAGATGGAGATCCAGTCTGTTCATCTGTACATCCCTGGACCTGGGGCGGTCCTGGGGACAGTCCTTTTCTCAAGCCAGTCAGTGGACATTTGGGGGAGAGTCTAGGCACGGATATAGAGGACCCAATATTCCTTTTTTTTTGAGACAGAGTCTCGCTCTGTTGCCCAGGCTGGAGTGCAGTGGCGCGATCTCGGCTCACTGCAAGCTCCGCCTCCAGGGTTCACGCCATTCTCCTGCCTCAGCCTCCCGAGTAGCTGGGACTACAGGCGCCCGCCACCACACCCGGCTAATTTTTGTATTTTTAGTAGAGACGGGGTTTCACTGTGTTAGCCAGGAGGTCTCGATGTCCTGACCTTGTGATCCACCCGCCTCGGCCTCCCAAAGTGCTGGGATTACAGGCGTGAGCCACCGCTCTCGGCCCAAGATTCCTTAATCTAGTTGGTTTTCCGAAAGCGTGGCTATGAAGGAAGAACTCAGGAGTTCTAGCCATTCCCATTGTATTTTGTGTTTTTTTCAGTAGGTATCCCGACGCAACCCTCAGATTAAAACTTTAAGGGAAAATGAAGACCACACCCCTATTCCATAGAAATTAACTCTAATGACAACGTAGTGGCGTGGCGGGGGTATAGCTCAGTGGTAGAGCATTTGACTGCAGATCAAGAGGTCCCCGGTTCAAATCCGGGTGCCCCCTCTGTGCTCCGGAGTTACCTCGTTTTGTTGGTCTCCGGAGGTCCTCTAAAGAGTTCCCGCACAGATGGAATGGGAGGGAGTCTCGAGCCCTGCCACCCTTTTTGCTTTCGCAGGCGAGTGAGGATGGAGTCCTGGCCCCTGCCAGTGGCTCAGCCTGTGTGTGTACCCAGGGTAGAATGCAATGCGAGTGAGGGCGAGGAGCTCCGGGCTGACCCTTGGAACACGGTACGGGTGGCTCAACCTCGCAATGGCAGGGCGGAGGCGAGCGCACCCCCAGGTCAGCCTGGCTCTTTCTTGGCGGGAAGGAGGCTGAGTTTCTAAGGGCTGGGCTGGGGAAGACAGGTCGGGAGAAGCCGCGTGAGCATGTGGGAGGGAGAAAGAAGCTCCGAGACGTGGCAAGGGGTCTTCTGCAGGGCAGGAGAGTGGGACGCCCCCGAAGTGAAATATTTCGAGAGACTTCTCCTTCCACACCCCAGGAATATATTTTCTTATACTGCCAGTGGGGATCTTCAGCTCAGAGCTTCAGGGAACAACCCCTGCTTCCAAGTGAGTAATTCTTCTGGGAGTTGTATTTTTTCCATCTCTTGTAAACGTCTTACCCCACTTCCACTTCCCTTCGGGAACGCCACACAGCGCCTGCGCAGCAATACCACTAAACGACTACGTGCGGTCGGTTTGCCGGCAGAGGGGGTATAGCTCAGTGGTAGAGCATTTGACTGCAGATCAAGAGGTCCCCGGTTCAAATCCGGGTGCCCCCTCTTTGGCCTTTTCGAGATACTGTTTTTGTCCTGGGTGTCGATTTTTCCTAAGCTGTTTGCTTTTACTCCTACTGGCAGACGAGGAGCAGTGAGGGACTGAAAGGAACTGGGGATTCAACAGCAGTGGCTCTCAAAATGTGGTCCTGGGACCAGCAGCATTACCTGGGTACGCTCGGGCCTCATCCCAGACCTAATGAATTAGAAACTTGAGGGTGGAGTCCAGAAATCTGTGTTTTCATATACGCTCCCCATCGCTTGAGTCCAGGAGTTGGAAGCTGCAGTGAGCTATGATCGCAGCACTGCACTCCAGCCTAGGCAACGTGCGAGAACCTGTCTCAAAAAACAAACAAAATACACACACACACACACACACACACACACACACACACACACACACACCCTGCAGGTGATTACGATCTCAAGTTCTAGAGGCTTACGTTAAAATTTACACATTTGCTTCTACTATTTACAAGTTTATGTTTCAGCCTGAGCTCTTCTTGTAAGACAGACCACGAGGTACCCCAGATGGAGGAATGTGCAAAGACGCCGGGGCTGGAGCTGGAATCCGTCCCGAGACTTCTCACCTTGACCTCGAGGAAGGCAGGAGGTCGGAGACAGGGGGTGGGCAGGCTGGGGAAAGAGGAAACCCGCAGGACAAGAGGGTTGTGGCTCGTCACGTGGCCACTTGAGGGCAGCAAGTAGCTGCAGCTGGAGGTAGCTGCCTATCTGATTCTGTTTGAGAGTCCGCCAAGTTGGGATTTAAATTAGACATCAAGAAGAATTTACAGACCGGCCTTGCCTTGTTCCACGGTAAGGGGACATTGGGTTTAGGGCTGGAGGAGGTAGTCTCTGGGACTCTGGGCCCGGCGGAAGGAGGAACCGGCGTTCTAAGAGATTAGAGAGCCTTTAGTTGTTTCCTTTCTTAGGTGTTTTTTTTTCTTTTCTTTTCTTTTTTTTTTTTTTAACCTCAGTGCCACGGAATCCGTCTCTTCCAGCCCACAGTGTACCTTCTCCTGTCCCCGCCCATATCCCTCCTCCTGGAAAATTTCTCCAATGGCGCTCAGCGTTCGCACCCTTCCTCTCCGCGGTTTTCTAGTCCCTAGGCCCCAGCCCACTAGAAGCCAGGATGCCCCCTCACCCCGTCTCCCACTCTCCAGCGCCCCAGCTCCTTGCCGTCACAAGAACGAAGTAGGTCAGGGGAGGGAAGAGGCATCTTCGTGTCCTGACCTGATTCCTTGCCGTCTATTAAATATCCTACATTGCGGGTATTTTTATTCTGTCCTGGAAGAAAAAATAAAAAGATTATCTATCCCCAGAGCCTGTCAGAAGGTGGTGACAGGTGGGGTGAGCCATTTCCTCGTCTGGGGCTGGCTCTGAAGATTGATTGGGTCTGGCCCTGAGTAGGCCTGGAGGCCCCAGAGAGGCAGGAGGCCTGGGTTACCTACTCGTGGGGAGGGGTCCAGACTGTTGCAGAGTAAGGGGTAGCCAGGCCCCCTCCACCCTCACGTCTGCTAGGCTTGGGGGGCAAATCGGTGCTGGAAATGGGGGGTGGAGGGATAAGGTGGAGTCATGGAAGGGGGGTGGGATTCAGGCCCCTCTTGGGGAGAAAAGCTGGGGGTCTTTGCTGCAGGGGGAGATTTCTGGGGGTGGGGGCTGGAGGACAAAGCATCAGAGACGCACAGAATTCCGAAGAACAGCTCAGGAAGTCGCAGAGCTTGGAGGAGCTGGGGGCGGGGAACAGTCAGGGGCCCGTGACCCAGGGATGGGGCGCCTGTCCCTTCCAGGGGTCCAGTCCTCGGGCCTTCTCTCTGCAGCTTTCCCGGCGGAACGGAGGAGGGAAAGGGAGCCAGGAGCTCAGTGAGGAGCGCGGGGCGGCTGATGCTTCTAGGGGTTCTCTCAGCCCGAGGGGCTCCCGCCCTGTCCCCTACTCTGCACCCCTTGCCTTGGGAGCGGCTGCAGAGCTCTAGGGGAGCGCTCCGTTAGGGCTGAGGGCAGGCGCCGGGAGAGCCCCCAACGACGCCGCGCCCCCCGCCCCGCCCCCTGCCCCAGCTCCCCCCCACCCCCACCGACCCAGCGGCCCCCCCAGCTCCCCGCCTGCTCCCGGAGGCCGCAGCCTCCAGCTCCGCTCGCGCTCTCGCCGCTCCTGCCGGCTCGCCCGGCCCCGCGCTCCGCCGTCTCCTCGCCGCCCGCCCCTCCGCCAGCCCCGGGGACCGCGCGGCCGCAGCCTGAGCCAGGGCCCCCTCCCTCGTCAGGACCGGGGCAGCAAGCAGGCCGGGGGCAGGTCCGGGCACCCACCATGCGAGGCGAGCTCTGGCTCCTGGTGCTGGTGCTCAGGGAGGCTGCCCGGGCGCTGAGCCCCCAGCCCGGAGCAGGTAGGACTGGCGGGAGCCGGCCCGGGTGGGCCGGGGGCGGGGAGGGACGGGCAGTCAGGTGTGGGCATGGGCAGGTGTGGACGGCCTGGCGATGTCCGCGAGGGGGGCATTGTCCGCAGGAGGCCAGGAGAGCTGTGGGCTGTGGGCAGGTGGATAGGGACCCCACTTTCCCAAACACATAGGGTGTGTGAGTGACGGTGGAGACACCGATGCCCGGACCTCTCCTTCTCTCCTGGAAGGATACTGGAGGGACCTTAGGAGAGGGGGCTCTATGTGGCCATGGGCTCTGAAAGGGGACAGCGGGAGAGTCATCAGGACCCCTGATCACCCCAGGCAAGGCTGAATTCTGATGAGATGGGAGCCTGGGGAGGCCCCTGCCCCAGCCATGCCTTCTTTTCCTCTTCTCTGCCACACCCCCGACCCCAAAGCTGATCCAGGCTAGGGATAGGTGGGAGCAGCCAGGGGGATGGTGGGGACACAGCGTCTCTGCCTGGGAAGGCAGCAGCCATTCGGTCACCTTC
Organism: Homo sapiens; assembly: GCF_000001405.40. Taxonomy (NCBI): domain Eukaryota; kingdom Metazoa; phylum Chordata; class Mammalia; order Primates; family Hominidae; genus Homo; species Homo sapiens. Next base: position 39,150,840 of record NC_000017.11, on the reverse strand, counting down.
CCTTGCCTATTTGGTGTCAGTAGAGAGGCAGTGGGCCCAGGAAGAAGCAACTTGCTGCTTCTGCACCCCCAGCCTCAAGAGTCCCCCTCCTCACACCTGCTCCCATTTGCCCTGGCAGCCTTTGGCTTTCAGCTACTCTGGCTCTAGATGGGGCACTGGGGTAGGGGGTGGAGGGAGGCGTCCCATTCTGCACACTCCTCTTCCCCCCTACCAGTTCTCCAAACTCATCTCTCCCACCTGGAAGTCCTTTCTGAGATCTACCTGGAATCCCTCATGGTATAATTTTCATAGTCTCTGTTCTCCCCTAAGCACCTAGACTTTCTCTGGGGTTGGGGAGATGGGTAATTTGCAGCCTGGCCCCTCAGCAGAGATGATTAAGAAGATAGATACCTGTGCATCATTGGCATGGGTGCCCCTCAGGTGGGGTGAGGGAGGCGCTGTTGAGGTGAGTGCTGTGGTTGACCTGCTGTGTCTCAGGAGTGTGCTGGCACCAGGCACAGTGTCAGTGGCAATGTTCTTGACTTTAATGGTCCCAGCATGTAGCTGAGACAGACCTGGGTCCCTATTGAGAAGAAGAGTATGTTGGGGGTGGGAGGGGAAGGAGGCTGACAGTGGGAAGTATGGGCAGAGGGCAGTGGAGCTGACGAACCGAGAAGCTGCTGGTGAGAACCACCAATTTTCAGGGAGACCACACAGAGGGTGGCCAGAGACGTGGCTTCTAGTCCCGCCATCTCACTTGCTGTGTGACTTTAGACAAGTTACTTTCTCTCTCTGGACCTATTTTTGCATTTATAAAGTGAGGCTGTTGGCAAAATCTTTGACTCTTGTGCGTGGAATAATGAAGGATCTTTTATAATTGCCTTTCCTTTTCATATTTGTTAGGGTCTTTATGGGTAACTGATACTTTAAAAAAATCAAGGTAAACAGGAGAGAGTTGGATATGTTATGAATAATTTCTGGGCTCCTTTGAATCCTCAACCTGGTGTGATCTTCTGAACTCTGGGTGTAACAGAGTTTATGAGGGGAGGATCTGAACCTTTGGCTGGATTGTGTGAACCACGGAGAGGGCTGGGGAAGGGGGAATTGGGAGGTAACAAGGATGGGCTGGGAGATAGTGGCCAGACCCGGGCCTGGCTGAGGGCGGCCCCTTCAGAGTAGGGTTGGGGTAGTAGACGGTTGAGGAGACCAGGAAGAGTGGGGCAGGCAGAGACTTGAATCACTTCTCTAAGTAGAGGCTATCCTGTCTTCTTGGCTTTGACAGAGATTGAGCCAGGAGAAATGCACTTTTTCTGCAGCAGGAGGGATAGAGGTTAGACTTAAGGAATCTGTAAGAAGCCAGAGGCGGCAGCTGTTGACTCCCAGTCCGGTGCCCTTTTCACAGGCCAGGTGGGATTTCACAGGCAGGAGGACCTATGAGGAGGAAGCGGGTGTCTGGGGAGGCCAGATGTAGGAGAAGGACGTTCTGGGGGAGAGTTGCTAAGGAGGGGCAGCCTGACCTGATTGATGGCGGAGTTGTTGTGACCAGTGGAAGGGCAGCTGGGAGCAGGACCTGAAGAGATGCTAGCATCCTTCCCCAAGGCTCTGGGTTTGTGGGGCTGGTGGGGGGCCTTGGGAAGTAGCTGAGATCTCCCCTCGCTCCTGATGGACAGGCTTGTTTGGTAGAGCCTTGAAACCTCATCTATCATTAGAACAGCAGCAGCAGAGAGATGAGTGGCCCAAAGACAGAGTCAGACAGCAGGGGAGACCAGGATGACAGACAGGAAAATGGCCTTGGGGTGCAGAGCAGGGGCCCAGGGAACTGACAGTCTGGTCAGATGGAACCAGAGGTGCATATGACAGATAAAGAAGAGGCAGCGAGAGTTGGCATCCTGGCCTGGGAGTCCTGCAGGAGGCCAGGCTCAATACCAACTACTGGTGACCCTGACAGCTTCCTCCTTTCTCTGAGGAAGGTTTCCCCGTCTATAAAATGGGGGCTTGCACCAGTCACGGTGGCTCATGCTTGTGATCCTAACACTTTGGGAGGCTGAGGTGGGAGGATAGCTTTAGACCAGGAGTTTGAGACCAGCCTGGGCAAAATAGTGAGACCCCATGTCTATAAATGATTTAGGCCAGGCAGGGTGGCTCATGCCTGTAATCCCAGCACTCTGGGAGGCCGAGGCCGGCGGATCACCTGAGGTCAGGAGTTTGAGACCAGCCTGGCTAACATGGTGAAACCCCGTCTCTACTAAATATACAAAAATTAGTATATTTAGTATTGTTATTAATATTATTAATATTAGTATATTAGTAAAAATTAGCCAGGCGTGGTGGTGCATGCCTGTAATCTCAGTTACTCAGGAAGCTGAGGCAGGAGAATAGCTTGAACCCGAGAGGCAGAGGTTATAGTGAGCTGAGATCGCACCACTGCACTCCAGCCTGGGCAACAGAGTAAGACTCTGTCAAAAAAAAAAATTAAAATTAAAATAAAAAATTAGCTGGGCATGGCGGTGTGCGCCTGTAGTCCCAGGTACTCGGAAGGCTGAGGCAGGAGGATCGTTTGAGCCCAGGAACTGGAGGCTGCAGTGAGCTATGATCATGCCACATAGTGAGGGCAGCATAACGAGGTCCCATCTTTTTTTAAAAAAAGGAGGGAAGGAGGTTGGACCAGATTGTCTCTAGGGCTCCAACAACCTGAGACTAAAATGCGAACTTATGGAGGTCAGGCAGCCCCTCCCTCATCCCACCATCTTCTCTAGCTCTCCCCAGATTCACCCCTTAACCCACTCCAGCTGCCGTCCCCTCCGATCGACAGATAACTAACTGGCTTCTTCTCATTCAGGTCTTAATCAGCTCAAGGGGACCCTCCTCAGAGAGCCCCACCTCATGGCTCTGTGTAGAGTAGCAACAACCCCAACCCTTTCCTCTGTCTGATTTTCTTCATAGCCCTTACCAAATGATTCATTTTGTATGTCTCCATGAAGAAAACTAGACTCTTCCTGGGTACAGGGCTTGTGTCCCCCCAGCACCCAGCACAGTGCCTGCGACTCAATAAAAGTGTATTGAATGAATGAGTGAGTGACTGAGTGAGTATATCAGAGGTGGCACAGATCCCAGACTCTCCCCTCAAGGGACACACATAGAGAGCTGAACTCTTCTTGCTGTCCCTCCCTTCCCCTCCCCTCCCCTTCCCTCCCTCCCTCTTCCCTTCTGCTACCTGGTGGTCCCTCCCTGCACTTCCTTTGACTCCTTCCCTCTCCCCAGGTGAGGGTCCTCAGTGGGTCCCTACCTGCCAGAGGAAAGGGAGAGGGTATGGTTAGGGGCTTTGTAACTTGGAGGCAGGATTTCAGTTTAGGGTTTGGAGCCTTCCCTGGCCCCTCTGAAAGCTGGTCCTGTGACCCTAACTGGTGTGTTGCCCAAGGTGCAGCAAGTTGACACACCAACACCGAGGGGGCAGCAGAGAAAGAGTTTCATCATCGTGGGGCAGCATTTGGGGCTAGAGGTTTTATGGGGTTTGGGGTGGGGTGGCCAACGTGTGGGAATTGTTAATTGGTTGAAGAGTGCATGAAGAAATAAAGAAACTGCATTCTCATGTTAAATCAGTTCCTCGGCTGGGCGCGGTGGCCCGCGCCTGTAATCCCAGCACTTTGGGAGGTCGAGGTGGGTGGATCACAAGGTCAGGAGTTCGAGACCAGCCTGCCCAATATGGTGAAACCCTGTCTCTACTAAAAACACAAGAAAATTAGCTGGGCGTGGTGGTACATGCCTGTAATCCCAGCTACTTGGGAGGCTGAGGCAGGAGAATTGCTTGAATCCGGGAGGCAGAGGTTGCAGTGAGCCGAGATCGTGCCACTACACTCCAGCCTGGGTGACAGAGCGAGACTCCGTCTCAAAAAAAAAAAAAAAAAAAAAAAAATCATTTCCTGTCTGAGGGTCTTCGAATTGGCCCTTCTGCTGGAATTCAGGATCCGAAAACCATCTTAATCCTTCTTTTTTTTTTTTCTTTTTTGAGACAGGGTCTCACTCTGTTGTTCAGGCTGGAGTGCAGTGGTGTGATCATAGCTCACTGCTGCCTCAACTTCCTGGGCTCAAGTGATCCTCCTGCCTCTGCTTCCTGAGTAGCTGGGACTGCAGGCATGCACCACCACATCTGGCTAATTTTTTAAAATTTATTATTAATAATAAATTAAATTTTATAATACCTTTTTTTATTATAAAAAAGACAAGGTCTTGCCATGTTGCCCAGGCTGATCTCCAACTCCTGGGCTCAGGTAATCCTCCTGTCTTGGCCTTCCAAAGTGCTGGGACTACAGGCATGAGCCACCATGTCCAGACTTTAAAAAAAATTTTAGTAGAGATGGGGTCTTGCTATGTTGTCCAGTCTGGTCTCGAACTCCTGGACTCAAGTGATCCCACCACCTCACCCTCCCAAAGTGTTGGGATTATAGGCATGAGCCACTGCACCTGGCCTTAAACAATTCTTAAATAAAAGCTGGCCAGGCGTGGTGGCTCATGCCTATAATCCCAGCACTTTGGGAGGCCAAGGCGGGAGCATCATTTGAGGTCAGGAGCTCAAGACTAGCCTGGCCAACATGGTGAAACCCCATCTCTGCTAAAAATATAAAAATTAGCTGGGTGTGGTGGCGCACTCCTGTAGTCCCAGCTACTTGGGATGGTGAGGCAGGAGAATTGCTTGAACCCGAGAGGTGGAGGTTGCAGGGAGCTGAGATCACACCAATGTACTCCAGCCTGGGTGACATATCGAGATTCCCTCTCAAAAAAAAAAAAAAAAAAGGAATGGGCCGAAGTGCAGCCTGATTAATGCTTAATTACTCCTATACTTCTGCCCAGAACCCGGCATGTAATTCTTGTTAACCCTGAGAAGACGGTTTCAGTCCTCATGTGAAACCCAGGGAAGGCAGGGCGACTTGCTGGGTGCTCTGTGTATATGATTTTGTTAAAGTGTCAAACCTACCAAGTTTATGTTTTATCAGCCCCATCTCACAGATGAGGAAACTGAGTCTTAGAGAGTGTGTGTAATTTGTCCAATGTTGTAGTTAGTAGGTGGTAGATTCAGGGTTCAGTGTCTAGCTTGTCTGATTCCAAACCTGTGTTGTTTTACTGCTCTGATACTACAATGAAGTTCCAAGGGAAGGGTGTTTCCAGTTCGGTGTATCTCAGGTACTCAGGGCATTTAAAGATGCTCTCCCTTCCCTCCCCTCCCCTCGCCTCCTTTCTCTTCTCCTCTTTTTCTCAGCCTGTGGGACAGGATGAGCCAGGGACAGGTGAGCTGGAAGCCGGAGAGAGATGGAATCAAGTTCACCCTCTAGGTGGCTTGTCCTGGCTATGGTGGGGGAGATTAGCTCTAGGGCATTAAGGGTGGAGGCTGACCCAGGATAGAGGCTGTGGTAACCTGAGCTATGGGGTGGCCCAGGGCTGGGATGCCAAGTTTGGGTGTTGGGTGAGATGAGGATGGCTTGGCCCAGGCTCTGGGGCCGCACAACCTGGCCTCCTGAGGTCAGCCCCATTCCCCCTTGCCCTGAAATGGGACCAGTGCCAGCTGAGGGGACTGGGACGCTACTGCTGGGCTGTACCCTGCATGCTGGGGGACACAGTCTCCCAGGGAAGCTCTCAGGTTCAGGCCCAATGGCAGCCTGAGTAGGGCCCTCCAAGAACCTAGCCCACATGCCAGCCCCACCCCGGGGCTGCCCCTGCACCCTGGGAAACAGTGGGGATTGTCGGTCACTTTTTACTGCACTTTCTGTGGTTCTGAGTAGGCTCTGGAGCCAGCCTGCCTGAGTTCAGATCCTGCCATGGACTGGTTCTGTGACCTTGGGAGGTTCCTTAACGTCTTTGTGCCTCAGTTTCTCCATTTGTAAAATGGATTTTAAACTAGTAACTATTTCATGGGATTATTGTGGGGATTAAGGGGGTGGATGTGTTTAAAGCCCCTGGAATAGTGCTAGCACAGAGCAGCATTCTCTGAAAGTCAGCTATCATTTTTATTACTAGGGTGATTATTATGGCATCCCACTGGACTGCACACTACTTGGGGCCATGAGTGAGTGAATCAATGAATGAACAGCTTGTGTTCCGGAAGCTCCTTGGCAACACATGCAGGCGGGGAACGGGTCCAGGGAAAATGGAGCTCTCTCCAGTGGAAGGCAGGTGGGGTGAGGAGTGGCTGAGGGTTGGGCAGGTGTCCAACTTGTGTGTGAGCACATACGGGAAGGCCGAGGCTTTCAGGAAAGTCTTTGTGGGCATGTGCACAGGCACGTGGGCCCCTGCACATACACGTGAGCAACCAGCTGTGTTGGCTTCTTTCATGAGTCGTGGGGATGACGTCCTGTCCCAGGCAACAGGGAAGGAAGGGTGGCCAGGAAACAGATGTAGTATGGGTTGGAAGAGTAAGATTCAGGGCTAGGCCAGGGTAGGCCAGGGTCCTGGTCAAGCTCCCTCTCCATCCCTCGCCCTGCCCTCTTTCATGGACTCTTTACCTCTTACCCTGGCCTGAGCTCTCTATAAAACCTCATTTGTGTTTCTCACTTGACGCTTATGGCAGCCTGTACTGTGGGCACCATCGTCAAATCCATTTGAGTCACTAGGGAGCTGAGGATTAGAGAGGAAAACTGATGGGGCTAAGGTCCCATAACTTGTGAGTGGCAAGACTGGGTGTGGAGGTCAACCCAGTGTCTCTTCCCTGGCCACCCCCAGCTGGGCCCCCTCCCTGTCCTTCCCCGGGCTGCAGGCCTCCACCATCCCGCCTCCTGTCTCGGCTCCAGGTTTGTGAATCCTGAAGATCCCCAACACTCCTCTCTGGGCCGCTGAGCCCCTCCACTTGTTCACTACCCGCTCTATCCTGTTCTGGCTCCTGCCCAGGCCCCAGGGCTGCTTGCAGGAAGACCTGGGGAGCTGGGCAGACCAGCCCAGCACAAACAGCTCTGTCTCCAGAAGCAGCTGTGGGCCCCACCCAAGAGAGACCAGACAGCCCTGGCTTGGGCCTGGGCAGTGGGCAGGCTGCCTTCCCAGCCCTGGACTCATGTCCATCTGTGGGCAGCCAGTGGGCATCTTGGGGAAGGGGTCTGGGGACTGCCCTCCTCCCCACGTGCTCCAGCAGCATCTGGTTGCTATTAGGGGCAGAGAAGTGAGAGGGGGCCGGCAAGGGTCCAGTAGGCGCCAGCAGCCAAGAATGACTTAATTGGATACAATGTCTAATGACAAAGCAGGGCCCCACAGCGGAGTTCTGGCCTCAGCCCCAGGCCTGGGCCTGGCCAAGCCTGGTCTCAACCTCTGTCCTTGCTGGCTCCCAGGAGCTACCCTATGCACTGCGTCCTCAATTCTGCAGTGATGGAGCACCTGCTGTTTGCTGGACATGCCAAATTTGAAGAAGGTGGAGAGAATCCTGGGGGAACTCAAATCTACCAGGGAGATAGGCACATAGTCGCACACGTAGGTGCTCTAGGAGAGGGAGAGCCACATCCAGGAGCTCTGGGGAGTGGGCTGGGGGAAGGCAGAGGTTGAGACAGGTATCTGACACAGGGTGGGCCTGAAATGGAAGAGGGTCATAGGTGGGGAATGTCAGATCCACCTATCTGATGGTCTGTTCTCATATATACATCCATAGTAGGTGTGACCATTAGAATGACAATAAAAGCCACAGCTTTGGGGGGCATAAATCTTTTTGAAGTGGAAAAGGATGGTTTTTGTGTTGTTTATTTATTTATTTGGAGAAGGAGTTTCGCTTTTTTGTCCAGGCTGGAGTACAGTGGCGCAATCTCGGCTCACTGCAACCTCTGCCTCCCAGGTTCAAGCAATTCTCCTGCCTCAGCCTCCCGAGTAGCTGGGATTATGGGTGCCCGCCACCATGCCCGGCTAATTTTTGTATTTTTAGTAGAGACGGGGTTTCGTCATGTTGGCCAGGCTGGTCTCGAATTCCTGACCTCAGGTGATCCACCCACCTCAGCCTCCCAAAGTGCTAGGATTATAGGTGTGAGCCACCACGCCCGGCCTTTTGTTAGAACTAATTTAACAGACCTGGTGCAGTGGCTCACGCTTATAATCCCACCACTTTGGGAGGCCAAGGTGGAAGGACCGCTAGAGCCCAGGAGTTCAAGGCCAGTGTAGGCAACATGGTGAAACCCAGCCTCTACGAAAAATACAAAATAAAATAATAATAACTAGCCGGGTGTGGTGGCATGCAACTGTAGTACCAGCTACTCAGAAGGCTGAGGTGGGAGGATTGCTTGAGCCTGAGAGGTCAAGCGTACAGTGAGCTGTGATTGTGCCACTGCACTCCAGCCTGCATGCTAGAGTGAGACCCTGTCTCAAAAAAAGCATGCATTTAACAACCTAGAGGGAACTGGAGAGGAGATCATGGAACCTAAAGCCATTTCGCAACCTCCAGAAATGGAGGTTCGCATGGCCGCGAAATGGCCTGTGTGTAGTCACTTTCCAATCCTGTGCCCATGGCAGACATTGCTTATTGATCTTCACAGTCCTTCCTGCTAAATACAAGAGGAGCCTTTGCATTCTCAGTTGGAGTGCCTCTGGCTGTCACGAATGGATTGCAGATGGCATGTGATATGAAACCTATTTGCCATCCTAGACAGTATCTAGGTAGTGATAGGAGTAAAACAGTAAAAAATTACCCCTCCCTCAATGGGGCAAGGGGGGGTTAATTTTATTCCCCAGGGGATATTTGGCAATGTTTGGAGACGTTTTTCATTGTCACAGCTTGGGATGGGGAGGAGCGTGGTGCTACTGGCATTTAGTGAGCAGGGGCCAAGGCTGCGGCTGCTAAACATCTTACAGAGCACTGGACAGTTCCCGCATAACAATGAATTATCCAGTCCAACCAACAATCCAATTTAAAAACAGGAAAAAGACTTAAATAGACATTTCTCCAAAGAAGATATACAAATGGCCCACAAGCATATGAAAAGATGTTCGGCATCACTAATCATCAGGGAAATGCCAATTTATAAAAACGATGAGATATAACCTCATACCTGTTAGGATGGCTACTATAAAAAAAACAGAAAATAACAAGTATTGGCAAGAATGTGGAGAGATTGGAACCCATGTGCACGGTTGGTGGGAATGTAAAATGGTCCAGTCATTTTACATGGAAAACATTTTATATGGAAAACAGTATGACAATTCCTCAAAAAATTAGAAATAGAATTACCATACAATCCAGCAATTCCGCTTCTGGGTATATACCCAAAAGAATTGAAGGCCAGGTCTCAAAGAGATATTTGTACACCCATGTTTGTAGCAGCATTGTTCACAATAGCTAAAACGTGGAAGCAAAACAGACATCCATTGATAGTTGAGTGGGTTAGCAAAATGTGGTATATCCACACAATGGAATATTATTCAGCCTTCAAAAGGAAGTCAATTCTGCCATATGCTACGACATGAATGAACCTTGAATTTATTATGCTAAGTGAAATAAGCCAATCACAAAAAGACAAATATAGTATGATGCCATTTATATGAGATACTTAGAGTAGTCAAAATCATAGATACAGGCTGCGCGCTGTGGCTCATATCTGTAATCCCAGCACCTTGGGAGCCAAGGCAGGAAAATTGCTTGAGACCAGGAATTCAAGACCAACCACCCTGAACAAAATAGTGAGACCCTGTCTCTATAAAAAGTAAAAAGATTAGCTGGGCATGGTGGCGCATGCCTATAGTCCCAGCTACTTAGGAAGCTGAGGTGGGAGGATCGCATGAGCCCAGCAGTTGGAGGCTGCAGTGAGCTATGATCGCACCACTACTCCCCAGCCTGGGTGACAGAGCAAGGCCCCATCTCTTAAATAAAATAAAATAACAGGGGTGAATAGGGAGTTATTATTTAACGGGTACAGAATTTTAGTTTTACAAGGTGAAAAGAGTTATGCAGATAGATGGTGGTGATGGTCATACAACATTAGGAATGTATTTAATGTTACTGAATTGTACACTTGGAAATGGTTAGATGGCAAATTTTGTTATGTGTATTTTGCCACAATAAAAAAATTGGAAAAGGAATTATCCAGTCCAAATGTCAATAGTACCGAGGTTGAGAAGCCCTGAACGAAAAGAACTCTGGCTTCTAGTCCCCTGACCCCACTGGGAAATAGGATTATGTGCCATTTCTGCCAGAGAAATAAGAAACTGGTTTGGAAGGCTCAACGGCAATGGTTCTCACCCTTGCCTGCAGAGTTAAGTCCAAGACTCCTCAAAATCTCCCCTGAGGCTCTTTTAAGAAATCGAGGCTAGGCGCGGTGGCTCACGCCTGTAATCCCAGCACTTTGGGAGGCCGAGACGGGTGGATCACGAGGTCAGGAGATTGAGACCATCCTGGCTAACACGGTGAAACCTCGTCTCTATTAAAAATACAAAAAATTAGCTGGGCGCGGTAGCGGGCGCCTGTAGTCCCAGCTACTCGGGAGGCTGAGGCAGGAGAATGGCGTGAACCCTGGAGGCGGAGCTTGCAGGGAGCGGAGCTCGGGCCACTGCACTCCAGCCTGGGTGACAGAGCGAGACTCCATTTCAAAAAAAGAAAAAGAAAAAGAAATTGAATGCCCAGGCTACACCATAGACCAGTTACAAGAGATCTCTAGGGTGGGACCCAGACATCAGGAACTTTTGAAGCTGTCCAGGTGACTCCAGTGTATAGCTGAGGTTGAGAATAATCACCCTTTGGAGGCAGATCAGCTTGGGTTTGAAACTTACCTGCATGCCTAACCCACTGCGTGACTTTTAACCTCTGAGCCTCTGATTCTTGTTTGCAAAATGGAGAACATCCTAACTACTGCGGAGAGCTGGCATGAGGATTAAAAGGATATGTGCGAAGTGCTTGGCCTGGAGCTGGGCACGTGACTCTCAGTACACATTGGGTGTCTCCTGTCCTGGTAGTCAGTCAAGTGTCTGCAAATTCTACAGTGGCATGGTGTTGGGGCCCTTGCAGAATAACTGGGCTGGATTCCCCTCCTGATCTTCATTCCGGACTGCTGGCACTCAGGTTTCTGTCCCCTTCTCCCAGGTCACGATGAGGGCCCAGGCTCTGGATGGGCTGCCAAAGGGACCGTGCGGGGCTGGAACCGGAGAGCCCGAGAGAGCCCTGGGCATGTGTCAGAGCCGGACAGGACCCAGCTGAGCCAGGACCTGGGTGGGGGCACCCTGGCCATGGACACGCTGCCAGATAACAGGACCAGGGTGGTGGTGAGTGCTGGAGGAACATGGAGGGGGAGCGAAGTGGGGGTGGGGGAGGTCTCACCAGCTGCCCCAGGTGTGCTTGTCCTACATGCAAATCACATATCATTTGGGGTTGGCCCCGGAGGACAGGGTGGAGAGAAGAATCCCCGGGGAGGGGATGGAAGCAGGGCCCAGACTGGGTCATAAAATCACAGCATCTCAGCGTTTCATAGGCTGCCTACTCCCTCCTGGACCCAGAGACATCAAATGGATTGTATCAGGATGCACAGCCTGACCACAGCATTCCTGAAACTGGACTCTCCCATGACTTAGGGAAGAAAAAGCTGACAGTGGCCTTATGAGTCACATCTCAGCTGCCAGATGGGGCCCTTCCCCACCCCATTTCTGCCCCATCTACAGACTGGGGCGCAAGAGGATTAATGGCTGCTTAGCCTAAGGGCTGGGCACTCAGCAGGGGGCTGAGTAGAGAAAGCAATTAGGGTGCAGCTCCTGGAGACAACCTCCTTGGCCTGGGGCAGTTCTGGGGTGCTGGCACAGGGAGGAGAGGCCTGGAGGGAGTGCTCTTCTCTCAGGGTTTCCGGGAGGCTCTTGGAAGCCTCGGTGTGTCTGGGGGTGAATCTATTAATATAATTGTGCGTTTCTGGGAATGGGTGTGTGTGTCATGGACGCTGGGTTCGCACCTGTGTCAGATGATTTTGTATATTATGTATGTGTACCTGTCTGTCACTGTGGGCTGTTTGTGGGTGTCTGTGATGAGCATGTGTAAGTGTGAGTGTGCCTGTGGCTGTGTGTGTAGGTGCCTGCGGCTGGGAGTGATGAGGGTGGATTCTTAGGACGCAAGAAGCAACAAGAGGACCTTCTTCTCAGTATAGATTTATTTTATATTTTAATAACTATTTTCTTAAATTAGTATGTGCTGACAGTTAAAAAAAAAAAAGGTTAAATAGTGCTAAAATCATAAAACAAAACAGCAGTCCTGCCCCTCCTCTCCCCTGGGGCCTGCCCCCTTCCCTTTCTCAGAAGGCTCTGTCTGGGCTGTTTCCTCTGGAGTTTACTTCCATATTTCCAAGGGATTTGCTTATACTGTACTGCTACCTCTCTGTGCACTGGTTTTAGGCCGTACCTATTCATGGCCTGCTGCGGCTCAGGGAGATTTGGCTTTTGTATACTCCCGCTGAGCAACCTTTCACCCTGCCGCCCAATCTTCCTGTTCAATCCGTGTGCTCGGTTGTGGATTGTGACGATCATGTACATAGTGTTCACTTCTAATCCAGGCAGGGTCATAACATTGTTTCTTTTCTTGTATGATTTTGGCTCTTCCTGGATCCTGGCCCCCTCTCCTGCCCTTGCTTACTTAGTTTTCTGTGCCTACCGTAGCTACATTTTCCTACACGTCCCCTAGCCTCAAATGTAATTCCAGTGTGGGCTGGGCATGGTGGCCCACACCTGTAATCCTAGCACTTTGGGAGGCCCAGACGGGTGGATCGCTTGAGCTCAGGAGTTCCAGAATAGCCTAAGCAACATAGTGAGACCCACGTCTCTAAAAAATTAAAACAAAAATTATCTGGATGTGGTGGTTTGCCCCTGTAGTCCCAGCTACTTGGGAGGCTAAGGCTGGAGGATTGCTTGAGCCTGGGCGGTCAAGGCTGTGCTGAGCTGTGACCTCACCAGCCTGGGAAAAAGAAGAAGACTCTGTCTCCGAAAAAATATAAAAGAAAGAAAATAAGATAATTCAGGGTGGTCAAACCTGTCAGTTCCTTTATCCCCCCGAGAAACTTCTCTCCTGTCCTGCACTCCAATCCCGCCCAGCCACTCGCCTGCTGGTACCACGGGTGCCATCCTGGGGCCTCCCTTTCTGTTCGTCCTGGGAACCCCTTTGTCTCCCTCCTGTGTTGGATCCCCTGTTCCCTTGACCCTGTGTCTTCTCTTTCCTGCTTCATCCTTTTGTTTGTTTAGCTTCCTGGGAAAGGTTGCACAGAGGGAAAAATTCCCTTGAGAACGTGCATGTCTGAAGATATCTTTATTCTGTCCTTTCATTTGACTAGTGGTTTGGCTGAATATAGAATTCTAGATTGAAAATAATTTACTTTTTCTTTTTTTTGAGATGGAGTCTCGCTCTGTCGCCAAGGCTGGAGTGCAGTGGCACAATCTTGGCTCATTGCAACCTCCTCCTCCTCCTGGGTTCAAGCGATTCTTCTACCTCAGCCTCCTGAGTAACTGGGATTACAGGTGTGTGCCACTATGCCCAGCTAATTTTTTGTATTTTTAGTAGAGATGGGGTTTCACCATGTTGGCCAGGCTGGTCTCAAACTCCTGACTTCAAGTGATTTGCTAGCCTCTGCCTCCCAAAGTGCTGGGATTACAAGTGTAAGCCACCGCTCAAGGCCTTGAAAATAGTTTTCTTTCACAAGTTTGAAGGCATCTCTCCATTGTCTTCTGGCTTCTGATTCACTGTTAGAGGCTTGGTGTGATTCTTATTTTTGACCTTTGTGTATGCCGGTTTTCCCCTGACTTCTGGAAGCTCTCAGGGTACTCCCTGTAACTCCAGCATTCTGAAATTGCAGTGACATGACCTTCTCTGGCTGTTTTTGTTTGCCATGCTGGACGTTGGGGGACTGTTTCAATCAAGAGACTTACATTTGTCAGTTCTGGAAAGCGTTTTTGCTTTATTTCTTTCAGATTTCTCCTTTCTACAATTCCTCATGGTTAGATGTCCATTTCTGGAAGTGATCCTTCAATTTTTTCTTCTCTCTTCTGCTGTGCGTCTCTTTTGCATTTTTTGTTGTTTATTTGTTAGTGTGCTTGTTGTTCTTCTTTCTGGAGGATTTTCTCAATCTTATTTTCATAATGTCACTGATTTTTTTCTCTACTATCGTATTGTTAATTTCTAAGAGCTCTTTTTTATTTTCAGATTTATTTTTCTTTAACAAAAAAGCATCCTGTTCTTTTTTTGTGGATGTAATATCTTCTCTCTCTGAGGATATTAGAACAATTTTGAGATTTTTTTCCCCTCTGCTCTCTGCATTGTTTCTGTTACTGTTTTTTTCCTTGTATCTCAGGCTCTGAAATGGTTTGGAACCATGACTAAACCTGTATTTCTTTAAAACTTTGGGCCGGGCACGGTGGCTCACGCCTGTAATCCCAGCACTTTGGGAGGCTCGAGGTGGGAGGATCCCTTGAGGCCAGGAGTTGGAGACCAGCCTGGGCAACATAACGAGAACTTGCCTCTATAAAAAACATAATAAACTTTTGATATTCTGTTCATCAAAATATTATTTTTTTGTATTCATTTTGATTTTTTAAAATATTGCATTGAAGTATTCTCTATCTTGATTCCTGAGTTTTGGTGCCATCTTAGATGTTGTACCCCAGGTAGGTGCCTCCTTACCTCACCCTAGTTTGGGCTCCTAGTTTGAGGTGGAACTTCAGGGGACATGGCATCACTCCCTTCCCAATCTGCCCTGTCTTCTTGATCCTGCAGAGCAAGGAGCAGGACTGCCATGGTGAGATGGTGGAGTGGAAGGACAGAGTAGGAGAGGCCCCTGATTAAGGAGACACCTGGCAGTTCATCCCTGACCCCACAGCTTTATTGGGCCATTGGTTGAATAACTGATAACCTGCTCAGGACCAGACACACAGGTCAGAAGGATTATGTCCCAGTCTGCACAAAGAGGACCTTTCAGAAAAGAGCCATGGAGACTTAGATTTCTGGAAGCAATTGTTCGTGGGTGTTCAGAAAGGACAGTGGGGTTCATTAAGAGCCAGTATGGATTCAATAACGCCAGAGCTTAAAAAACACCACAAATTCTCAGGCTCCACCCTGGATGGACTGGTTCAGAAACACTGGGGCAATGGATTTTGGGAATTTGTTGTTGTTGTTGTTGTTTCAAGTTCCCCATGTGTTCCTGGCGAAGTTGCAGAGATTTAAAAATGTGATTCTGATGGTCATGTAGGTGTGGGAACTTTTTTTTTTTTTTTTTTTTAGACGGAGTGTTGCTCAGTTGCCCAGGCTGGAATGAGTGGTGTAATCTCTCGGTTTACTGAAGCCTCTGGCTCCGAGGTTCAAGTGTTTCTCCTGCCTCAGCCTCCCAAGTAGCTGGGATTACAGGCATGCGCCACCACGCCCAGCTAATTTTTGTATTTTTAGTAGAGATGGGGTTTCACCATGTTGGCCAGGCTGGTCTCAGAATCCTGACCTCAGGTGATCTACCCGCCTCAGCCTCCCAAAGTGCTGGGATTACAGGCGGGAGCCACCATGCCTGGCCAGGAACTTCCGATCTATAAGATTTCAAACCAATTTTATAATTGGTGACCCGCTCGATTGTCAGAACATGAGGCTTCCACCATCTCAGGGGCTTTGTGATCCCCTCTGCAGCTACACATCGAGGGTCCACACAGGAGCAAGGCCACCTGGAAGGAGGTCCCTCTGACAGCCATAGGGCTTGTCCCCGGCTCTGCCTAAAGACAGGAGGACCAGGCTTTAAGGGATAACTTATCTGGAGAGTGCAGATGTCAGGTCAGGAACCCGAAGGCCTCATGGGCAGGCTGGAATGACATCTGCCTCGGAACAGATGAAACTACTGGGATAAATATAAATCCTGGCATTTAAGTTTAGAATGAGTTGGGAGAGATGTGGTTTAGCAGCAGCTCACGAGGAAAAGATTTGGGGATCCCCACTTCTTGTGGGCTAGGATGAGTCAGGCGCATAAAGTGGCTGCCAAGGCTGGAGGTGGGAAAGCCAGCTGCATGATGGAAACCTGGGGACTGGGGCTGGGGCTCTGGGGGTCCTGCGGGCTATTTCTTGGGCCTGACTACCATTGAGGGGCTTGTGCTCCCCTTTCAAGTGGTTTCCCAGACACAAGCAGAGTCCAGGGGAGGGCAGCTGGGGTGGTGAAGAGGCTTGCACTCTTGTCCCTGGAGGAATGGTAGAAGGCGTTTGGGGTATTTAGCCTGGTACAGAGAAGGTTCTAGATGTGGTTGTTTTCTTTCTTTCTTTTCTTTTCTTTGTTTTTTCTTTTTCTTTTTTTTTTTTTAGAGACAAAGTCTTGCTCTGTGGCCTAGGCTGGAGTGTGATGGCATGATCTTAGCTCACTGCAACCTCTGCCTCCCGGGTTCTAGCAATTCTCGTGCTTCAGCCTCCTGAATAGCTGGGACTACAGGCACATGCTACCAAGCCCGGCTAATTTTTTGTATTTCAGTAGAGACGGGCTTTCACTGTGTTGCCCAGGCTGGTCTTGAACTCCTGAGCTCAGGCAATCCACCCGCTTCGGCCTCCCAAAGTGCTAGGATTACAGACGTGAGCCACCACACCCCGCCAATGTGGTGGTTTTCCAGCAGCTGCAGGGCTGTGACTGGGGCACAGGGAATAGACTTTATTTTTTTTTCTTTTCTTTTCTTTTTTTTTTTGAGACGGAGTCTTGCTCTGTCGCCCAGGCTGTAGTGCAGTGGCACGATCTCGGTTCACCGCAAGCTCCGCCTCCCAGGTTCACACCATTCTCCTGCCTCAGCCTCCCAAGTAGCTGGGACTACAGGCGCCTGCCACCACGCCCGGCTATTTTGTATTTTTAGTAGAGATGGGGTTTCACCGTGTTAGCCAGGATGGTCTTGATCTCCTGACCTCGTGATCCACCCACCTTGACCTCCCAAAGTGCTGGGATTACAGGCGTGAGCCACTGCACCTGGCCTATTTTTCTCCGTATTACTTATCACCTCCTGCATCAAATTATGTGTATCAGCCAGTCACAGTGGCTCACGCCTGTAATCCCAGCACTTCGGGATGCTGAGGTGGGAGGATTGCTTGAGGCCAGGAGTTTAAGACCAGCCTGGGCAACACAGTGACACCCCCATCTCCACAAAAAATCCATTTTTAAAAAGTTAGCTAGGTATGGTGGTGCACGCCTGTAGTCTTAGCTACTTGGGATGCTGAGGCTGTAGGATCGCGTGAGCCCAGGTGTTGGAGGCTGCAGTGAGCCATGGTCGCGCCACAGCACTCCAGCCTGGGTGACAGAGCAAGACCCAGCCTCAAAAAAATAGAAAAGAATGATCCATGTATTGGTGTCTGTTGCCTATCTTCCCCCTGGAATGTAAGCACAGGAGAGCCGGGACTGTGCCTGGTCCATGACAAGCACTCCTTTGAATGAACAAAGGAAGTAGGGTTTTCGACATCCTAGTCTCCAAAAACAGGGTTGTAGAAGGGAAGAGTTCTGCCTGGTGTGATTGTCCCTGGTGTGAGTCACTGGACACAGGAGCCTCTAAGGACCCCAACTCTGCTAACTTGGATTCCCACACACATGAGAGAATGTCAGTGCTTACACACACCAGGGTGTCTGCACACGCCCGAGACTCAGGTGGCTCCATACCCAAACTCTACCCTGCCCTCGTCCTGTTAGGCCTTGTTCTGGGTGGTGTTCACCTGAGAATGCTGGTGATACCCCCAGCAGCCAGACCGCAAACGCCCTTTCCCACTATCTGCCCACCCCCAACCTGGAGAATGGGTGGCCCTGGCTGGGAGTCCGGCACAGGTGTCCAGAGTCACCTGTTTCTCCCATGCCTCTGACAGCTCAGCATCACTGTGGCCTAAGGAAGTCTCATCTAGATGATGGGTTGGCGGCAGAGGGTGGGCAAGATAAGAGGAGAGTGGCGGGAAGGGGCTGTTTCAGCAAGTTTGATTTGGTCTGTCTCACAGAGTTTTCTTGGGTTTCAACAGGAACACTTCCTCTGTTCATCTGGTATCACAGCTGGGTTTGGCCAACAGCAACCAGGCTCTGGGACCCTCTGCTCTGGGGCCATATCAAGGGACTGAGGGCTGGCGGGTGGGCTGCCATGCCTTTTGCCTCCCCCTACACAAACCCCAGTGCCCCATCACCTTCCTCCATCGTTCCTCAGTAACCCTCCTGGCTGCGGACCTCCCCTCTGGCTCAGCCCCCTTGACTCAGCTCCTCCATCCAGACCCTCTGCCCAGCTGCCTCCATTCAGCCCTCTCTGCCCAGTGCCTCTGCCAGGCACCCCCCGCCAGGCCATCTCACCACAATGCTCCTTCCAATTCAGAACCTCTTGCTTTGGAGGCCTCGAGGCGTCTAGCCTGCCCTCCCAGTCCCAGGGTGAGCTGGCAGCTCCGAGGACCCTGGTCAGAACCATCTCCTCCCTAAAATGCATTCCCACACCCAATCTACCACCACATCACAGTGGAAACAGGACTCTTGTCCAGACTCAAGATTTCCGGAGATTTTCCACCAAGACCAATTCTGAGGCCCTGGGGACACTGGGCGTTTCGGGGACGGGAGCAGGAGAACTGGGGAAGCCATAGTGCTGAGTCAAGAGATCCTGGGATGTGCTGAGTCAGAGATCCTGGGATGTGCTGAGTCAGAGACCCTGGGATGTGCCACAATTTATTCTCAAAGAGGCTGGAAAGGGGAGGTCTTGGCAAAGGTTCTCTTCCTTTGAGGATTTCAAAATTCTACTCCAATGTTTACTTGGTTCCATGGTTCAGGTTTAGAGCCAGAGTTTGGGGGAAATCAAGCATAAGAACATTTAGATTTGAGGAGGTGCCCCTCCCTTTCACCCCCCTTACCTCCCAATCTCCCCCATGGCCCAGCATCCCTGAATTCCTCTCTCTTCTCTGGCTCAAGCAAAACCTCCTGGCTTGTACATCACCATAGCAGGCCCCAGGAATGCGAGGGACCCTGTGTCAGGGCAGGGACCCCATCATCCAAGACAGTTGGCAGGGAGAGTGCAAGACCTGCCTGGTTTCTACAACCTTCCAAAGGAGGCAGCTCCCGAAAGAAGGTTTTCAGAACGCAGGGCCTTGGGAGACAGGAAGCCAGTCAGACTCCTCGCACAAACCACAGGGGGCAAGCAGTGCTCCTCCAAGAACCTGGCCCCACCAGGGTGCTCAAGGGAACGAGGTAAGGAGGCCAATCCCGGAAGATTCTGGGAGCAGAGTTGGGGGGTGGGTGGAGGGAGGGGAAAGTTAGGAGCCAAGTTTTGAAGAGAGAGAAGATAAAGGTTGTCTGGGCATGGTGGCTCAGGCCTGTAATCCCAGCACTTTGGGAGGCCAAGGAGGGCATATCACTTGAGGTCAGGAGTTCAAGACCAGCCTGGCTAACATGGTGAAACCCCGTCTCTACTAAAAATACATAAATTAGCTGGGCATGGTGGTGCACGCCTATAATCTTAGTTACTCGGGAAGCTGAGGCAGGAGAATCGCTTGAACCTGGAGGTGGAGGTTGCAGTGAGCCAAGATCATGCCACTGCACTCCAGCCTGGGCGACAGAGCGAGATTCTGTCGCCTAAAAAAAAAAGAAAAGAAAAAGAGAGAAGAGATTCTGTGAGAAGAAAGCATGTCCAGGGAGGCAGGAGGTGGAGTGCAGATGTCGTCTCCAGTGCTGTGGAGGAGCCCGGCAGTCCTGGCCCTCGATCTTGGTCCTGACACAGACCAGCTGCATAGCCTTGGGCTGGATACTTAACCCCTCAGTTAACAAACCTGACATTTAGAGCCCCTCCAAGCCCTTGCTAGCTTCACATTTCCCAAATGGGTGGTAAATACCAATCTCACAGAGTTGATTTAAGAGCAGAATATGAGGCCCATGATGGTTCTTGGTCCTGGTGGTCTCCCCTCCGCTTCGGGTCACAACACTGCTCCCGGCTACTCAGCCCCAGGTGGTTTTCTCCCGGTCCGGTTCCTCTTGCAGGCCATTTTCCTTTCTCCTTGGGCAGGGTGGTGTGTTGGTTGATTGGTTAGTTTCTTTTTTTCTTTTTTGTTGAGATGAAATTCACATAATATAAAATTAACCATTTTAGGCTGGGTGCGGTGGCTCATGCCTGTAATCCCAGCACTTTGGGAGGCCGAGTTGGGTGGATCATTTGAGGTCAGGAATTCGAGACCAACCCGGCCAACGTGGTGAAACCCCGTCTCTACTAAAATAATACAAAATTAGCCGGGCGTGGTGGCATGCTTGTAATCCCAGCTGCTTGGGAGGCTGAGGCAGGAGAATTGGTTGAACCCAGAGTGGAGGTTGCAGTGAGCTGGGATCACGCCACTGCACTCCAGCCTGGGCGACAGAGCAAGACTGTCTCAAAAATAAAATAAAGTAAAATAAAATAAACCATTTTAAAGTGAACAATTCAGTGGCATTTAATAAATTCACAATGTTGTGCAACCAACCCCCCATCCAGTTCCAAAACCTTTTCTGTTTTGTTTTTGTTCTTGAGAAAGGGTCTTGCTCTGTTGCCCAGGTTGGAATGCAGTGGTGGGATCATGGCTCACTGCAGCCTCGACCTCCTGGGCTCAAGGGATCTTCCCACCTCAGCCTCCCAAGTAACTGGGACTATAGGCATATGCCACTACAACAGGCTAATTTTTAAATTTTTTGTAGAGACAAGATCTCACTAAGTTGCCCAGGGTGGTCTTGAACTCCTGGACGCAAGTGATCCTCCTGCCTTGGCCTCCCTAAATGCTGGGATTACAGGCATGAGCCACCGTGCCTGGCCCCAAAACATTTTCATTACCCAAAAGAAAACCCTTTACCCATTAAGCAGTTGCTCCCTGTTCACTCCTCCACCCCAACCCCTGGCAACCACCAATCTGTGTTTTATTTCTATGAAGTTACACATTCTGGATATATCATATAAATGGAATCATATAATATGTGATGTTTTATGTCTGGTTTCTTTCACTTAGCATAATATTTTCAAGGTTTATCCATTTTATGGCTGTATAATATTTAATCGTATGAATGTACCATAATTCGTTTATCCGTTTATTTATTGATAGACATTTAGGCTGTTTCTACCTTTTGGCTGTTGTGAATAGTGCTGCTGTGAACATGTGTAAATGTACTTAAATTTCTTTCCCTTTCTTTCTTTCTTTCTCTTTCTTTCTTTTTCTTTCTCTCTTTCTTTCTTTCTTGCTTTTCTTTCCTTTCTTTCTTTTCTTTCTTTCTTTCTTTCCTTCTTTCTTTCTTTCTTTCTTTTCTTTCTCCCTCTCTCTCTCTTTCTTTCTTTCTCTCTCTCTCTCTCTCTTTCTTTCTTTTCTTTCTTTCTTTCTGACAGAGTCTTGCTCTGTCGCCCAGGCTGGAGTGTAGTGGCGCAATCTCAGCTCACTGCAACCTCCGCCTCCCGGGTTCAAACGATTCTCCTGCCTAAGCCTCCCAAGTAGCTGGGACTACAGGCGCGTGCCACCATGCCTGGCTAATTTTTGTATTTTTAGGAGAGACGGTGTTTCACCGTGTTATCCAGGATGGACTCGATCTCCTGACCTCGTGATCCACCCACCTCAGCCTCCCAAAGTGCTGGGATTACAGGTTTGAGCCACTGTGCCCAGCCTCTTTTTTTTTTTTTTTTTGAGACAGAGTCTCGCTCTGTCGCCCAGGCTGGAGTGCAATGGCATGATCTTGGCTCACTGCAACCTCTGTCTCCTGGGTTCAAGCAATTCTTGTGCCTCAGCCTCCCGAGTAGCTGGGATTACAGGTGTGTGCCACCACGCCCAGCTAATTTTTGTATTTTTAGTAGGGATGGGATTTTGCCATGTTGACCAGGCCGGTCTTGAACTCTTGGCCTCAAGTGATCCACCTGTCTTGGCCTCCCAAAGTGCTGGGATTACAGGCGTGCACCACCGCATCTGGCATGAGTATCTGTTTTTTTCTCTCTTTTGAGATGGAGTCTTGCTCTGTTGCCTAGACTGGAGTGCAGTGGCACAATCTCGGCTCACTGCAACCTCCACCTACCAGGTTCAAGCCATTCTCCTGCCTCAGCCTCCCGAGTAGCTGGCACTACAGGCGCGTGCCACCACACTCAGCTAATTTTTCATACTTTTAGTAAAGACAGGGTTTCACCATGTTAGCCAGGCTGGTCTCGATCTCCTGACCTCGTGATCTGCCCACCTCGACCTCCCAAAGTGCTGGGATTACAGGCGTGAGCCACTGCACCCGGCGAGTATCTGTTTTGAATTCCTTGGGATCTATACCTAGAAGTGGAATTGCTGGGTCATATGGTAACTCTGTGTTTAACTTTTTGAGGAACTGCCAGACTGTTTTCCACAGCAACTGAACTATTTTACATTCCCACCAGCAATGTATGAGGGTTCCGATTTCTCTACATCCTCGCCAACACTTGTTATTTTCCCTTTTTTAAAAAATTATAGGGCTGGGTGCTGTGGCTCATGCCTGTAATCCCAGCACTTTGGGAGGCCTGGGTGGGCGGATCATCTGAGGTCAGGAGTTTGAGACCACCCTGGCCAACATGATGAAACCCCGTCTCTACTAAAAAAATACAAAAATTAGCTGGGCATGGTGGCTTGTGCCTGTAATCCTAGTTACTCAGGAGGCTGAGGCAGGAGAATCGCTTGAACCCAGGAGGTGGAGGTTGCAGTGAGCCGAGATCGCGCCACTGCATTCCAGCCTGGGCAACAAGAGTGAAACTCTGTCTCAAAAAAATATATATATACACACACACATATATATACATATATATACACACATATATATATACATATATATACATATATATACACACATATATATACATATATATACACATATATATATACATATATATATATATATACACATAGAGAGAGAGAGAGAGAGAGAGAGACAGAGAGAGAGAGAGAGAGAGAGCTGTCCTAGTGGGTATGAAGTGGTACTTCATTGTAGTTTTGATTTGCATTTCCCTAATGAATACTGATATTGAGCATCTTTTTTTTTTTTTTTTTTTTTTTGTGAGATGGAGTCTCACCCTGTCACCCAGGCTGGAGTGCAGTGGTGCGATCTCCACCTCCTCGGTTCACGCCATTCTCCTGCCTCAGCCTCCCGAGTAGCTGGGACTACAGGCGCCCGCCACCATCATGCCCGGCTAATTTTTTGTATTTTTAGTAGAGATGGGGTTTCACTGTGTTAGCCAGGATGGTCTCAATCTCTTGACCTCGTGATCCGCCCGCCTCGGCATCCCAAAGTGCTGGGATTACAGGCATGAGCCACTGCACCCGGCCTTATTGAGCATCTTTTCATGTCTTTTTGGGCTATTTTTATATCTTCTTTGGAGGAATATCTATTCAAGTCATTTGTCCGTTTCTTCCCCCTTGCCAATTTTTTAATTAGAATGTTTGTCTTTTTGTCTTGGGCGAGTTTCTTAGCCCCTCTACTGAGGAGCCCATTTCTTCATTGTCTAATGGGGATGCTATTGTCTGAAGTGTTATTGCAAAGGTGTTGTGCGGTAATGTCCATTCAGGGCCTAGCACACAGTGGGAGTGGGAAGCATAAGCTGACTTGGAATTCGGCTCTGGTCTAGGGGATCAACTATCCCGGGTTTCCCAGGATGGTCCCGGCTTTAGTTCTGAGAGTCTGGCATCCTGGAAATTCCTAAGTTCTATGTAAACTGGGGCAGTTGCTCACCCTCCTCAGGTCCCAGATGAGGTAGACCGTGCGTATCCTTGCTGGGCCTTAACTCTAAACCTGTTTCCTCATCTGTAAGGTGGGACTGATCATTTCTCATAGGGTTGTTCTAAAAATCAGATGCACTGATTGCTTGAGAAAGTTAACTAGAAAGATCCCTCCCAGATCTTACCTGAAAGTACAAAAATAGGATTGTAGTCACAAAAGAGGATTTCCTGGCCTTGAAGCTTCAGGTGTTATCTTTCATATTCTTAATACTCTTCAAGGTGTGGGAAGGGACCGGCAGCACTGGCAGTGCCTGGGAGCTCGTGGGAAATGTGGAATGTCGGAGTCCTCAGACCTGCAGAATCAGAATCCGATTCCCAGGTACAGTAGGTCCTCCAATGACATCGTTGTGGTCACCGTTGTTTTGTTGTAGTGTTGATGAGAAAAAAATAAATGGATTCCCAGCTGGGGGCACCACTGATGTGGAGTTTGCATGTTCTCTTCACGTCTCCGGGTACTCTGGTTTCCTCCCACATATCAAAGATGTGCACTTTAGGTTCACTAGAGTGTCTAAGTTGTCCCAGGATGAGTGAGCGTGAATATGTGTGAGTGCGCCCTGTGATAGAATGGGCTCTGAGTCAGTTCCCGCCTTGTTCCCTGAGCCGCTGGGATAGGTTCCAGCCACCAGAGACCCTGAACTGGAATAATTGTGTAAATAATTATTCTAACTTGTTTTTATGAGTCTTTTTTAAATGTATGTATTACATAACTCACATTTATGTCTGTTTAATATTAGAAGTGTTTTGGTCTTTATTTAGTAGTTTGACTTTATTTAGAAGCAACTGGAAATATGCCCTAGGAACTTAACTCTTGCTTATATCAATTACTTTATGGTAAAATTGGTTTCATTATACGTTGCTTTGCTTACAGTCAAAGTTTCCAAGAACCCATCAACAATGTTGAGTGAGGCCTTACTGTAATTCACATGCACACTCTTTTTTGTTTGTATGTTGGTTTTTTTTTGTTTGTTTGAGACGGAGTTTCACTCTTGTCACCCAGGCTGGAGTGCAGTGGTGCGATCTTGGCTCATTGCAACCTCCACCTCCTGGGTTCAAGCGATTCTCCTGCCTCAGCCTCCCAAGTAGCTAGGATTACAGGCATGCGCCACCACATCCGGCTAATTTTTATAGTTTTATTAGAGACAGGGTTTCACTATGTTGGCCAGGCTGGTCTCGAACTCCTGACCTCAGATGATCCGCCTGCCTCAGCCTCCCAAAGTGCTGGGATTACAGGTGTGAGCCACCGCGCCCGGCCCATGTGCACTCATGTTTGAGAAGCATTGCTTTATACCAAAGGCTACGAAGCAGAGGAAGTCATCCAAGATATGGAAAATGTATCAACAAGTTCATCACAGTAGTATTTATAAAAGCATCAAAATTGGAAGCTACCTAAATGCTCAATAAAAGAGAAATAGTGAAGAAAATTGTGAGTTTTCTCCTGAGTGGACTGTCATGCAGCTGTTACAAATGATGTTTGGAAATACCTTGTTTACCATCAAAAGCTGCTTTTGATATCATGAAATGTGACAGAAGCGGTCCATGAAACTGCATGATCAGCAGAACTGTGACTGTGAAATTAACATACATATAAAAAAACACTAGAAGAAAATAGGCCAGCATGGGACCAGATGAGGGATGGGGAAGGCCTGTTTTTGTTTTTGTCTGTCCTTGTCCTAATTCTCTGTGGCTATATGGTCTATATTTACCCTATCACAATCCCTCAAAAAGCCCACATTTGGGTCATTGCCAGGATAGGATGATTTTTCCATTTCCATGAACTGTTAGGGGTATTAAGAAATGCTTAATACCCCCAATGCCAGTCCATATCCTCTGTACAAGCCTAATCCAAAGCCCTGTTTCCAGGGCTTTCTTAGGTCAGCCTCACTCACTCTGACATCTCTCTACCCCAGACCCTCAGCGAGGCAGAGCTCTTTGTCCAGCCTGGATCTCCCCTTGCAGGGTTATACCAGGGGACATACTTCCTGCATTTCTGTGATGACAAATGTTCTGTGTGGGTTTATTTCAACCTGAGGTTTGGCTATGTCCAGAGGGCAGCTGGGGGTTATTGTATGGATACATGAGGTGAGAGAAAATAATAACAGGGGACATTAAAAGGAATTGCGCTTCAGGCCTGTAATCCCAGCACTCTGGGAGGCGGAGGGAGGGAGGATTGCTTGAGCCCAGGAGTTTGAGACCAGCCTGGCTGATAGGGTGAGACCCTGGCTCTATAAAAATTACAAAAAAAGTTAGCTGGGCGTAGTGGCCTGTGCCTGTAGTCCCAGTTACTCAAGAGGCTGAGGTGGGAGGATCACTTGAGCCCGGGAGGTGGAGGTTGCAGTAAGCTGAGGTGGCACCACTGCACTCCAGCCTGGGTAACAGAGTGAGACTGTCTCTAAATAAATAAATAAGCCCTTCCTGAGTGCCAGCCTCATTGTATGGCTTTATGTTTAATCCACACAACTACCTGATGAGGCAGGCATGTCTCTCTTTAGCTATCTGGAACAGAGAGGTGAAGTTGCCTATTCAGGATCACACAGCCAGTAAGTGGCAAAACCAGGACAAGAACCCAGGTCTTTGCCTTCAGAGCCTAAGCTCTTTCTCACAATTTAACTTAATTTAATTAAAAACTTTTTTGAGATAGGGTCTTGCTCTGTTGCCCAGGCTGGAACACAGTGGCGTGAACATAGTTCACTGCAGCCTTGACCTCCTGGGCTCCAGTGATCCTCCTACCTCAGCCTCCCTAGTAGCTGGGACTACAGATGTGCTCCACCACACCCAGCTAGTTTTGTCTTTCTTTGTAGAGATGGAGGCTCCCTATGTTGCCCAGGCTGGTCTTGAACTCCTGGCCTCAAGTGACCCTCCCTCCTTTGCCTCTCATAGTATTGGGATTACAGGCGTGAGCCACAGTGCCCAGGCAGTCTGAGCTCTTACCCACCGTCTCTTCAGGGACAAAAATGAGTGACGTGTTGATGCAGAAGGTACTTCTGGACCAGGACCTCTGAAACTGTGCTTTGCAAAAAATCCCCTTGGAAGTGCTTCCAAAGGCAGATGCCGATTCAGCAGGCTTGGGGTTGGGCCCAATAATCTGAATTTCTAACGGGCTCCCAGTGATGCTGATGTTGCGGCCCAGGGGTGCTCTTGGAAAAGCAGGATCTAGAATGCATTTCTGTTGGCCTTGTAAGGCTTCCTGGTATATGTGCCCTGCGATCGAAGGGCAGGGACTGGGATGTCCCCCTCCCCACAGTAATCCCATCCACGCCTCCTGGGTTGGACCCAGCTGCCTCAGCACCATCCTGACCAGCCTGGCCAGCCAAGCCTCTCTAGCAGCCCTGCAGGACGTCCTTGGTTGCTTGCCCCAGCATTTCCTCCTGCCAGTTGGCTGGCAGGTGATGGGCCGACTGTGACAGCTTAGCCAGAGTTCCTGTCCAGAAATGTCTTGAGCTCAGCCAAGGTAAATGCTGCCCCGCTGTCAGAAATGAAGTGCCTGTCGGGCCTCTGGGCATGACTAATTGAGGCGGAAGAAATACTGTAACTGCTGACGTTTCAGATGGAGCTGGGGGTTGCTTTGAGGAGGCAGCCTCCACAATCAAGCCCTTTCCTGGAAAGGCCCAAACAAATCAGGGTAATAGCTCCCACTTCTCAAATACCTCCTGTGGGCCAGGCACTGGGCTAAGAGCTTTGTGTTGATATGTTTTGTCTAATCCTTTCAAGAAACCCCTTTCAAGAACCTTGCAAGAGGCCAGGCGCGGTGGCTCATGCCTGTAATCCCAGCACTTTGGGAGGCCGAGGCGGGTGGATCACCTAAGGTCAGGAGTTCGAGACCAGCCTGGCCAACATGGTGAAACCCCGTCTCTACTAAAATTACAAAAATTAGCTGGTGTGGTGGCTCACATCTGTAATCCCAGCTACTTGGGAGGCTGAGGCAGTAGAATCACTTGAATCCAGGAGGTGGAGTTTGCAGTGAGCTGAGATGCGGCTATTGCACTCCAGCCTGGGCAACAGGAGTGAAACTCCGTCTCAAAAAAAGAGGAACCTTGCAAGAAAGGTCACTGATGAGGGAACTGACCCTCAGAGAAGAGAGGAATGCTGGACACCAACCATTACATAATGGAGCCCATTTTGGAACTTGGGTCTGTCTTACTCCACAGACAATATGTTTGATCCTAGAGCAATGGTTTTCGAATTGTGCTCCATGGAACCCCGAGGGTCTGAGGAGCGCTTCACGGGCTGCTGTGGGAGTGAGGGTGGCAGAAAAGGAAGTAGCACAGCAAGCTAGGCTCCAACCCTTCTCTGTCCTTCTCCCAATGTGGCTTTACTTTGATGTGATTTGTGTATTGAGCTTCTATGAAAGATTTGTTGGAAGAAATGATTTCAGGACCAAAAATGTTTGAAATCCATATCACACTGCCTCCCAAAACAAATGTGGATTATTGATCAGGGCTTCTTGCACACATTTCAAGGAAACATCATTCCATTTGGTGGACTTGCCAAGCGGCGTGGCTCGTGTAACCCTCACTGAGCTCCTTTGTAATGTCAAGTCATCCTGGTCAGAGCTTCTACAATGGGCTGTGAATTGTGTGAATTCCTTGGGAAGGTTCACTGCCAGGCAAGGTCTCCGCATCCTTTTTAAGAGGCACATCAATATGGATTATAGTGACCATACCCTGGGATAGACTGGCCTGGTGTTGGGGGCCTAGGTTCCTGCTATCTTGCGGCTCTGCCTTCTAAAACATGTGCTTTCCATTTTGTAGCTCAAGATGGCTATTTCAGCTCCCACCATCACATCTGCATCCCAGCCAGGCAGAGAGAGGGCACCCCAGTCTTTTTTTTTTTTTTTTTTTTTTTTTTGAGACAGAGTCTCGCTCTGTCACCCAGGCTGGAGTGCAGTGGTGCGATTTGGCTGAAGTGATTCTCCTGCCTCAGCCTCCTGAGTAGCTGGGATTACAGGTGTGCCTCACCACGCCTGGCTAATTTTTAAATATTTTTAGTAGAGACGGGGTTTCAACATGTTGGCCCGGCTGGTCTCAAACTCCTGACTTCAAGTGATCCGCCTACCTCGGCCTCCCAAAGTGCTGGGATTTCAGGCGTGAGTCACTGCACCCAGTCCCCCCCCCCTTTTTTTTTTTTTTTTTGACAGAGTCTTGAACTGTCAACCAGGCTAGAATGCAGTGGCGTGATCTCAGCTCACGACAACCTCCACCTCCTGGGTTCAAGTGATTCTCCTGTGTCAACCTCCCGAGCAGCTGGGATTACAGGCGCCCACCACCACACATAGATAATTTTTGTATTTTTAGTAGAGATGGGGTTTCGCCATGTTGGCCAGGCTGGTCTCGAACTCCTGGCCTCAAGTGATCTGCCGGCCTCAGCCTCCCAAAGGGGTGAGCCTCCGGACCCGGTCACCCATTCTTATTACGGGCAATCTTTCTGCTCATCTTCCATTGGCCAGACATAGTCATGTAGCCATACCTAGCCATAAGGAGGGCTGGGAAATATGGTTTAACTGTGTGACTGTGTGCCTAGCTATAACTGGGAGCCTCTGCAACTCAAGGAAGAAGGAGAGAGTGGTTATTGGGAGGCAGTTATTAGTCTTTGCCATGGGTGGGGTTCCTCCATCAAAACTGCCCATGTGGGTGGCAGCGTGATAAGGGGCCTATGGTGGCAGTTGGGAAGTATCCCCAAAGTTGGTGAATTTCAAGCCATGGGACTCTTTTTCCCAATGGCCAGCCAAGAAGCTAGCAGTGATTGACTTTAGAGAAGAAGAATCACAGTGGTGTTGGCAGAGAAATCAAACTAGGAGGTTTATTCTGAGCCTCTATGAGCGATTGCAGCCTGGAGAAAACACAAACCCAAGAAGCCTTGAGTAAGTGATCCTGAGACAGGTGACAACTCTGCTTTATACATTTTAGGGAAGCAGAAGTTACCGGCAAAGTCATAAATTAATATATGGAGTTTATATGTTGCTTTGGCCCAAAAAAGGTGAGCTATCTTGAAGTGAGAGCTCACAGGTCATAGGTGGGTTCAGAGATTCTTTAATTTGCAATTGGTTAAAGGAGTAAGGCTTTGTTCAAAAACCTGGAGTCAGTAGAGGCCAAGTGCAGTGGCTCATGCCTGTAATCCCAGCACTTTGGGAGGCCGAGGTGAGAGGATCGCTTGAGTCCAGGAGTTTGAGACCAGACTGGGCAACATGGTGAAACCTTGACTCTACAAAAAATTTAAAAATTAGCTGGGTGTTTGGCCAGGTGCAGTGGCTCATGCCTGTAATCCCAACCCTGTCTCTACTAAAAATACAAAATTATACAAAATTAGCTGCGCGTGATGGCGCATGCCTGTAATCCCAGATACTTGGGAGGCTGAGGCAGGACAATCACTTGAACCCGGGAGGTTGCAGGGAGCCGAGATTGTGCTATTGCACTCCACCCTGGGCAACAGGAGCAAAACTCTGTCTCAAAAAAAAAAAAAAAAAAAAAATTAGCTGGGTGTGGTGGCATATGCCTGTGATCCCAGCTACTCAAGAGGCTGAGGCGGAAGGATCACTTGAGCCCTGGAGGTCGAGGACTGAGGCTGCAGTGAGCCATGATCAGGCAAGAGAGTGAGACCCTGTCTCAAAAAAAAAAAAAAAACCTAAAATAAATAAAAATAGAAAACTTGGAGTCAGTGGAAAAGAATGTTTAAGATAAAGAAGTTTGCTAATCATCATGTGATCTGCCAATCATATCATGCCATGTATCGTATGATCTGCCAGAGTCACATCATCTCATGCCTTATCTGATATGTCATGTGATATGTCAGAGCAAGACTCAATATGCTGGGTCAGGCCAGGCGCAGTGGCTCACACCTGTAATCCCAGCACTTTGGGAGCCCGAGGAGGGTGGATCACCTGAGGTCGGTCTCTACTAAAAATACAAAATTTAGCCGGGCGTGGTGGCGGGTGCCTGTAATCCCAGCTACTTGGGAGGCTGAGGCAGGAGAGTCGCTTGAACCTGGGAGGCAGAGGTTGCCGTGAGCCGAGGTGGTGCCATTGCACTCCAGCCTGTGTTACATGAGCGAAACTCCATCTCAAAAAACAAAACAAAAAAGCGCTGGGTCAGAGTGGCCTGCAGGGGTGCGTGATTTAACCCGTGCCTGTCATGGCCTTAGGTCCTCTTTATAATTTGATATCATATTGCCACAGAGTCCATTCTGTCTGTCTTCTGATCTCTATTTTAATATTAATGCTGGTAGTTGTGTCTAAACTGCAAAAGGGAGGGGTTACAATGAGGTGTGTCTGGTCTCCCATCCCATTATGGCTGGGAACTCAGCTTTTCTGGGGTCTCATTGGCCAAGAGGGGGTCCATTCAGTTGGTTGGGGGACTTAGGATTTTATTTTTAGTTTACAGTGGCTGATGTGTTGCCAGGGAAAAGTTCTCCCAGAAATTTAGTTTCTCAGTTCTCTCTTCTCATTCATATTCTTTTTAAAAATGAAGTTAAAAAAAAATTTTTTTTGAGACAGGGTCTCACTCTGTCGCCCAGGCTGGGGTGCAGTGGTGCGATCTTGGCTCACTGCAGCTTCAACTTCCCAGGCTCAAACGATTCTCCTGCCTCAGACTCTGAATAGCTCGGACTATGGGAGCACGCCATCACCCCTGGCCAGTTTTGGTATTTTTTGTAGAGATGGTGGTTTCAACATGTTGCCCAGGCTGGTCTCGAACTCGTGAGCTCAAGTGATCCACCCACCTGGGTCTCCCAAAGTACCAGCATTACAGGCCTGAGCCTCCACGCCCGATCTAATTTAATTTTTTAATTGACAAATAATTGTACATATTCATGGGGTACATAGTAATGTTTCAATACATATAATGTATAGTGATCAGATCAGGGTAATTTGCACATTCATAATCTCAAACACGTACCCTTGCTTTGTGGTGGGCTCATTCACACTCTTGCTGTCTGTACCAGTGAAGGACTGCCTGGGCTCACCCTGGAGGTTTTTCCTCTGATCACCTCATAAGCAAGGCTATTCTATTTAAGGTCCTTTTGGTTCTGAGGAGCTATTTGAGCTGTCCCACAGAGAAGGATTATCGTGAGGGTGCAGAAGACGATCATGGGAGACCCAAGGGCTGGACATGAAGGACAGCCAGACCTCAAGGAAGCTGGAAAGCTGTTGGGAACCAGGTCCCCTCCCCCAGTTCTTGCCTCCTTTTCATTAATTCATCATATGTTTATTGAAGCCAAATGTATATAAGGTCTGCCTTTCCTTTCTGTGGATCAGAAGTCTTCTGCAGACAGCTCAGGATGGTTTCGGTTCCTTTTTTTCTTTTTTTCTCACAGACTCTGTTCATCTTGAATGGTTTCAGTTCCTAAGTCTCCAAGATCTTTCAACTCAGCTCTCTTGCTGCCAGCTTCTCAGTTTCCCAATTTCACCCTCCCGGGTGGTGATCTGATTGGCTCAGGCTGCACAAGCTGTAGATTGTAGGCTTCCAATAGATGAGCTGCTTTTGAATCATGTGATTACCTATGTCCAATCAGTCTGAGGAAGCACAGGGTCATGTAGGAGACTGTGATGGGTGTAGTCAACTCAGCAGGGCCTACGGGTCTGGGGGCAAACGTCATTGGGATGGGGATGGAGCATCCTAAAACATGTCTGGTACAAGGATATTATTTAAAATATAATGTCACACCTGAAATTTTAGTTAGCAGGGCTCCATACAACATTGATGTTTCAGGAGCATCAGAAATTGTAGACTAGGCGGACATGGTGGCTCATGCTTGTAATCCCAGCACTTTGGGAGACCAAGGTGGGTGGATCACCTGAGGTCAGGAGTTCAAGAACAGCCTGGCCAACATGGTAAAACCCCTGTCTCTATTAAAAATACAAAATTAGCTGGGTGTGGTGGTATGCACCTGTAATCCCAGAGACTCTGGAGGGTGAGGCAGGAGAATCGCTTGATCCCAGGAAGCAGAGGTTGCAGTAGCCCAGATCTCACCATTGCACTCCAGCCTGGGCGACAAGAACGAAACTCCATCTCAAAAAAGAAGAAAAGAAAAGAGAGAGAGACAGACAGACAGAGAGAGAAAGAAAGAAAGAGAAAGGAAGGAAGAGATTGAGAGGAAGGAA
Source organism: Homo sapiens (assembly GCF_000001405.40). Lineage (NCBI taxonomy): Eukaryota > Metazoa > Chordata > Mammalia > Primates > Hominidae > Homo > Homo sapiens. The sequence goes on along the minus strand of NC_000017.11, from coordinate 39,118,132 downwards.
GGAAGAGATTGAGAGAGAGAGAGGAAGGAAGGAAGGAAGGAAGGAAGGGAGGGAGGGAGGGAGGGAGGGAAGGAATTCTAGACTAAAAGGACTGGCTCTAGAACGCCGCGGGTAGGTGGCAATAGCTTTCATTGCATCACTGATGCTCAGCCCTGAGGAACCTGGGTAAACTCTGGCCTCATAAAGAACTGGATGGAGACAATCAATACAGGCAATGGAGCAGCCCTGCCCCAGCTGAAGTCTCTTCTTTTTCATTCCACAAGGCCTGAGTGGTTGGCAGAACTGTTGCACCTCCCTGGGCATGTGGACAGATTGGAGGATGCTGGCCAATCAAACCCTTTACTCAGCTCTGCTTCCAGAAAGTAAAAGGCATGTCTCTTGGTTTTGTTTTGTGACAATGTCTTGCTCTGTTGCCCAGGCTGGAATGCAGTGGCATGATCATGGCTTACTGCAGCTTTGATCCCTTGGGATCAGGCAATCCTCCTGCCCCAGCCTCACAAGTAGCTGGGACTACAGGTGCATGCCACCATGCCCAGCTAATTTTTGCATTTTTTTTTTTGTAGACTTGGGGGGAGGGTCTCACTATGTTGCCCAAGCTGGTCTTGAACTCCTGGATTCAAGCGATGTTTCTGCCTCAGCCTCCCAAAGTGCTTCTTGTCTTTTGAGAGTACTGGTTCATTGGTTGGATTCAGATGGCAAGTGGACATTGCGGTTGACTTTTCAACATATATTTTACCTTACAGCCTTGTACAATAGGAATGGGATCTTGGGTTCCATGATAATCCTACCCCCCAGCTGGTGTTTGGTTTAGGTGGAAGCTGTTTAGCATCTAGGGCTTCCTAGTCCAGAGGTGGCAGGGGACCCAGGTTGACCCTGCCATCTTGAAGCACACGTGTTCATTCAGTGGTCGGGGAGAGGTGTGCTGTGCCTGTCTTGCTTCCATGAGCCAGGGCTAGTTGCCACTGTCTGCCATCCCGTCACTACAAGATGCCTAGCCTTACAATGAAGCCCACACTGAAAGTGGCAGAGAAGAAAGACTGAAAGAGCTTGGTCTTGGTCATTGAGCCACATTCCCCGTCAACCCTGATGTCAGGCCTTTGCTCACCCAGCTTCCATTCCCCATTCCTAGCGGAGCCATGATCCCCAGTTCCTGGGGGAAGTAGACTGGTTTAACCAATCTGGCACGCCCTGGCCCTTGTAATAATCGGGGGCCACATCAGACTGAAGGGAAGATCTTGTGTTCCACTCTTGGTGCGAGGTTTCTCCTTTTGAACCCGACAAGGAAGCATGCTGCCTCAGTGGCTATAGGCAGCCCTCTTTGGACCAGGAGGCAGTCACACTTAGGACAATGTCCTGATGACACGAGGATCATCCATGTTCCATGCCTGCTGCCAGGCTCTCAGACGCTTGGTCTAACACATGTCCTCCGTGTTGAAGCTGGGTTTCTCTTCCTTGCCCCCGAAGGTATCTGCCTTGTTGGCTTTACTTCCTCAGAGAAGAAATTGAGGAATCCAGAGACACCTTCCTGTGTCCAGGATGTCCCAGGTTTGGGAATGCTGTCTGTGGGCTTGGATTCCCAGAGGAGGCAGCTGGTTCCTCCACAAGTGGCTTTTGTGTCACCTGCCACTGGAGATGGGGGAGGATGCTGTCCTTGTCAGAGCCACACTGCACATTCTCAGCACAGTCTTGACACCATTGGCTGCAGAATCCTTGTGATTCAGCTCATTTGGCAAGCAGATGCTGAACACCCACCAGATGCCAGGTGCCAACCCCTGCGCTAGGGAGGTGCTGGGGGCGGAGATGAATGTGCCACCATCCCTGAGCTCCAGCCTCCAGACAGTGGTCCTTCTGATTGAGAGTTTAACCAATGACTGGTAGGTAGCCTAAGTCACCTTCCCGGAGAGCTGTTGCTTAAAGATCTCAGAGACAGTGGATAGAGGAAAGGTCACTGTCTTTGAGTGGAACTGACCTGGTTTCATACAGTTACATTATTTCTTTTTATTTTTTGTTTTTTTGAGACGGAGTCTCACTGTGTCACCCAGGCTGGAGTGCAGTGGCGCAATCTCGGCTCACAGCAACCTCCACTCCTGGATTCAAGCAATTGAATATACTGCCTCAGCCTCCCCAGTAGCTGGGATTACAGGCATGCGCCACCACACCCAGCTAATTTTTGTATTTTTAGTAGAGATGGGTTTCACCATGTTGGCCAGGCTGGTCTTGAACTCCGGACATCAGGTGATCCGCCCTGTCTCAGCCTCCCAAAGTGCTGGGATTACAGGCATGAGCCACCATGCCTGGCCTAGTTACATGATTTCTAGTCTCAGTTTCCCCACTGAGAAAATGGGACTAATATTAGTGCTCACCTCCTAGGGTTGCCCTGCAGTAACAAATATGAAATGCCCAGCACTCTCCCATCACCACTCAGCAAATGCCAGCTTCCCTTCTCCTTCCTCCCACGCTCCCAAATGCTCCCCTGCAGGCTTTGTGCTTGGCTCTGCCCAGGAGTGATCCCCCTGCAAGTCGCCCCCTCCCTCCAGGGTGCAATTTGGCCTCACCCATCACTGTGTGGCCACCCTCAGCCAGAGCTGAGTAGATATGGCTCCTGGCTTCACTGTCCTGGAGTAATAAAAGTCAGGTGTGCCAGGAGGGCAGTCTGTTGGGCCTGTTTGGGACCTGCAGCAGATTCTGCATGGCATTGCCCTTGAGCCAGTCCTCCCCCTGGCAGGCCAGCTGTACTTGGCACTTCTGAGGCCTGAAGCAGAGCTTGGCCTCACCCTCGCTGGCCTGAGTAGGGCATCGTTAGGCTTCGAGGCTCTTGCCTTCCCTGGGATCTGCTGACTCATTGGAGAGAATCAGCTTAGGAGTTAGAGGCAGCAGCTCGTTTCATTTCTGACTTTCCTTGAGTCAGAATAGATGGAAGTTTTCTGTCAGTTAAGAGGTGCCATTGCAGGGGTCATCGGGAACTCCAAGAATGAGTCCAGGGATCATCCAGGTGTCAGAGCTGAGGCACGTGACACAGGGCCTGGTTTCTCTGCAGAACAGCACTAGTTTGGATCAGACTGCTTGTCTTTGCTGTGAAGCAGAGAACTCCGAGCAACGGGCCAGGAAGATGCATTCCCAGGAAGCTCACGCTTTGCAGTCTTAGCTGAGGCGGCAAGAGACACGTCAGCATCTGTTTGGGCTTCACAACTGCAGAGCGTGGCTTCTGTCCCGGGCACTCATTTCAGACGCCCGGAGGTTTGGGGAAAGCTCTCGCTGTGCGGGGCCCAGGAAGCAGGCTGATTGAAACCAGACCTTTCTCCGAGCCTCAAAGCAACCGTCTTAAACACTGGCCCGCTCAGGTTCCCAGGTGGAAGCTGTATTCAGTTGACTCTGAGACTTACCTGAGAGCACCTGTTTAGCATCTGCAGCTGTCCTGCTTTGTTTGGTAAAATGATCCTATCCTGGACTTCAGAATATGTAGTGGTACCTGTAAAACAGGCAGCTATAATTTGTGGTCATTCTTTGCTCAACAAATCCTCCATTGAACACATACTCTGTGCTTAAACACGATAAATAAAGGCTGACCTTACTCTTGGGGTCTTACGATCTTACAGGAAAGGCAGACATGAAGATGTGTATAAAATCCAAGTAAATTGTCACAAGTGTGCAAAACACCAGGAGAAAGAAGCACAGGGTGTGATGGGAATGCAACAGGGAATCAGAGAGGCTTTCTTGAGGAAGTGACTCCTGAGCTGAGGCTGGATAGGTGAGGAAGGGTCAGCTCCTGAACAGGGAAGGGAAGAAATTTTGAGGCACAGGCGGCACCAAGGTCCTGAGGCAGACAACTGTGTGGTGATTCCCAGAACAAGAGAGCAGGGGAGAGGAGGAGGTGCTGAGTTGGGGCCAGACCACCACACGTGGGGAAGGATTTGTGTTTCCGTTTAACAGAGAGCTAAACCCAGGGACTTAAGAAGCAGCCCTCTAGCATGTCATCAGGGACCAAGTCTCCATCTAGTTGTCCACTTCACCATCCTTAGGGTGTGGCTCTTGTCCTTATACTCACAAGATGGCTGTTGGAACTCCAGCCATCATGTCTGCATTCCAGGCAGGAAGAAGAAGGGCAAAGATAAGAGGGACAAGCAGTCAAATTTGATCTCTTTCAGAAGGTTCCACTAGAACCTTCAGCTGATGTCATGAGCCAGCCTGTGTCACATGGTAATCCTTAAGACATCCAGGGAATGAGGTTTATTAGATGGCTACATCATTGCTGGTTGCTACAGAATCAATCTTTTTTTTTTTTTGAGACAGAGTCTCACTGTGTCACTCAGGCTGAGTGCAGTGGCTCAATCACAGCTCCCTGCAGCCTCGACCTCCTGGGCTTAAGGGATCCTCCTGCCTCAGCCTCCTGAGTTGCTGGGACTACAGGCATGCACCACCATACCCAGTGAATTGTTTTATTTTATTGTATTTTTTGTAGAGACAGGGTCTCACTATGTTGCCCAGGCTGGTCTTGAACTCCTGGCCTCAAGTGATCCTCCAGCCTCGTCCTCTCAAAGTGCTAGGATTACAGGCATGAACCACTGTGCTCAATCCAAAATCAATTTTCTATTAGTAAAGAAGAGAAGGGAATGGCGGAAGGGGCGTAACCTTTGTTCTGAGTGCAACTGGGGAGCCACAGAATGGCCTAAGCAAGGGGATGATGTGGAACAGGGAAAACAATTTCAGGTTGTCCCAACTGGGCCACAGTAACACACACCTGTGGCACAGATATTCATTTCCTAGGGCTGCCAGAACAAATTACCACAATTTTGGTAGCTGAAAACAACAGAAATTTATTCACTTGCAGTTCTGGAGGCCAGAAGTCTGAAATTAAGGTGTCAGCAGGGCCACGCTCCCTCTCAAGGCCCTGGGAAAGGAGCCTTCCTTGTCTTGTCCTAGCTTCTGGATCTCCTGGAAATCCTTGGTGTCCTTGGTTTGTAAACAGCGTCACTCTAATCTCTGCCTTCATTGTGACAGGGATCCTCCCTGTGTCTCCTCTGCGACTCTGTATCCACATCTCCCTCTTCGTTTACATAAAGACACCGGTCATTGGATTTAGGGCCCACCCTAATCCGGTCTGCCTTCATCTTGACTTGTTTCATCTGCAAAGACTATTTCCAAATAAAGTCACATTCATAGGTACCAGAGGTTCACACTTGAACATATCGTTTTGGGTAACACAGTTGAAACTCACTACAGCATGCAAAAGGATGGAAAGGCTATCTGGTGCTGGCTGGGCTAAGGTGGGCCACTCGTTTTCCCCTCACCCACAGATCATAAGATAGCCCAGGATTTAGGGAGGCAGGTTTATTTCCCTAATTTTAACACATTGCAAAGCACCAGTCCCCCTACCCCCACCTCCAGCAAACACTTCCTAAGCATGGAGGAAGTGAGGGACCTTGAGCCATAGGCACAGAGGTGACCTTGCCCATCCCTGCGTGTCAGGGGCTCGTAGTTCAGGGGCAAACAAACATTTAAATGATGGGCTGGGCTGGGCATGGTGGCGCACACCTGTAATCCCAGTTACTTGGGAGGCTGAGGCATAATAATTGCCTGAACCCAGGAGGTAGAGATTGCAGTGAGCTGAGATCGCACCACTGCACTCCAGCCTGGGCGACAGAGCAAGACTCCGTCTCAAAAAAAAAAAAAAAAAAGAAAGAAAAAAAAAGATGGGCTGAATAGCATCTAAACTTGGTTTCCTTTCTTCAGGCAAAATTTTAGGCTAACTGATGTCTCTTAATAAGCCACTTTTTTGTTTGAACTGGGGGGAAGAGGGCAGGCTGTAGCTACGGCCGTGGCAGGTGGTCCCAGGTGAACCATAACCAGCTTCAGAGTTGGAGTCCTACAGACTATCAGATGTACAGTGTTGGGCAGGGCCCCCTATATTTTTTTTGCTTGGAAGTGGAATAAAAACTGCTCACCTGTGAATCCAGGAAGCAGGCTGGGAGGCGGCCATCGGACTCTTCCTTTGTGCAGATCTCTCTGCACAGAGTGCCACGCACGGAGCTTTGTTTCTTGATGGGTGATTTTTTTAAAAATTGAGATAGGGGTCTCCAGCAGAGATGGGTGGAAATAGGAGAGACAGACACCAAGGAAAAACATGAAGCATTAGTTCTCCTGGAGGATGGGGAAAGGGGCAGAAACAGAGGGAGCTGCTTTCCCGAGGGAGGCTAAGAGCTCTGGGCAGAAGCAGTGGCTTCAGTGCCTGTGGGCAGAGCTGGAGAGCAGTGCGTCCCCCTCTGGGTACCCTCCCGAGACTCCAGGGCTGGTGGCTGTGGCAGCAATGGGAAGCAGCATCCTTAGCCCTCACCCCAGGGGCCGTGGCATCAGGGCAGCCCCCCTACCAGGTGGCTTTGTGAGTAAAACCAAGAATCCAACAAGAGTGGCCCCATGTAACTCTTGCAAATAGTACACATGAGTCACCCCTTGAGGACTCCCTGAAATAAGGGATGGTGGAGGCCACTTGCAGGGGGTGGAGGTCCTCATTGGGGAGGTAGGGGTGAAAGGCTGATAAGAAGGCAGGGTTTGGCTAGGCGCAGTGGCTCACACCTGTAATCCCAGCACCTTGGGAGGCCCAGGTGGGTGGATCACTTGAGGTCAGGAGTTTGAGACCAGCCTGGCCAACATGGTAAAACCCCGTCTCCACTAAAAATACAAAAATTTGCTGGGCGTGGAGGCGTGTGCCTGTAATCCCAGCTACTTGGGAGGCTAAGGCACGAGAATCGCTTGAACCCGGGAGACGGAGGTTGCAGTGAGCCGAGGCCATGCCATGGCACTCCAGCTTGGGCGACAGAACGAGACTCTGTCTCAACAATAAAAGAAGGCAGAGTTTAAGCCGAGTGTTGAATGACCAGGAATCTGTCAAGGGGAGAAGGCGAGGGTGGCCATTCCAGACAGGAGGACCAGCGTGGGCAGTGGCACGAGTGACCATTGGTGGCTTGAGGCTGTCAGGGGAGTCTGGTCTGGGGGGTGGGCACACAAGGATGCACAAGGTGGTGAGAGGAGAGAGAAGGAGCTAGAGAGAGGCTGGGGCTGGCTGATGGTGGGATCTTGCATGCCAGCCTAAGAGCTTTGGTTTTCGTCTCGAGGACAGTGTCTTCAGGGAGCCCTGGATAGCCTGTGAACAGAGCAAGGTGTTTTTGATTGGTTTGACTGCCGTGCTGAGGATGGGTGGAGGCATGGGCTGTCTGGAGGCAGGAAGGGAGGGCAGTGGCAGAGGGAATAGCCCCCGACACCAACCAACCATGCTTCTTCCGCTCATCGTCCCCCAGCCTGCCCCAACCCCAGGTCTCCAGATTGTGTCGCTTATCGTAAGAGCAGAGTGCCTTCTGGCAGGTGAGGAGTGCAGGAACCCCTTGTCCCTGCTCACGCTGCGCCCAGGGCAAGGGCCGGCTGGGCAGCTGGCAGCCTGGCAGGGAGAATGTCGTTTACTCTGCTGTGTCTGCCGCCACCACCGCTGGGCAGCCTGATTAATGACCCAGGGCTCCTCACAGGTCAGCGGCCCCACCTCTGTGGCGGTGGCTGCCAAGGGAACCTGCCTGCCCTGCCTCCATTCCTCCTGCGGCTGGTGCTCTTGGGTCGGCTCCAGGAAGGGCTTCCACATCGCCCCTCTCTGGCTCTTAAGTCTTTCTGCCAACCATTTCCCTGGCCTCCTTTGAACCCTGGCCCAAGTGCTCCTCTGCAGGAGAGCCTTTGCAGAATGAACCCCCAGCCCATAGCATTCTAACTTCTTTATTTCATCTCCATCAGGCACACAGCAAAGGCTCAAAGATATGCCTCGAAGGAATCCTTGCTGCTTCTCTCCCCTTCCCACCACCCTGGTGATGCTGTGTGGACTCTGGGTTCTGTATTAGCTCTGCTTGAGGGTCTGTGTCTGCTCCTCTGTTTATATAAGTCCCATTCCAGACTGGAAACTCCCCAGGACCAAGAGGCAGCCTCCTCCTTTAGACTGGTGCCTTCTAAGATCCAGATTTTTCTCCTTCTTTTGAGACAGAGTCTCGCTCTGTCGCCCAGGCTGGAGTGCAGTGGCGCGATCTCGGCTCCCGAGTTCAAGTGATTCTTGTGCCTCAGCCTCCCAAGTAGCTGGGATTACAGGCGTGTGCCACCAGGCCACACTAATTTTTGTATATTTAGTAAAGACGAGGTTTCGCTGTTTTGTCCAGGCTGGTCTCGAACTCCTGACCTCCCGTGATCCGCCCGCCTCGGCCTCCCAAAGTGCTGGGATTACAGGCGCGAGCCACCGCGTCCAGCCCAGATTTTCCTTTTCCATTAAATAGGGTACTCTTCCAGGGCAGGGACTATGACTCTCCCTCGGCCTGGGAGCTCCCTGAAAACAAGGGCCCGGTTTGAGGCCATCCTGTCTGTTCCTCCCTTATGCCCCATGCCAAGCTCAGCCTTGGTCCTGGTCTGAAGGGATGCAGGGGCTGCCGGCCTCCTGGCTTGTCTGGGAACAGGAGGGCTGAGCATGAGGGCAGCAGGCGTGGATTTGGCTGTGGCCAGGCCTGTTGGGGCACCACTAGGGGCCAGCTAGTGAGCTGTCTGGGGCCAAGGGGGAGTCCAGGGGGTCCTAGGCCTAAATCAGCCCTTGGGGCCACAGGTCCAGCACCCTGGGAGGGTGGTGACTTCCTGTACCCAGAAATCTGAGTGGGGAAGGGCGGAGAGTCAGTCCTGGCATGCTGACTACTCACACCTCCTGTGGGCTTTATCTTGGGTGCCGGCAGGAGGACAACCACAGCTATTATGTGTCCCGTCTCTATGGCCCCAGCGAGCCCCACAGCCGGGAACTGTGGGTAGATGTGGCCGAGGCCAACCGGAGCCAAGTGAAGATCCACACAATACTCTCCAACACCCACCGGCAGGCTTCGGTGAGTGCCCCAGTCGCCAGCCATGCTTCCCTGTGCTGGGAGGCCGGGGGCCAAACCACCCTGCCTGGTCAGTGGGCATGGCTGTGGCCCGAGGTCTGTGACCTGGGAGGTACCTTCCAGGGGTTCCCATGGGACTTTGCCAGAGTTGGGGTGCCCAGCAGTGGCCCTGGGCATGCCTGCTCCCCACTCTGTCCAAACAAGCATGAGGCAGTGTGGGTGCCCAGGCCCCTGGCCTGCAGCTTGGCCCGTGCTGACTTTCTCCCATCCCCTGCAGAGAGTGGTCTTGTCCTTTGATTTCCCTTTCTACGGGCATCCTCTGCGGCAGATCACCATAGCAACTGGAGGTAAGGCCACGTCGTGGGGCCCCGGGGAGAGTCTGGAGACCTCAGCCCGAACTCAGGGGCCCTCCCAGGGGTGGCTCACTGGAGACAGGGTTATATGAAATGGGAGGAAGGCACATTTGGCTCTAATAGGAGTCTGATTCTCAGGAGGGGGGTCAGTGGACGTCAGAGCATCTCCCTTGCATTAGCTGACCTGCTCATGTGCCTGCACGTGTGTGTCTCCTCGGGCCAGCACGAGTCAGTGTGGACAGCCCTGTGTCCCGGAGTTGCTGAATAAGAGGGAGAGGGAGACTCCACTGAGAGCTTGGGCTCCTGGGGCCAGGCTCCCTGTTGATAGGAGGCACCTGTCTTTAATCCCTGCACTTCAGTTCCACATCCCACTTCCCCAGGGATGGGGAAAGCTGTGAGTCCTCTCCTCTTCCTGCCCCCTCGCCCTATAGTCTGTGCCCTGCTGAAGGGACAGGGAGGACCTTCTCCTATCTGGGGTCCTTTGGCTCCATACACACCAGACCCAGAGCCCGCCAGATGGGGATGGGCGACAGAGGTCTCAGGCTCACTTCCAGCTCTGCCTGCGCTGCCCTTCTTGCCCTTGGGGAAAAGGCCCCCAAAGCGGCCCCTCTGGGCCATTTCTGGTGACTCCTCTGCACCTCTCCCACCCTAGGCTTCATCTTCATGGGGGACGTGATCCATCGGATGCTCACAGCTACTCAGTATGTGGCGCCCCTGATGGCCAACTTCAACCCTGGCTACTCCGACAACTCCACAGTTGTTTACTTTGACAATGGTGAGACTGGATCTCAGAATTTAAGTCACCCAGCTCCAGGGATCCCTTGTCCAGTCCTTTAGAGGAGCACAGGGCCTAGAGAGGGCAAGGGTCCCACAGTCCCACGGCAAAGCAGCCACCTACCTTTCTCTGCTCAGTTTCCTGACCTGTCAGATAGGGGCAAAAATGCCTGCTACCCAGAAGAATCTGATGAGATAACAAAACGACAGTGCTTGGCTCTTAGTCGAGGTAAAATAAATGTTAGGGGCCTTTATTGTTACTTACATTCACCAGGATGTCCCTTGAGCCCCGTCTGAATCCAGGAGAACAGACATTCCTCCTTCTTTTATCTCAAGGAGTCAGAATAGACAAGAAGGAAAGGGAAAGAGATGATCAAGTACAGTATCTGGGGCTGAAGCAGGATCTTCTGGCTCCTCTGCTGCTTGGAAGCCGCGCTGCTTTAGTGAGCTGCCCAGCTCCTGCCTCCTTACCTTTGCAAACTTCCCCATCATCCCGAAGGGACCCAACCTGTGGCCGCTGCCCTCCGACTGGCATTTCTGTAGGGCCCTGCTCCTTGCATGATCTCCCGTCCAGCCGGGTCTCTGTTCTTCTCCCCAGGGACAGTCTTTGTGGTTCAGTGGGACCACGTTTATCTCCAAGGCTGGGAAGACAAGGGCAGTTTCACCTTCCAGGCAGCTCTGCACCATGACGGCCGCATTGTCTTTGCCTATAAAGAGGTGAGTGGGCCCAGCTGCAGAGACAGCTGGGTCTTGGAGCCTTTCTTCATTCAGCAAATATTTAGAGAATTTGCAATGTGCCAGGCATGGGGCTTGCTGCTGGTAATACAGCAGTTAACAAGATGTTTGCGGGTCCTACCCTTTTGGAGCAGTAAGTCTGGTTGCGGAGGTGGACAATAATTACAGGGACAAATGTAGAATCACCACTGTGACAAGCGCTCCCAAGTAGAGGTGCCTGGTGCTAGCTGAGCCTTTCACAGACCTCTTAACCTTGGCAGAGGCCAGGGGAGGCTTTGCTGAGGAAAAGAGTTGAAATCTGAAGGATAAATACGAGTTCAGGAAGCAAAGAGGAGAGTGAAGTATGTTCTAGGAGAGACAACAGCACACAGCACATGCAAAAGTCCTGAGGCAGGACAGAGCACGGCTGGCACAAAGCACTGAAAGAAGGCAGCATGGGCCAGGTGCGGTGGCTCACACCTGCAAACCCAGCACTTTGGGAGGCTGAGGTGGGTGGATCATCAGAGCTCAGGAGTTCGAGACCAGCCTGGCCAACATGATGAAACCCCATCTCTACTAAAAATACAAAAAATTTAGCCGGACGTGGTGGCAGGCACCTGTAATCTCAGCTACTCAGGAGGCTGAGGCAGGAGAATCGCTTGAACCCAGGAGTTGGAGGTTGCAGTGAGCTGAGATCGTGCCACTGCACTCCAGCCTGGGCAACAGAGTGAGAATCTGTCTCAAAAAAAAAAAAAAAGAAAGAAAAAGAAAAAAGAAAAAAGAAGGCAGCATGATGAGCCAGGGTGGTGGCTCATAACCCCAGCGCTTTGGGAGACTGAGGCGGGAAGATTGCTTTAACCCAGAAGTTCAAGACCAGTCTGGAGAACATAGTGAGACACACACCTCTATTAAAAAAAAAATAGAAGAAGGCAGCATGGTTGGAAGGGAGAGAGTGAGGGGCAGGACAGGGCAAGGGAACCACAGATTTGCCCTTGAGAAAAGTCACTCTGGCTTCAGAGTGGAGAACAGGTTGTTGGGGGCTTAGAGGGAATACTGGGAAGTAATTTAGGAGAAGGGTGACAGCAGCTTAGAGTAGGATGAGGGGAAATGGAAAACAGACAGATTTGAGAGCCACTTAGCAGGTTAAGCAACAGAATTCGGAGATGCATTAGATGGGGAAGGGAAGAAATGAAAGAAAGGGAAGGGAAAAGGGTATGTCCCGGGTTTCCGGCCTGCATGGAGTGCCATTCACCGAGACAGAGGAAAGAAGAAAATGTGCTTGGAGGTGGTGTGGAGAGGACTTGGAATTTGGGTGGGGTCCCACTGGGCTTCCAATGTCTTGGAGTCCTCCAGGAGGTGGTGCCATCCAGAAAGATGGGTCTGGAGCTCACAGGGGAGGGCTGGGTGGGCCCCAGAGCGTTTGGGAGGTGGACGGAGTCTCTTCTCCCTGCCGCAGATCCCTATGTCTGTCCCGGAAATCAGCTCCTCCCAGCATCCTGTCAAAACCGGCCTATCGGATGCCTTCATGATTCTCAATCCATCCCCGGATGTGCCAGGTGAGTCTTCAGGGACCCCGCAGAGGCCTTGATGGGGGTAGGACTCCGCTCAGACTGAACCTGAGCTGCTGGGGGGATGGCAGTGGCAGGGAGTAGACAAGGGGCAGAGAGTTGAGAGGGAAACCAGGCAGGAAAGGATGCCCAGTGACTTCCAGCTTTTCTTTGTTATAGCAGAGGGACCATTTTCTCCAGCAAAATCTCCAATGGGAGGCACTGCTCTGGTTGTTAAGGTGAAAGGGAGCCACAGCCCTTCCACTCAGCCCCTGTTCTATGTAGAAAACCTCCAAAGATGCCCTAGTAAGGGGTTTGAGTCCTCCCAGAATACAACCATTGTGGCCTTCCCACTCCAGGTGATAAAGGGAGCATCATAGGATGCCAGGAGACAGGAATCCAGCCTCGGCCATGCTGTTACCTCCCTGTCCTTCAGCAAACCACATCATCTCTCTAGCCTCAGTTGCCTCATCTACAAAATGGGATAGTAGCTGAAGGAGTGCTTCTCCCTCCCAGGCCCTCCTCCAGTGCTGACATTTTAGGAGGTCATAGCTCTTTCTCCCCTGCTCCCGACCCCCATTGCGTGCTCACGAGGGTCTTGGATTTGTACTCCTGGGGAGCGCGGCAGGCATCCCATGCACTGCCGCTCCTTCTAGACCCTTGTCTCAGAGACTTTTTAACCTGACCTCTTCTGCTGAGCCGTATGCACAAGTTCTGCCATGTAGGACCCCGGGAGGTCTGGGGAGGAGCCTTTGTCTGCCCTTCCCACCCCACCTGGGCTTTGATGGGGCCTGGGGGCATTCTCAACTCCACTCTTGCCATGCCAGGCTGGACGGAAGGACACGCTTGGGAGCCCCCAAGTCACCTTCCTGTAGAAGGGCAAGGTACCGCCGTTCTGTGAAATCAGGGCTTCCCGGGGGAGGCATCATTGCCTATTTCTGTTCGGTTCCATCAGTACACGTGTTCTGAGTTCCTGCTTACACACTGGGCCACTATGTTCCAGGCACTGTTGAGATACAGTGAAGAGGAAGGGCATCTGCCCTTGAGGCATTCAGTATCTGAGCACAGCCTTTTTTTTTTTAAACAAAGTCTTGCTCTGTCATTCAGGATGAATGCAGTAGTGCAATTTCTACCCACTGCAGCCTCCACCTCCCAGGTTCAAGTGATCCTCCCACCTCAGCCTCCCGAGTAGCTGGGACCACAGGCACATGCCACCATGCCTGGCTAATTTTGTTATTTTTTGTAGAGACAGGGCCTTGCTATGTTTCCCAGGCTTGTCTCAAACTCCTGAACTCACACGATCCTCCCATCTTGGCATCCCAAAGTGCTGGGATTACAGACGTCAGCCCCCATGCCCCACCCCAAACCTCTGTCTTTAACAGAAATGTTAAGGGTTGGGGAACAATGGGGCCTTTAATCTATTTTTTTTTTAATCTGAAGGAAAGGACCAGGGCTTAGTTAAAAGGCCTTACCCAGTACCTTCTATATGCAAAGTTCAGTGGAGTGTTAGGGGCTCAGCTCTGGAACTGGAAGCCTGAGCTGGAGTCCACACTTTCCACAAGCATCTGACCTCTGGTGAGTCACTCAACCTCTCTGCGTTTATTTCTTTATCTGTAAAATAGGGATAAGAGTGATACTTTGCCCCTACAGCTGCTGCAAACACGCAGGCGATAGTGTATGTAAAGTGTTGGGCCTAATGTCTGGCACATCAGGTCTGTGAGTCCGGTATAAGAATATCTCACTACAGTAGACTTTAAAACTCAGCATTTTATAATCCAGCAGGACACCTTGTTCTGTAGCGAACAGTGCAGGACTAGGAACAAGCAGTGTCCTCATGCTGGTGTCGCAGGTCAGATGCCGCCACAGCACTTTCACACTTTCATGCAGCTTTTGTGACTAGGGACAAAAAGTCACATGCTATAGTGGCGCAGAGTTTCCCTACCTTTACTTGTTTGCACATCCCTCTTTGAGATTTTTGCCATTTCCATGAATTACTATTCTTTTTTTTTTTTTTTTTGAGACAGAGTCTCGCTCTGTTGCCCAGGCTGGAGTGCAGTGGCACGATCTTGGCTCACTGCAACCTTTGCCTCCCGGGTTCGAGTGATTCTCCTGCCTCAGCCTCCTGAGTAGCTGGGATTACAGGCGCCGGCCACCACGCCTGGCTGATTTTTGTATTTTTAGTAAAGACAGGGTTTCACCATGTTGTCCAGGCTGGTCTCAAACTCCTGACCTCAGGTGATCTGCCTGCCTCGGTCTCCCAAAGTGCTGGGATTACAGGAGTCAGCCACCGCGCCCAGCCATGAATTACTATTCATTATTATTATTATTATTAGAGACAGGGTCTCAGGCTGGAGCGCAGTGTCCCCATCATAGTTCATTGCGGCCTCAAACACTTGGGCTCAAGCCATCCTCCCACCTCAGCCTCCCAAGAAGCTGGGGCCACAGGCACATGCCACCATGCCCAACTAATTTTTAAATTTTTTTTTGGAGAGATGGACAGGGTTTTCCCATGTTGCCTGGGGTGGTCTCAAACTCCTGGGCTCAACTTAACCTCCCCTGCAAGCCTCCCAGTGCCCAATGTGCTGGGATTACTGGCCTGGGTCACTGAGCCCAGCTTATTTAGTAATGCATGTCTTTTTTTTTTTTTTGAGACGGAGTCTCGCTGTGTCGCCCAGGCTGGAGTGCAGTGATGAGATCTCAGCTCACTGCAAGCTCCACCTCCCGGGTTCACGCCATTCTCCTGCCTCAGCCTCCTGAGTAGCTGGGACTAGAGGCACCTGCCACCACGCCTGGCTAATTTTTGTATTTTTAGTAGAGATGGGGTTTCACCATGTTAGCCAGGATGGTCTCAATCTCCTGACCTTGTGATCCACCCTCCTTGGCCTCCCAAAGTACTAATGCATTTCTTTATCTTCATTTATAAAGTTATATTTTTTCATGAATAAGTGTATCTGGTCTAAAATGCAAAAGATATAAAAGGATGTACAGAGATTAGGTTTTTCACCTGCCCCTGAACCCTGTCTCTCAGTTCGCCATCTCTCAGCTCTCCTCCCTGGAGGCAAAGGGAGGGGAAACCAGTGTTCTGGGTTATCTCCAGAGCTGCAAGCCTTCAGGTGAGTGAGTGTGTGTGTGTGTGTGTGTGTGTGTGTGTGTGTGTATTTGATAGCATACGATGTCAGTGTTTCTGCACTTGAACAGAGTACATCCTGCCCACTGTTCTGTCTCAGCACACAGTGAGCTGCCTCATTCTTCTCTTTAATGGCTGCCTGATAGTCCATTCCATGGATGGACCTTAATTTAACCTGTCCCCTGGGGGTAGACTTTTCAGTTGTTTTAAATCTTGGGCTATAACAAATAATACAGTAGGTACTTTCATGCCCCCGTGTGAGTATTTCCGTACGCTATATTCTCAGTGGTCCAATCATTGGGTCAAAGGGCAGGGGCATTTACAATTTTGATAGCTGTGGCCAAAGTGGGTTCCACGGAGACTCTGGCACTTTACCCTCCTCATAGGTGGGCATGCCTGTCACCTACTCTTTCGCTTGCCGTGTGTCCCAAGGCAAGGTCTGGGCTGTAGCTGTCACCATCTAATGAGTTGCCTCGAGCTACCTCAAGGGCTGTGGTGAGGATTAGCTGAGATATCCATGCACAGAGCACCAGGCACTGTGCCTGGCTTGGGCGGGGTGCCCAGTAAAGGCTGGTTAGCACCCACCAAGCATCTCGCCCCAGTCCACACCTTCATCTGGGCAGATCTGTGGGTGGGGTGGGTGGCACTCAAGGGTCAAGGGGCTGGTGAATGGGGCCTGGTTAATTCCCAACAGGCCAGGAGTTCTTTCCCCTCTTCAGAAATTCACCAGCTTCTTCTTCCTCCACCTTCCTACAACCTCCCTTTCTATTCTTTCTTCCCAATATCTGCCTGCCTGCAGCATTCCCAGCTGGTAAGCAGGCATAGACTTGCTCCCCGAAGCATACCACCTCTCGGTAGGGCCAGCCGCTAGACACCCTTCCCACGCAACACTGCATGATATCGAGGGAGATGGCAGAGGGCAGGGCATCGGAGTGGAGGGGCATCTGATTTGCATATGCTACTAGAAAGGAGTTTTGTGGTCAAGTTTTTGCTGCTTCTACTTGGGACTAATTCAGCTCTCAGCATAACTAGGGTGGTCCCGGCTTATGGTTCTGGGAGCAAATGGCTCTGGTGGCTTGAGGGCAAAGCGCCCACTGCTAAGCGGCAAATAAGGAATCCCTCCTCCCTGGTCAGCATTTGGGTGGGTTATAGTCTTGATCCATGGGCCCGTTGGCTGGTGGCTGTACCCCAGGCCTAGCCTGCCACAGAAGTGTGGGGCTCGCACCTCACCCTCCCTTCCCTTCTTCTCCGTCTCCCTTTTTAGGGCCCCGTGCCCTCTGTCTCCTTTCTTCCACAAAACTGTCCTGGATGCTGTGGCTCATTGCCACCCATACCACATGGCTCCTCATGAGGCCTTTGTGCCCCAGTGGCCTAGACTTGGATATAAAGCCGGGCAGGGTGTCTGTCAGACAGCAGGCACCTACTCGATACGTGATACGTGTGAATGTCCCTCCCTCCTTCCCTTTCTCAAACACGGCCTTGAACTCTTCTGCGCGTTTCTGATATTTCAGTGCCTCTGTTATGTTGCTGCTACACGAGGAACTGTTTTTAAGCTAGTAGAGCTGTTTTCCTGTCTTTGCCATATGTGTATGGAGCAGTCTTTGAAACTGCACACAAGCGGCGACAGCAGAAAACTCTTCCTTCAGCTCCAATGTGTGGCTTCCCTTGCTCCATGCCATGGGGCCCTGTGGATATCACCTTATCCTTTAAGGCCCATTTCCAACCCTAGATATTAGATCCTGGGCTGAGAGTCAGTGCACCCCACTACAGTTGTATCAGTTGTCAAAATATTGAAATACTTGCATTCTTGTTGGCAAATTGCTGCTGATTTGAGCCCCCTCGTACCTCCCACGACCCCTCCTGCCCTCCCCTTAGCCCCCTGCGCTCCCAGTCCTCTATCAAGTATTACAGCCTGGGCTCCAGGACCTGGCTCCATGGCTGCAGGCAGCATCTGCTCTGACTGGTTGGTAAACGCCTGTGTTGAGCCAGTTGTTAAATCATCTCCGTATCACCTGGTTGCATTAGTTAGCTACAGCTGTATAACAAATTGCTCCAGAATTTAGTGGCTTAAAACTGCAACATATTATCTCAGAGTTTTTATGGATCAGGAAGCAAAGCACAATTCAGCCAGGACCTCTCATTCAAGGTCTTTCACAGGCTGCGACTGAAGTGTTAGCCAGCGGCCAGGCACGGTGGCTCACGCCCATAATCTCAGTTCTTTGGGAGGCCAAGGCAGGGGATCTCCTGAGGTCAGGAGTTTGAGACCAGCCTGGCCAATATGTCGAAACCCCATCCTTACTAAAAATACAAAAGTTAGCTGGGTGTGGTGATGGGTACCTATAATCCCAGCTACTTGGGAGGCTGAGGCAGGAGAATCGCTTGAACCCGAGGGGCGGAGCTTGCAGTGAGCTGAGATCGCACCACCTCACTCCTCACACCACTCACTCACGATTTCACTGGGTGAAAGAGTGAAACTCTGTCTCAAAAAAAAGAAAAAAAGTGTTAGCCAGGGTCACAGTTACCCCCGTGATGGGGTGGCAGGTGGGGAGGGTTGGGACCGGCTTCAGAGCTTTCATGTGGTTTGGCAGGATTCAGGATTCAGAATTCAGGATTCAGTTCCCCAAGGAGGCCTTCTTTGGCTCCTTGCCTGGTAAACTTCCCCATGATATGGCAGCTGGCTTCCATCAGAGCAGGCAAGCGAGACAAAAGCAGAGGGCGAGGAAGACGCAAACCAGGGTCTTTTTATAGCTTAATTTTAGATGTAACATCCTATCTTTTTTGCCACATTCCGCTGGCTAGAACCAAGTCACAGATCCAGTCTACGCTCAGGGACTGGATTGCACCTGGGTGTGGATACCAGGCAGCCACCGTAGAGGCTCTCTGGGGGCCATGCTAGCGTCTGCCTACCACACTGATTATAATCCTCTTTCCCATGCACTAAGCTGGACAGTGTCTTGGATCTTCCCCAAACATTGTGAGTTTGTACATTTGTCCCTTTCTAAATGAGGACACAAATGTTCAGAGAGGTAGAGTGACTTATCCTTGGTCACACAGCTATGAAAGGAAGAATTCAAGTCCAGATCTTCTCCATTTAAATCCTGGAGTCCACCACTGAGCCTTTCTTAGACTGACCCACTCCCATTCCACCCAGGGGAATCTTTTCCTCCTCAGCTCCCCCAAACACCCACAGAGTGGGGTGTGCAAACTCCCCAGGCTGCTTCTTGGGACTGTTCTTGGTGTCTGTGCCTTATTTCCTTCCCTATCCTGCATCCCATGTACATTACTGAGCCCACTGTCGGGGCAGGGATGTGTCTGTTTCATCTGCACCTCCCTCAAGGGCTTCTTCCAGGCAGAGTCTCAGGAAACGTGTGCCTGATCAAGCTGTGGAATGAGGGTGAATTAGAGGGGGTCAGATCCCCGGTAGCATCTGCCTCTGAGGCTCCTCTGTGATTCTGGAATGAGAAGCCCCTTTAGAGCAAACCAGAGAGATGAGGGGTGAAGGGGGCGGGGAAGCACAACCCACCTGAAAGAGCAGGGAGGCTATGTCTGCTCTGCAGGATCAGGAGGAAATCTCGGTGGTGGGAGCGGTTGGAGTCTGACTCCAGGTGCTGTGTGCTGAGGTGTTGGGTCTACCTGCCAGGTGAAAGCCAGCACCTGACCCCCAGACACTGCCAGCAGCTCCCAGCCTCGTCCTCCTTCCCTCTGTCTCCTGTTCCTCCTTGTCACCATCAGATCCGATCACATCACTCTCTGACTCCTTGCTGCCCACAGGTCAGGTCAAAATCCTCAGTGTGGCATTCAAGGCCGGGCACAGCTGGGTGCAGTCAACCACGCAGGCGCATTTCCAAACCCTCCCTCCGCTCACCGCCCTCTGCCTGGGGAGCTCTGGTCTGTGTCCCCTGGGTTCCCTGAACATGCTAAGGGCTGTCCACATCGGTATGACACAGTCCCCTTGTATAAAACGCCTCTTACTCCAATCTTTTTTACTGCTTGGCACCATTCTCCCTCTCCAGCGGCCCAGGTCAGATGCTGTGCAAGTAACCACTCCGCCATGCAGTGGAATTCACGGCTTCCTCTTCTTCCCCCCGGCACTTCGCTGATACTTTTTTCTTCTTCTTCTTTTCTTTCTAGTGGTGGCGAGAACAAATGCTGATACTCTTAACATAGAACTTATTGTCCTCCCCAGCTAGGTGTGAATTCCTTGGGGGCTCTCTATGGCCCCCAGCAGTGAGCCCAGTGGGCAGGCACTAACATTTTTAGAAAATGAGTAACTACAAGAAAGTGGACCTAGTTGCTGGGGTTAGGGCACCGCTGAAGGGAATGGACATAGCATAGACCTTGTCCTCTGCTCTATTGTGACTCTAGGTGAGAACAGGGGTCTGACACCACTTGAGTTTGGGAGTTGAGTGTTTTGGAAATTGCATCCCTTTTTGTCAGAGGTTTTTAGCTTACGGGAACAAGCATAAAATTCAGGAAGTCTGGGAATCTTAAAATTGTATACGGATTTTTTTTTTTTTTTTTTTTTTTTTTGAGATGGAGTTTCACTCTTGTTGCCCAGGCTGGAGTGCAATGGCGCAATCTCGGCTCACTGCAACCTCCACCTCCTGGGTTCAAGCAATTCTCCTGCCTCAGCCTCCGGAGTAGCTGTGATTATAGGTGCCCGCCACCACGCCTGACTAATTTTTGTATTTTTTAGCAGAGACGGGGTTTCACCATGTTGGCCAGGCTGGTCCTGAACTCTGACCTCAGGTGATCCGCCCACCTTGGCCTCCCAAAGTGCCGGGATTACAGGCGTGAGCCGTTGCACCTGGCCTTTTTTTTTTTTTTTTTTTTATAGACAGGGTCTTGCTCTGTCGCTCAGGCCGAAGTGCAGTAGCACAATCATAGCTCACTGCAACCTCAACTTTCTGGGCTTAAGCGATCCTCCTGCCTCAGCCTCCTGAGTAGCTGAGACTATAGATGTGTACCACCATGCCCAGCTTATTTATTTATTTATTTATTTATTTATTTATTTATTTATTATTTGTAAAGACAAATAATAAAATAGGGTGGTATTGAATTCTTACGCTCAAGCCATGCTCTGGCTTTGGCCTCCCAAAGCACTGGATTACAGATGTGAGCCACCGTGTAAGGCCTGTATGTGGAGTATTGAAATGCAAGTGGAACATGTTCACATCCATGCGTTTTTCTGGGACAGTATCCATGGCCCTCATTGGGGTTTAAAATGGGCCACAGCCTCTGCTCCTGGGGAGAAATGGCTTTTATGTGGCTAAGGGGTCAGATGACTTTGGGTCTCACATTCAATCCGGCAAGCAGGGAATTTGTTTGGATTAGGTTGAGCTGCAGGTAATAGTAAACCCCAAATGATCATGGCTTAAAGGAAACAGAAGTTCAGGAAGAGCCATCTGGTCTGCAGACCCTATGATCACCATGGATAATCCTATTGACCAAGCCCACCTGATCATACAGAATGGGTGGCGTCACTGTCCTTGTGCCCAGGTTTGACTGCTCCCTGCCTGGGGCAGTGTGAGGAGGGGAGTTTGATTCCTCACTATTTAGGAATCCCCAGCCACTGAACCCTGTCTGGGGAAAACTCTCCTCCCCCAGGTTCTAAACACTTTCCTCCCCACCCCTGCTAGGCAAGGGGATGGGAGGTGCAATGGGGAGGACTCCTCACAGCCTCACTCCTGGGGGAGAGGGTAGAAGAGGCTGAAAACCACAAGAGTTCTTACCAGTACTTCCTCGTATAAACTCTTCCGCAGGCTTTTCAGCAGAGTCTGCAAAGCATCTTTGGTGAAAAGAAAAGTCATGTGCAATTAGCAGCATCTGTTTGCAGAGGCACTCAAAACACACAGGACAGTGTATCCGCTATGTGGCTGGGGAGACCGCCGGAAGTCAATATTATTTCCTCTGTTCATTTGCTTAAGAAACTCTTTATTTCATGGTTAGTATAAAAGCAACTTTAGCATTGCCAACATCGAAACTGACAGGGATTCTGAATTAGTGGGATCAGTTAGTGAGGATTTTCTTACAAAGAGCTCCAGAATGTAGCCTGCCCCTTGGCTGGCCCCGAATGGCCTTGGACGGCCCCAACATGCTGGTCCTCCTCCTTTACCGGAACTTTCCTGTCCTTTCCGAGGCAGACTTGAGTCCAGATATATGTCAGGGCCTGAGCTGTGTGTACCTTCCTGCCAGGCTGCAGGTAAGGGAGGGGTGGGTCCCAGAGCAGGCTACAGAAGGGATCTAGGGGCAGCCACGTGAGGAAGTGGGTGCAGGGAGAAGCTGAGGATCTGGCCAATTTTGCCTTTTCTGATAAAGGATCCTTTAAAGTGCCCTTCGTTGGAAGTTTTTAATCCATCTGGGGGCCCATCCTTCCCTCTTTTCCCTTCTCACTTCTGTTTTTCCCACTACTCTGCTCCCTGAGTCATTTCTGGCCTCTTCTTTCTCTGCCTTTTTCTGCTTTGCTTCAATGCTGAGGGACCCCCCTACTTCTCCCCCGTGGGGCAGGGTCCCCTGCTGGGGCTCCACTCGTGATTATTGAATGAATAATCACATGAGCCAAGGAACAAAAGAATGCATGAAGACTTTTTCCCAACCCAACCTCTTAGATTTTTTTATACGGTAACCACCCATTCCAGGTGGGAGTTTGTGGATCGACCTGTCATCTCCTAACTTCTTCTGGCCAAGCCAGCACTCTCCCATGGGCATCTGGCATTGAAACACAAAGGGACATGCAAACCTCTCACTTGAACCATTAACATTACTTGTTTGGGGCCAGGCATGGTGGCTACGCCTGTAATCCCAGCACTTTGAGAGGCCGAGGCGGGTGGATCGTTTGAGGCCAGGAGTTTGAGACCAGCCTGGCCAAGATGGTGAAACCCCATCTGTACTAAAAATACAGAAATCAGCCAGGTGTGGTGGCAGGCACCTGTAATCCCAGCTCCTCGGGAGGCTGAGGCAGGAGAATTGCTTGAACCCGGGAGGTGGAGGCTGCAGTGAGCTGAGATTGTGCCACTGCACTCCAGCCTGGGCGACAGAGCAAGACCCTGTCTCAAAAACAAAAACAAAACAAAACAAAAACAACCCCCCCGCCAAAAAAAAAAGACAAAAAACAAAAACATTTCTTGTTTGGGCAGCAGTGTTTGCCAAGTCTGGACCTGAGTATTTCTGAATCTTTGATGCCTGGAAGCAGAGATAAAACAGAACACCTTAAACTGCCAGAAATGGTGCTCTGGGGAAGCCTGCGTCTTGGTTCCAGAAAGGATCTGTTGGTCATGGAGATGGAAGTCATTGTCTTGGGCAAGCTCCAGATGTTGGTGAAACAATCCAAAACAAATAACCCAGGCTTGGGGGGTTGGGGGGGGGGGGCGGGGCGTAAGGATTCTTTTATTAAAAAAATAAAAATATTACCAAACCCACACTCGAACAAGTACAAGCTGGCAGTTGAAGTGAGCAAATAGTTTCAATTAGAGATATAGTTCCACCCCCCACCCTCATCCCCCTTTCTGCCACCACTCAGCCTCCCCCACTCCGCTGGAAGGACTGTATTTTCAGAGGACAGCTGGCATCCCTGGCTGCACCCATGCTTGGGGCACATCCCCAACTCTGCCCCCCAGCCCGGATGGTGGGGAAACCCATCCCTAGAGCCTGGTGTGAAGTTTCTAGGAGACTTGGCTTCCCTGGCTGCCACTTGTGTCTCTATCCTCGAACTCAGTTCCCTTGAAAAGTCTGAGTCTCTATCTGTGCCCCACCCTGAGTCCCTTTGTCCCTCCCATTTCCCCTTCCTTCTGATGAGGGAAAGCTCTGCCCTGCAGCCTTGCAGGTGGAGAAATCCTGAAAGCCAGCTCTCCTCCCGCTTTGAGATCTAGCTTAGGAGGCGGCATGTCTGGTTTACTGTGGTCTTTCAGGGTTGTCCTTTTGAGAATGGCAGTAATTTGTGGTGGGCTGGGGAGGGAGGGCGTGCTTCCTTTGGGCTGTGGGCTGACGTTATAAGTTGCTGAGGTTTTCATGACTATTTGTAACCCATTCATTCACTCACAGTCATTTCTTAAGGTCCTGTTAAGTGCAAGGCCTGGTGCTAGGGGATGAGGTACAGAGATAAATTCCATGCAGACTCTGTCTTAGCGGAGCTTGTGGTCTGGCTGCGGGAGTGGCCAGGAGAGCAGATATTGACCAAGCGATGTAATGGGGGACACTGGACATTGCTCAGGGAGTTGTAGACTCAGAGTGGGGCCGGGTCGGGGGGCAGTCACTTTGCCTGAGAGTGGGGGAAGTCTTCAAGGAGGGGACGTCATTTGAGCTGAGTCTTGAAGTATGAGGCAGTTGAAGCAAGAAAGGTTGACATTGGACTCTAGAACCTATGGCCTCAGGCACCCTGGAAGTCAGGACATGGGAGACTTGGAGTTTCATGTTTATTTTTGATCCCATTGCGTTTTGGTGCTGAAGGGGAAGGAGAGATGGCCCCTGGGAGTAATGAGTGGGGATGGTGTGTGAAAGTCTGCTTCAAACTTTCCATCCTCATCTAGATATTCCCAGGCCCCCAGGCTTACTCAGAGCCCAGGCCACCTTCTCATGGCCATTGGCATCACTCAGGGGCACCTGCAGCACAGGTGGCCTTGGTGCCACCTCTGGGCATGTGAATTACAAAAAGGTGCCCATCCTCCAATCTCTGTCAGATCCCACTCGGGCTTGGCAAAGGGTCTTTCTTGTGTCAAAGGGTTGCATATGTGTGTGCATATGAGTATGTGCTCATGTGCAGGTGTGTGTGTGTCTTGGAGGGCTGGGGTGTGCACATGCGTGTGCGGGGCTCTGTGAACCCCTCGCCACCTCAGCTTTCCATGGAGGGTTCCCTCCTCTTAGAGCCACAGTGACTCTGTAGACACCCGGCAGTTACTGCCTGATATTTACGAGGCTTGCCACGGGGCCTCCTCTCTCAGACTTAGGGTTCTTTAGGAGACAAACACACAGTCATTCCATCTTTTGGATTTTGGCTTAATTTTATATATATATATATATATTTTAAGACGGAGTCTTTCTCTGTCGCCCAGGCCGGAGTGCAATAGTGCAATTTCGGCTCACTGCAGCCTCTGCCTCCCGGGTTCCAGCGATTCCCCTACCTCAGCCACCCGGGTAGCTGGGATTACAGGCGCGTGCCACCATGCCTGGCTAATTTTTGTATTTTTATAGAGATGAGGTTTCACCATGTTGGCCAGGCTGGTCTCAAACTCCTGACTTCAGGTGACCCGCCCACTTTGACCTCCCAAAGTGCTGGGATTACAGGCATGAGCCACTGTGCCCGTAATTTTTAAATAAATGTTTTTATTTTTAAATAAACAACTGGGCTCGGTAAATTGTAAAGAGATGTGGCCTGACGCAGTGGCTCGCGCCTGTAACCCCAGCACTTTGGGAATTGGAGGCGGGAGGATTGCTTGAGGCCAGGAGTTTGGGACCAGCCTGGGCAACATAGGGAGACCCTGTCTCTACCAAAGAATAAAAAAAAATTACCAGGGCATGAGCCTTTGGTGGGGGAGGTGGAGCTGGGGGCAGGGACTGAAGTGGGAGAATCACTTGAGCCCACGAAGCCAAGGCTGCAGTGAGCCGTGATTGCACCACGGCACTCCAGCCTGGCAACAGAGTGAGACCCTGTCTCGAACAAAACAAAACAAAACAAAAAAGAAAGAAATGTAAATGTTTCCCTTTGACTCTTTTAGAAACACAAATCAGGAAGCTCTCAGCAGGGGTGTGCTGGAGATCATGTATGCAGCTGGGTGAGAGGCAACTGAACATGTCTCTTCCTAACTCCATGTTCAGTAACTTTTTTGAAAGGGTAGCTGGAAGTCAGCTACCGTGGAAGTATTTACACCACAGAAATTGGCAACAACGGCAATTCAGGACTCCTCTGCCCCTACCTGCACCCCAGCCCCCAGGCAGTTGTTAAATATTTATCTGCACTCACAACTTTGGTGACTTTCTGGAGCCACAGTGGCTTCCAGCCCTGAGGTTTTTTAAAAGTCTAGCCTCTGATTTTAAAACAAAGACTGTGTGGCTTTGGGCAAATAACGTCCCCTCTCCGATCTCACTTTTCTCCTTTGTAAAGTGGGGAGAGCAGCGATGTCTGTCTGTGCACCTCAGGAAGTTGTAAGGGGAAATGAGATGGTGCAGCTCCAGGGAACCTGCAAGGCTGCGAGCTAACAGAGTGCTCTGCACTCAGCACAGCCCCTGCACAGAGCAGGTGTCTGCACCGACATGCTGAAGGAGTCAACAAATGTGCTGCATGGTGGCGCTGTGCTCTTGTAGTTTTCTCGTTTAAGTAGATGTTTTCCGTCTACTTAATGGCTAGGCTTGGTAAATTGTAAAGAGATGTGGCCTGTGTGGTGGCTCATGTCTAGAACCTCAGCGCTTTGGGAGGCTGAGGCAGGCAGATTGCTTGAGCCCGGGAGTTGGAGACCAGCCTGGGTAGTACAGGGAGACCCATCTCTACTAAAAATACAAAAATTAGCCAGGCATGATGGGGTGTGCCTGTAATACCAGCTACTTGGGAGGCTGAGGCAGGATTACTGAGCCTGGGAGGTCAAGGCTGCAGTGAACTGTGATTGCGCCATTACACTCCAGCCTGGGTGACAGAGCGAGACCCTGTCTCTAAATAAATAAATAAATGAAAAAGTAAAGTGCTATACAAAGTTGTATCTGTCTATGGGTTAATCTGTCTGAACCTCAGTTTCCCCACTTATGAATGAATGGCAAGACAACTTGATTTTTTTTTTTTTTTTTTTTTTTTGAGATAGAGTCTCACTCTGTTGCCCAGGCTGGAGTGCAGTGGTGCAGTCTCAGCTCACTGCAGCCTCCACCTCCCGGGTTCAAGCAATTCTCCCGCCTTAGCCTCCCAAGTAGCTGGGATTACAGGTGCTCACCACCACGCCTGGCTAATTTTTTAAATTTTTAGTAGAGACGGGGTTTCACCATGTTGGCCAGACTGGTTGCAAACTCCTGACCTCAAGTGATCCACCTACCTCGGCCTCCCAAAATGCTGAGATTACAGGTGTACAGCCAACTTGACTTCTTAACTCCCTTGCTCTCTCAACCTGATATGTCTGAGTCTCTGCAGCTGTAGCTCATCTCCTCTCTCATAAAGCCCACACCTGCGCAGTGCTCGCCTTGGGGACCACCTGGACTCCTCATCCCACCCACTCTGTCCAGCTGCTTTCCTGAGGAGGAGCAAGTTCCCTGATCTGCCTGGGATGGAAGGAAGGGAGGGAGACGTGGGAGGAGGCCTGGATCTCATTCTAAACCATCCGGCTCCAGTGCAGGAGTCGGGCGAAGGAAGGAGCTGCAGGGCTGGAGCTGTCATCCTCCTGGTAGGAAAGGAAGACCAAGGCTAAAGTCCTCTCCACTGCCTCTCCCCATGGGAGTCAGTGGGTGTGTGTTGCGGGGAGATGGATTCCAAGATAAGTACTCTCTGAGCAGCCCTCAGAGGGGGCGTGGGAAATTCACCTCAGTCTCCAGGGTCCCCAGTCCATTCACCACCTGAGCACTGCCGTCCCCCACTGCTCCCATGACCTCATTCTCCAGTGGTGGCAAAAGCAAGAAACAGTAATCAGGAAGAAACAAGGGGAAGCTAGGGTGGGGGCAGTGGCATCCACAGCAGGAGAAGCAGGCAGCCTGGACTGTGGGGGCAGCAGAAGAGAGGAGAGGCCTGCAGGATGACGGGTGGGAACAGGGCGTCTGGAGTGCCAGCACAGTACCGCGGTCAGGCCGCCTCTGTGGGCCTCCTCTCTCTCCACAGCAGCGGGGAACTGGGGGACCCATCAGACTTGCTGACAAGAAATATGCCGTCCTAGAGAGAGAGAGACAGAGGGAGAAAGACAGAGTAAGGACAGGAAAGAGAAAGCAATGCGTGCCATCCTTCCTCCTCATGTTCAAGTTTATAAACATTGCTTAAGGTGGACTTTGAGGGGTTAGAAGAGGCTGAAAATGCCCTAGAGTCTCAGCCATGAGAAGAACAGCAAAAAAGCAGTCGGGGCAGAGAGAAAAGGGGCTCACATGCTTCGAGGGCTCCTGGGGTCCTTGTGCGTTGAGTGTCTCCCTTAATTCTCAGGACAACACCATTTGCATGGCATCACCAGCCCCATGTGTGGATGCGGCTCACTGAGTCCCTTGTCCAAGGTCACACAGGCGGTAAGGGCAGAGCCTGTCTGCCCAGCTGCGGCAACCCTAAGCCTCCTCTCCTTGTGTGGTCACCCTCCGGGGGCCGAGCTTCTTTTCCTCCATGCTCTCATCAGTGCCCCCATCTGCTTTCCCCTTTCCACTCGGCCTGGAGCAGCATCTGGCCTGTGGGTAGCAGGTGCACCCTCCTAGTGGCATGGGAGTGGGGGGCACCAGCATTTCAGACAGGCCTCAGGGATGTAGATGCTGCTCAGCTCCAGGGAATCTTTATTGACACCAATGCCAGAGTAGTCTTCTTTTCACTGCATGGAATGACATTCCAAGGTCTTGAATGTTTCAGGGGCTGAAGTGTCCTGCAGCAGGGCATTGTGTTGGGAAGAGAGCATGCTTTGGTGCCAGACCCACGGGGGCGCAGTCCTGGGTTAAGTAGGAGGGACTAATTCCAACGTTAAGGATAAATAAATAATGAGATACAGGCCAGGCATGGTGGCTCACACCTGTAATCCCAGCATTTTGGGGGTCTCAGGCAGGCATATCACCTGAGGTCAGGAGTTTGGGACCAGCCTGGCCAATATGGTGAAACCCCCTCTCTACCAAAAATACAAAATATTAGCCAGGTGTGGTGGTGGGCACCTGTAATCCCAGCTACTCGGGAGGCTGAGGCAGGAGAATTGCTTGAACCTGGGAGGCAGAGGTTGCAGTGAGCCGAGATCATCCCACTGCACTCCAGCCTGGGTGACAGAGCGAGACTCAGTCTCAATAAGTAAATAAATAATGAGATACTATGTGAACCATGGACAAAGCTCCTCTAGGTTCCTTACATAGGAGGGGATGTGGGGGTGGGGCACCCAGCAGTGGCACGGGACGCCCACCCCTTTGTGGATGCCCCTACTCAGCTCTTCTGCCACCTTGGGAAATTTTCCTCCAAACCACCTTCAGCCGAGCGAGAAACGTATGTCCCCACCTACTTCTAGTGACGAAAACCCAATTCAAACTCGCTTAAATGGAAAAGGGGGGTGCACGGAGGATACTGAAGTAGCCCAAAGAACCAAAAGAAGAGCTGAATAGTGGGGCAGGTCCTGGAACCCCAGGGCCCAGAACATACCAGCACTTCCTGTTTCTCTCCATGAGGTGGCTTCATTCTCTGCCTTTCCCCATGAGCCCGGTACTGTGGCCATTCACAGGTTCTGAGCCTGCATCTTCTCAGCTTCATTACCAGACAGCAAAAGGCCTCTTGGTTACAGTTGAAAAGTCCCAGGGGAGGTCTCTGATTGGTCCAGCTCACAGCCGATACCCAGGCCTGGAACAATCACAGCGTGGCCAGAGAGGCAGGATCATGGAAGAAGATGGCAGCTGTGGTTCAGCCCACCTGTAGGAATGGGCCAGGCACAGTACCCCAAGGGGAATGCTGCTGTTTCCAGAAGACGAAAGGGTGTTGGGCGGACCAAACACTGAGTGGTTCTTTCCTCTTGTGGGGTAACTCATTCTCAAAGCTCAATTCCTGGCTGTCTGCTTCTTATTCTTTTTTCTTTCTTTTCTTTCTTTCCGTTCTTTCTTTTCTTTCTATTCTTTTTCTCTTTCTTTCTTTCTTTCTTTTTCTCTCTCTCTCTTTTTTTTTTTTTTTTTTTTTCAGTCTTGCTCTTGTCACCCAGGCTGGAGTGCAGTGGCACAATCTCAGCTGACTGCAACCTCTGCCTCCCAGGTTCAAGCGATTCTCCTGCCTCAGCCTCTCAAGTAGCTGGGATTACAGGCGTGTACCACCACACCCAGCTAATTTTTGTATTTTTAGTAGAGACAGGGTTTCTACTAAAAACCCTGTTGGCCAGGCTGGTCTCGAACTCCTGACCTCAAGTGATCCACCTGCCTCGGCCTCCCAAAGTGCTGGGATTACAGGCATGAGCCACCATGCCTGGCTGGGCTGCCTGCCTTTCAAAATTGAAGAAAACCAACCCCAAGTCATGGTTCCTGGGTGGGTATCGTGGCCTAGAGAGAAGTATCAGAGCACCTCAGATTGTCATTTTAAAAAAGAAGCCTTTCATGTACAGTTCCAGCTTTTTCCTCCCAAGGGTGTTGTGGTAGGTGTTTCTGTCTTTCCACTCCACAGACAAGAAACTGAGGTCCAAATGACTTGCCTGAGGTTATCCAGCAAGTCGTGAGCAGAACTAGAACGAACTTGGATCTCCTGACTCTGAGGTCCTGTGAGAAGTTTCTGCAGGGACCAAAGTAGGACTCGAGCCTGGCTGCAAGCCCTGAGCCTTGCTGGGGGATTTGTCCAGGAGGGGTGAGGTGGATGGTGGACAGCAACATGCAAAAGTCAGCCTGTCCATCTGCAGACATTCACAGAGCACTCAGCGAGGTTCAGGACCAGATGATCATGGTCTCACACATCCCCAGCCTCCAAATAGACCCTCATGTCCACAGTGTGGTGAGTGCAGTGGGAGGGGGGCACCTGGCCTGAGCCAGGCAGAGGAGGGAGCTGGCCAAGGAGGGCTGCTCAGGGGAAGTGGCCCTTGAGCTAGATCTGCAAGGATGAGCTAGACAGGAAGAAGGGGTGGAAGAACATCTTGGGTCAGGGGAATAGCAGTTGTGAAGGCGCAGAGGCAAGGAGAAGCAAGCATGGGATCCCATTTGTCCTGCCCCCAAGAGCAGCCAGGTCTCTGCGTTGAGTCACTTAGCCTCACACCACAACACTCTCCTCTCCAGGTCCGCACCTGTCCCTGTCTCCAGCAGCGCCAACATCATTGTCCCAGGCTGCTGGGTGCACTTACTGCCTTCAGTGCAGCAGGCTGACCTGTCAGACTGTCCGGGAAGAGGCCTCGATGCCCTCTGCCTGTGATATGCTCCTGACAACAGGCTCTGCCTCTGTTTCAGAATCTCGGCGAAGGAGCATCTTTGAATATCACCGCATAGAGCTGGACCCCAGCAAGGTCACCAGCATGTCGGCCGTGGAGTTCACCCCATTGCCGAGTGAGTAGGGGTCATTCCGCCATCCCAGAAAGAGCTCTGGAGTCAAGCAGACTGGCTTCATGTCCCAGGCCCATGACTGACTCCTGTTTTGTGCAGCCACCTAACTTTTCGGGGCCCTCCATCTCTCTTTTGTAACCCGAGCCTGATGCCACCTCCCTCCCAGAGATAGGGTAAGGGTGAGAACCACCTAGGTGGAGTTGAGCACATCGGCCGCAGCTCTGACATTGATGGGTCCATTCTGGGTTTGGGGTGGGGGTTAGGGCTTGATCTAGGACAGCTATTGTTATTCCCACATAATTGAAACCCGGGAAAGCTGTACCTCTGAGAACGCCTAGACTGAGCCCCCAGAAAAGGTGATCCAGGAACTAGACGGGCCTCAGTTTGTCACTGTATTCTCCTTAGAGGAGGTGATGCTGCGGTCCACAGGCAGGAGGCAATGGAGGGACTTAGCAGGTGGCCTCCATAAACCATGGGACCCTGGCCCTCTGCACCCCACTCACCCATGCTGAAGGCAGCCACCTGCTGTTGTGGAGCCCACAGGATCCGCGGTGGATGCTCTTCGGGATGGGGCTGGGACAGCTGAGACTGCGGGAAGGAGTACAGCATCTTCCTTCTTGTTGTTTTATGAAGGTCTTCATTTCCTCTCCCATCTTGTGGTGCCCCCAGCTTCCTGCTGAAGCCATGGCCTTCTCCCTGCCTCAGTGGCATTTCTTCTTTTTCTTCTTCTTTTTTTTTTTTTTTTTTTTTGAGACAGTCTCACTCTGTTGCCCAGGCTAGAGTGCAGTGGTGTGATCTCGGCTCACTGCAATCTCTATCTCCCAGGTTCACGTGATTCTCCTGCCTCAGCCTCCCAAGTAGCTGGGATTACAGGCACCCGCCACCATGCCCGGCTAATTTTTGTATTTTTAATAGAAATAGGGTTTCACTCTGTCGGCCAGGCTGGTTTTGAACTCCTGACCTCAAGTGATCCACCCACCTCGGCCTCCCAAAGTGCTGGGATTACAGGTGTGAGCCACCACGCCTGGTGCTGGGATTTCAGGCGTGAGCCACCATGTCCAGTGTTGGAATTACAGGCATGAGCCACCATGCCCGGTCTTCAGTGGCATTTCTTGCCTCTCTTTACCCCTGCTTCCTCTTCCTTGGAGGTCCTGAGAGCAGGGGGTGGAGAAGGAAGAGGAAGAGAAGGAGGGAGGATCTTCTCAAATGCTAGGCCATGTCTCAGACAGGGCTCAGCAGGTGTCTTTCCCTGGACAACAGAAAGGACTCAGACACCAGGGGGTCACAGGGCTGGGACACTTTAGGGGTCACAGGGCTGGGACACTTTAGAGGTCACAGCCATACCCCAACCCTATCACTCTCCATCGGGGCAGAAGGCTCAGGGCCTGAGAACCAGGGTTCCTCGAGGACTGGTGAGAGCAAACCTTAGCCTCTATGATGTGGATAAAACTGCATTTAGGAGCAAGGACATCCAAGGGCAGGGCTGACTGCCTGGGTGGAAGCAGTGAAATGTTTTGGGAATGCATTTCTGGGACACTGTACATTTAAGGTACTTCTCACCCCTCCGGTGAATTTTGTGAGCATTTAATAGCATTCAGGCCATCTGAAATGTTGATGAGAAATAAAGGTCAGTAGGTGTTATGAATACCCCAGGAGGATCCCAGGAGTTTCTCTGTGGCCAGTTTGACTGGAGTCTTTTAAGGGGCCTCCAAAGTCACTGGGAAAGGCAAGGGCAGGGCTCCCACCTGGAAGCAGCTGGTGAAGGAGGGGTAATGCTATCAAGGCTGTGATTTGAGCCCCTGGGAAACCAGATAGGGAGAAAACTCTCTGTATCCCCTGGCTTCTCCCTTACCATTTGGGTGTGGGAAGGACTTGTCCAGATTACTTCAGAGGGGTGAGTGGCTTATCTCCAAGCCATCGTATTCTGTAGCTGGTCCCTCCTGGTCCCTCTTCTAGGAGAGACCCATAAAAAAGTGGCCTGGGGTGGGAGTGAGAGCTGAGGAAGGGGCAGGGGAAACCCACAGTGAGACCTCAAGGCTAAGAGCTCGATCTCTATGTTCAAACAGACCTTGGTTCAAACCCAGACCTCTCACTGTCAGCTCCACGACTCTCTCCAAGCCTCAGTTCCCTCCTCCATAAAATGGGGATAACAAGAGCACTTATATATTGATTCGACATACCATGTGCCAGGCACTGTTCCAGACCCTCTGGATACACAGGGAACAAAACAGCCAGAGAGTGCTCATCCTCCTGCACAGGGCAGCCCCTGCTTCTTTCCTGCCCATGGCTCTTTCCATCCACTCTCCCAGGGCCTTCAACACCACGGCAGACAAAAGGACACAGTGCCACCCACTGCCAGTCCCTCCCAGAGTGACTGAAGGTGGCCACACTGTGCCCATGCAGCCTCTCTCCCACTCACCCAGGGCTGGTTCCCAGCTGCCATCTTGCTGGGGCTCCATGTAATGCACATTGGCTCCTGAGTTAATGGATCACATGAGAATTCACACAGGAAGAAACACATGCAATGTTGATCAAATGAGTGGTCATTTTTCTGTTGTTAGTTGTCACTTCTTGTGGCTATCAAGGTGTTCTGTTCTGTTGCTTATAAGATAAGCCCTTCTGCACACAGTTGTTCTGGGTGAGTGCCTGTCTCTCTTTGCAATCAAATATACGGGCTTTGTGACAGCTACTTGCCGCTCAGAGGTCATCTGGTTCATTCAAGTGAGTAGCACTGGATTGCAAGTGAACAGCTCTTAAATCCAGCCCCCGTGCCTACTGCGCCCCCTGCCCTGCTGCTCCTGTGCCTGGCCTGTGCCAGAAGGGTTCACGCGCCCTCCAGCAACCTGGTCCCACTAATCTCTCTGTTCTCTGGCTCTGTCCTGCCCAGGCTGGGCCCCAGCTGTCGCTCCCTCTTCATTCGTACTAATTCCAGCCCCTTCACTCTGTGCAGCCTGGTAGCAGTTCTGGCTGCTGCTGGGATCACGTCTGGGCCGTTCCCCTCTCGGCTCTGCACATGGGACCTTTCTGCCTTGACTTCTTCTCTCCCAGGAGAGCTGTTTTCTCCCCATGGACCGAACATCAGGAGTGGGCAGTGAGTGCCCCCAACAAGCACTGGGGGCAACCAGAGCATCTTTTAAAACAATAACTTTTATTGTACATATTTCAGGTATACAGCATGATGCTATGGGATGCATATAGACAGTGAGATGGTTACCATGATGAAGCAGTTAACATATCCATCATCTCACAGTTCCCTTAGATTTTTTGTTCTTGTGGCAAGAGCAGCTAAAATCTACTCATTTAGCATGAACTCCACATACAGTACAATTTTATTACCTACAGTCCTCATGTTATACAGTAGATTCTAGCCTTGTTCATCCTACATACCTGCTACTTTGTATGCTCTGACCTTTAAAAAATCCCTTTCAACCCTTTGACTGTGGGATACACACCTGAAAGTATAATGTCTCCGACTAGGTGAGATTCCTTTGTACACACTTACAGCACCTTGTGATTTGCCGTCATAGACCTCGTGACAGTTCTAATTCTGTAGTGATTTTTGATTATCTGTTTAGTGTCTGTGTCCCCATATGAGTCTAAGCCCTAAGAAGGCAGGGACTAGGTCTCACTGCTGAATC
This sequence comes from Homo sapiens, assembly GCF_000001405.40. Lineage (NCBI taxonomy): Eukaryota > Metazoa > Chordata > Mammalia > Primates > Hominidae > Homo > Homo sapiens. Next base: position 39,083,971 of record NC_000017.11, on the reverse strand, counting down.
CCCAGCACCCAGTTTAGGGCCTGACCTTCTAGTGAGAAGGAAGGAAGCTAGGGAGGGAGGAAGCGAGGGAGGCAGGGAACAAGGGAGTGAGGGACAGAAGAAGGAAAAAAGGAAGGTAGGTAGGGAGGGAGGAAGAGATGGTGGGGAGGCTGAGGCAGGAGGATCACTTGAACCCAGAAGTTCGAGGCTATAGTGAGCCATGATCAGGTCATCACACACCAACCTGGGCAACACAGCGAGACCTCATCCCTTAAAAAAAGAAGTTAGGAATTGGGGCTAGACTGGACCAAGGGAGGTGGCATTAATGACCTTAAAGGTCTCCTCAAAGTCAGGGGCTCCATAGTTCTGTAAATACCAGGAATTCAGAGTTGCACCCTTTGGAGCCCAAGGAGAGGCTCGGTGCTGAGCGGCCACTGCCTTCTCTCTTGCAGCCTGCCTGCAGCATAGGAGCTGTGACGCCTGCATGTCCTCAGACCTGACCTTCAACTGCAGCTGGTGCCATGTCCTCCAGAGGTTTGTGCCCAGGGTTACCTGCTGACTCCCACTGGCCGACTGTGGAGGGGAAGAGGGTGGCATGGCCCCGTCCTGGCCTCACTGCCCACAGTCAGCCAACATGAGAGTATCTCTGGCCAGTACCACTCTGACTCTTGGGACAAGAACATGGCCTGGGGGCTTCTGGAAGACCATTTAGGGATTCCAGCTACTCAGGCTCCCTCCTCACACCCAGGAGGAGAGGGTTCATCCTGGAACAGGGCTTCTCGGAGTGTTCCACAGCTGTGGGCATTAGACCCTGGGCTCCAGTTAAACACACTGGATTCCTGGGACCCATCCCAGACCCTCTGTATCAGGATCTCTGGGAGAGAACCCAGGAAGCTGCATTTTAACATCATGCTTCATCTGCAAACAAGTGTGAGAACTGCCAGTTCAGAGACAAAGTCTGGTCCAAAGACCCATGACCCCAAAACACCACCTCAAGATCTTTCTTGGGCTGCAAGGGATTTTTCTGAAGACCAGGGGTGTGGACTACAGGCATCCATGGAAAGTTGGGAGAGCTAAAAAGCTGTGTTTGCTTGCTTTTAGAAGCTCAGAAAATTCTGGGTGAGATTCAGTTTCAGTGATAATGTTCTTAAATCCATCTCCTCTTCCACTCCTTGTTCTGAAATCATTTCCTCACAGATTAGACTCAGCATTCAAGCTCTGTTCCCTGTCCAAGATAAATAAATGACAGGAGGAGGGGGAAGAAAAAGATTTCCTTGGGGACTAGAGTTCTCATGAGAGTGGGAAGTCCTATGAACTCCAAGGGCTTTTAAGGCAATCTTGAAAATTGCTAAATTATAGTCTCTGAGTTCCTGTGCAGCTGTCGTGCTGCTCCTTTCCAATGCTCCTTTCCAGTGCTTTTTTTTTTTTTGAGAGAGTTTTGCTCTTGTTGCCCAGGCTGGAGTACAATGGTGTGATCTTGGCTCACTGCAACCTTTACCTCCTGAGTTCAAGCGATTCTCCTGCCTCAGCCTCTTGAGTAGCTAGGATTACAGGCACACACCACCACACCCAGCTAATTTTTTTGTATTTTTCTAGTAGAGATGGGGTTTCACCAAACCAAGAGTTTGGCCAGGCTTGTCTCAAACTCTTGACCTCAGGTAATCCATCTATCTCGGCCTTCCCAAAGGCGTGAGCCACTGCCCCGGCCCCAGTGATTTCCTTTGCCTCTGCACCATGGCCCACTCTGGAGTCTAAGAGTAACATTAATTCCAGGATTCCTTTGCTCCTTTCCAATATCCTGCTGCAAATGTAGAAGTTCTCGCCTTTATAGGCAGCCTGCCTAGCACACAGGACACAGCTCTGGGCCCAGAGGGGATGGGGTGTGCCCATCAGGTCTCCCAGGTGTTCTTCCCACCAGCTGTGCTTTTATTCACTCTCTTGGGGCCTCAGATTGTTTACCCTGTAAAATGGGCTGGGGTCATGTGATTCAGGAAGATGTGGGAACAAACACACTGTTATTTAAACTCCTCAAGCAGTTTTTGTTTTGTTTTGAGACAGGGTCTTGCTCTGTCATCCAGGCTGGGGTGCAGTGGTGCAATCACAGCTCACTGTGGCCTCAACCTCCTGGCTCAAGCAATCCTCCTGCCTCAGTCCCCCCTGTAGTTGAAACCACAGGTGCACACCACCACACCCGGCCATTTTTCTAATATTTTGTAGAGATGGGGTCTCACTTTGTTGGCCAAGCTGGTCTTGAACTCCTGGGTTCAAGTGATCTGCCCTCCTCGGCCTCCCAAAATGCTGGGATTACAGGTGTGAGCCACTGCACCCAGGCTATCAAGATATCAAGAAGCATTTTTTTTTTTTTTGAGACGGAGTCTCGCTCTGTCACCCAGGCTGGAGTGCAGTGGCGCGATCTCGGTTCACTGCAAGCTCCGCCTCCCGGGTTCTGGCCATTCTCCTGCCTAAGCCTCCCGAGTAGCTGGGACTACAGGCGCCTGCAACCACGCCTGGCTAATTTTTTGTATTTTTTTTTTTTTTTTTAGTAGAGATGAGGTTTCACCGTGTTAGCCAGGACAGTCTCGATCTCCTGACCTCATGATCCGCCCGCCTCGGCCTCCCAAAGTACTGGGATTACAGGCGTGAGCCACCACGCCCAGCCGCAAGAAGCATTTTTACAAAGCATTCAGCATCCTTCGCATGAGACTCACAGAGCCTCAGAAAGAATATGTAGGATAGACCCCAGGTTGGTTCTTCCTGGAGCAGAGCGTTGCAGAATAGTCTGCAGACTGTGAGGCTCTCCTTATACCTGGAGGGCTTGTAAAATGCAGATTCCTGGGCCCCATCCCACTGAATATGATCCTCTGGAACCAGGATCCCAGAAATCTGATTTTTGAAGTGGTCCCTCTTGTGTACTTTCAAATTTGAGAACCATGGTCTAAGCAATGGAGAGATGGCCTCAGATGAGCCCTGGGATCCTGGGGCTGGCTGCCACCACATGACTCAGCTTTCACAAGCGCTGAGCCATGAGAACTGCAAAATGGGTCAGATGACAGCCAAACTCTCCCATCAACACAACCCCCATTTAAAGCATATGCCCAAATTCAGAGACTATGAGTTAAATGAGGGTTGAGCCCTCCTCAACATTAGGAGGTTGGTCAGGCTGGGGGAAGGGCAAGGCCTCTGACTGTGTGCATCTGCAGGAGTTGTGTCAGCAAAGAGGAGCACAGAGAAACTCCACCTGGGGGAGCATGGCTGGTGCAGGCTGAAAATCATCCCATCCCCAGGCGCCCCATGGGCCTGGGCTCACTCCTGCACATTGTCCCTTCTTACAAGCTCTCTGGAGCCTCAGCTGCAACTGAGAGCTGAACCTAGGTCCCTAAAAACCCGGAGGGCAGGGCCAGCTGACATGGTCTCTCTGCCAACAGCTGCAGTCAGTCCCTGCATGGTTCTCTGCTCCCCTCCCCTCCACCCACTTTGCCTTTCACAGCCTCCCAGAGCTTTTCTCCTTGCTCTTGGGCTGGAATGGATTTAAACAATTTCGTCTCTCACGGCAGATGCCTGCCTGCCCCCGCCCCGCCATGACCCACTCTGGAGTCTAAGGGTAATGTTAATTCCAGGATTAGCTCCAGAAATGGGGGTCATAAACCCATACCAAAGGCTCAATCTTTGAAAGAATCAGTTAGCACAGTCTAAAAGAAACTATTTTTTTTTTTTAAGAGACAGGGTCTTGCTCTGTCACCCAGGCTGGAGTGCAGTGGTGCCATCATAGCTCACTATAGCCTTAAATTCCTGGGCTCAAGCAATCCTCCTGCCTCAGCCTCTCAAAACGCTGGGATTACAGGCATGAGCCACCACACCCAGCCCTAAAAGAAACTTTAGTTCTCAGCCTCCAATAGCCTTCCTAATCCTCCATCCCCCAAAGTAGTGGGCATAGAGGACCTGACAGAAGGAGAGTGTGGCTGGCTCAGTTCAGCCATCCCTGCTGCAGGAGGAGCAGCTCAGAGCCCAGAGGCATCTGCAGAAGGAAAGACTGACAGCTCCTGGCAAGCCTTGGCCCTTGGCCTCACCAAACCTCAGTGGGTGCTGGTGCAGTTAACCTGCTGAGAATTCCTTCTTGGCACTGGTGGTTCATGATGTTATTCTTCCCATGCAGACATCCCTGGGCTTGAGTAGGGCTTGGTGGGTTCCCCTAGCACCAAAGAGTAAAGAACGAAAAGTTGGGAATGATGCATGGAGAACATTCTCTGGTGCATCGTCATGCCCCCATCCTTTCCCTACAGGGGCGCTTGGTGTCTTCCAGCCCAGCTGAGCTGTCCAATGCCCTCTCCGGAGACCCTTGTCAGCCAGTTGTCTCCCAGCCTCTCTGGCAGGACCGTCAGAAATGCCCTTGAATGATCACATGGGGAGGTGTTGACTAAGTCTGCTGAGGCCTACCTTTAGCCCTACTCTCTTTCCCAAGTTTAGGTCCCTCAACAACCAGGATGAAAACACGTATGTGAATTGCCTGGATTCTCAGCAGTGTCACGGCAGCTCAGAGTCAAGGCGACCTTGAGGATCACTGGAGCTCATGCAGTCCTGCTAGCCCCTACACCTACTCACATGGGCAGATGTGGCCTTGGTCCTGGGGAGCTGGGTGGGAAGGAAGGCAGGGATGCCACAAATACCTTCATCTTCCGGGGAAGTAGAGGGAATGGGAGTGCCTGACTACCTCAGCCTGGGGACCTTGGCTCCTCTTCTCACTATCAGCAGAGAGCTGTTACTGAACAGTGAAAGGGGAAGGCTTCTTTGTCAATCCCATCATAACTCTGTCCTTTTGGTCCTCCTGCAGATGCTCCAGTGGCTTTGACCGCTATCGCCAGGAGTGGATGGACTATGGCTGTGCACAGGAGGTGAGAAGCATAAGTATCTGCTGCAACTCCTGTGCCAGGTGGTGGGGAACAGGAGGGCAGCCAGTAGGGCCTGCCCCTGGAAACTCTTCTCAAGGTGGCATTAGCTCTTGGCAATATCCTCCCTTCCATCTAAGATTTGTTTTCCAGACTGCCTTGAGCCAATCAGACCCACTTTGGAAGGTTTCAGAGGGCTCTGTGGGTCTCTGAGACGAGCATTCTGATGCCTTGACCTTAAGTGGGCAGCTCTCAAGGAATTCTTTTGGTGCATGCAGAGGGGATGTTGGGCATGGCCTCAGCCACTGCTGGCTCCTCTGGGAGACTGTGCACCTGCTGACCTTAATGATGCACCTGCTAAGCCTCTGGTCCTCTGGCTTTTGAGGAAGGCAGTCATTCTGGGAGTGAGAAGGGTGGTTCCAGGCATCTCCTCTTTAGAATCCCATCCAGGTTCCTTCTCACTGCAAGAATTTTCCAGTACACTCAACACTGATTCTAGGTGGAAAGCATCCTATTCTCACACCATAGACTAACATAGATGGGTCTATTCATCTGTGCCCTCTTTTTTGCCCCCTCCCTTTATATCTTCTTGCAAAGCAAGCATGCTGCATGTGCCAAGCATGTCACTGTGAGTTGCCCTACCCTCGCTCTTATTTAACCTGAACCAAAAGCTGGGGGCCATTGCCCCCATTGATCGATCACAGGGGAAAACTGGGGCTCAGAGAAGTTTAATGAATTGGCCTGCATCTCGCTGCTAGAAGGTGACGGGCCCAGCATTTAAATATCAACTCTCCAGACCCTGTGGCCATACACTTACCACAGTCTATTTATTAGTCTGAGTCTGGGCTTTAAAAAAACCCTGTCCAGCCGCCTACTTTTGAAGTTAGCTGTTGGTGACCGTTCAGATTTGCTCTATTTATTTAAGATTGGCATCTCAGCCCCTTCCTTGAGGAAGGATTTGAAGCAGCTGACAGATAAATTGCCCTGTAAGAGAAGATGCTTTCAGGATGAAGGGAAAGGTGTAAATGCATTCAAGACACAGCACTGGCTCTCTCCTGCAGGCAGAGGGCAGGATGTGCGAGGACTTCCAGGATGAGGACCACGACTCAGCCTCCCCTGACACTTCCTTCAGCCCCTATGATGGAGACCTCACCACTACCTCCTCCTCCCTCTTCATCGACAGCCTCACCACAGAAGGTAAGTTCTGAGCCCAGGAGGGGAGCAGAGAGGAGGCCAGGAAGGAGAGCTACCCACCCCTCTGGGGCCCCCTCTCTGTCCCTGACAGGGATGATCTCATGGGATGGGAACTGCCCCATCCTTTTATAGCTAAGGGGGCCTGAAGTTCAGACAGTTTAGGTCACTTGCTGGTGAGAAGCAGAGCCAGATTTAGAACTTGAACTCTACTCCTGGGCTCTAACCACTGTACTGGCCCACATCAGGGCTACAGACAATTCACTGTGAAGAGGGGAAAAATTAATAGCCCAGGCCAGTGCCAGGTATTTTATATACCTTATCTCAGCTAATCTTAATAGCAGTCCTCACAGAACCTGAAAAGGCTCATCCCTGTAGCAGGTATGAACTCAGTCCATACACTCAGGCGTGAGAGAAAGGCTGCCTTGTTTTTCTGTATGATCACCTGACTTCTCACTTTCAGGCCCTGGAGTGATGGATGGGGAATTCCACCTCAGCTGTCCATCCACCCTGACTATTCAGGTCTTGCAATCTAGGGGCTTCCCTGCTACCTGGAGGCCTGGGGGTCTTGGTTGAAGCTGCCAGAGGTCCATCCCCGTGAATGCACCAGGCGGTGTCCCAGGAAGCCTTGTGCAGGCTCCTCCGGTCCTAGGCCTCAAATCTCTTCCCTTTCTCCCATGCCCCCTCCAGGATTCTGTAGCTATGTCTGAGACATTCCTCTCCCTTATCCTTTTTCAATACCCTGCATCTCGGCCAGGCACAGTGGCTCACACCTGTAATCCCAGCACTTCGGGAGGCTGAGGTGAGCAGACCACTTGAGGTCAGGGGTTTGAGACCAGCCTGACCAACATGGTGAAACCCCGTCTCCACTAAAAATATAAAAATTGGCCGGGCGCGGTGGCTCACGCTTGTAATTCCAGCATTTTGGAAGGCCGAGGTGGGAGGATCACGAGGTCAGGAGTTCGAGACCATCCTGGCCAACACAGTGAAACCCATCTCTACTAAAAATACAAAAATTAGCTGGGCATGGTCGTGGGCGCCTGTAATCCCAGCTACTCGGGAGGCTGAGGCAGGAGAATTGCTTAAACCTGGGAGATGGAGGTTGCAGTGAGCCAAGATTGTGCCACTGCACTCCAGCCTGGGTGGCAGGGCAAGACCCTGTCTCAGAACAACACAACACAACACAAAACAAAACAAAACCCTGCATCCAGCTTTGAAAGCCCCTTCCCCTTAGGCTAAGACTGAAAGACTTGTGGGTTCTTTACAGCCTCCCCTGAACCAAATATCTGCTTGAAAGGAATAATGGCAAGAAGGAAAGGAAAGAAGAAAAAAGTTAACATTTTAAAACATTATTCAGCCACGTTTTTCTTCCCCCTCTAGCCCTATGTTAGGATTTTTTTTTTTTTTTTTGAGACAGGGTCTCACTCTTGCTCAGGCTGGAGTGCACTGGAGTGATCATGGCTCACCACAGCCCGCAACTCCTGGGCTCAAGCAATCCTCCAACCTCAGCCTCCCAAGCAGCTCGGACTGCAGGCATGTACCACCATACCTGGCTAATTTTTAAAAATTTTTTGTAGAGATGAGGTCTCACTATGTTGCCCGGGCTGATCTCAAACTCCTGGGCTCAAGCGATCCTCCTGCCTCAGCCTCCAAAAGTGCTGGGATTACAGGCCTAAGCCCCCATGCCTGGCCCATAGTCCTTTCTTATAGATAAGGAAAGAGGCTCGTAAAGGGGCAAAGTAGGTTATTCAGGGTTATGGGAGGGGTAAGTGGTGAGATGTTCTTTCCACAATGTCCCCTTTCTTTTTTCTTTCTTTTTTTTTTTTTCTTTTTTTTTTTTTCAGACTTAGTCCTGCTCTGTTGCCCAGGCTGGAGTGCAGTGGTACAATCCCAGCTCACTGCAACCTCTGCCTCCCAGGTTCAAGCAATTCTCCCACCTCAGCCTCCCAAGTAGCTGGGACTACAGGTGCACACCACCACACCCAGCTAATTTTTGTATTTTTAGTAGAGACTGGGTTTTGCCATGTTGGCCAGGCTGGTCTTAAACTCCTGACCTCATGTGATCCACCCACCTTGGCTTCCCAAAGTCTTAGGATTACAGGCGTGAGCCACTGCACCTGGTGTGTCCCCTGCCTTTCTAAACGTTACCTAGAAAACTAGAGAACAAAGTCAGTGACCCATGGACCTGGCTGGGGGGAGGTTGTGGAGGAGAATGAATGAATGATAGAAAGCATCAGCATTTGTGGGGACCAACTATATGCCCAGTAGGATGCTAAAGTAGCGCATAAATTAACATTCAGTCCTCCCAACAATCCTGGATCTTGATACTGTTATATCCCTGTTTTATAAAGGAGACACTAAGGCTCAGAGAGGCAGATGACTTTCCCAAGGTCACACAGCCAAGAAGGGATAGAGTCAGGTTTCATCTAGCTCCAAAAGCAGAGATCTTTCCCCTCAACCCCACTGCCTCTCTTGGTGCTGAAAGAAATGGAAAAGGGTCTATGTGAATTCAGGGTCAGGGCAGAGTAGCAAAGTGTGAAAAAGTGAGGCAGATTCCGACAGCTCCCATTACTCTGAAGTTGCTCTGGAATAACAAGGAGCTGGCACTGAGAGCAGAGCACGTGGTGGTGCTGCAGGGGATTCAATGAAAAAGAAGCAGAGGCTGGGAGAGGAGGCTTACGCCTGTAATCCCAACACTTTGGGAGGCTGAGGCAGGCAGATCACTTGAGCTCAGGAGTTCGAGACCAGCCTGGGCAACATGGCAAAACTATGTCTCTACAAAAAATCAAAAATTAGCTGGGCGTGGTGGCGCACATGTGTAATCCCAGCTACTCAGGAGGCTGAGGTGGGAGGATTGGTTAAGCCTAGGAGGTTGAGGCTGCAGTGAGCTATGATTGCACCACTGCACTCTAGCCTGGGTGACAAAGTGAAACGCTGTCTCAAAAAAAGAAAAGGAAAGAAAGAAAGAAAAAGGAAAAGAAAAAGAAGCAGAAAGAAACTTTGCCCTTTGGGGAGCTGGTGACAGAGTCCAGGGTTAACCTTCCAGTCAAAGAAAGCTCCTCCTACAAGGAGGTAGTCCCTGATTAGTTACTGCCAGTTAACCCCCTAGGCTTACTGAGGGCATGTTCTGAGCCCAGCACTGGGCCAGGGCGGGGAGGGGTGCTGCAAACATACCCTGCCCCACCCAGAGGGTTTAGCCAGACAGTGTCTGGTGGAGGCACAGTGTCAGAGGCTAGAAGGGGGTCTGTGGTGGCGTGGGGAGCCCAGGGCACAGCACTTGGGGGCCAAGCCTAAATCCTGACTTGTTATTACTGAGCCCCCTGGGCTGTCCTACAGCCCACCATGTAGGTCCTCTGTCCTACAGAGGTAGCGAGTTCTGTTTGCCAGTTTTATTATCTGTGTGCATCCCCTGCCAGCTAAGGAATGGGTCTCATTTCCATGTTTTGTGTAGTGGTTCCCAACAGAAAACATTCATTAGAGTAAAAAGTGAAGACAGTTAGGGCTCTATGTCCTTCCAGTCCTGGAAGAGGTGGCAAAGATTCTGAAGTTACATCTATAAGAGAAAAAACTTTTTGGAGGGTGGAACAGGATCTTGCTATGTTACCTAGGCTGGACTTGAACTCCTGGGCTCAAGGATCCTCCCACCTCAACCTACTAAGTGCTGCAGGTACATGCCATTGTGCCTGGTTTATAAGAAAAAACATTTTTAATGATGACTTCCCCCCACATGCCCAACTTGCAAGGCATCTTGGCAGGAGAGTTTGAGTCACTCTCCTGCCTGTGTGGTTACAGCCCACACAGGGAGACTTGCAGAGGCAGGTGTGGGATAGAGTCTTTCCCATACATTCTATGAGGGTACAGGCTCTAACAGGGAGATTGAATGAAGGGACCCAGCACTCCAGCCAGAGGGGCCTGCCTGGGCAGGCAGAAGTAGAAAGCAGCAGGGCAGGAGGAGTGGGAGACATGGGGCCTGGATTTAAGAGCCGTTCACTTGCAGTCAAACGCTACTCACTTAAATGAACCAGATGACCTCTGAGTGGCAAGTAGCTGTCACAAAGCCCATGCATTTGATTGCAAAGAGAGACAGGCACTCACCCAGAACAACTGTGTGCAGAAGGGCTTATCTTATAAGCAACAGAACAGAACACCTTGATAGCCACAAGAAGTGACAACTAACAACAGAAAATGACCACTCATTTGATCAACATTGCATGCATTTCTTCCTGTGTGAGTTCTCATGTGATCCACTAACTCAGGAGCCAATGTGCATTACATGGAGCCCCAGCAAGATGGCAGCTGGGAACCAGCCCTTGGTGAGTGGGAGAGAGGCTGCGTGGGCACAGTGTGGCCACCTTCAGTCACTCTGGGAGGGACTGGCAGTGGGCGGCACTGTGTCCTTTTGTCTACCAGTGGTAGGTGCAGACTGAGCCATAATTGATCTTCAATGGTCTAGATTTGCAACAAGTTGATTCAAATCAAGTTAATTTGCCCAGTGATATTTAAGTTCCTTTGCTTAGTTTTGATGAATCAATTCATTGTTTTCAATTTGCAGTAACGAAATAGATTCAAAGTTGTGTTTAAATACCTTGTTAGGCCAGGTGAGGTGGCTCTCGCCTGTAATCCCAGTGCTCTGAGAGGCTGAGGTAAGAAGATTGCTTGAGCCCACGAGTTGGAGACCAGCCTGGGCAACACAGTGAGACCTCATCTCAAAAAAATCTTTTTTAATTAGCCAGACGCAGCTACTCGGGAGGCTGAGGTGGGAGGATCACTTGAGTTCAGGAGGTCGGGGCTGTAGTGAACTGTGATTGTACCACTGCACTCCAGCCTGTGTGACGGAGCAAGACCCTCTCTCTAAAATACATAAATAAATAAATAAAGTTCAGGTGCTTAGGGCAAGAATCTTCAGTCATTTACAGCATTCTCCTGACATGGAACTCTTGCTTTTCTTTCCCCATAAAAATCTGCATGGGAAGGAACCACAGGAAGGGTGGACCCTTGAAACTTACTTAGAAAGCCACAGGCTACAGGCCTCGAGGTATAGACAGAAAGTGGGTTGGGACTCTCTCCTGCACACTGCAGCCCCAGGGAGTCTCCAGGCTGATCTGACCTTGTGACACATAAAGCCCCTCTTCAAACCCTTACACATCTCTCTGTCGCCCCACAGAAGAACGTGCATGGCCTCCTATTGCTCTCCAGGCAGCCGGCCCTCCACTCCCAGCCTCATCTCTCACCAGTCCCCGCTCATTTACTCCCCAGCCTCCAGCTACACTCAACTGCTGTGTGACTTGAGCAAGTCTCCTCCCCTCTCTGAGCCTCAGTTTCCTTACCTCTAAAATGAAAGTTTGGGCTGAACTTTCATCCCATCTGGACTCAGAGTGACAAAGGCTGTAATGATTCCACTAATCTTGCTCCTTCTGTCTTCTCTCTTTGAAGATGACACCAAGTTGAATCCCTATGCAGGAGGAGACGGTGAGTACAGAACTGCCTGCCCTCAGCGTCAGACCCAGCGCCTCTTGGACCCACCCCAGAAGAGGGTGCAGCAGTCGCCTGGGCTATTTTTATGAGTGCGGAGAGGGAGCAACGGCAGCCTGAGCATCCCAGACCTCCTGCTGGGTGGGGAGGCAGGGGGGCTTCTGGGCACAGGTGCCCTAGATCGAAGGAACATGTCTACCCTAGACATTTCTCATCTCAGCCCTGAACCTCCTGTGGTTCTTCTCCTGGCTCTCTGTCCTTGAATATTCACTGCCCAGAAAGGAGTGGGAGGAGGGGAAGGACTGAGCCAGGGCAGGTATAGGTGGGGCCTGTGGCCATCCCCTCTGATCCCCATGGGCTCATAGTCAGCAAGGGGTGGAGAGCAGCTTCTCTTTCCTCACTCAGGCTGGCAGAGGACATAAAATTGTCCGCTACAATTTTTGCAGGATGCCAGAAGGTGGGACTCCCTGCAGCCTCCTAGGATTACCTAGAAGGATAATCTCCTTTCTGAGGGTGGGAGCTGCCCCCACCTCCCCTGCCCTTTGCCCAGAGCCAGCTCAGGCCTTTGCGGCAACCTGTGCAAGAGTAGAGATGAAAGTGCCTTCCAGCTCCGGGGGCTGGAGATTGTCATCAGGGCTTCCAGCAGGAGAGGAAAGATTATTAATGCAGCACAGTGTGATGGTGTCCCCCAGCAGAGGTGGAGCCATTGCTCCTCCATAGGCAGTGGGTGTGTGTGTGTGTTGTGGGGGTGGCTGGGCCATAATCCCCTCGCTGTGCACCATGTGCTCATCAGCAGAAGCCTTCATCATCAAATCATCAGAGCCACTGCAGGCTGCGGGCTGATTGCCATCCAGGTCAGGGGAGGCTCACCTGGGGCATTTCACCTCAGTCCTCCCACCTGTTGGCAGACAGAGGCCCTAGCCATGCCCTGGAGTGCCCCAGGATAGTTTCTCTCCTGGGTGTCCTCTGCTTACAGAGTGCAGAGCAGAGCAAAGGGGATGGGGAAGACAATGGTTCTGAGTGCATGCAACATCCCATTAAAACTTGCCACCCCTAGTTCCCTCCCAACCCACCCACTAGCTATGTAGGAAGAATGCAACATTTTTGTTGCCAACCTGCTCATCTGTCTTCTCTACCTCATTATCTCTTTTAGGATAGGGTGAAGAGGCAAATAGCCACCCAAGGTAGTGTCAGGGAACTAGGTTTTTTAGTGGTGGGCACTGAATTTGTGTGTCTGTGGGGAAATCACTTAACCTCTCTGTTATTTCCATTACCTCAGTCATGCACAAAAGGGGTTGAGCTTCCAGCTCTGTGGAAAATACTCTCTCCCCCGGGACGTATTTCAAGTGCCTAGGATGTTCTCAGAGGGTGACTGTTGGCTTATTAGCTTCCAGAGGACCTAGATCATCCCATAGACTTTCTTTGAGCTTCTCTGACGGGCCTGCCAGTTTTGTTGTTTTGTTTTGTTTGAGACGGAGTCTCACTCTATCGCCCATGCTGGAGTGCAGTGGTGCGATCTCGGCTCACTGCAACCTCCGCCTCCTAGGTTCAAGCTATTCTCCTGCCTCAGCCTCCTGAGTAGCTGGGACTACAGGCGCGTGCCACCATGCCTGGCTAATTTTTGTATTTTTAGTAGAGACAAGGTTTCACCATGTTGGCCAGGCTGGTCTTGAAATCCTGACCTCAGGTGACCTGCCTGCCTCGGCCTCCTAAAGTGCTGGGATTACAGGGGTGAGCCACTGCGGCCAGCCCCTGCCAGTTTTTCTAAGAGCTGAGGACACAGAGTTGAATAAGACATCATCCTTGCCCTGCAAGAGGTCACAATCTGGGAGTGGACAGTGATAGGAAAAACTATGGTCATTTGCCATCATAATAGCTAATACTTATTGAAGTCATCCAAAATGGGAGACATGGTCCTCAGTGCTTGACATGGATCATCTAATTTTAACCTTCACAATAACCCTATTAGGTGGGTGTTATTATCCTTGTTCAAAAGAAATGATAATGAAGACACAGAGAGGTTAGATAATTTGCACAAGGTCACACAGCTAGTAAGTGGCAGAGCATAGATTTCAACCCAGGCAGCCAGATTTCAGATCCCAAACTCTTAACCCTCCGATGCCCTTTGTGAATTCCTTAATAGCACTTATGTAGTGGCACAGATATCAGAGAGAACTTCTCTTATGATCCTTATTAGACATTTGGGGCAACTTTTACATGATTTTGGAAAACTACCCAGATGGTGTCAAGAACATGAATGCCTTACTCATAATGATTCCAACTCCCACCCAACCTCTTCCTGTATTGGATAAGTGGACCCAAAGGCTCTGTCGGCTTTCATCTCTGAGACTTTGTTAGAACCCAAGACCCCATGGTTCGACCTTCCCTGCTCCCCTGCAGCCCCTGTCTGCCCTAATGATCTCTCCACAGGCCTTCAGAACAACCTGTCCCCCAAGACAAAGGGCACTCCTGTGCACCTGGGCACCATCGTGGGCATCGTGCTGGCAGTCCTCCTCGTGGCGGCCATCATCCTGGCTGGAATTTACATCAATGGCCACCCCACATCCAATGCTGCGCTCTTCTTCATCGAGGTCCGTGTCATCTGTGGCCACAGGGCTCCTGTCTGCTTCTGCGTCGGCGTCTCCTGGGCCATTCGGTCCCTGCCTCTCCCCTTCTCCCTCTCCCCTGCCACATACCTGAGAAAACTTCATCCACCCCATCCTGGCACATTTCGAGATGGCTGGCGCCCGTTAAGTCCTGCACCCTGATAAATCAGCACCTCAGAACTCCCTCGGCCCTCCTGTCCTGTGGAACAGCCCCTCTGCTTTTGTTCCCCCATTTGTGAAATCAGAAAAAATCCCCAGAGGAAAGAAAGAAGGCCACAGTGCCACATAGTGCTCATCTAGTGGCTGTGCAGCCTATCTCCAGTGATTTATGGTCTCTCATGCCCAAATGCCAGGCTCAGTACTTACTCAAAGCCATGAGGGAACCAGGGTCTCTGCCTCTTTTGCCTACTGATACCTGCTTTTAAGGCTAAAATTGAGGGGCAGGTGCAGTGGCTCCTTCCTAAGATCCTAGCACTTTGAGAAACCAAGGCAAGATTACTTGAGCACAGGAGTTTGAGACTAGCCTGGGCAACAGAGTGAGACCCCGTCTCTACAAAAATTTAAAAAATTAGCCCAGCGTGGTGGCACGTACCTGTGGTCCCAGCCGCTTGGGAAGCTGAGGTGGGAGGATCCCTTGAGCCCAGTGGTTTGAGGCTGCAGTGAGCCCTGACCATACCACTGCACTCCAACCTGGGCAATAGAGGAGACCCCATCTCTAAAATAGAAATAAAAATAAAATAGACAAGCCAAATAATGATAAGAGCTGCCCTCTGGGAGCTTTAATTGAGGATACTAAGTTTTGAATGTCTCAATTCTGAAGAGCCAGCCTGAGGGGCAGCATGGGATGTGAGGCTCAGCCCCCTTCACTCGGGGCTGCAGAGCTCAGCAGCTCCTGCCCCCAGTCCTCCACTTCTGGCTTCTTACGAGTTCCCCACAGAGTGCAGCAGTGGTGCCTCTGTGACCCTAGTTTCTTCCACGTGGGTCACAAGCCCACCAGCCTCATTAACCCACAGGCCTAGGTCATTCCCCCAGTTTCTTAGGAGGCTTAGTCATTCTGAAGTCTTAGCCTACCTGGGTAACACCTGGGAACTGCAGATCCCTGGGCCACAGGGATTCTGATAGGGCAGGTCTAAGGCAGGCCCAGGAATCTGCATTTTATTTATTTCGAGACAGTCTCACTCTGTCGCCTAGGCTGGAGTACAGTGGCACAATCTTGGCTTACTGCAGCCTCCGCCTCCTGGGTTCAAGCAATTCTGGTGCCTCAACCTTCTGAGTAGTTGCGACTACAGGCACGTGCCACCACACTCAGCTAATTTTTGTATTTTTAGTGGAGACAGTGTTTCACCATGTTGGCCAGGCTGGTCTTGAACTCCTGGCCTCAAGTGATCTGCCCATCTTGGCCTCCCAAAGTGCTGGGATTACAGGCATAAGCCACTGCACAGGCCAGAATCTGCATTTTAATAAGCCCCCTGTTGACTCTGATGTGGATCCTGTGCTACCTTGGAGGGTTATCTTGGCATTTTCAGAGCCTCAAGCATCATGCCAGCCATCTCTGAGCCACTCCCTCACATTGCAGTCCTAGGTCTCCACTTGGTGTATTGCTGAACCTTTCAGCTGTGAGTTCTGCAGACCACACAGTGAAGGATAAAGTGTCCTCCTTCCACACTCTAGCTTTCGGCAGGTTTCCCAGTGGTTGGGGGATCACAGCACGGAACATTTTAGGGAGAGGGTCCCTGAAGGTCAGTTGTGTGGCTCCTGGTAGGCCCAAGTGCCCCAGGGCCCTTATAAGAGACAGTCTTGGTTGGCTCTGTCGCTCAGGAGTGTGGGGTCCCCATGGGGGCGGGGGCATGCCCACTGACTTTGCCTCTGTGCCTTCTGCAGCGTAGACCTCACCACTGGCCAGCCATGAAGTTTCGCAGCCACCCTGACCATTCCACCTATGCGGAGGTGGAGCCCTCGGGCCATGAGAAGGAGGGCTTCATGGAGGCTGAGCAGTGCTGAGAACACCAAGTCTCCCCTTTGAAGACTTTGAGGCCACAGAAAAGACAGTTAAAGCAAAGAAGAGAAGTGACTTTTCCTGGCCTCTCCCAGCATGCCCTGGGCTGAGATGAGATGGTGGTTTATGGCTCCAGAGCTGCTGCTCGCTTCGTCAGCACACCCCGAATATTGAAGAGGGGGCCAAAAAACAACCACATGGATTTTTTATAGGAACAACAACCTAATCTCATCCTGTTTTGATGCAAGGGTTCTCTTCTGTGTCTTGTAACCATGAAACAGCAGAAGAACTAACATAACTAACTCCATTTTTGTTTAAGGGGCCTTTACCTATTCCTGCACCTAGGCTAGGATAACTTTAGAGCACTGACATAAAACGCAAAAACAGGAATCATGCCGTTTGCAAAACTAACTCTGGGATTAAAGGGGAAGCATGTAAACAGCTAACTGTTTTTGTTAAAGATTTATAGGAATGAGGAGGTTTGGCTATTGTCACATGACAGACTGTTAGCCAAGGACAAAGAAGTTCTGCAAACCTCCCCTGGACCCTTGCTGGTGTCCAGATGTCTGCGGTTGTCAGCCCCTTCCTTTCCCCCGACCTAAACATAAAAGACAAGGCAAAGCCCGCATAATTTTAAGACGGTTCTTTAGGACATTAGTCCACCATCTTCTTGGTTTGCTGGCTCTCCGAAATAAAGTCCCTTTCCTTGCTCCAACTCCTTGTCTCTCAACGTATTGGCTATGACGCAGCAAGCAGAATGAATTTGGACTCAGTTACAGGCTGTCAATGGTCTGCTCTGTAGCAGTCTCAGAGCCTCCCCGACCCACTACCTGGAGATAGCCAGATAGCCAGATGCCCTGCTCCTGGCCACCTTTAAAGCCCCTGCATATGACACAGGTTAACTAAAGTCAAGATTGGGGCTGCTGCATTCCAGGTTCCCTAGACTCACAAGCTGGTCCTTGGCCAGGTGCAGTGGCTCACGCCTGTAATCCCAGCACTTTGGGAGGCTGAGGCAGGCGGATCACCTGAAGTCAGAAGTTTGAGACCAGCCTGGCCAACATAATTAAAATGTCTCTACTAAAAATACAAAAAATTAGCTGGGTGTGGTGACGCTTGCCTGTATCCCAGCTACTCAGGAAGCTGAGACACGAGAATCACTTGAACCTGGGAGGCAGAGGTTGCAGTGAGCTCAGATAGTGCCACTGCACTCCAGCCTGGGTGACAGAGCGAGACTCCGTCTCAAAAAAAAAAAAAGAAAGCAGATCCTCATGGCTATAGAGTTGGCATTTTAGCCCCAGCTTCTGTAGCTCTGAAAGCCTAAAGAAGGTATTCTCTCCATCTGTTAAACACAGTATAGTGGCTCTCAGCCCTTGGGGCATGTTATCATGGGAGGGAAGTCAAATAAGAGGAGAGAAAAGAACTCAAGGGGGAAACTGCATTTTTAGGCTTTGCTCTCTTACCTTGCCCTTTCTACTCAGAACCAATAACTTCTGCATCAAAACATGTTACAGCCTGCATCAAGGGCTTTACCCCAACCTGCAGCCCAGCCTTCCCTGGGTGAGCTTGCTATGCGCAGCCACATTTACCATGTGGGGCTCCCTATTCTGATGGCCTGTTCGGTGCCGGGTTTACTCACTGCCCTGTTCTGATGTCAGTGCCTGTACATACCTCCAAAGGCAGGACTTGCCTGATAAATATTTTTCCTCCTCTGAACTGGATTTTATAGGCATTAAAGACAAGTCGGGTGGCTAGAGGGCTCCTTGAGACATACCTAGCAGGGAACTGCAGGTGGATTCTGTTGAGAGGCAAAGCACCTGAGTGGTTGGGACACAGGCAGCTGGCATGGGAGGGACTTTTTTTGAGACAGGGTCTCACTGTGTCGCCCAGGGCAAGGATGCCCAAAGACACCAGGTTGGAGAGGCACCTGCCAACTACTTGCTTTCCCTGGAGCCTGCATGTGCCTGTGGGGTGGGGAGGCGTAGGGGTCTACGGCTGCCTGAGATGGGTGTGCACAGTGTGTGAAGTACCTACCTCCTTGCCTTGCTGGACTGTCAGCCAGTCGCAGGGCCGGCCACAAGACCCATGTCTCCATCTGGTCATACTCCATAGCTACCAAGTTAACCTGCTCTAAACTTTGGAGAACTGGATCTGTCCAATAAACGCTTATTTGGCCAAGCCTGATGGCTCGTGCCTGTACTCCCAGCACTTTGGGAGGCTGAGGTGGGAGGGTTGCTTGAGCCCAGGGGTTTGAGACCAGCTTGGGCAACAACAACAAAAATGCCAGGTGTGGTGGGGTGCACCTGTAGTCCCAGCTACTAGGGAGGCTGAGCCAGGAGGATCACTTGAGCCCGGGAGGTTGAGGCTGCAGTGGGGGGTCATAATCATGCCACTGTACTCCAGCCTGGGTGACAGAGTGAGACCCTGTCTCCGAAAAAAAAAAAAAAAAAAAGAACGGAAAAAGAAATGCTTACATTGTCAGGGATCCTGTAGACAATCATTAACTCTATGAGATGCTTGGTTCTATTTTTTTGGGAGACTTTGTCCAAGTGTTTTGGCTTAAGAAATCCATAGGCCTCTCTTGGTGACACATCTCTAGTACTTTTTGTCATAAACAAACAGGCCATCTGCCGCCAAATACATCCACTCCCCATGCCACTGACATCCTATGGGTCAGCCAGGCTTGCTTTGACTGAGGCCGAGGCATCTGGAACTTTCTCTGCCTGCAGGGGCTAGCAGCAGAGGCTTCACCGCATCACCACCCCTTCCTCCACTCCTGACATTCTTTCCCTTCAGGGATCCAAAATGGTTGGCCGAGCTCCCAGTGGGAAAACGTGTGCTAGAGTTGGGGAGTGAGATGAGTGGTGCTGTCCATGGAATCAGGCCACAGCAGGAACTGCCCCACTGGCCATTTGAGACACACACAGGTGGTAAATGCTCTGCTGGTGGGCTGTGCTTCCCTCATTCAGAGAGCTCTGTTACAGCCCACTGTGTCCTTTAGAAGCTTGAAAGGAACCCAACTCTTTGCTGCACTGTCCTTTTTCTTCCTCAAATTCAGACCCTCCTTCCACCGGCACCCCCCTACTCCACCCTCAGCTCTTCCTTGCCTGGTTTATCAAGCAGAGCTGAGGCCCCACGTTTCCAACTCTGATTGTCACTTGCATCTTCACAAAGGATAAACCACGGAGCAACTGGAAAACCATCAGCCAAGCGTTCGGATGAGTCTGGTTATTGGTCCACCCCCGACCAGATTCCCTTACACTTAACTCACTTCTTTCTTTGGCAATGACCCTCATGACATGTATAAATGGGTATGACTAAGAAGAGGCTGTGATCTAACATTTATTTGCTGCCATTTTTTACTCTGGGGAGAAGCAGCCCCAACTCATCACTGGGAAAGAACTCCCCCTGCAAACCAGCTAAATTTGATAATTTAAACCCCCTGCCCCTAAAACTTCTCACAGAGCTGGGGAGTTGGTGGCAACTTTCCAAGTCAAGGTCTTGCTTAGAAAGTCCTTCACTACATGGCCAGGTGCAGTGGCTCACGCCTGTAGTCCCAGGTACTTGGGAGCCTGAGGCAGGAGGATTGCTTGAGCTCAGGAGTTCAAGGCTGCAGAGAGCTATGATCATCCCACTGCATTTGTTTAAAAATAAATTTTTAAAATTTGTGTGTTTTATCAGGGGTCTCCTGTACAGTGTATCTGTGTATGTTTGTGTGTGTGTTTGTATACAGCCTTGTTTAATGTTTTGAGCAATAAGATATGCACACACAGGTATTTTGTTGCTAAAGAGATTGGACAAGGTTGTAGCTGTGCTCAGGCTTCAGCTTGGTTTGTTAAATTGAGAGATAAACAATGACAAGAGCTGCCAGCCAACCACACTATTCAAAAAGCAAAGTGTTCACCACTAAAGCTAACCATTCATCTGGTTGCAGGCAAGGCTAAGGCTCTCTCTCCTCTAGTTCCTGGAACAGACTCACAGATTGGCATGAAGCACTGATCAGGGGCTGCACTCAGACTCCCTGGCCAAGCAAACCTACACCAGAAGAGTCAGTGTCACAGATATGATGCGGCCAATCTCTGTCTCCAAAAACCTACCTGAACTTAATGGTAGAATTCAAAGATCTGGGGACTGAGGGCACCCAGCCTTCTAAAACACAATGTATTCATGTGTTTAGTGTAAACTCTCTGCATGGATTCTCAGTGTTAATAATAAAAGGAAGCATTCTTTTACAACTCCTGCTGTGTGCAAAAGAAAGTGCAAAGGATTTGGAGTGGCATTCCGAAGATCACCACACATACCTTGGTTCTGATGGCTGCTGAACTCCGACTTCTTCGCTGAGACATGACTGTGGGAACAGCCTCCAGCTATCTGCTCATCAGAGGTGCTTTCCTCAACCTCCTGCACCACCTCCAAGAGAAACAGCCTAAAAAGAAACCCCAGCTGTTTACTTATATTGGTCTGTAAATCCCTGGAAGTAAACCCCATGCATTTTTATCTACTGTCTGAGGACATACAATAAATCTGAGAAAGTCTATGCTGTCACATTTCTGGATGCTTTGCATTTGAACAACTTTAGCGGCCTCATTGTGTTTTTATTACTTTGTGGTTTTGCTCACAAAACATGGTTTAGCGAGCCAAAACAAAGAGAGGAAAAATGTGAACACCTCACAGCCAAAATCAGTGATGCCACATTTCAGGCTCCAAACAAGCCAATTTATAAATAAACATGCTGTGTTCGCCAAATCAAGAGGAATGTGTTAAGAGAAGACAACGTGAACTGATGGAGAAGGTGCTGAGCTGGACGGGGAGTGGGAAGGTGGGAGCTTGGCCTCAGCCCTGCCCCTGAGTAGCTGGGTGATGTGGACAAGTCACTGGACTTCTCTGGGCTGGCTTCCACCCCTGTGAAATAGGAGGTACTAGACTAACTGGTCTAAAGTGGGACCTGAGCAATCAGCTGCCTGGTCCTTTTTCAGGTCACACAGCAACTTAGACCAAAGCATGCCTTTCTCTTTCATTATCCCGATAGGGTGACCAAATTGTTCTATCCAGGACTCTCCTGGTTCTAACACACAAAGTCCTGCATCCCAGGAATCTCCTCAATCCTGGGCACATTGGAATGTTATAGAACCAAACCAGGTCTTCTCACCTGGCGCAATAACACCAGATGTCCACACTGAGACTTTGCAGCAATAGAGAAAGGAAGGCATTTGTTTGCAGGACTCCAAGCAAGGAGAATTGGGTGGCTTATGCTTAAGATATGAACTCTTGATGGCTTGCAGGTAAGGTTTTTTTGTTGTTTTTTTTTTTTTTGAGAGAGTCTCACTCACTCTGTTGCCCAGGCTGGAGTGCAGTGGTGCGATCTCAGCTCACTGCAACCTCTGCCTCCTGGGTTCAAGTGATTCTCCTGCCTCAGCTTCCTGAGTAGCTGGGACTACAGGCATGCACCATCACGTGCAGCTAATTTTTGTATTTTTAGTAGAGACGGGGTTTCACTATGTTGACCAGGCTGGTCTCAAACTCCTGGCCTCAAGTGATCTGCCCACCTCGGCCTCCCGAAGTGCTAGGATTATAGGCATGAGCCGCTGTGCCCAGCCACAGGTAAGGATTTTAAAAGGCAGGGGTAAATTTCAGGAAAGCAGATGTTACAGGTAAAATCATAAATCAATATATGGAAGCTATACGTTGGTTTGACCTAAAAAGGCAGGACGTCTCAAAGCAGGACCCACAAGTCATAAGGTGGGTTCAAAGATTTTCTGATTTGCGATTGGTTCAGGAGGCGAAGCTTTGTCTAGACATGTGGGATCAGCAGAAAAGAATGTTAGCTCTGGCTCATGGGCAATGGCCTCCTCCAGGTCCCTCAGGAAGAAATTTAGAACAACGAACTATAGTCAGAGTCAGTCCTCAGCACCCGTTTATCTGAGGTCTACATGCCAGCGGATCCCTTTTGGAGGGGTCTGGGCTTCTGAAAAACAACTCAGGGACATACGTTAAGATGTTATCTTTAGTTTGTAGAGAGGGGAACCAAACATCTCCTGGCTCTAACTTCCTCAGCTATTGTTTTAGACTACTATTACCTTCCTGCTTACCAAGTTGCTGATTTACTTCTCAGGGCTAGCTAGGATTTCCCTGAAGGAACTCAAGATTTTCCTTTATCCCCATGTGTGGGTGTCCCCAGCTCCCTCGCCATGTTTGGTCCCCTCTACCCTTGGCACAGCCCTCCCACCCCATTGGCTGAAGAAATAATGATTTCAAGCACCTGGAAAGCACTTTAGAATATAGAACCTTGCTAGTTAAAGTCTGGTCCAGGGCCAGGCACAGTGGCTCATGCCTGTAATCCCACCACTTTGGGAAGCTGAGGTGGGAGGACTATTTGAGCCCAGGAGTTTGAGACCAGCCTGGGAAACACAGGGAGACATTTTCTCTCAAAACAAAACAAAAACAAAAACAAAAACAAAACAAAAAAAATTAGCTGGGCACAGTGGTACATGCCCTGTGGTCCGAACTACTCGGGAGGCTTGGGCCCAGGAGTTCCAAGCTTCATTGAGCCATGATCACGCTACTGCCCTCTAGCCTGGGGGACAGAGCAAGACCCTGCTTTAAAAAAATGTAAATCTGTATAATAAAGTGTGGTCCAGGCCAGGTACAGTGGCTCATACCTGTAATCCTGCTCTCTGGGAGGCCAAGATGGGAGGATGGCTTGAGGCCAGGAGTTCAAAACCAGCATGAGCAACACAGCGAGACCTTGTCTCTACAAAAATAAATAAATAAATAAATAAAATAATAAAGTGTGGTCCAGCCAGGCAGCATTAGCATTCCCTGGGGTTAGCTGGAAATGCAGCACTCAGGCCCCCCAACCCCAGAACTACTGAGTCCGAATCTGCATTTGAGCAGCTCCTTAGGTGACTCCTGTGAAGGGCATGAAAGTTTGAGATGCACCATTTAGGAAGCAATTCTACCTACATGATCGCAGCCTGTTGGAGAAGCACTGTTTTTCCTTTCCCAGATGAGGAAACTGAGGCTCAGGGAGGTGGCTTACTTATTTATTCACTTGATCCACATTCATTAAACGCCTGTGTGCCAGGCACCATTAAGTGACTTGCACAAGGTCACACAGCTAGTAAGTAGAGAAAAACCCCAAGTGCAGATTTTTGGATTCCCATCTGAGGTTGTTCTCTGTGTACCTCAGGGTGTTGCCAGAACCACATGGCCACAGTTTAATATAGAAGCAGATTATGGATTATGACAGACAGACTGCTCCAGGCCTGTAGAGATCCTCGAAGAGATGCCTAGTGATGACTTCAGATCCTCGCTCTTGGCTCACGAAACTGTGAGCTTACCATCTATTTATTTGCACAGTCCCAGGAGCTTGAGAATGTCCTAGTTGTTGCTGCCTCCTTCTCATCCCGCTGCTCACACTAGCGACCCTCCCACATGAAGAATTAGAAGTACTCCTCACAAGCCTTACAGAGCACCAGGCGATGCCTCCATCTAATTTATCTTCTTGGATGGAGGACAATGGATTACTTCCTTCGCCAAGATGGGGCCAGAGGTGCAGGGAGGAAGGAAGAGGGGTAGAATCTTTACTTCAACTGTGAAATCCAGAGAGAAATTTTGTGGGGAATGATTTTTCTGATGTTCATAAAACATTTTTACATTTGGTCCCTAGAGATAGCTAAATTATGCCTACAGTTTTCCACAAAGCTAAAAGCACTGAAAAAAAAATCACCTGAATATGGGCCAATAAAATTTCATCATACCTTCCCAGAGTCTTGGGTTAGAACCTTCCCTTCCAGCTTGTCTTTCCCCTTTTTCAGTCTCTCCCCCTCAAAGTTTGTGTGGTTTTGTTTCTTTGTGTTTTGAGACAGGGTCTTGCTCTGTTGCCCAGACTGGAGTGCCGTAGCATGATCTCGGCTCACTGCAGCCTTTGCCTCCTGGGTTCAAGCGATTCTCCTGCCTCAGCCTCCTGAGTAGCTGGGACCACAGGTGTGTGCCACCATGCACGGCTAATTTGTGTGTATTTGTGTGTGTGTGTGTGTGTGTGTTTGAGATGGAGTTTCGCTCTTGTTGCTCAGGCTGGAGTGCAGTGGCGTGACCTCGGCTCACTGCAACCTCCACCTCCCGGGTTCAAGCGATTCTCCTGCCTCACCATCCCGAGTAGCGGGGATTATAGACATGCACCACCACGCCCAGCTAATTTTGTATTTTTAGTAGAGATGGGGTTTCTCCACGTTGGTCAGGCTGGTCTCGAACTCCCGACCTCAGGTGATCCGCCCTACTTGGCCTTCCAAAGTGCTGGGATTACAGGCATGAGCCACTGCACCCAGTCAATTTTTGTATTTGTAGTAGAGACAGGGTTTCTCCAGGTTGGCCAGGCTGGTCTTGAACTCCTGGCCTCAAGTGATACGACCACCTCAGCCTCCCAAAGTGCTGGGATTACAGGCATGAGCCATTGTGCCCGGCCTTAGATCCCATTTTTAATTAAGAGATGAAGATGCTGCTCTCAGCAAACCTGTGCACTGACTCTGCTCTCCTAAGGAACATTAAGCAATTCCAAGAGCCCCTCCTCAAGGCCAAAAGGGCAGCCTCCTGTAGGGCCTACCTTCCCGTTCTCAGAGCCTCCCTTTTCTCTCTCTTTTTTTTTCTTTCTTTTTTTTTTAGAGACAGGGTCTCAGTCTGTTGTCCAGGATTCAGTTCAGCGATGCAATCATGGCTCACTGCAGCCTTGAATTCCTGGGCTAAAGTGATCCTCCCACCTCCGCCTTCCAAGTAGCTGGGACTACAGGTGGGAACCATCATGCCTGGCTAATTATTTTATTTTTTGTAGAGATGGGGTCTTGTTTTTCTGCCTAGGCTGATCTTGAACTCCTGGGCTCAAGCAATCCTCCCATCTCAGCCTCCCAAAGTGTTGGGATTATAGGTGTGAGCCACCACGCCCGGATGGAGCATCCCCTCTCTACAGCTGCTGACACCCCTCTCTGTTCCCTGGGGCTCTTCTCCCCCAGGCCCATTACAGACTGAGCAGAATCCTCCCAGCTGTGCTCACTCTTCCCTCTGCCTCTGTAGACAAGCACTTAGCCCTCTTTAGCCGTGAAGAAGGAGCCACAACTAACAAAATTAGGCAGAGGTAAACATTACTTAAAACCAAAGGTCCTGGTCTACTGACTTTTGGACTCTGGGATGGTACTGCTGGTGGTGCTGCCGGCAGCTCACATTTACTGGGTGTTTCCTATGTTCCAAGCACATTTTAGGAGATTTACTTGTATCGTCATCTATGGGGTGGGTGCTGTTGCTACCTCTACCCTACACAGGAGGCCACTGAGGCACAGCGCAATAGGGAACTGTATGTTTTTGTATTTTTAGTACAGATAGAGTTTTGCCATATTGCCAAGGCTGCTCTCGAACTCCTGGTCTCAAGTGACCCGTCCGACTCAGTCTCCCAAACTGCTGGGATTACAGGCATGAGCCACCGTGCCCAGCCTGATCTTTAAATTTTTTCTGTAGAGATGGGGTCTCACTATGTTGCCCAAGCTGAGATTTCTTAAAAAGGGACAGCATAAAATGACATGGGGTTTAGCATCAGTAGGTTTGAGTTCAACCTTAAGCTTCCATAATTCTTGTCAGGAACCTTAAGCAAGTCAATTAACCACCCTGAGTTTGAGTTTCTTAATCTAAAAAAACCAGAGAACTGGAAGATTAGTGTGGCAATGCATCTGAAAATATTCTGTAAACCAGAGTGCTGGACAAATGCTAATCTATTATTGAATTCAGCACTTCATTTCAGCGGAGCTAGGAATTCCATATTTGGAGCCACCTTGACAGGAGATGTCTGAAAAAGCTGCTTCCGGTGGCATGCCTTTTGGGCTCCGTGGACAGCCATTGCTGAATAAAACTTAATGACGCCATAGAAACCAGAATGGGCCACTGCAGCATTTGGGAAGACCCGGACTGAATACAAAAGGTCAAACTGGGAAAATGCTGTGAACAGTGAAAGCTGTGGGGGTGGTCCTACGCCAAATAAGCGCATGAAATCTCACGCCCAGAAAACAAAACCGCCCATGCCTTCATATTCCCCAAACGCTTCTTCGAGAAGGATGCAATTCAAAACACTTCCCACTTAACCAACAAGTTTTCTTCTTAAGATCCTAAACTTGAAGAAGTCCTAGAAGGTAAAATGTGCTGACTGGAGAGGTACCTCTCCGGGACTCTAAAAATCTGTTTGGGGTAGCTGTCTGCTGGGGTCCCCTCTAGAATTAAGAGTCCTTCAGCGGGCCAGGCGCGGTGGCTCACGCCTGTAATCCCAGCACTTTGGGAAGCCACGGCGGGCGGATCACCTGAGGTCAGGAGTTCGAGACCAGCCTGGCCAACAAGGTGAAACCCCCGCCTCTACTAAAATACAAAATTAGCCAGGTGTGGTGGCGGGCACCTGTAATCCCAGCTACTCCGGAGGCCGAGTCAGGAGAATCGCTTGAACCCGGGAGGCGGATGCTGCAGTGGGCAGAGATCGCGCCACTGCACTACAGCCTGGGCAACAGAGCAACAGTGTGTCTCAAAAAAAAAAAAAAAAAAAAAAAAGAGTCCTTCAGCAGAGGCTGAGGCAGGTGAGGTGCTGAAGCAGGACTCTGGAACTCCCAGTTAGCAGGTGGGCGGCTTTCTCCATCCCTCCCTCCACCCTGGCCCAGGCTCACATGCAAAGCGTCGGCCGTGGGTCCAGAGCTCAGCTCCCACACTAGCAAGGTTTTGTCACTCTTGGTGGGAACCGCAAAAGGTAGCAGATCCGCCAGCCTCCCTTCGCTGAGCCTGCGCGGCTAAGGCTCGCGCAGTACTGCGCCTGCGCAAGGCACGCCCACGCTTTTTTTAAAAAAAGAGGCGCAGGCGAGGGGAGGGGCGGCGCCCGGATCGCTCCCTCGCCCCTCCTACCTGGGGCCGGCCTCTGAGCCTGTTCCTGTCCTCCAGCCACACCGCCACGATCCCTGAGTTTAGAACTTCCATTCAAGTGCATGTTTAGGGTACAGTCCCAAAATGGCCTGACAGCATGAAAGGGTAGGGACATATTTATAGCAGCCAGTTTCATCTTCACTCCTGCTGGAGATTAGGGTACTAAGTATTAGCACTACCTACTGAGCTTGTGGGAAATAACCATGAAAGATGCAATCTTTTGACTTAAGAGGTTTTTTTTTAAGGAGTTTAACATATTCAAATAAAAGTATAACTCACTAAGCTATTAACAGTCTAGCATGAAATCCTTAAAAAGAATTTCCTAGTTGTCCTACGTGATTCTGGGGAATTGTGTACGTGAACTTGTGGAGGTCAGATGATGTGGGAGATGGGAGGTTTGAATGAGAAGTAGAGATCAATTTTGAAAAAAAAAAAAAAATTCAAAGAATAGGTCCAAATTGGAGCTGATAGTGTCTGAGAGGGGTAGGTGTCATAATCAGCTACGTGGTAGAGCAGTGTAATCACCTGATGGGTTCATTGTACCCACTGCCCAGAAAAGCCGATTTACTGAGACAGCATTATTGAAATAGAGAAAGAGTTTAATAAGCACAGAACTAGCTAAATAGAAGACTGGAGTTTTATTATTACTCAAATCAGCCTCCCTGAAAATTTGGAAGCTAGGGTTTTTTAAGGATAGTTTGGCAGGCTGGGGGCTAGGGAGTGGGAAATGCTGATTGGTTGGGTCAAGGATGAAATCATAGGGTGTCAAAACTTGTGTTCTTGTGCTGAGTGAATTCCTGGTTGGGGGCCACAAGACCAGATGAGCCAGTTTGCCAATCTGAGTGGTCCCAGCTGGTCCATCAGAATACAGGGTCTGAAAAATACCTAGAACGCCAATCTTAGGTTTTTTTTTTTTTTTTTTTTGAGACGGAGTGTTGCTCTGTTGCCCAGGCTGGAGTGCAGTGGCGCAATCTTGGCTCACTGCAAGCTCCGCCTCCCGGGTTCAGCCATTCTCCTGCCTCAGCCTCCCCAGCAGCTGGGACTACAGGCACACACCACCACGCCCGGCTAATTTTTGTATTTTTAGTAGAGACGGGGTTTCTCTGTGTTAGCCAGGATGGTCTCGATCTCCTGAACTTGTGATCCACCCGCCTCGGCCTCCCAAAGTGCTGGGATTACAGGCATGAGCCACCGCGCCCGGCCCTTAGGTTTTACAATAGTAATATTGAAAGGAGTTAGTTAGCTTGCCTTAGGTAGATAACAAGGGAAGGGTCCCCAGAGAGCTCCCGGCCCACAGGTCAGTGCCTCATCCCCACACAACAGAAAAAGCAGCCTGGGAAAACATTCAAGCTGCAGGCACCCATAAGGGAACAGGCACAGGGTGTTGTGCCTGGAGACATGCCCACGGCTGCACAGATAGAAAAACCTCAGGTCCATTTGGATAAAAACTTCAACAAACTTCCATCTCACTCACATAAAGGAACAAGACCTGGCATAGAAATGTCTTTGTCCTTTGTATAGTCAGCGGCCTCCCAGGACAAAGTTTCTTCTCCTTTTGTGGGCGTGGCTACAGTGGGCTCCAGTGGGTTCCAGTGGACACTCTACTTTCCTTTTTGGACTATAAGTTTGGCCTCTGTGAATTATCACTTCAGCCCTTGATAGGTCCGGGGCCAAGCTTTCACTTCAGCTCCTGATAGGTCCTGGGCCAAGCTAAGCAGCATCTAGGAATCATCATTTCAGCTCGTGATTGGTCCTGGGCCAAGCTAAGCAGCATCTAGGAATCATCATTTCAGCTCCTGAGTGGTCCTGGGGCAACTAACCACATTCCTTCCCCTTCCCAGTCTTTAAAAACCCTGGACATCAGCCTCATAGGGGCACCCGTGTGGGACTCCCTTTCTGCTGGCAGAGAGCTTTCTTCTTTCGCTTATTAAACTTTCACTCTAACCTCACCTTTGTGTCTGCTCTCCTTAATTGTCTTGGAGGTAGGACAAAGAACTCTGGGGCGCATTATCTCAGACAAGGAGCGACTGTTAAATCTTGGTGCATTGCTGAGACTATAACAATGTTATGGGGTTTTTTTTGTTTTGTTTTGTTTTGTTTTTAGACAGTCTCCCTCTGTTGCCCAGGCAGTGGCGCAATCTTGGCTCACTGCAACCTCCGTCTCCTGGGTTCAAGCGATTCTCCCCCGTCAGCCTCCTAAGTAGGTGGGGTAACAGGTGCCTGCCACCACACCCGGCTAATTTTTGTATTTTTAGTAGAGACAGGGTTTCACCATGTTGGCAAGGCTGGTCTTGAACTCCTGACCTTAAGTGATCCACCCCCCTCCTCCCAAAGTGCTGGAATTACAGGCATGAGCCACTGTGCCCAGCCTACAACAATGTTATCTATAGGAGCAATTGGGTAGGTTTGAAATCTTGTGGCCTCTGGTTACATAATTCCTGAGCTATAATATCTAATCTTGTGGCTAATTTGTTAGTCTTACAAGGGACGTCTGATTCCCAAGCAAGGAGGTGATTTGTTTTAGGAAGGGATTATCATCTTTGTTTCAAAGTTAAACAATAAACTAAATTCCTCCCATAGTCAGCTTGGCCTGTGCCCAGGAATGAGCAAGGGCAGTTTGGAGGTTAGAAGCAAGATGGAGTCAGTTAGGTCGGAATTGTCATAATTTTTGTAAAGGCAGTTTCAGTAACACAAGAGGGAAAGTGGGTCCTACTGCTCTTTACTTTAATCCTAGAATGTCAAAGCCAGATGAGACCCTGCAGGACAAGTCTCTTGTGGTTTCTAAATAATGGTCCTCAGACCCATGCTGTGATGAAGTTTCCACCCCTACTCTACAAAATGAGGACAATATGGAAAATATAATTAGGTTTTTAATAATTTCATAAAATAAAATAGATTCCACTCCATTCTCCTACAAGTATGACCTCCCTTTATAAAAAGATGCTGATAAATAGAGGATAGTTGGATAAATATAGTTGCTTTAATGCTCTTACTTGGATATTATAATTAAAAATTTAAAATCTCAGGTTTAATTTTTTTTACACTTTATGACCTGTGAAAAACAAAAGTCTAGGAACCACTGAATAGTCAAATCTCTCCTTTTATGGTAGAAGCTGTTAAGGCTCAGAGGTAGAGAAACGAGGGGTCCAAGATAAAACCCCAGCTTGGTCAGACACTACTGATGGTGGCTTTATGCTGGATATTCCTTCAACTGTCGCTGTTCTGCCTTTGCCTTTTCTTTAAACATGTTCTACTCCACATCAGCACCCTCCAAGCAAACCAGATCCTGTTCAGAGAAGCCTTTTTTTAAATCATCTAGATCCTAGCCTATTCTCCCAAATTACCCCCAAATCATTGTCATCTGCTACTATTTCTCCATCCCATCACTACTTTCTCCACCCCAACACCAGACCCTTAGCCTCACCCATTGCCTACTTCTGAGCTTTCTGTTTTACTTCAAAAATTGTTCTTCGGAGGAATTTTTGGACGCCAATACTGTTTCAAAGCAATAAATACGGATTTTATTATACATTTAATAATCTCTTGTAATGTTTGTGGATGTCTCTGCTTCTCCACCTAGATTATGAACACCTCAAGAAAAATAGTTCTATCTTCCTTCTCGTACCTAGTACACTCCTACTGTCTTATGTACTCAAATATACATAGAATTAGTAATGAATAAATTGACACATTCTTTGCAGAGTGAATGCTTTAATATTTAAAAAAAAAATAGAGATTTGTTTATTGTGGTCCTCTTGGTTTGCAAATGACCAACAGGAACCAGGGGACTGGGTCCAGATGGGAGCAAGGAGGAAGCCAAGAAAACCATTTATTCCTGGGGCTCTGGTCAGTTTTACTTGTAAATGGGAAGGGAAGAAAATAACATGAAGTGGAGGCAATAGGAAGAAGAAATGAAGAATCCCTGAGTGAGAACAGGAGTCTTGGACTGACTCCGTGGTGCACACACACCCTGTTTCATCTCGGGCAGCATCCTGTCAGCCAGTAGGAGAGTGGCCGGCCCGAATAGTGCAACCTCCATTCTACCCTGTGGAGAAAAAAGACATGGTTCTTGCCTCACACTCAGTAACTTCTCCACACACGTGACCCAGTTCTTGCTGAGTCTCCCATATAGAGCAATGCCCAGAACCCCCTTCATTGCTAGCCCTCTGGCCTTTCCTCCACTGGCCTTCACATAGAATAATAATCTCCAATCTCATCCAGGTCACTGCAAATGCTGTCAATTCATTCCTTTTTAAGGCTGTGTAGTATTCCATTATATACATATACCACAGTTTCTTTATCCACTCGTTGATTGATGGGCATTTGGGTTAGTTCCATGATTTTGCAATTGTGAATTGTGCTGCTATAAACATGTGTGTGCAAGTATCTTTTTCAAATAATGACTTCTTTTCCTCTGGGTAGATACCCAGTAGTGGGATTGCTGGATCAAACGGTAGTTCTACTTTTAGTTCTTTAAGGAATCTCCACACTGTTTTTCTTAGTGGATATACTAGTTTACATTCCCACTAGCAGTGTAGAAATGTTCCCTGATCACCGCACCACGCCAACATCTGTTTTTCGATTTTTTTTTATTATGGCCATTCTTACAGGAGCAAGGTGGTATCACACTGTGGTTTTGATTTACATCTCCCTGATCATTAGTGATGTTGAGCATTTTTTCATGTTTGTTGGCCATTTGTCTATCTTCTTTTGAGAATTGTCTATTCATGTCCTTAGCCCACTTTTTGATGGGTTTTTTTTTTATCTTACTTTGTTTGAATTCATTGTAGATTCTGGATATTAGTCCTTTGTCAGATGTATAGATTGTAAAGACTGAAAATCTGGGGCTATTTCTGTCACTGAGGGAAGGTATGTCCTTCCCCTAAACTAGGTGTATGCTGCTGAGGGGGCAGAGGCCTGAATTCTTCCATCCACCGCCTTCAGGTGTCAGGCGGTTTCTGCTTGGACAAGATGGCTACCCTGGTGGGCTTGTTTCCTCTCTGGTCTCTTGTTCTGTCTCACTCCACAGTGGCCTGAGCTTGGGGCCATTCTTTTGCTTTTCTCATCCTCCTACCCCCAGAGCTAACAGATTCAGCAAATAAAATTTACAAGATCCCCTGTTAAATTAGAATTTCAGGCAAACAACAACTGACTACCCCACACTAACTCAGGAGGGTCGCTCAGAGATAGGTGTCGCTGAGCCTCGGGAAGCAGGAAGCTCCATCCTTGCCCATTAAGCCCCCTCTCGGGGTCCCCTCAAGGAAGACAGTGGCTCCAGAAGGTGTGTTCGCATCCCCTTTCACAGCCTACCTCTCTCCCATCCCTCTCTGACCCCGGGTTCCAGCTGGCCCAGGAATTTCTGGGAGGACCAGTAGAACAAGGCCATCTGCAGTAGGAGCCTCCTCTTCCTCGCCACCTACGCTTCAGCCCTGTCTAACTAATAGCTCTCCGTGTTCTAAAGAAGGCGGGAGTGCCGGGCCACCCCAGCCTTCTGGAACCCTAGTTCTGTAACATCATCCATCTCCTGGAAATACACTGGTTTTAACCATGCAAATTGGCCAAACGTCAGGCAGAAATAGCAGCTGGGCCTGGAAGGACAGGTGACATCTGTGAGGAAAATGGCCAGGCGGGACAGAGTGGAGAGCACTGACTCTTCCCTTCCTGTCTGAGAACAGCACTGCCTTTGGGGGAACTCCTTCCCTCATGGGGCTTTAGCGGGGGCTGCCAGTCCCAGGGCCCTGTCCCCCGCCACTCCCCCCATAGGCATAGGAATGCTTGTGTGCCAGTCACTACATTTGGAAGTGGAAGCAAGTAAAGCTGCTCAGCTTCTCACAGGAAGCCTGTGGGTGCTGGGCCAGAGTACACAACCCATCTGAGGCGCTAAGCCTCCGTGAAGAGGGAGTAGAGGCTGGATGGGATTCTAGTCCCACGGTTCACCCTTTCTGGGACCCAAACACACCCTTCCCCTTCCTTCAATTCTGAGGTTCAAGAAATGTCCCTACTCACAGAACAGGTTTGAATTGGGTTTCTGTCACTTGCAGCCAAAGGAGACCTGCCTGTTATGGTTGGCATCGGGTCAACCATCTGTGAAATGGATGACCTGACAACCTGTCTCCTCCCAGTGAAGGCCACAACATCCCAACATCATTAGTTACCAAAGAAGTCTGGGACGAATTTCTACCAACTGTAGCAAAAAAGGGGCAAGACAGAAGAAATTTTGTTACTGACAGACCACTCTTCCCTCTGGAACAGGGCGGCAGGATCTGACAGAAAGAAAGGACAAGGGGCTTCTAAGCTGGCAGTGCTGCCCTGTGCCCCTCCAGACTTCTCTTCCCAGCAGGGCAGTAGCACATGGCACCCTGGGATAGGAAGCCTGCAGGGGTTGTGGGGAGGCTGAACATCCTGGGGGCACCACTTTATGAGGAACCATTTGTGGCCAAAAATCTTCAGGGGCCTCAGATGACCTGAATGAACTCGTCTCTGGAGAGTGAGAGTCCCAGGCAGAAGGAGAGGTTTCCATAGCCCAGGACCACATGCTGGAAATTGGTTTCTGCAGCATTCAAAGGGGTACCAGAGGGACCCTCCACCCCAGCCCCACAGCTGGGAAAAACATGAGCCCTGGGTAGATTCCTACCTATTCAAAGAACTGGAAAACCCAAGCTGGGGCCTATGAGTCAAGTCTGGACGTGCAGCTCAGGGCAAGAGGACAGATGGATGCCACAGGCCATCTGTCTCAATATTTGCAAATTATAAATTAAACTAAAAGGCTGTTAAATAAAGTACATTCTATTCTGATCCTCTGACAAATATTCCTTTAAAATTATTTATTTTTATTTTTTAGACGGACTTTTGCTCTTGTTGCCCAGGCTGGAGTGTAACGGCACATCTCGCCTCACTGAAACCTCTGCTTCCCAGGTTCAAGAGATTCTCCTGCCTCAGCCTCCCAAGTAGCTGGGATTACAGGCGCCCGCCACCACGCCTGGCTAATTTTTTGTATTTTTAGTAGAGATGGGGTTTTGCAATGTCAGCAAGGCTGGTCTCAAACTCCTGGCCTCAAGCGATCCTCCTACCTTGGCCTCCCAAAGGGCTGGGATCATAGGTGTGAGCTACCACATCCAACTGGAGCTGACTTTTAAACTGTATTTAATTTGTATTAATTTAAATTTAAATTTATTTTTTGGGACAGGGCCTTACTCTGTTGCCCAGGCTGGAGTGCAATAGTGCAATCATAGCTCACTGCCACCTTGACCTCCTGGGCTCAAGCTAGTCTCACACCTCAGCTTCCTGAGTTGCTGGGACTACAGATGCACACCATCATGTTTGGTTACTTTTTTTTTTTTTTTTTTTGAGAGACAGAGTCTTGCTCTGTCACTCAGGCTGGAGTGCAGCAGCACTATCTCAGCTCACTGCAAACTCTGCCTCTCAGGTTCAGGCGATTCTACCTCAGCTTCCCAAGTAGCTGAGACTACAGGCGTGCATCACCATGCCTGGCTAATTTTTGTATTTTTTAGTAGAGACAGGGTTTCACTATATGTTGGCAGGCTAGTCTCAAACTCCTGACCTCAGGTGATCCACCTGCCTCGGCCTCCCAAAGTACTGGGATTACAGGCACAAGCCACTGTGCCTGGCCAATTATTACATTTTTAAATTTTTTTGTAGAAAAATGGTTTCACTATGTTGCCCAGGCTGTGGCCTCAAGTTATCCTCCCACCTTGGCCTCCCAAAGTGCTGGGATTACAGGCATAAGCCACCCTGCCTGGCCTAAATTTATACATAAGTAGCCATATGTGGCTAGTGGCTACTGTATCGGACCACACAATTCTGTACAGCTAATGCACAGCACACAGTAGCATACTATACACGCCCTCCTACATCTTGCTTTACTCCCTTAACAGCACCTATGTATTCTGGAGACAGATTGCCCCAGTCTGCCCCCCACCTTTATTTTTTTTTGAGATGGAGTTTTGCTCTTGTTGCCTAGGCTGGAGTGCAGTGGCGCTATCTCGGCTCACTGCAACTTCCGCCTCCCGGGTTCAAGCAATTCTCCTACCTCAGCCTCCCAAGTAGCTGGGATTACAGGTGCCTGCCACTATACCCAACTAATTTTTGTATTTTTAGCAAAGACAGGGTTTCTCCATGTTGGTCAGGCTGGTCTCGAACTCCCAACCTCAGGTGATCTGTCCACCTTGGCCTCCCAAAGTGCTGGGATTACAAGCGTGAGCCACCTCACCTGGCCTAGTCTGCCTCATTTTTAAAAACTGCTGCATAATATCCTCTTGTAATCTACAAAGGCAATCCCTCACCCAGCCTGGAGAGCAATGGGTCATCATGTTTTTACAACAAGCTCTAAAATCTTCCACATATACCGTAACCAAGACACTTCGAAACAACCCTAGGTTCGTCACACCTCCACTTTTGTCGGCCTGAGCCTGAGATAGTTTGACATTGAATAGTCAATTTTAGGGGCTGGGGGAGATAATTTACCATGAATCACTGCTCTAAAATATACTCTTCACCCATGAGGCCCATGCCTGGCATTCAGTAGTGCTGGTGGCATTCTTTAGAGTTAATCATAGTTCTAAGTGGTTCTCCTTTAAAGAGCAAAGTCTCCTGAGAAAGATGGCCATTAAGACAAAACATCTGGGGCTGCTCTTGCTTTTATCCTGATGAGAGGGGCCAAGGGGCTTTGTAGAGCAGCAGGGGCTCTGACGGTGAGCCTCACTATTCTTAAAATTGTCCTTAAGAGGACAGGTGCTTTGGCTCATGCCTGTAATCCTAGCACTTTGAGGGGCAGAGGCAGGAGGACTGCTTGAGTCCAGGAGTTTAAGACTAGACTGAGCAACACAAGGAGACCCCGTCTCTACAAAAAAAATCTTAAAAAAAATTAATTGGGCATGGTGGCACATGCTTGTAGTCCCAGCTACTTGGGAGGCTGAGGTGAGAGGATCACCTGAGCCCAGGAGCTTGAGGCTTGCAGTGAGCCAAGTGCACCACTGCATTCCAGCCTGGAAGACAGAATGAGACTGTGTCAAAAAAAAATTGTCCTTAAGTCCCATCTGGATCCCTAGACAGCCTTCCTCTTAGGGCATTTCAGGTGGTGAGCCTCTTTCCAGCTTTAAATGGCCTTTAGAGTAATTTCACTAACCTGCCTTGGTGTTTGGCTCTGTATAAACCCTTTCTTCTGGAGGGCAGCAGTAGACATGGGATTTGGTGGTCTGACACATCTGGGGACAGATCCCAGTTTCAAATGGCAGAGTCTGTTTACAGCTTACAGGGGAAATACTTAGCACTATGTGCTGATCTTTAGGAAATAAGTCTATGTTTCTTTCTTTTTTTTTTTTTTTTTGAGACAGAGTCTCTGTCACCTAGGCTGGAGTGCAATGGCGCAATCTCAGCTCACTGCAACCTCCACCTCCTGGGCTCAAGCAATTCTCCTGCCTCAGCCTCCCGAGTAGCTGGGATTACAGGCACATGCCACCATGCCTAGCTAATTTTTGTATTTTAAGTAGAGATGGGGTTTCACCATGTTGCCCAGGCTGGTCTTGAACTCCTGACCTCAGGTGATACACCTGCCTCAGCCTCCCAAAGCACTGGGATTACAGGTGTGAGCCACCACGCCCAGCCCAGTCTATATTTCATAACAAGTGTTGCAAACAAATGCTTGTTCCTCAGTGCTGCAAAGAAGAACCAGCACTTAAATAATTTTCTCAGCAAGGCAAATTTACTTTCTGCAGAAAGGGTGCTTCTTGGAAGCTGGACTGCCACGAGAGCACACTGAACAAAGAAAGGCAGGAGTTCTTATCCCTGACGCACTGGGCTTCTACTGCTGTGTCCTACCTCCACTGGTTGGAGCTGCACCTCACAATCTAAACTGATCCCGACTGGCTAAAACCTTGAAATTTTCCTAAATAGGTAAAGGTGCAA
This sequence comes from Homo sapiens, assembly GCF_000001405.40. Classification (NCBI taxonomy): domain Eukaryota; kingdom Metazoa; phylum Chordata; class Mammalia; order Primates; family Hominidae; genus Homo; species Homo sapiens. The sequence continues at coordinate 39,046,985 of NC_000017.11, read as the reverse complement.
TGGGAAACAAAGGAAGGGAGGGGACTTTTTACAGGAAACTAGGAAGGCAATAACATTTCCAAATAAGGAAGGGGCATAGGCTGCAAGCTGGGACATGCCTGGGCATGTTCAGGCATGTCTGGACAGACTTAGGGAAAAAATGAGATAGGCCTTGGTTACAATATAAGAACACAGAATATACTCACTCTTTTACTCCATTTAACAACTACTTGGGCTTAACAAAGAATTATTAGTAGAATAAAAGATCTGTTAGTGTGAGATATGAAAAGCTGTGGAGATTTAAAAGAAATATTTAAATAAATCCCTTTTATTCAAAAAGGTGAACTTGAAGAGGCACTTATCTTTATCAACAAGTCACATGGGGATAATGAAGGAATGGCCTAAAATGCTCTCCTGAGTCATCCCTGAGGGCCAGGCTTGGTGTTAGGCATGGTGGGGAAGGGAGTGGGGTTGTGTGCAGAGGAGGACATGATTCTTGCCTTGTCAGGGTCCCTGACCTGATGGCGATCCATGTTGTCATGTTCATAGTGACAGACACCACAGCAAGAGCAGACCCAGGTTGTGCAATCCCCAAAGCAGAGCTCCTCACTCACTTGGATAGATAGAACTATTGGCCTCAATTCCTCAGCCCTCTTAGTACCTACCGCTTGCCATGGTTTCGTTGTGGGTGGAGGATACTTTCTTGCCCCGGCTTCAGACTTGCCCATGTGGCTTGCTTTGGCCATGGAATGAAGCAGAAATGAAAGCCTACCAGTTCCAAGCCCACACCTGAAGATATCTTAGGCGGTTCTGCGGGCCCGCGTGTGCTTCCACCTTCATCCAGATGCACTTCTCTGGTGCAGCAGCCGCTTCTTCAGCTTTGGCCCAGAAGGAACGGAGCCCCCTGGTGGATCCGCAGGCCTGCAGGGAGCCACAGAGCACGTCCAGCGTTCACTGAGGGGATGACTGCGTGTCACCCGCTGCCCAGCTAGAATGACACCTCTCCAGGCCTCTCCACCACGTTACTCCACCATAGACTCCCTGCCTGCTTCTTCTGCAAAGCCTTGGACACCCAAACACCTACCAAAAAGTGGGTAGGGTGCCAGGACACCTCCAAGTATAAGTGGGGCTCCCCACCACGCCTAGATGTGGAGGTATGCTGCAGAGTGGTGGCTGCTTGTGACACTCATTTCACCCCTGTCTGTGCAGGTGACAGAAGCCCAGGAACCACACGTCAAGTCTCCTTTGCCAGCAGGGTGCTGCCAAAAAAATGCAGTCATGTAAAATTTGGAATATGGAAAGGAGGTAGAAGTCATCCTTTCCTCCCGGCTAGCAGCAGACATGCAGGCTCTGGTAGTCAGCTGGACTCCATATTCCCCCATCAGTCACCAGCCTGGGGACCATGGAGCTGGAAGGACCTCAGCAGCAGTTTCCCAAGTTTGCAGAGGCCTGAGGCCTGAGGTCCTCCCAGGGGACCTCACACTCCTCCCGCTCAGCAGCCAGACGACTTTCTGGTTTGAGTTTTCTCTGTTGGGGCTTCACTGCCCCTGGGATAGGAATTAAAATGCCAAGCTTGTTGATTCTTGAAAGGAGCAATTCAACTTTTCACTCCCTCTTCATTTTAGATGGGAACCACGAAGGCTCTGTCGTTTACTCCACGTCCTTGTGAAAGATGTCATCCTTGTTGGAAGACTCCTTGCCGTGAGGTTTCTGTGCCATGTTTTTCACGCGTGCAGCACTGGGAGGTCTGTACATACCCCTAAGCCAGAGTGGCTGTCTTAACTAGACAAAGCCATCCTGGAGGATAGGGAAATATGCATTTTGCATGTCCTCTGCTTTCTCTGGCCACAGCAATGAATCCTCCAATGTACCTGAGTTTCAGTTCGCCATGAGCATCTCCTATGTGGCAGAAATCTGAAAATGCCTCCGGGGAGACACGTGGACAAGACAGTGAGTGATGCTGCCGTTCCCACGCCTCTCACAATGTACTTCTCTGGTCTTATTAGGACTAAATGAGTACCTCAGTCCATAGTAACAGTGATTAGAACCACTGCAGACCACATACCTGGGGTCTTGAAAATAATTCCAAGCATGCGGGACTTTCAGAAGCTCTCCATGTCTGTCCAGAAGGGCCCCACAATGTCTCGGGGAGACTTTGTATGTGGCTCAGCATGGAGCCTGAGCAGGATTTTCAGCCCCACTCACCCCCTTGGCCAAGTGCTCTCGTGCAGTGAACACCCATGCTGGGCAGAAGCATTTTACATCAGTCCTCTTCGGAGTTAGTCTCCTTGGCATCATTTGATGGGGGGTGGGAAATGAAGTAGTTCTTGGCTAACTTCTTGGCCCCTGCACCATGTGAGGCTGTTCCAGCTCCCTTGGGGCTGGACTCCTGAGCCTTTTTTTCTTTGGCAGTGTTCTCTACAAATGCCCGGGCATCCTGTGATCCGCCCGCCTCGGCCTCTCAAAGTGCTGGGATTACAGGCGTGAGCCACCGCGCCGGGCCAAGGTATAGCCTTTCTACATTGCAGAGTCATTCAGTTTCCAAAATTATGGAGCTTGTATTATTAGAACCAATGAAGTGAGTAAGAAAATTTTTTAAAATAAGCCATCAATCCGGACCTGTGTAGGTAAATGAAGGAGAAGCACTTTAAAGTCAGGGAAAAAATATGTACATACTTAACATTTAGTATTATCAACCACTGCTGGTTTTCCATAGACCATTTCATTCCTGATTTCATCTGTAAGAGATATGATTATTGCTACCATTCAGAGGGGGACTTTGATTGTTAACTGCCTGGTCCTCCTTGCTTGGCGCCCTGCAAACCAATGTGCTCCTTTCTCCCACTGCAAAACCTCAGAATGGTTTGGCTTTACTGTGCTGGGCCAGTGGACCCCAGTTAAGTCCGCTAATAAGCTCTTGCTATATCCTTGGGATGGGTTTCAAATTCAAAATAGACTGACCCTACCACACCGCTAACTCGGCTGATCAGTATTTGTCAATAACATAGAGGCTTCATTCAAAATTGTAATTATTGGAACCCAGGGTGATTTCAGGATTTTATGGGGCCTGAACCTTACCTATTAATAATAAAAACATGGAAAAGTATGAATACAACGATTCCCAAGGGCCTCCCAGGACCGTGCAAGTGAGAAGCCCTGATGCTGAGGCTCTATTCAATTCATCATCATTCCACCACAGCTGGGGCCCCCCCTTTTTTTTTTTAACAAACTTTTGTAATGCAATAAAATATACTGTTTCAACTTACAAACACCACAGAATAGTGTCATATCGGTCACAAAATTACTGGCAGCTTCGCTTGGCAACTTGCCTTTGGAAAGAAATGCAATGGGCATATATCTCACTGCAGCAAATGTTTCCTGAAGCAAATTAGTTCTGTTTACTAGAAAGATTCGACCCAAAACAAAGGAGCCCAGCCCCCAACATACATTTGCTGTGTTGAGACCATTGTGCCAATAGGGTCACTTGTTTCATGCCTTTTCTTGCCCATGCCAAAGGTCAGAACTAGGAAAAGCAGGGCAGGTCATATATAAACTATATAAGTTTCTTGGCCTCTTCGTACTTTAGTTTCCCCATTTGAAAAAACGAATGGATTTAAGACATGCTTTTCAGAATCCATAATGGGCTTATACCCAGCTAACCAATAATTGTATGAGGTTCTTACATGTAAATAGTTGTTTACATGTATTCATCTTCTATTTCACTTACAACTTGTGTAAAAACTGCATTCCGTGCCAGGCCTGAAAGGTTCCAAAGCTCAGTTCTGTCAGTAAATTGCAACCAAGATTCCTACCAAAAAAGACACAAGCCAAAGAAGAAAAATATGTATGTTCTTTCAGAACATGTATCACTTGCATTGATTCTAATTTATATAGGATGGAACATAACCTCAATACTTTATGCACTAAAGAAATCTCACTGTGGAAGATACTGGCTTATGATTTATACTTTAACATTGCACATGTGGTGCATTAGATACAAAAGAGTGAATGCTCAGTAAATACTTATGTTAAGTGATCTTTATTTCTGTAGGACAGGATTTCACAACTTCAGGGCCATCGACATTTTGGACTATATAATTCTTTGCCGTGGGGGTTTGTCCTGTACCTCGTAGGATATTTAGCAGCATTCCTGGCCTCTGCCCACCAGATGCCAGGAGGACACCACAGTTGTGACAACCAAAACTGTCTACAGACATTGCCAAGTGTCACCTGGGTGCAAAATCACACTGGTTGAGAACCACTGCTCTCTGATGATTCACTATGATCTCTGTAGTAATTCTTACACTAATCTTTCCTAGAGACAAAGAGGATTTGCTGTATAATTTTAGTAACTTTCTACTTTTAAAATTTTAATCATATTTCAAAATGAATAGCAAAGAGGTTTATCATTAAGTTTTATTAAAGTTCTAAATGTAATCGAGTTATATTTGTAATTTACATCAACTGCAAAAATGGTAGTGGTTCAAATGTATGTCTTTCAATAGGCTGTATTTTATTGCAGGATAAATCTCTAGGAAAAGTAAAAGGAAAATATTGCCTTGATTAGTTATTAGATGTCAAATTAGTAGGAATAAATAGGAAGGGTTTAGAGTAACATTGAATACATGGTTTTCGTCTAAACTCTAAATCTTTAGACTTGTATTTGAACTTCCCAGAGTCCCTAACCCTGCCAGTACCTCTCCTAGAGTCTCACCTTCATAGTTTTAATAAATAAAATATACAACTATAGATCTTGATAGACTTTGGAATTAATTTTTCCTGAGAGCAGTAGACTTGATTAGATGACCTTTTGTAGTCTCATCAAATCCTAGATTGTAAGCTCAAAGTTTTTATCCTTATATATAGTTTCTGATATTAAAAGGAATAGTCTCACCTTCCTAGTTTAGGTCTGTTTTCCTAAGCCAGTTCAATATCAGAAGAAATAAAAGACATCCTTTCACATCATCTGAAAGGAAGTTACCCCTTTAACTAATACATAACTTTGAACTAATTCAAATCATATTAATATAATTAATTTCTGTCATATTAATATAAATTCTTTTTTGGTTTCATATTGCTTTAATATTCCATGAAAGCAATTTCTTCACTTATACAGTGATGGGGCAACAAAACAACATGGAACTAGATTTTTATTTTTCAAATAAAAACGGTTGTAGTCAACACCCATTCTTGACTCCAGTTAACTCTTACTTCCATTGATTCCAGCTTGTCAGCTTGTCCCTCCCTCTTTACCTGGATGGTGTAACGTTGTCTGGCTGATGTCTCCATCTCTAGTCTCTCCCTTCCTAAACCATCCTGCACACAGTCATCAGATAAACTCTCCAGAAGTGGCTTGCAAAGATCAGCATCTCCTAGGAAATTACTGAAGATGCAAATTTTTGGTCCCACTCTAGACCAACTGAATCAGTAACTGCGAGGGTAGAGTGCAGAACTGAGTTCTAACGCGACCTCCCAGTGATTGTGATGCAGCTCTATCTCACAGCACTGCTGTGATAACACTGGTCCGTATGATGGCCCCTTAGCTTGACATTCAAAGCCCTAGAAGATCTGGCTCCAATTTCCTACTCTCCCTCCTTGTACTCTACAGGTACTCATGGTATTCCTCAAATACTTTCCTGTGATTTGCCCCTCTCCCATTTTCCTTTTGCAAGTTTAGAATCTTTTCCCCAACATGTTTGTCTGATGTGACGCAGCAGCCCTTCAAAGTCCTATTCAAATGGCATTGTTCTAGTAACATCTTCATGGGTCCAAATTGAAGTCAATCTCCTCTCTTCTATGCTCCAGAAACAATGTATCCCTCCTAGTGCCCACATCCATTTCTTCTTTTGAATGTACTTATTTTTCATCCCATTTCTTCTGAGCATAAACTCCTTGAAAGCATGGACTAGCTCTTGCTCATCTGCGTTGCCCACCATGTTTAAAACTGACACATGGAAATAAAATGAACTCACATATTTATAAAATAAATGAATAGCTGGGGCAGTGAGTAGAAGGAAAATGACTATTTTAAAGGAAATATAGTTTTATTACTTCATGGCCTCTGTAGCGCTTTGGCATCCACCTGAGGGTCTTTACACCCACTTTCCTTAAGCCTTCTACATTTGAAAGAATCTGTCTGCAAAAAAGCATCACTAATGAGCTTAATGAGGATTAATGACATACACACCTCTAAACCATGGGCAAAGGATAAAAATCCAGCTTTCATAGCAATGAACATAGTATCTTCTTATCTCTAAACAGACAGAAATACTATGCAGGTATCCCTTCCTTGGTAACAGGGCTGAGGACATAGTTATTTTGTAATTAGTGAAGAGTTAGGGGCATTTCTGATATGCTTACTTACTATAAACACTCTAGCTATACCACTTAACCATCATTTTAAACATCTGTTTTAATATAACAATTCCTGAAATGAAATCCTTAATACCAGGCTATTCTTTTGGTAGCTTAATATTCTTGATAATATTATTTATATAATTCAGCTGCTTATTATTTAATATATAAATGTTAATTTAATTTAGATTAAATTATCAAAAAATTCTGGATTAATGATATTCAAATTAATGTAGGTAGTCTATATTTTCTTCTCCTTTAGGCAACAATCTGAAGTTAACTTTAATTCCTTTCATTCTACTAAAGCAACTTTTTCAAATCTTTCTTTTCTCTTTTTTTTTTGACAGAGTCTTGCTCTGTCGCCTAGGCTGGAGTGCAGTGGCATGATCCTGCAACCTCCGCCTCCCGGGTTCAAGAGATTCTCCTGCCTCAGCCTCCCGAGTAGCTGGGATTACAGGCGTCTGCCACCATGCCTGGCTAATTTTTGTATTTTTAGTAGAGACAGGGTTTCACCATGTTGGCCAGGCTGGTCTCAAACTCCTGACCTCAGGTGATCCTCCCACCTCGACCTCCCAAAGTGCTGAAATTACAGGCGTGAGCCACCGTGCCCGGACCCAAATCTTTTTTGGGAAGGTCAGTTGGTAAATATTTTAGGCTTTGTGGGCCGCATGTGGTCTTTGTTGCATATTTCTCTTTGTTTCTTTTCTTTTTCTTTCCCAGTCCTTTAAAAGTGTAAAAACCATTCTTAACTTAATGGGCTATTTAAAAACAGACTGTAGATTAGATTTGATCTATTGGTTGTAGACTGAATATAGGAAGATGAGATGTGAACACTTTTTATAAAACAAGGTTCATATGGGTGTCAATCACTGCTCAGATCTTATTACCATGTGAAATTCTTTTCTGTCTGTATTCTGTCTATATAATTAAAAAATTGAAAATGCATAGAAGGTATTAATGCTAGAGATGGGCTGAGACCCTATACAAACTTACAGAATTGCAGAATTGTATTGCTGAAAGAAATCTTAGAGATTATCTAATTTGAACCCCTATATTCATTTTACAGATAATATGACTAAAAACTAATAAATATGATTAACTAACTAACTTACAAATACTGGAGGGATAGCAGGCCCTTCAAATGAATCCCTATGTAATTTAGTCAAATAATTTTCATTGAGAATTCTGGAAAATGAAAAAGTTATTTTCTAGATCAAAATGCAAACTACAACTATTTGCTACACAGGACTAACTCCTACATGTGGAGGAAATCTGGGTCATGATAATTTCAAGATGGTGGTATCTGCTCTGCTTTCATTAAAAGCTTTTCTTACATTTTCCTTTTTGTGTCCATCTGTCTCCACCACCACCACCACCACCACCACATACACACACACACACACACACACACACACACACACACACACACAAGCACACCCCTACCCACTCTTCCCACCAAATTGTATATTTAATGCCTCCTCTCTAGATCACAAAGTCCCTGTTAGAATCCAACTCTGGGTGGCACCAAGATCAGCAGAACTTCCATTTCCTCCTCTCTTTTCCCAAACCTTGTTATAAAAGCCCCACATGGAACTATGTCAGGGCTGCAAGTGAAGCCATTTGACTTTTTTCTCCCATTAAAAATATTTGAGAACTACAATGTGCATAAAGTGCACATAACATAAATGTTGTTTTTATTTTATTTTATTATTTCTGAGACAGGGTCTCACTCTGTTGTCCAGACTAGTCTCAAACTCCTGGGCTCAAGTGATCCCCCTGTCTCAGCCTCCCAAAGTGTTGCAATTACAGATGTGAGCCACTGCATCTGGCCAAATATTCAGTTTAATAATTATAAAGCAGATACCCATATAATATCATTACGAAAGATCATTACTAGCATCCCAGAAGCCCCAGGTGTGCCCCTTTCCAATCACAACCCCCTCTCTAACCCTTATAGATATCCACTATCCTGACTTTCGTAATAATTTTCTTGTTTTTAAAATGTAGCTCTGGCCTGACACAGTGGCTCACGCCTGTAATCCCAGCACTTTGGGAGGCCAAGGCGGGTGAATCACCTGAGGTCAGGAGTTCAAGACCAGTCTGGCCAACATGGTGAAACCCCATCTCTACTAAAAATACAAAAATTGGCTGGGCATGGTGGTGGGCGCCTATAATTCCAGCTACTTGGGAGGCTGAGATGGGAGAATTGCTTGAACCCAGGAGGCAGCGATTACTGTGAGCCGAGTTTACGCCACTGTCCTCCAGGCTGGGCGACAAGAACAAAACTGCATCTCAAAAAATAAAATAAAATAAAATAAAATAAAATAAAATAAAATAAAATAAAATAAAATAGTAAAGTAAAATGTAGTTCTGGCTGGGCACAGTGGCTCACACTTGTAATCACAGCACTTTGGGAAGCCAAGGTAGGAGGATTGCTTGAGCCCAGAAGTTCGAGACCAGTCTGAGCAATACAGCAGGACCTCATCTCTAGACAAATTTTAAAATTAGCTGGGCATGTTGGTGCACACCTGTAGTCCTAGCTACTGGAGAGGCTCAGATGGGAGGATCGCTTGAGCATGGAAGGTCCAGGCTGCAGTGAGCTGCATTTGCACCACTGCAGACCCTGTCTCAAAAATAAATAAAATAAAATAAAATAAAATAAAATAAAATAAAATAAAATGTCGTTTTACCTATTATATGTCAGTCATAAACAACATATTTTAGTTTTGCCTACTTGAACATTATATAAATGAAATCATATTACACATATTATTTTCTGTATCACTTCTTTCACTCAATAATCTGTTTGGACATTTAAGATGTATGTTGCTGAGATTGATTCATTTCAAGGCCTGTGTTGTGCTTCCAATAAGGTAGTCACTAGCTATATTTGGCTACTGTTAGTGACTAGTGTGACTGAGGAACTGAATCTTTAATATATTCATTTTAATTATTTTTAAATTTAAAAGCTGATACTCAATGTAGTCATTAGAAAATTTATGTTTGCAACAACTTGGGTATATGATGCTACTTTTTCAACTGCAAATTTTACAAAATCTAAATATAGACTAAGGTGTTTTGTTTGTTTGTTTGTTTTGAGACAAGGTTTCACTCTGTTGCCCAGGCTAGAGAGCAGTAGCACAATCACTGCGTACTGCAGCCTCGACCTCCCAGGCTCAAGTGATCCTCCCACCTCTGCCTCCCTAGTAGCTGGGACTATAAGCACACACCATCATGCCTGGCTAATATTTTTAATTTTTTGTAGAGATGTGGTTTCATTGTGTTGCCAGGCTAGTCTTGAACCACTGGGTTCAAGTGATCCTCCTGCCTATGCCTCCCAAAATGCTGGGATTACAGGCATGAGCTACCTAACATCCAGCCAGGTTAAGTATTTTTATTATTATTATTTACTTGTCTCCCTAGACTGCTGAGCAGAACAGATTAAGGTTTTTTTTTTTATAAAAATTTAGCAACCAAATTAAGACTTCGAAGACTTAGTATGGAAAAAAGAATGTAAACTCCCCAATTAATTTTTATACTAACAACATGTAGAAATGATACCCCTTTGGATATTTTGAAGACTTAGTATGAAAATAGAATATCTCATTAATAACATATATAATGACTGCATGTTGAAATGAAAATATTTTGGATATAATATATTAACATGTTTCACCTGTTTCTTTTTTAGTTTTATTTTTTAAGTGACTACCAGAAAAGTTAATATTATGTATGTGGCTTGCATTATGTTTCTAATGAATAATAGAAGTATTAATAATCCTTCCATTCAGTATTACACACACATAATACTTTTAATAAGTATTAATAATACTTCTATTACTATATAAAGTATTAACATACTTCTATTATTATATAATAGAATAATAGAGTATTCCATTATATGATTCTACTGCAATATATTGATTCATCTACTGGGTATGGATACTGAGATATTTCTAGTTTTTAGTTATTACAAAGAATGCTGCTTTGAACATTCTTATACTTGTATCCTGATAGTACTTTTGCCTGAGTTTCTCTAGGATATAATAAGGGCACAAAATTGTTTTCCTAAGAAGTGGTATTTCAAGTGGCAGATTGAAAACATGCCAAGTCTCTACCCATCCAACCTCTAGCAAATCTCTAAAAATCATAGAACAGAAATAATTTAAAAATCCACAAACTTAGCTCAAAATGTGGAAGCATCTCTACAAATGATCCCCTGTCAGAAATGCCCAGGAACTACCTACAAGTTATTGGTTGGGACAGTGGAGTGGGAGAAGCCAGAGGCACATCAACCACATATCTTTCTTCCTTGGGCCAGGCAGCAAAGAGTGTCTTCCTCCAGGCAGGAACAATTGGTGTTAGAAAGGGGGCAGGGTCCTGGAGCCCTGGAGGAAGGGTGTACACTCCCTTACTAGCCATCTCCCACACCTTCTTGTTATCAGGAGACTCCATCTGGAACACAAGCCGCAGAATCCCATCTCTCCTCTAGAGCTAGAAAACAGGATTGTCTGGTTCTAGCATTTTTTTTTCTTACCAATAAGATATCACACTAAGGGTGAGGGAAACTACTTTAAAGTGGTCATAATTCCTCTTCTTAGATGACTATGATTGTCATGTGTTTTATTTTTAATTTAGAGCTCGTGTATAACTTGTCTATGTAAGTTGAACTAATAATGTGACACACAAACTGTTGTAAAAAATGCCAGTTACTGCCCGGGGGTGGCGGCTAACGTCTATAATCCCAGCACTTTGGGAGGCCGAGGTGGGCGGATCACCTCAGGTCAGGAGTTCAAGACCAGCCCGGCCAACAAGGCGAAACCCCATCTCTAAAAATACAAAAAAATTAGCGGGGCATGGTGGTGCGCACCTGTAGTCCCAGCTACCCGGGAGGCTGAGGCATGAGAATCGCTTGAACCCGGGCAGTGGCAGTTGCAGTGAGCCAAGATGGCGCCATTGCACTCCAGCCTGGGCGGCAGAGCGAGACTCTGTCTCAATTAAAAAAAAAAAAAAAAAAAAAAGCCAGTTACTTTGAATGTGAGCATTTTTTCCAAAATCATTTATGTGTCGAATTCCTTCTATAAATCAATGTGAAAATGATTTTAAAAATTCAACGAGATCATGAACAAAGGACAGAAAACTCAGAGAAGAAACACAAATGTTCAATAAACACATAAAAACATTTCATTAAATTCATAAGTAATCAGAAAAATTCAAATTTAGATGGGATACCTTTTATTCATCCATAACATCAACAAAAAGTTGGAGAATAGCCAGTGGTGAAAAGGTGTGGGGAAATGAATGCTGTCATACTCTGCTGACGATAGTGTAAGTAGGCACAACATTTTTGACGGCAATTAAAATTTCATATCTACATAGGCTTCACTCCAACAATTCCATTTCTAGATATCTATTCTACAGAAATACTTGCCCATGTTCACAAAGAAGCATGGATTTCATTGCAGCAATGCATGTAACAAGAAAACTAGACATAATCTAAACATCCATCAATGGGGGAACTATTAAATAAACTATGATACATCCATACTATGGAATATTATGCAGGAGTTTAAATGAATGGGGTAACCCTCTAAGTACTGGGAAGGAAGGAAATCTAAGACACATCATGAAGTGAAAGAATCAAGTTGCAAGATGTTACCATTTATGTAAAGAAAAAAGATTTTTAAAACCACACAACAAATCTATTTTGCTTTATGTAAATATGTATGTAGGCAAATGGGAAAAAGTCTGGAAGGTTATATACTAAACACAGAGTGTTACCTCAGGGATGAGGGAGTAGGACACAAGGAAGATTTTTGTTATAGCTGTTATTTCATTTTTATACATTAAGAATATAATCATGGGCTGGGAGTGGTGGTTCATGCCTGTAATCCCAGCACTTTGGGAGACCAAGGTGGGAGGATCACTTGAGCCCAGGAGTTTGAGACCAGCCTAAGCAACATAGGGAGACCCTGTCTCTACAAAAAATAAAAAATTAGGTGGGAGTGGTGGCATGCACCTGTGGTTCCAGCTACTTGGGAGGCTGAGATGGGAGGATCACTTGAGCCTGGGAGGTGGAGGCTGCAGTGAGTAGTGATTGCACCACTGCATTCCAGCCTGGGGAACAGAGTAAGATCCTGTCTCCGAAAAAAAAAAAAAGAAAAAAGAAAAAGAAAAAAAAATACCCATGTATTATTTGCATAATAAAAATAAATTTAAATTGACTCTTATTTTAAAGAGAGCCTACCAAATTTAATTTTAAAATTACCACACGATTGCAATCAACAGAGGTTCATTTGGGGTATGGAAGGGAAACATGTTTTCTCAGAGGTACCGACCTCAAAATTCTGTACCAAGAAGGATCTTACAATGCAGTTAGTTTTTTGTCATATTTGGAGAGAATATACTCACAGTTTCTCAGTCCAACTGTATGCTTTCCATACATCTTCACCAATGTAAGAAATATAGTTTCCTTGGAAATTTCTGTGAAGAAACACAGTTCATATCCTTGAATAGGTAGGAAAAGAATGAACAGGATAAGTAAAAGAATCATGGCAACCTTGTGGGGGATATTCAGAAACAGAGAATAACACCTGCTTTCTCATTTCCAGAGCTATCAGCTTCCCAGTTTGCACAATTAATCAAGAAATAATGTGGGACCACTGGCACAAATGAGGCATCTCCCGGAAGCTTAACTTCCTATCCATCCCATCTCTTAGACAGATAATGCCGGTTAATTACTTTGAATGTAAGGACTTTATCCAAAATCACTTATGTGTCTAAACTAACTCCTTCTACAAATCAAAAATGGTAAATACCTCAACAGAAAAATGGGCAAAAGCTTATTATTATCAACAAATAAGAAGAAAGAAACCCTATGCCGGATAACACCAAAGCTTTGGCCCAGTGCCCTCAGTTGAAACATCCTAGGCTTTTTTCTTTTCACTCCTATCACAACCAATCTGATTTAGCCCCTTCACACTTTACTCCTAGATTTTGCTAGACCTTTCTATTTTGTCTCCCTGAATTAAGCTTTCCCCTCTAGGGCATTCTACATATGGATTCTAAAATAATCCTTTGCATGTCTACACTTGAACATTATGCAAAAAATAAAATAATCCTCCCTGTTTTAATCATTTAATCTCTCTTGGTTGGAAACTTTCAATGGCTTCCCATATCTCACTGTGTAACTTTTAAACTCCCATACCTGATAATCAAGGTTTTACATAATCATTTCTTCATCGCTCCCTCGCCTGATTCTTTGCAGCCAGATTGGTCTACTAAATTCTCATCATATCTGTAGCCATGCCTTTGCCTAGATTGTACTCCCATTTTTTCCCCTATTTAACAAATTATAGCTACTTTTTAACCCCCACGTAAAGTTTTAGCTTATCCATGTAGCTTTCTCTGACCTCCAAATCTCAAGATCACAGATTTTGGTGAATTCTAGCACCGATGGTCTGCATTATCTTTTAGTACTTAATTATATATACCTCCCTTTTTATGCCTATTCTCTTTCTTCCCTCCTACCATTTTCGTGTTCTAGGGACAGTAGCATACTTGGCTCTGGGTTGGACACAAAATGAGTGCTACATATAGAAAGCCAGGGACAAAGATGAGTTCTGGACATAACTCAAAGACTGAGTAATCATGTTCACAGCCAACCCTCCTGCATATGCTAGGCACTGATGAAGTGTTTCATATATTCACTCACCTAAATTTCACAACAATCCTATGAAATGGTAACTAGCATAATCCCCAGTTTAAAGATGAGGAAATTAAGTCACAGAGCAGAATAACTTGCTCAGGGTCATCAAGCTAATAAATGACAGCCCTGGGTTCAAACCCAGGCAGCCTGGCTCTAGAATCAACTCTTAACCATTTAGAGCATCATCACTGAGATGGGGAGAGGGACAGGCTGCTGTGAAGAGGGTGAAGCGAAAATGGGAGGAGAGCAGCGGTTAAGCAATGATGCGATGGGGCTAAATGAAAATGGACAAGTAAACAAGTAAGAGCAATCACAAGTAAAAGACTGGAGAAGGGGCCTAATAGTAAAGGAGAACGACGAGAAAGAAGAGATTACCGGCAGAGGTGAAAGCAGAAAGTTAGTTGTCAGTATAGCTTGGGGAGATAAAGAAGGCCCAGGAAGGCCTCCAGGAAAAGGCTGCCATGTGAGGCAGGACACAGAAGACAATGGAGGAAAGGTGATTCTTACAAGATGGTGAAGGTGCCATTGTAGGTGTTGGGCTCTGGCACAGGCACTCAGCGGAGCCTCTGCTTTGGGCTGAGATCGATACACGACAGCGTCTCATCTCCGCAGGTACAGAGATCACATATGTTGGTGCTTGTGGAGGCCTTCTGTTCCTCTGGTGCAGTTAAAGCCTTATTTTGGGCGTAATTTTCAGACTGCACCAGTGAATCCTGAGTAGGTTCTAGTTCAGTAGGTGGACCTGTGACTTCAGTCAGGTTTCGATGCTGAGTCTGAACCTGGTCTGGACGTGGAGCTATAGTCTTCTCCAGGGCTGTAGAATATCCAATCTCTGTAGTGGGTTCTGGAGTGATGGCAAGCCCCAGGTCTGGAGACTGAGTTGAGGTCTCCTCCGTGGTTGGAGACGGTTTAACATCTATAGTAGGTTCTATAGTTATGGTAAGCTCCAGGTCCAGAGGTTGAACTGTGACTTGAGTCAGGTTTGAATGCTGAGCCTGACCCTTGTCTGGCGGTGGAAGTGTCACCTCAAGGTGCTCTGGAGGAGGAGCTGTAGTCATCAGGGCTGTAGACGGTTCAACCTTTGTAATGGATTCTGGAGTGATGGTAAGCCCCAGATCCAAAGGTTGAACTGTGACTCTGGGTGATGTTGGATGCTGAGCTTGATCCTGGCCTCGTGTTGGCATGGACGTCTCATAATACACAGGAGGTTGAGCTACAACCTCCTTACGTAGCTCTGGAGGCTGAGTTGGGGTCTTCTGCATGGTTGGAAAAGGTTCAACCTCCATAGTGGATTCTGGAGTTAAGGTAAGTTCCAGATCCAAAGGTTGAACTGTGACTTGAGTCAGGTTCGAATGGAGAGTCTGAACCTGGTCTGGATGTGGAAGTGTCACTTTAGGGTGCTTGGGAGGAATCTTCTTCAGGGGTGTAGAATGTTCAACCTCTGTAGTGGGTTCTGGAGTGATGGTAAGTCCCAGGTCCAAAGGTTGAGCTGTAACGCTGGGTGACATTGGATGCTGAGCTTGATCCTGACCTGGTGTTGGAACTGTTACCCCTTGATATGCTGGAGGTTGGGGTACAACTTCCTTAGGAGGCTAAGTTGGGGTCTCCTGAATGGTTGGAGAAAGTTCAACCTCTGTCATGGATTCTGGAGTGATGGTAAGCCCCAGGCCCAAAGGCTGAACTGTGACACTGGACAGTGTTGAATGCTGAGCTTGATCCTGACCTGGTGTTGGAATTGTCACCTCATAATGAGCTGGAGGTTGAGCTGCAACCTCTGTAGGTGTCTCTGGAAGCTGAGTTGAGTTCTTCATGGTTGGAGGAAAAAAACATGGTTGCGGAGTTGTGGTAAGTTCCAGGTGCAAAGGTTGAACTATGACCTGTTAGGTTTGTGTGCTGAGCCTGAACCTGGTCAGGAGGTGGAAGCATCACCTCAGGGTGTTTTGGAGGAGCTGTAGTCTTCCTTGGGGTTGTAGAATACTCAGCCTCCATAGTGGATTTTGGAGTGACGGTAAGTCCCAGGTCTAAAGGTTGAAATGTGACACTGGGTGATACTGGAATCTGGGCTTGGTCCTGGCCTGCTATTGGAATTGTCATCTCATGCACTGGAGGTTGAGCTGCAACCTCCTTAGGTGACTCTGGATGCTGAGCTGGGACCAGCTGCTGGCTTGAAGGTTCTACCTCCATAGGGGGCTCTGGAGTCTGAACTGTGGCCTCCTGCTGGATTGGAGAAGGTTCTGCCTCCATAGGGGGCTCTGGAGTCTGAGCTGGAACCCCCTGCTGAGTTAAGAGATGGTTCCACTTCCTGAGGGAGCTCTGGAGGTGAAGATGGGGCCATCTGCTGGGTCCGAGAGGGTTCTATGACCACAGGGGCCTCTGAGGACTGAGCAGGGCCTGCCTGCTGAACTGGAGAGGATTCTACCTCTTTAGGTGGCTCTAAAAGCTGAGTTGGGGTCTGCTGTAGGACTGGAGATGGTTTGACCTTCTCAGGTGGCTCTGATGGCTGAGCTGGTATCTCCTGCTGTGGTGGAGGACTGACCTCTTCAGTGGACTTTGGAGGCTGACCTGAGGCTTGCTGCTGGGTTGCAGATGGTTCAACCTCCTTAGGGGGCTCTGGTGGCTCAGCTGGGAACTCTTGCTGGACTGGAGAAGGTTCTACCTCCTTAGGGGGATCTGGAGTCTGAGGTTGGGCCTCTTGCTGGGCTGGAGAAGACTCAGCCTCCTCAGGGGTCTGTGGATGCTCAGCTGCAGCTTCCTGCTGGGTTGGAGAGGGGTTCTCATTATTAACAGGTTCTGGAGATTGAACTGAAGTCTCCTGTTGACCTGCTAAAGGTCCAGCATCTTCTGATGACTCTGGACGCAGAGGTGCACCACCATGCTGGGTGGCAGAAGGTTCTACATCACTTCCTGGCCCTGAGACCTGAGCTGTAGCCTCCTGGTGGATTGGAGAACTTCCCACCTCTGCAGTAGGCTCTGTTGCTATAGTGAGCTGCATGTCTGGAGGCCTAATAGTGACATTGGGCAAATCTGAATGCTGAGCTTGACAGTGACCTGGAGGTGAAACTGTCACTTCATGATGTTCTGGAGGCTGAGCTGGGGCCTTCTGCTGGGCTGGAGAAGATTCAGCCTTCCCAGAAGAAATAGAAGGCTGAGCTGGCTGCTCCTGCTCACCGGGGGAACGTTCAGGTTCCACAGGAGGACCTGGAGGCTCAGTCGGGGCCTCCTCCTGGCTCGCAGAAGGTTCCACTCCTCTGGAGGCTGAGCTGGGGCCTCCTGCTGGGCTTTGGAAGATTCAGTCTCCTTGGTAGGCTCTGAAGTTATGGTAACCTCCACATCCACAGGTTTAACTGTAACGTTGGACAAGTCAAAAGGAACTTCATCCTCACCTGGAGGGTGAATGGTCACCTCATGATTCAGTGGAGTTTGAGCTCCACTCTCCATAGAAGACTCTGGAAGTTGAGTTGGAGCCTCTTGCTGGGCCTCAGAATGTTCAACCTCCCAGGAAACACAGAAGGCTGAGCTGGCTGCTCCTGCTCACTGGGGGAAGGTGCACACTCCATAGGAGGACCTGGAGGCTCAGCTGGGGCCTCCTCCTGGGTTGCAGAAGCTTCCACCTCCTCTGGAGGCTGGGTTGGGATCTCCTGCTGGGATGGAGAAGATTCTGCCTCCTTGGTAGGTTCTGAAATTATGGTAATCTCCACATCCGCAGGTTTCACTGTAACGCTGTAATGCTGGGCAAGTTATAATGAGCTTGATCCTCACCTGGAGGGTGAACTGTCACCTCATGCTTTGATGGAGTTTGAGCTGCACTCTCTGTAGAGGACTCTGGAGGCTGAGCTGGGGCCTTCTGCTGGGTCTCAGAAGGTTCAACCCCCCCACCCCCCACAGGAAACTCAGAAGGCTGAGCTGGCTGCTCCTGCTCACTGGGGGAAAGTTCAGCCTCCACAAGAGGACCTGGAGGCTCAGCTGGGGTCCCTTGCTGGTTGCAGAGGGTTTCGTCTCCTCAGGGCGCTCTGGTGTCTGAGCTGGGGCCTCTAATTGGGTTGAGGAAGAGCCCACCTCTTTGGCGCGCTCTGGAGGCTGAGCAGAGGCCTGTTCCTGGCTTGACATAAGTTCCTTCTGGCTCTGGAGTTAGCGCAAGCTCCACATCCACAGGTTTGACTGTGACACTGCGCAAGTGTGAGTGCTGAGCTTCACTCCAACTTTTCAATGGAACATTTACCTCATGATGTATCAATGGCAGAGCTACAATCTCTTCAGAGGCAGGTAGTTGCTGTGCTGGGGCCTCCTGCTCTGTTGAAGAAGAGTGGACCCCCTCAAGGCAGAGCTGGGGCCTCCTGCTGGGTTGAAGAAGGTTCTGCCTCTTCAGTGAGCTGTGGAAGCTGCTCTGGGGCTTCTTCCTGGAATGAAGAGGACTAGATCTCTTCAAGGGTCTCTGGATTTTGAGTTTCAGGCTCTACATGGAATTGAGAAAGTCCAACTCTCTCAGGGGGCCCTGGAGGCTCATCTGAGTTCATCTGGAGTTCTGGAGGCAGGCTGCTGCGATACACTGTATCCATACTTGAATCTAAATACTCATCCTGCAAAGTTTGTTTCTGACACTGAGGTTTTGATACAAATAGGTGTGGAGTTCCACACAACAACCTTAGCAAGCTTCAGATACTTAGCTAGATCTTTGTTCAGGTTCTTGGGCGAAACAGTAAACTTGGTTGCTTTTGAATTCTATCTTATTTATTTTATTTTGTTTTTTAATTTATTTTATATTTATTTATTTATTTTTTTTTTTTTGAGATGGAATCTCGCTTTGTCACCCAGGCTGGAGTGCAGTGGCACGATCTCGGCTCACTGCAACCTCCACCTCCCGGGTTCAAGCGATTCTCCTGCCTCAGCCTCCCGAGTAACTGCAGGCGCGTGCCACCAAGTCCTGCTAATTTTTTGTATTTTTAGTAGAGACGGAGTTTCACCGTGTTATCCAGGATGGTCTCTTATCTCCTGACCTCGTGATCCGCCCGCCTCAGCCTCCCAAAGTACTGGGATTATGTGAGCCACCGCGCCCGGCCTGAATTCTGACTATCTAGAGGTGGAACAAGTAAAGTATTTAATTTGCCTGATGATCTGCAGCCTGATCTAGATCTGCAGTATGAACCTTACTTTTGAGGCGAGGAGGCCGAGCAAAGGTCTGTTTCTGATCCCAGTCCAGCACTGAGACCCCCTCTGGGAGCCTTTCTTGCCAAGTCAGCTTGTCATTCAGGTCCTGGTGTGCAGCCGCTAACTGCTCTGGCCCCGGGGCCAGCTCTCCAGCTGAATCTGTGTCCAGGAATGGAACCAAAGTCTCGGTCAAAGTCTCAGTCGATTCCTGAGGCGGAGCTGACATCTGGGAGGAAGCAGAGGACCCCAGGTAATCAAAGTCCCCGGGGTCTGCCGGTGGGGGCGGGGGTCGGGGGTAAGCGCAAAGGGAGATTCGGGTGGGAGACTGGGGGAGCAGGAAAACCAGGGCTCAGTCGGCCCCAGAGGGTCGGAAGTCGGCTGGAGCCGGTCCTGGACCCACTCCAGAGGCTGAGCCTCCTGGACTAGTAGCCACAGTAGTTGCCAACCTGAGGAGGTGCCGTGGGACCCAGAGGCGCAGCTGGGACATGACAGGCGCTGGCGCCGCGCCCTGAGCCGGAGCCATTCTGGCAGCCCCGAGACGCTTGCGCCCCTGACAACCGCGCGCCCCGCCCCGTCCTTTATGACACCTGTATTTACACCGCCTTTATTAGGCTCGGGTCCAGATCCGCTCCGCGATCTTATCCCACAATCCCATCCAAACCCCACTTCCTGTCCCACCCCACCTCCGAACACCCCTCCCCTCCCCTTAGCGAGGAAAGATTTGGGATCCTGTTTGAAGGGAATTCTAAAAGGTCTGTGTTCAAGCAGCCCAGCACCCTTTACTCCTGGGTGGTGGGGGGAGACTAACCCCTTTCCTGTGTCCACAACTGTAGTAATACTCTAACCGTCCTCAGTTCTGCTCTCCAAACTTCAAATAAGGGGTCAGAGACATGGGTCAAGACTTCAGGAAAAGCCCCAGAAATACCCTGCACTCAAAAGCAGTTTCAGAGTTTCACATTTTCCTGAGAATGAAACAAATTATCCTCCAAATTCTGCTGCTTGTTTTGAATTATGTTTACGCTGGTTATGTTACCAGTGAGTTTTTATCTCCACATACTTGAATTAAACCGTGTAGTTCTTCTTTACATCTGACACCTACAATCTCTTCACTGGGTCTGTACTTCACAGCTATTTTACCACTTTCTGAAATAAAGTTAGCAAGGATCAATTCAGAATCTTTTTCGTTCTAAAACTTCCTGCACAGGCCGGGCGCGGTGGCTCATGCCTATAATCCCAGCACTTTGGGTGGCCGAGGCAGGCAGATCACCTGAGGTCGGGAGTTCGAGACTAGCCTGACCAACATGGAGAAACCCCGTCTCTACTAAAAATGCAAAAAATTAGCCGGGTGTGGTGGTGTGTGCCTGTAATTCCAGCTACTGGGGAGGCTGAGGTAGGAGAATCGCTTGATCCTGGGAGGCTGAGGTTGCAGTGAGCCGAGATCGCACCATTGCACTCCAGCCTGGGCAACAAGAGTGAAACTCCATCTAAAAAAAAAAAATCCTGCGTATAATGGTAGTACCCCATGATGAGACATTCTTTTTTTTTTTTTTTTTTGAGACAGAGTCTCGCTCTGTCACCCAAGGCTGGAGTGCAGTGGCGCGGGCTAGGCTCACTGCAACCTTCTAATGTGAAGTGTCTACTAGCCCAGTGGTCTCTATTCCATCTTTGAACTTACTTTGATTCCCACCTGATGCCTTACCATTTCATCTTTTGGTTTCTAAAAGCAGAAAATAAGAGCATTTTTCTGAAAGTTTCCTCATCTCCTCATCTCACACTTGTTTTCCTTCCTTCCTTCCTTCCTTCCTTCCTTCCTTCCTTCCTTCCTTCCCTTCCTTCCTTCCTTCTTTTTATAGGGGCTCACTCTGTTACCCAGGCTAGAGTTCAGTGGCACTATCATAGCTCACTGCTGCCTGGAATTCCTGGGCTCAAGTGATCCTCCTGCCTGAGCCTCCAGAGTAGCTGGGACTACAGGTACACACCACTGTGCCTGGGTAATTTTTTTTTTTTAAGACATGGTCTCGCTTTGTTGCCCAGGCTGGTCTCAAACTCCTGGCTTCAAGTGATCCTCCTGCCTTGGCCTCCCAAAGTGCTGAGATTACAGGTGTGAGTCCCCATGTCCGGGCTCACACCTCAGTTTTTTTGTTTTGTTTTGTTTTGTTTTTTGTTTGTTTGTTTTGAGACGGAGTCTCACTCTGTCACCCGGGCTGGGGCTGGAGTGCAGTGGCGCGATCTCGGCTCACTGCAAGCTCTGCCTCCTGGGTTCACGCCATTCTCCTGCCTGCCTCAGCTGGGACTACAGGTGCCTGCCACCACGCCTGGCTAATTTTTTGTATTTTTAGTAGAGATGGGGTTTCACAGTGTTAGCTAGGATGGTCTCGATCTCCTGACCTCATGATCCACCTGCCTCGGCCTCCCAAAGTGCTTGGATTACAGGCGTGAGCCACCACACCCAGCCCTCAGTTTTTAACATATGTATAAAATATTAACTGTGTTTGGTTCAAAGGACTTTATGATCTTACAGATAGGAACTAAGGAATAATAACATAAGAAATACAAAACTGTGGAAACGAAAATGTTCAATCATAATATGATTAAATGGTGGCCAGGCGTGGTGGTTCACGCCTGTAATCCTAGCACTTTTCGAGGCCGAGGCAGGCGGATCACCTGAGGTCAGGAGTTCAAGACCAGCCTGGTCAACGTGGTGAAACCTTATCTCTCCTAATAATACAAAAATTTGCCAGGCGTGGTGGCCCACGCCTATAATCCCAGCTACTCGGGAGGCTGAAGCATGAGAATTGCTTGAACCCGGGAGGCGGAGGTCTCAGTGAGTCAAGATCGCGCCACTGCACTCCAGCCCGAGTGACAGAGTGAAACTGTATCTCAAAAATAATAATAATGATATGATTAAATTCTAAGACATAATAAGGCGGGGGTCAAAGTAAGTTCAAATCTGGAATAGAGACCACTGGGCTGGTAGACACTTCACATTAGAAGCAAGGGCCAGGTGTCTACTCCCTGAGAACCAAAATTCCACCAGATACAATGAACAAAGTTTCAGAGAGAGAGAACATTTGAACATTTTATTGCAGAAACTGGCACACATACTCTATAGACAATACAACTTCCTTCCAGGCAAACTAGAGCCATAAGGCTTTTGGTCTAAGAGGTTTTGAAGGTGTGCAAGGGATACCTTCGAGTATGAGGGAGAGGTAAACAACCCACACATTCAGTTTGGTTCTTAAAGGTTGTTACTCAGACTTGACAGTTGATGACCAAGGAAGTAATACTTTCACTAGCAGGGCTGCCCAGGTTGGAAAGCTGAGAGCAATCAGGGCCGTCTCTTACAAGCAAATAAAGGTCTGTGGTAACTTAATTAGGATCTCTCAGTCTCTAAGCCTTCAGCACTGTGAAGCAGGAGCAACTCTGTTCAGGGACTCTTTGTTAATCATCAGGTTTCCTTTAGGCACAGCCTATAACATTTGTGCCACTGTAGAAGTGAATGGGGAATACAAACAATGCCATTCAATAGCATGACCACTTCCAAGGTTCACAGCAAAGCCGCTGATTATTGTATAAGAATCATACTTACGGCCTGCGCGGCAGCTCACGCCTGTAATACCAGCACTTTGGGAGGCTGAGGCGGCAGGATCACCTGAGGTCAGGAGTTCGAGACCAGCCTGACCAACATGGTGAAACCCCGTCTCTACTAAAAATACCAAAAATTAGCCAGGTGTGGTGGTGCATGCCTGTAATCCCAGATGCTCAGGAGGCTGAGACAGGAGAATCGCTGTAACCCGGGAGGCAAAGGTTGCAGTGAGCCAAGATCACACCACTGCACTCCCGCCTGAGCAAGAAGAGTGAAACTCCATCTCAAAAAAAAAAAAAAAGAAAAGAAAAGAAAGAAAAGGAAAGAAAAAGAGAAAAAGGTTTGGTTGGCTGGACATGGTGGCCCATGCCTGTAATCCCAGCACTTTGGGAGGCTGAGGCAGGTGGAGGCCAGGAGTTCAAGAACAGCCTGGCCAACATGGTGAAACCCCATCTCTACTAAAAATAGCCGGGTGTGGTGGCACAAATAGTGGAGAAAATTATGGATACCACCCTCCAAGTGATTGAGATTATTAATTCTAGGTAGCAGGCCAATTCAGACATATCCACTTATCCTCAATGGCAGGAGGCCTCTCATATCTCCTCACTACAACCCAGTTCAATATTTCTGTCTAAAGTCTAGGATTTCAATGTTGAAAGGAGAATAGGGTTGGTGAAAGAAAATCTACAAGGTTTGCCCTGATGATCCCTTTTGACCATCCATTGAAACCAAAGTAGCAATTTGTCAGTTCTTGGCATCGGGAACTGTTTAGGGCAATGGCCTGACATTGAACTGCCTTATGTCTGGTGCCGAGACGAAACTACAGTCACAAGAGATAGACCCATAAATATCACAACCTGCCAGAGATTTTATTTTGCATACACCTGACATTTATCAATACCAAGTGTGCAAAGAAAAGAAATTGTTTCAGTCTTCCCATTCAGTAGCTCCTGCTTGAGTATGTGACCTGAAGAACAGGTAAAAAGAACCCAACACCCATCCCCCTCCCCAAGTGACTAACCCGTGTTAAATGAAGAAATACACGTACCTCTATGAATTTTACAAGCAACTAAAACAACTAGAGGTTCATCTGCATTTATAAGCTTATTTGGGAATGCAAGTATCTACTGAGTGTTAATTCTTGAAATAATTTACACATTCCTGTGGATTTCTTACATCATCAATTCTTTTTGTTTTGTTTTGTTTTTTGAGACAGAGTCTCGCTCTGTCACCAGGCTGGAGTGCAGTGGCGCCATCCTGGCTCACTGCAACCTCCACGTCCCGGGATCAAGCGATTCTCCTGCCTCAGCCTCCCAAGTAGCTGCAACTATAGGTGTGCAAATCAATAAAGAATTAACTTTACTGTTAATTCTTATTAATTTCTAATACAAATAGATTTGACTTCATTTGTATCATTTGAATTTCATGAATATAATCATATACTACACTTAAAAAATAGACATATAAGAAAGAATTGGTGATGTAAGGCTGGGCACGGTGGCTCACACCTGTAATCCCAGCACTTTGGGAGGCCGAGGCGGGCGGATCACGAGGTCAAGAGATCGAGACTATCCTGGCTAACACGGTGAAACCCCGTCTCTACTAAAAATACAAAAAAAAAAAAATTAGCCGGGTGTGGTGGCGGGCACCTGTAGTCCCAGCTACTCAGGAGGCTGAGGCGGGAGAATGGCGTGAACCCAGAAGGCGAAGCTTGCAGTGAGCCAAGATTGCGCCACTGCACTCCAGCCTGGGCAACAGAGCGAGACTCTATAAAAAAAAAAATTAAATTACTTTCTCCAACTGAAGAGAAGGAGAAATGCATGTTGGGAAGGAGAAATGAAGACTAATTTTCGAATGTTGAGTGCTACCGGGAAGACTGGCCGGTATCATGAGTCACGGTGGAGTCTTTCTGGACAACCAGGATGCTTCAGAAGGACTCGGAGCTGCTGGGTGGTACAGACATTTGTCACCTTGGATAACCTTGCCACAGTTCTTGCTGGCAACAATTTCCCTTCATTTCACTGAAAAAAAAAAAAACAAAAACAAAAACAAAACCCTCTCAGGTGCCTTAGGCCTTTCCTTGATTTTATTTTAAAACATTATTCTCTTTTCTGTATTTATAAAAGGCAAAAAACACAGAAACTAGGTGTATGTGCTAAAGTAGAAAAGAACACTTAAACTAGATAACAGTGGGGGTCGAGTAGTAACCCCAGGCTCTAAGTTCAGTAAATAAATAAATCTAATATGAATTACATTTCTCCTCTCACCTGTCTGTTGAGTTGTAGAACATTTCCTTCATTGCTGCATCAGTGATGGGCTTTATGCTGTGAAATTCTCAAAACCTAAATCTTATGAAATGGTCTCAATGTCCAAAGAGCACTAAAAACTCATTACTTACAAAATGATACCAAGTAACTGTTTCATTTTTTTTTTTTTGAGATGGAATCTCGCTCTGTTGCCCAGGCTGGAGTACAGTGGCACGATCTTAGCTCACTGCAACCTCTGCCTCCCAGGTTCAAGTAATTCTCCTGCCTTAGCCTCCTGAGTAGCTGGGATTACAGCACGCACCACCACGCCTGGCTAATTTTTGTATTTTTAGTAGAGACGAGGTTTCACCATGTTGCTCAGGCTGGTCTCGAACTCCTGACCTCATGATCCACCCACCTCGGCCTCCCAAAGTGCTGGGAATACAGGCATGAGCCACTGCACCCAACCCGTTTCATAATCTTTACCGTACCTTTATATTTGAATGGCTATGTGAAATGGTCACAGGTTAGAAACATCATAGTCCAAAAGTTAAATAATACCTCGCAGGTAATTGTTTCAGTTACAGGAAGTGGAACCAGGACTGAAGAGGATTTTTATGGGTTCAGAATGGGAGAGTGTGTGCTGACTGGTTTGTGAGTATGCCAAAAAGGCTGAAAAAAAAAGGCACCACTTAAAGATGGGCACAGCGTAAAAAAACAGGGAAGAGTAGGCATATGTAAAATAGGTTAAAGGCAGGGATCGATCAGAGGAAAGCGTGCCAAACAGAAAGAGAGGTTCTCAATCTGTCCACGGATTTATCCAAGACTTGTAGCTTGGCTTTCAGCCTTTAAACTGTCTGGTTTGGAGGTCAGCTTTCATTGGGGACCCACCCCTGTCTGCCTAGGATCTGTCTGCCTCCTGCCGCTATCAATACCTTAACTTTAAAATATTGCCTAAAAAATGCTGACAATCATCTGAGCCTCTGGCAAGTCATGATCTTTTTGCTGGTGGAGGGTCTTGCCTCAATGTCATGCCTGCTGACTGATTAGGGTAGTGGTTGCTGAAGGGTTGGGTGGTCATAACAATTTCTTACAATAAGACAACAGTTATGTTTGTCACATTGATTGACTCTTCCTTTCACAAAAGATTTCTCTGTACCATGCACTGCTGTTTGATAGCATTTTACCCCCAGTAAAACTTCTTTCAAAATTGGAGTTGATCCTCTCAAACTCTGCTGCTGCTTATTAACTAAGCTTATGGAATATTGTAAATTCTTTGTTGCCATTTCAACAATGTTCATAGTATCTTCACCAGGAGTAGATTCCATCTCAAGAAACCACTTTCCTTGCTCATCCATAAGAAGCAACTCCTGGCCTGACGCGGTGGCTCACGCCTGTAATCCCAACACTTTGGGAGGCTGAGGCAGGCAGATCACCTGAGGTCAGAAGTTCGAGACCAGCCTGGCCAACATGGTGAAACCCCATCTCTACTAAAAATACAAAAATTAGCTGAGCATGGTGGCAAGTGCCTGTAATCCCAGCTAATCGGGAGGCTGAGGCAGGAGAACCGCTTGAACCCGGGAGGCAGAAGTTGCAGTGAGCCGAGATCACACCACTGCACTCCAGCCTGGGGCACAAGAGCCAGACTTCATCTCAAAAAAAAAAAAAAAAAAAAGGAGCAACTCCTCATCCATTCAAGTGTTATCATGAGATGGCAGCAATTCAGTTTCATCTTCAGGCTCCACTTCTAATTCTGGTTATCTTGCTATTTCCACAACATCTGCAGTTACTCTCCACTGAAGTCTGAACTCCTCAAAGTCATCCATAAGCATTGGAATCAACTTCTTCTAAATTGTTGTTGTTGTTTTTGAGATGGAGTCTTGCTCTGTCACCGAGGCTGGAGTGCAATGGCGTGATCTCAGCTCACTGCAACCTCTGCCTCCTGGGTTCAAGCAATTCTCCTGCCACGGCCTCCCAAGTAGTTGGGATTACAGGCACTCACCACCACGCCCAGCTAATTTTTGTATTTTTAGTAGAGACGGGGTTTCACCATGTTAGCCAGGATGGTCTTGATTTCCTGACCTCGTGATCTGCCTGCCTCGGCCTCCCAAAGTGCTGGGATTACAGGCGTGAGCCACCGCGCCCACCCAAGAGGAAGCACCATCTATGTCAGCAATAGCCTTACAGAATGAACTTCTGAAATAATAAGATTTGAAAGTGGAAATTACACCTTGATCCATGGGCTGTAGAACAGATGTTGTGTTAGCAGGCATGAAAACAACATTGATCTCCTTGTACATTTCCGTCAGAGCTCTTGGATGACCAAGTGCATTGTCAATGAGCAGTAATATTTTTTAAAGAATCTTTTTTTCTAAGCAGTAGGTCTCAACAGTAAACTTAAAATATTTGCTAAGCCATGCTATAAATATGTGCTGACATCCAGGCTTTGTTGTTCCATTTATAGAACACAGGCAGAGTAAATTTAGCATGATTATTAAGGGCCCTAGGATTTCTAGAAAGGTAAAAGACTATAAAGTCACCAGCTGCATTTGCCCCTATCAAGAGGGTCAGCCTATCCCTTGAAGCCAGGCATTGACTTCTCTCTAGTTATGAAAGTCCTAGCTGGCATCTTCTTCCAATAGAAGGTTGTTTCATCCACATTGAAAATCTGTTGTTGAGCGTAGCCACCTTCATCAGTGATCTGAGCTAGATCTCTCGACAACTTGCTGCAGCTTCTCCATCAGCACTTGCTGCTTCACCTTACACCTTTATGTTACAGAGACAGCTTCATTCCTTCAGCCAACCTCTGCGAGCTTCAAACTTTTCTTCTGAAGCTTCATCACCCCTCTCAGCCTTCATAGAATTCAAGAGAGTTGTGACCTTGCTCTGGATTAACTCTTCATCCAAATTAACTCTTCATCCTCAGCACCCAAATATATGACTCATAGGCAGTTCCACTGCATAAACAAACAACACAAAATGAGGAAATGGGGAGCAAAGTGCCAGACACTGCAAGTGTTTCTGGAATAAATTCCTTCCTGGCCTGGTCTTTGCAATCCAGATTGTCAGTTTCTGGGGAAAATAACTTTCTGTCATATAAACATCGGAGGAGCAAGGAGCGTAGGAGGCCTGGGACCATGGCTCAGGGTGGATTAGAATCAAGCACCAAAAAGCTTAAAGGAATTTCCGCTTTCCTTTGTTTATGGTGATTTACCAAAAGGCCTTTTGAGGAAGTAGTTCTGCCTTTGAGACCTTAGAGAAGCAGACAAGCTCCTGCAGGTTTCCTTCAAGCTTTCTCTCAGTTCTCCTCCTTGGGTCTGATTATTAAAAGACATAACCACCTCTGTGGTTTCTGTTACTTCCATCTTGGTTTCTTCTTTTCAAGCAACTGTGTGGATTTGACACCCAGCAATTACAAGAACCTGGATGAATGCAGGTCTCTTGCACCAGTTGTATTTCCTGCACTCTAGTAAAACAAAGCTCCTCGTCAGTCTGGCATAGCTGATACTCCCACTCCCGCCTCCACCCCTGCTCATCATAAAAGGATCCCTTGGATAGGACTTTACAGCTTTCAAGGCACTTTCACACGTTCAAGTCTTAAAGGCAGGGCAAGCAGAGCGCATGCAGAGATGGGGCCGTCCCGGCACCCGCTGCGGTCTCTCCCCCTGCCCAAGCCCAAGCATGATGCTGAGCTCAGTGCAAGTTTAATGATACTTTAGATTGATGGATCCCCTTAGTTTTCTAAACACTTTCTCAGAATATCTCATCTGATCATCATATTAAAATACAAAAAATTAGGCTGGCCGTGGTAGCTCACGCCTGAAATCCCAGCACTTTGGGAGGCTGAGGTGGGTGTATCACCTGAGGTCAGGAGTTCGAGAGCAGTCTGGCCAACATGGTGAAACCCCGTCTCTAGTAAAAATTAAAAAAAATTTAGCCGGGTGTGTTGGTGGGTGCCTGTAATCCCAGCTACTCGGGAGGCTGAGGCAGGAGAATCGCTTGAACCCTGGAGGCAGAGGTTGCAGTGAGCCGAGATCACGCCATTGCACTCCAGCTTGGGCAACAAGAGTGAAATTCCGTCTCGGAAAAAAAATAATAATAATAAATACAAAAAATGAGCTGGGCATGGTGGTACAAAAGTAATGCAGTTTTGCTATTGCTTTTAATGGCAAAAACCACAATTACTTTTGCACCATCCTACTAGTTCTTTGAGGTTGGCAAGGGGGGAATTCGCATCCCATTTCAGGGATGAAGGAAACTGAATCTCAGAGCCCTGAATGATTTTCCAAGGCCCCCCTGCAATGTAACCCTTCTGAGAAGATCTCATCAGAACTTCAACTCTGCCCACCACCAATAAGAGAACAATAAGAGCTAACATTTACTGAATGGCTCGCCTGGTGCAGGCGGTGCTTAGCGCCTCATATGTGCTCCACATCAGCAGGTAGAAAGGAAGTGGTTATCTTTAACCATTGTTGGATTCCCAAGGATGTCAGTCCAAACACGCTTCTTGGGCACTTATCCTGGGCCCAGGAAAGCAGTTCTGAAAATACAGAAAACAAGAACTAGTCGCACTTACAGTGCTTACTGTGGAGTCAGTGAGGCAAGATGAAATCACAAGAGGCTGGCGCAGTGGCTCACGCCTGTAATCCCAGCCCTTTGGGAGACCGAGGTGGGTGGATCACCTGAGGTCAGGAGTTCAAGACCAGCCGGACCAACATGGTGAAACCCCATCTCTACTAAAAATACAAAAATTAGCTAGGCATGGTTGTGGGCCCCTGTAATCCCAGCTACTTGGGAGGCTGAGGCACAAGAATCACTTGAACCCAGGCAGCAGAGGTTGCAGTGAGCCGAGATCACACCAGTGCACTCCAGCCTGGGCAACAGAGTGACACTCTGTCTCAAATAAAAAAAAAAAGAAAAGAAAAGAAAAAAAGAAATCACATGAAAGCAATGAGCCACGTGAACCTAATCCATGGGTAAGCAGGATGTGGTGTCATGATGTAGATTAGGTAATATCCACGGTTCCCAGCTCAAACTCTCTCTAACCATGTTTTTCCTCTACTCTCACACCACAACAATCAACACAGAAGGCTTCTGTGACCATGTGTGTGGAGGTTTGCCTCCACACACCAAGGACTGGACACCAGCTGGGTGTCCTCTAATTCTGTTCTGACACTATCTACATGGAGATAGTGTCAGATCCCACAGGCTGGGGGCTCAGTGTCCAAGACTGCCCCACTCCCACACCAGTCGCAAGTCCAGGCCTCCAGAACTTCTGGCCAACAGGCTTCAAGTTAGGCTTCCCATGACCCCTCTTTGGGTTCAATTAATTTGCTGAATCAGTTCACAGAACTCAGGGAGACACTTACATGTACTGGTTTATTAGAAGGATATTACAAAGGATACAGATGAAGATGATACAGAAGGGCTGGGCTCCCAACTAAACCCCACCCTTAAGCCTGGAACCATGGCCCTAGGTGAAAACAGCTGAACCCATTCTTCCACCCAAACGTTGCCTTTTTTGGCCTGCCCCGCCCCTATCCTGTTCCCATAAAAGACTTCAGCTGGCACAGCAACACAAGTGGCTGAGGGTCAGGATACAAGCATGTGAGCTGTGACCAGAGAAGCAACTGAGCATCGGAGACTACGGATAGATGCAGCTAACTTCAGATGGTGCAGCTTCTGAGAGGGGCCCAGCTGGAGACGGCCAGGCTTCAGGGAAAGATCACCTTCCCATCCCTTTTCCAGCCTCCCTTTCCACTGAGAGTCACTCACCACTCAATAAAGTCTTCCGCATTCATCACTTCTTTTTTTTTGAGACGGAGTCTCACTCTGTCTCTCAGGCTGGAGTGCAATGGCACGACATCGGCTCACTGCAACCTCCGCGTCCCGGGTTCAAGTGATTCTTGTGCCTCAGCCTCCAGAGTAGCTAGGACTACAGGCACGCGCCACCACACCTGGCTAATTTTTGTATTTTTAGTAGAGGCGAGGTTTCACCATGTTGGCCAGGCTGGTCTCAAACTCCTAACCTCAAGCGATCTGCCCACCTCAGCCTCCCAAAGTGCTAGGATTACAGGCGTGAGCCACTGCGCCCGGCCATTCATCACATTTCAAACAGTTCATGTGAGCTTATTCTTCCTGGATGCTGGACAAGAATCTGGGTGCCGAGAGGGCAGGGGCTCCCACTCTGACCCTCCACTGAGCTAGTTGGCACTCGACCAGCCCTGGACAGCAGAACTGAAAGAGCATTGGTTGTAACATGCTTGGACGCTGTGCGGGGCCCACACAGAACCTGATGCAGCCAGAGAGGAGCGAATGGCCGGTTCCAGCATTTGTCCCCTCGGGTTCCCACACTTATTCACTCACACTTTCCCTCCCATGAGGAGTGGTCAGTGACAGGCTGAGTGCAACAAGCCACTCCAGTTCCCACTCGCGAAGGGGGTTGAGGGAAGTATCCCATCTAAGAGACATGTAGGGTGAGGTGTGGGGGAAGGGGTACGGAGCTTCCACGCGCCCCCTGGGCCCATCACCCTCCAGGAAGCTCCAGTGTTCAGCTATCCAGAAGCTCACTGGGCCCTGTCCTCTTGGGGCTTGTTTTGTTTTGTTTTTGAGACAAGGTCTTGCTCTGTCACCCAGGCTTCAGTGTAGTGACGCAATCTCGGCTCACTGCAACTTCCACCTCCCAGGCTCAAGCAATCCTCCCACCTCAGCCTCCTGAGTGGCTGGGACTACAGGAGTGCACCACCAGGCCCAGTTACTTTTTTGTATTTTTAGTAGAAATGGAATTTTGCCACTTTGCCCAGGCTGGTCCCAAACTCCTGGCCTCAAGCAGTCCTCCTGCCTTGGCCTCCCAAAATGCTGAGATTAGAGGCGTGAGCCACCAAGCCTGGCCTCTTGGGTTTTTATGGAAGCTTCACGATGTCAGCATTCCTTCCCCCAGGGTGTGGTCTTCAGACTCATAGTCATGAAATCAGGGGAACATTCAGGTGAAAGGAGGGCAGGAGAAGGTCAGAGGCCTGCCCCTGAGGCCTAACATACCCAATGTTCTAACAAGACTGTAAGAAGGGCTCTGGGAGTTATCAGCCAGGAACAGCCCAACGAGTTCACCTTGCCTGCTGCCTAGACCGAGCCCGTTAGTCAAGACGGGAACTGCAATAGAGACAGTAATTCACACAGAGCCAGCTGTGTGGGAGACCAGAGTTTTATTATTTCTCAAATCAGTCTCCCTGAGCATTCAGGGATCAGAGTTTTCAAGGATAATTTGGTGGGTGGAGGGGCCAGTGAGTCGGAAGTGCTGACTCATTGGGTCGAAGATGAAATCATAGGGAGTTAAAGCTGTCCTCTTCCAGAGTCAGTTCCTGAGTGGGTCCACAAGATCACATGAGCCAGTTTATTGATCTGGGTGATGCCAGCTGATCCATCAAGTGCAGAATCTGTAAAATATCTGATCTTACTTCTTACAATAGTGATGTTGTCCCCAGGAGCAATTTGGGGAGGGTTAGAATCTTGTAGCCTCCAGCTGCCTGGCTCCTAAACCATAATTTCTAATCTTTCGGCTAATTTGTTAGTCCTACAAAGGCAGTCTGGTCCCCAGGCAAGAAGGGGGTTTGTTTAGGGGAATGAGCTGTTATCATCTTTGTTTCAAAGTAAAACTATAAATTTAAGCTCCTCCCAAATTTAGTTTGGCCTACTCCTAGGAATGAACAAAGACAGCTTGGAGGTTAGAAGCAAGATGGAGTTGGTTAGGTCAGATTGCTTTCACTGTCTCAGTTATAATTTTGCAATGGCAGTTTCAGAACCATAGATGAAAACCAATATATATCATAACACCACACAGACTACACTGTCAGAGTTACAGTAAATCAAAGGAGAGCGAAGATAGAAGATTTAGTGCTGCACTGTTCAATATGGCAGCTGCTAGCTATATGTGACCATTGAGCACCTAACACATGGCCAGTCTAAACTGAGATGTGCTGTAAGTGCAAAAAACACAACAGAGTTTTAAAACTTGGCACAAAAATAAGATTATAAACATATCTCGTTAATAATTTTTATATTGATTACATGTTTTGAGGACGTTGGGTTAAGTAAATTATTAAAATTAATTTGGTGGGGCACAGTGGCTCACACCTGTGATCCCAGCACTTTGGGAGGCTGAGGCAGGTGGATCACCTGAGGTCAGGAGTTCAAGACCAGCCTGGCCAACATGGTGAAACTCCGTATCTACTAAAAATACAAGAAATTAGCCAGTTGGGGTGGCTCATGCCTGTAGTCCCAGCTACTCAGAAGGCTCAGGCAGGAGAATCGCTTGAACCCGGGAGGTGGAGGTTGCAGTAAGTCGAGATTGCACCACTGCACTCTAGCCTGGGTGACAGAGCGAGACTCTGCCTCAAAAAATAATAATAATAATTTCACTTGTTTATTGTTTGTTACTGTTTTAGTGTGGCTACAAGAAAATTTTTAATTACATCTGAGACTTACCTCATACTTCTAGGAGTCAGGGCTGTTTTCAAATAATGATCAATGACCTTTTTTTTTTTTTTTTTTTTGAGACAGGGTCTCACTCTGTCACCCAGGCTGGAATACAGTGGTGCGATCTTGGCTCACGGCAACCTCCACCTTCCAGGTTCAAGCAATTCTCCTGCCTCAGCCTCCCGAGTAGCTGAGATTACAGGCACGTACCACCAGGCCTGGCTAATTTTTGTATTTTGTAGTAGAGGTGAGGTTTCACCATGCTGACCAGGCTGATCTTGAATTCCTAACCTCAACTGATCTGCCCGCCTCGGCCTCCCAAAGTTCTGGGATTACAGGCATGAGCCCCCGCACCCGGCCTATCAACATGTTTTAGATGCTTAACTAAACGCTAAGCGTGTTATGTGTGTTTCATTATTTAATATTTATGTAATCTTCACAATTTCATTATTATTTCATTTTACAGGTGAGGAAGCCATGGTTTAAAGCAGAGATCACCAACTGCTGGACCACAGACCTGCACGAGTTCACGGCCTGTTAGGAACCGAGCCACACAGCAGGAGGTGAGTGGCAGCCAAGGGAGCATTACTGCCTGAGCTCCGCCTCCTGTCAGATCAGTGGCAGCATTGGATTCTCATAGGAGCACAAACCCTATTGTGAACTGTGCATGCCAGGGATCCAGGTTGCACACTCCTTATGAGAATCTAATGCCTGATGATCTAAGGTGGAACAGTTTCATCCCAAAGCCATACACGGCAATCCAGTTCTTGGAAGAACTGTCTTCCACAAAATCAGTTCCTGGTGCTAAAAAGGTTGGGGACCACTGGTTTAAAGGACTTAGGCACATAGCTATTAAAAAGGATAAGTGAAATAAGCCAGGAAAGACAAACTTTACATGTTCCCACTTATTTGTGGGATCTAAAAATTTTAAAACAATTGAACTCATGGAGATAAAAAGTAGCCTGAGGGTTACCAGAGGCTGGGAAGGGCAGTCAGGGGTGGGTGGGAAGTGAGGATGAAGCAGGAAATGTCCCCAACCCCTTCACCGGTGGGAACCGGAGTGCATGGGCACTAGAACTAGCCGGCCGCTAGGGTGCCGGTGCTGGCAAGGACAGACTCCACTCACTCAGTCCTGCTTTGTCCCCCGCCTTGCAGGAGGGGAAGCACAGGTGAGTGAGTGCAGCAGTCGGGGCGAGCGCTTTTGGGTGCCAGGAGAAGCAAAACTCTGAGCAGTCCTGCGGTAGCCTCTAGGGAGATGCCCATGACCCCTGAAGCCCCAGAAAGAGTTACAGTCAGCGCTCTTTTAGCTTAGCCATCCACGGACAGCTTAAGTGTTAACAGCTCAGTGGGGGGTCAGTGTCTTTTGTACTCGCACCTGAGTTCTTGTCTGGCATCCAGGAGGAATGAGGTCACACAAAAGAATTGGAGATAGTAAGTTGGGGGGATTTAATTGCCAATGAAAGTGGCTCTCAGTGGGAAGGGGAGCTGAAATGGGGATGGAGTGGGAAGATAACCTTCCCCTGGAGTCCAGCCATCCCCCACTGCACTCATCTCCGAAGCAATGCTGTCAAGCTGTCCCTCTGAAGTCAAGCTACTTCTCTGTAACATCCAACTCATAGTCTCAGACATCCCGCTGCTTCTCCTTTTCTCCTCTTTTCTCCTCTTCTCTGCTGGCAGAGCCTAGGTGTTTATGGCCACAGGATAGGGGGCAGGGTGGGCCATGGGTGGTTTTATAAAGGCAACATTTGAGCAGGAAAACAGGAATGCATGTTCTCACTTTGCACTGCAGTTCCAGGCTTGAGGACGGGGCCCTCACCAGGGACCTGCCCTCTTCTGCCCAGAATTTCCCTGCCTCCTATCCTATCAGAGATAATTAATGGGTACAAAAAAATAGTTAAAGAATGAATAAGATCTTTATTTGATAGCACAACAGGATGACTTATAGTCAATAATAATTTAACTGTACATTTTAAAATAATTAAAGAAGGCTGGGCATGGTGGCTCACGCCTGTAATCCCAGCACTTTGGGAGGCCAAGGCAGGAGGATTGCTTGAACGTGGGAGTTCAAGACCAGCCTGGGCGTCATGGTGAAACCTCAACTGTACAAAAAATACAAAAATTAGCCAGACATGGTGACAGGCGCCTGTGGTCCTAGATACTCTGGAGGCTGAGGTAAGAGGATTGCTTGAGCAAGGTCAAGGCTGCAGAGATCTGTGATCACATCGCTGCCCTCTAGCCTGGGTGACAGAGAAAGATCCTGTCTCAAAAAAAAAAAAATAAAATAACTAAAAGAGTGTATCTGGGTTATTTGTAACACAAAGAATAAATGCTTGAGGTGATGGATACCCCACTTACCCTAATGTGATTATTACACATTATATACCTGTATCAAAATATCTCATGTACCCGATATATACACCTACTGTATATATGTACCCAGAAAATTACCCACAAAATTTAAAAATGTACCCACAAAAATTAAAAATTAAAAAAGATACATTAAAACTGTACATATTAGGATAGAAAGTGTCCATAATAATTTTTTTTTTTTTGAGATGGAGTCTCACTCTTTCGCCCAGGCTGGAGTGCAGTGGCGCTATCTCGGCTTACTGCAAACTCCGCCTCCCAGGTTCATGCCATTCTCCTGCCTCAGCCTCCCAAGTAGCTGGGACTACAGACGCCCGCCACCACGCCCAGCTAATTTTTTTGTATTTTTAGTAGAGACAGGGTTTCACCGTGTTAACCAGGATGGTCTCGGTCTCCTGACCTTGTGATCCACCTGCCTTGGCCTCCCAAAGTGCTGGTATTACAGGTGCGAGCCACTGCACCTGGCCAATAAATTTTTTTTTTATAATTATCACCCATTATCAGAAAAATAAAATATACCTATATAATTTCATAAAGAAATTAAGTGTCTTGCCCAAGGCCATCTAGCCAGCTAGCTGTACAGCCAGGACTTGAACCCTGGGCCTATGGTGACTCCAAGTTCACCCTTTACACCATGAGAACCAATAAAGGTAAAGAGACTTTGGAGGACATAAGAGGCAAACTCTCATTCATGTCAGGTCTTCTTTTTGCAATATCCTTGGAAGGTGGCCAGCCAGCATCTGCTTGAATACTTCCAACAACAGGGAGCTCATTACCTTCCTGGCAGCATGCTCCACTGTTGGCAGCTGGTTATTAGAATTTTCCTCCATCAAATGAGGAGAAATCTGTGCATCCTAATATCTGATCTTGAGTTCTGGATCCTCACAGAGGAGGTGACCCCCTTCAGCCAGACCAAAACTGGGCTGGCTTGCACTGGTCCCTAAGGAGAGACTTCAGGAGTGGGTCCAGTGGGTTCCACACTGCTTCATGGGGAAGGGAACACGAATCCATCCTATATCTCACTCCTCGCACCTCCACTGACCAGCACTTCCTGCAGACTTGCCCAGGTAAAGCTTGTCTGCTGTATGTGCACTGCTTCCATGATGGGGCTTTGGGGCCTCAGCTGCAGAAATGCCTGAATTTCCATTCATGGTAGGGCCTCCCACCCTTGAAAGAATAATTATCTGCCTGCTGAGCTGATAGGTTCCCATCTGGTGAGGGCTGAATGCCGTAGTTTTAGAAAAGACACCAGAAAAGGCAAGCTCCTGAACTGGCTTTGACAGATTCCCCCAGCTACTCTAAGGGAAAAAAAAAAAATGACTGAGGTGGGTGTCGGGTAGAGGGTTGGGGAGAAGGCCTAGAAAGGAAAAGAAAATGAATATGGGATGCTAATGAATTCCTGTGATCTCACTGTCTCCTATTCCAGCACATGCTCCTCTGCAGAAAGTGATGGGGCTGCCTTGCCAGCTGGAGCCTGAAACTGTGCCCAGGTAGACAGAACTGCGAGTCCCAGGACAGCCTGGGAAGTGTTGGCTGCCTGGTAATGGAAGAATGTCCAGGATGGAAAACAAGAGGCTGGATCTGCAAATGACATTGTATTTCAGGGGTCTGCTTTCCTGGTCTGCCCCTCCCCACCTCTGTAGCTCCCTCACAGTGACAGCAGAGCTGTGAACCCAGGAACAAACCCCACCATTGCCCCTGTCCTCTCTCATCTCTACTTTCCACATTGAAAAATAATAAAAGAGGCCAGGCATGGTGGCTCAAAACAGCTATAATACCAGCACTAGGATGCCAAGATGAGAGAATGGCTTGAGGCCAGGAGTTCAAGACCTGCCTGAGCAACATAGAGAGACCCACCCCCCAGTCTCTGCAAAAGCTAAAAATTAGCTGAGCATGGTGGGATGCACTTGAAGTCCCAGCTACTTGGAGGCTAAGTCAGGAGGATCACTTGAGCCCAGAAGGTTGAGGCTGTAATGAACCATGATTGTGCCACTGCATTCCAGCCTGGGTGACAGAGTGATATCCTGTCTCTAAAAAATAAATAAGGTAATAATAATAAAATAAATGCCCTCCAGGAGTTTCAGTAAAGGGTCTGAAGTATATAATTTGTACTTGTACCTCAGGCCAGCCTTCTGCCAGTAACCATGATTGCAGGCTGATCCCAAAAGTC
Source organism: Homo sapiens (assembly GCF_000001405.40). Classification (NCBI taxonomy): domain Eukaryota; kingdom Metazoa; phylum Chordata; class Mammalia; order Primates; family Hominidae; genus Homo; species Homo sapiens. The sequence continues at coordinate 39,008,958 of NC_000017.11, read as the reverse complement.
GTTGTCTTCATCTGTTTTATGCTACTATAACTGAATACCACATGCTGGGAAATTTACTAGGAATAGATGTGTACTTAGCTCACAGTTCTGGAGGCTGGGAAGTCCAAGAGCATGACACCAGCATCTGGTGAGGTCCTTTATGCAGCTTCATCCCATAGTGAAAGGCAGAAGGGCAAGAGAGCATGAGAAGGAGCAAGCAAGAGAGGGCCAAATTCGCTTTTATAACAACCTGCCCTCTCAATAGCAAACCCACTTCTGCAATAACAACATTAACCTATTCATAAGGGTGGAGTCCTCATGACCTAATCACCTCTTAATAATCCTACTTCTTAGAACCATCACAATGGCAATTAAATTTCAACATGAGTTTTGGAGGGGACATTCAAACCATAGCTGTACAGTTTATATAGCTAGCATGGTCAGGCTCAAGTAAAGCTATCGTAGGATTATTGATTGCCAATCATGTTCCAGGCTATGCCTTAAGTGCTTTGTATACTTGCAACAAATTTGTGAACTGAGAATTATTCTTATGAGTGTTTTCCAAACGCGGAAACAGGGTTCAGAAGACTTAAATAGGAAGGTTGCCCAGACAAAACAGCAGGAATTTGAACCCAGAGGGAATTTGAACCCAGGTCTGTTCTGCTCTAAAATCTGTGCTCTAAAAAAACAAACAAAATTTCTGTTATGGCAAATTTCTAATATACACAAAAGTTCTACAAACTAGTACCATGAATCACCACATATCTGCCACCAAGTTACAATAACCATCAACACAGGGCCACTCTTGTTGCATCTCCCCCTTCTCCCTAATTTTTTTTTTTTGTGTGTGAGATGGAGTTTCACTCTTGTTGCCAAGGCTGGAGTGCAATGAGGCGATCTCGGCTTACTGCAACCTCCTCCTCCTGGGTTCAAGTGATTCTCCTGCCTCAGCCTCCAGAATAGCGCCCACCACCACGCCCGGCTAATTTTTGTATTTTTAGTAGAGACAGGGTTTCACCATGTTAGCCAGGCTGGTCTCAAACTCCTGACCTCAGGTGATCTGCCCTCCTCAGCCTCCCAAAGTGCTGGGATTACAGGCATGAGCCACCATGCCCGGCCTACTTTTTGTATTTTTTTTTTTAGTAGAGACAGGGTTTCACCATGTTGGCCAGGCTGGTCTCGAACTCCTGACCTCAGGTGATCCACCCACCTCGGCCTCCCAAAGTGTTGGAATTATAGGCATGAGCCACCACGCATGGCCAATTAAGTCATTTTTAATGAAAATTAGATATCATGTCATTTCACCCATAAACAGTTCAACATGTGTCTCTAAAAGATAAAGACATTCTTAACCCCCTCAAAATAATATCTTTAGGTGAGAGATTACCAAGAAAATGTCTTGTTGTTCTTTGAAACAGAAAAATGGCAATATTTGCATTACCCCCAAAGGAAGAAAGCATTTCTTCGGATGTCTTGTGGCATTTTAGCATAACGTGGTGGGTGGGGCATAGTCATTGTCTGCTGAGTCCAGGAATGCCCACTGGGCAGCCCCTTAATCACAAGGATCTGTCCACCTTGCCCCGTGGAACAAGCTATTCTGCATGTTACCCCTAAGTAACATCAATTGATCCATAAAGAAAACCTGCTCATACCTATAATCCCAGCACTTGAGGCGGGCAGATCACCTGAGGTCGGGAGTTCCAGACCAGCCTGACCAACATGGAGAAACCCCATCTCTACTAAAAATACAAAATTAGCCAGGTGTGGTGGTGCATGCCTGTAATTCCAGCTACTCGGGAGGCTGAGGCAAGAGAATCGCTTGAACCCGGGAGGCAGAGGTTGCACTGAGCTGAGATCGCGCCATTGCACTCCAGCCTGGGCAACAAGAGTAAAACTCTGTCAAGAAAAAGGGGAGGGGAGGGGAGGGAAGGGGAGGGGAGGGAAGGGAAGGGAAGGGAAGGAAAGGAAAGAGAAAGAAAGAAAGGCATGCCTACTGGAAACCAGATGTAACCGGCTGTGCTGTCTCAGAACCTGTTACATGGTTCCCTGGTGTGTGTGTGTGTGTGTGTGTGTGTGTGTGTGTGTGTGTGTGTGTGATAAGATTCACATTTCTGAACATACCTATGTCTCAGACATTAAGCTAGGTGCTTTCAGATGTGCCAAGAACCTAACACTCAGGTTTTAAAATTTTGATTAGATTCTTGTAGTTCAGATTCCCATTTGGTTCAAAATTCTATTCTGTGCTGGAATAGTAGGGAAGAGAAGATACTCCCTTCAGAGGCTAAACCTATCAATCAGCAGCATTTCTTAAGAGAGAGTGAGAGAAAGAGTGTGTGAGTGTGGGTGAGTGTGTGTGTGTGTGTGTGTAAGCCACCCTGAGAGTCACCCTGGAAAGTACCAAGACTAGGCTATGGTTCCTCCCCTATCCTGCCATGGAAGAAATCTCCCTGCATTGGAGTCCACGGATACTTAGTAATCTCCTTCTCCCATGCTCCAGGGCTTGTGATCACTGTCCTAACAAGCTTGGGAGTTTAGTAGTTAGGGTGGATGAGACAAAAGTACACAAAGAGCCAGGTACGGTGGCTCAAGCCTGTAACCTTAGCACTTTGGGAGGCTGAGGCAGGAGGTTCGCTTGAGCCCAGGAGTTCAAGACCAGTCTGGGAAACATAGTGAGCCCTCATCTCTACCAAAAATAATGTTAAAAATTAGCTGGGCATGGTGGTGTGCACGTGTAGTCCTAGCTACTAGGGAGGCTGAGGCAGAGCTTGAACTGGGGTGGTTGAGGTTGAGTGCAGTGAGCTGTGATCATGCCACTGCACTCCAGCCTGGGTGACAGATCTAGATCCTCTCTCTTAAAAAAAAAAAAAAAAGGTACACAAAGAAGTGGATCTTGGCCGGGGGCGCTGGCTCACGCCTGTAATCCCAGCATTTTGGGAGGCTGAAGCAGGCAGTTCACCTGAGGTCAGAGGTCAGGAGTTCGAGACCAGCCTGCCCGACATGGTGAAACCCCGTCTCTACTAAAAATACAAAAATTAGCTGGGCATGGTGGCGCACGACTGTAATCCCAGCCACGCAGGAGACTGAGGCAGGAGAATCACTGGAACCCGGGAGGCGGAGGCTGCAATTAGTCGAGATCACACCACTGCACTCCAGACTGGGCGACAGAGTGAGACTCCGTCTAAGAAAAAAAAAAAGTAGATCTCCTAGGCAAAAGGTACCAAATACCACAGCAGATGTCATGAGGGGCAATACGGAAAAGCAGTAGCATCAACGTGTGATGAGAAAATCAGGAAAGCATAGGGGAGGAGCTGGTGGCATGTGAGATGTAGAATGTGCCCCAGAACTGTGAGCAGTTTGCTCTACCCAGCCATGTACTATGGACTCTAGAGGCCACACGATGGGTTCTACTCTGCAGTCCCTCCTCGCGATGATGCTGCTGATGGCCCTTATGGCGTGTTGGGGGCTTTGGTCCTATTTGTGCTCTTGGATAAGTGCAAGGTTTCCCCTGACTGCTCAGGGACGTCTGCCCCTAACACGGGACCCTTGTTGCTGGTGGAGATGGCTCTCAGGGTTTGCTTGTTAACCCCACAAAGCTGGGGGTTGCTGCAGCTCTCTGTGACTCTAGCAGATGGTTTGCTGGTTGAATCATTCGTTTTGTGCCACAGTGAGAATGACGAGGGGGTTGGAAGCACTGCTGGAGGGAAGAGTTATACCTGCTGGAGTCACGGCTCAAAATAGACCCATGGTTAGGACTTTTTTTTTTTTTTTTGAGTTGGAGTCTCACTGTCACCCAGGCTGGAGTGCAGTGGTGCAGTCTTGGCTCACTGCAACCTCCGCCCCTCAGGTTCAAGCCATTCTCCTGCCTCAGCCTACCGAGTAGCGGGATTACAGGCTTGCGCCACAACGCCCAGCTACTTTTTGTATTTTTAGTAGAGATGAGGTTTCACCATGTTGGTCAGACTGGTCTCAAACTCCTGACCTCAAGTGATCCGCCTACCTCGGCCTCCCAAAGTGCTAGGATTACAGGCGTGAGCCACCGCACCTGGCGATAATTAGAATTTTTACAGCCAGAGTGATGGAGGAGGGAATTATAAGAAGAAAGGCACAGGGGCAGGAACAATGCATTTTCAGAGAATTCCCAGTAAACGATGGGTGGTGGAGAGCAGGAGAGGAGAACCCTGGAGACGCATGTAGAGAAGCAGGATGGGGAAATTTTTAAAAACTCATAAAAATGTACTGAGGACTTAGACATAGCAATGGACAGCCAATGAAGGGGACTGGCGGAATTGTCACAAGACCTGAGGAATATTAATCTAACACAAATTAATAACACCATGGATTGGGAAGGAGGAAGAAATGGGGGCCAGGAGACCAGCTGGAAGGCCCTAAGTGCAATTACACCCTATTGTGATTGTGGCTTACTTCTGCAGGGCCCCCACCGGAATGCAGGGCTCTTGAAATAAGTGCTCTGCTGGCTTTCAAAATCTTGGGAATGGGACTGCACTGCATTAACTTTTTATTTTTCCAGTGCCTGGCACATAGTAGGTGCTCAATAAATATTTATTGAAAAGGAGAGAGAAAGACAGAAAAGGAAGGGAGAGAGAGACAAGGAGGGAGGAGGGAGGGGGAAGGGAAGGAAGTAGAAAAAAAATTATGAAAGCCAAACCTGTAAGGCTATGGAGATGGTTTAGATAGAGGTAATGAAGGCCTTTCTGGAGGGCACTCCAAACACGAAGGTGGGGAAACCACAGATACTTCTGTAAGAGGATCTATAGGACTTGGCAAGTGACTTGATGTGGGAGGAAAGCAAGAGTGAGGAATTTCTAGACGATCGGGAGAATGAGGGCACCATTAATAGAAATAAGACAAACGGGAACTGAAGTGGTTCGGTGGGAAAAGCAGTATGAGGATGATTTTCCTTTTTTTTTTTTTTTTTTTTTGAGATGGAGTCTCACTCTGTTGCCCAGGCTGGAGTGCAGTGGCATGATCTTGGCTCATTGCAGCCTCCGCCTCTTGGGTTCAAGGAATTCTTGTGCCTCAGCCTCCCGAGTAGCTGGGACTACAGGCATGCATCACCACGCCCAGCTAATTTTTTTGTATTTTTAGTAGAGATGAGGTTTCACCATGTTGGCCAGGCTGGTCGTGAACTCCTGGCCCCAAGTGATCCGCCTGCCTCAGCCTCCCAAAGTGCTGGGATTACAGGCGTGAGCCGTGGTGCCCAGCCATGGATGATTTTCATTTTGGACATTTTGAGTTTCAGGTGCCAGCAGGACCATCAAATGTAGCTGTCTAGCCAGCAGCTGGATACATGGACCGACAGCTCAGAAAGGAGCTCAGTGCTAAACGGCAGTCTGGGAAGACATCTGCAAAGAGGGCCTGATGGCAGTCCTGGGAGTGGGTGAGATCACGAAGCAGGAAGGAGAGAAAACAAGAGGCCAAAGGGCAAGAGTCTCGAGGATGCCAACACTTACGGGAAGAGAACAAGCAACTGTTGGAGAGAGAAAAGGAAAATGGGGAAAGTTCAGGATCCCTATCGCCAAGGAGGAGGGTTTCAGCAGGGCCAGATGCTTCCAAGATCAAGCCCGAGAAGAGCCTGCAATCCAGCAGCAATAGGAGGTCACAGGAGTTCTCAGAGGATCCACGGACTGTGACGTGCTGAGGGCGGATCCAGATTGTGCCGATTAAGAAAGAAGTGGGTGGTGAGATCCGGAAGCCGCCAGTAAAACACTCTTTGAAGGGCTTTGGCAGCAATGGGGGGAAGAAAGGAAGGACTGTGGCTCGAGGGGGAGGAGGGATGGGAGGAAGACTTGTTTTTAGAATGGGTGAGCTGAGAATGGATTTGTAGGTGGAAAAGAAGAAAACAGCCAGATGGGAAAGGAAGGAGGCAGAGGGCATTTGGTGGAGCGGAGAAGGCCCCGGAGAAGGAGGGGGAAATGAACAGAGTACATTTTTCTAAAGCACACTAATTGAAGTTGCACATCCATGGTAATAAGAAGTCCTCACATTTGAAAAGCAATGAAATGCAATCTCCAAAGTATTTTTATACACTCTATCTTATTTAATCCGGTGGGAGGTAGAGTACATTTATCTCTACTAAAATGTAAGGAGGTTAAATGATTTACCCAAGATCACCTCGCTCATCAACAGAAGAACTTGGGGTCAAGCACCTGTTGTGTCAGCACCGTGTGAGGTGCCTGAGAGCCCAGAAGGGACCGATAGAGGCTCCTGCCCTCAAGGAGCTCAAAGCCCAGGAGACTGAGCTTCCTTCTACTGGCAAAAATGCCCCAAAACATAATGTGCACAGAGGAGGACACTTTTTCAGACCGGGGAAGGGAGAGGAGTGGGATTCAAGGGAGGCTTTCCAGAAGAGGCGATGTTTGGGCTGAGCCTGGAAGGAAAAACCGCAATGACCCGGCTAAGTGGGCGGCGGCAAGAGGAAGTCCACTCCCAGCAAAGGAGGTTTGTGTGCAAGAGCCTGGGGCCTTTGGGAACTGTGAGCAATTCACTCCGCTGGAACACAGGGTAGGCGTGGCTGGGTACAGGAGAGGAGTGTGCCAAGATGGGGGTGGGAGGAACATGGCAGCCACCCTGAAGAATTCTAATTCCTTCCTTTTAAACCAGTGAGGCGTTTTGATCAAGGGAAAGATATCAGATTTGCATTCTAGAACACTCACTCTGGAGGTCCCCTGGAGGTAGTGCAGAGGATGGATTCAAGGAGGATGTTATGGGAGGCAGGGAGACTAGTTAAGATGCAAATACAGTGGCCTGGGCAAGAAAAGGGGAGGGCCTGGAAGGGGCAGTGGCATTTGTAATGGAACAGATAATGACTATCTGTCTGTGAAGAAAGAACTGGTCAGCCTTAGAGGAAGAATGAGATGAGGAAATAGGGAAAGGAAGGGTCTAGGATGATTTCCAGGTTCTGGCTTGAACAGAAGCAGGAAGAAAAGCAGATATTAGTGAGGATGGGGAGTTGGGTAGCAAATAAGTTCAGGACACATTGAGTTGAGAAGCCTATGGGACATCCAGGTGGAGGTGTCCACTTGGAGACAGAGGTCTGGAGCTCCTGGGGAGGCCGACCTAGAGATAATCTTTGTGAGTCATCAACATAAGTCACCAACATGAGCCACCAGTGGGGATGAGTGTTTGGAAGGAGAAGAGAAAAGGGCCTCTCACACAGCCTGGAGGAGCACTGGCATTTAAGAAGAAGGTGAAAGAAGCCAGGTGTGGTGGTTCACACCTATAATCCCAGCACTTTGGGAGGCCAAGGCAGGAGGATCACTTGAGCCCAGGAGTTCGAGACCAGCATGGGCAGGATGGCAAAACCTCATCCTACAAAAAATAAAATTAGCTAGGTGTGGTGGCATGTGCCTGTAGTCCCAGCTACTCGGGAGGCTGAGGCTGGAAGATGGTTTGAGCCTGGGAGGTCGGGGCTGCAGTGAACTGTGATTGCACCACTGCACTCCAATTGGAGTGGCAGAGCAAGACCCTGTCTCAAAGAAAAAAAAAAAAGGAAGAAAGAAGCAGGTGAAAAGGAGGTTGTGATATGACCAGTTGATATACAATAGATAGTAAAAAATGTTAAAACTATTTAAAAACAAAATGACGTTTTTAAAAATTGTAAAAATAGGCTGGTCGTGGTGGCTCACACCTGTAACCCCAGCATTTTGGGAGGCCGAGGCAGGTGGATCACTTGAGGTTAGGAGTTCAAGCCCAGCCTGGCCAACATGGTGAAACCCCATATCTACTAAAAGTACACAAATTAGCTGGGCGTGGTGGCAGCTGTAATCCCAGCTACTCAGGAGGCTGAGGCAGGAGAATCGCTTGAACCCAGGAGGCAGAGGCTGCAGTGAGCTGAGATTGTGCCACTGCACTCCAGCCTGAGCGACAGAGCGAGACTCCATCTCAAAATAAACAAACAAATTAAATAAATAAAAATTAAGATACAAAAATTAGCTGGGCATTGTGGCATGCTCCTGTAATCCCAGCTACTTAGGTGGCTGAGTCACAAGAATAGCTTGAACCCGGGAGGCAGAGGTTGCAGTAAGCCAAGATCACACCACTGCACTCCAGCCAGGGCGACAGAGCAAGACTGTCTCAAAAAATTTTTTAAAAATGGCAAAAATAGAAAAGAAAAGGCGGTGAGGAGAGGCCAGAGAGGCAGGAGAGAGAAAGTGATGTAGGAGAAGACATAGAGCTTGAGGGGGTCCTGTGGGAGGATGGTACTGAGAGTGAGAAGAGCACCATCTCGTTTGCTTTCAGGGGGAGGGGAGATGGCTTCCCCCAGGCTGGTCAGAGAAGGCTTTAGGAAATAGAAAAAACTGAGAAAAAGAAAAGCCCTTTCAAGCTGAGAAATGGAAGGGGAGAGGTTTGAGTTCCTCTTCGCTGTGTTTTCTTGACTCTTGCTGCCATAATCGGTGCATTCACAGAAAATAAAGCCTAGTCTCTGGTGAAATGTGGAGAATCAGATGTTCAAAATGTTTCTATTATGTGCTTCAAAGCCAGACTCGCTGAAAATGGAGACTATCCAATGTGATCATGCTGTCCTTAAAAACATTCCTTTGATAAACATTAAACTGTTCTGTTTACCAGAAATGTTAACAAGGAAAATAAACAGGGCTATTTAGGAGTATTTCAAAATTAAAGTTTAAAACATAAGAGAAAACAGGAGGCACACAAAAAAGAAAAATCCAAAACTTCATGAACATTGCAGACCTCAGCTGCCCTTGAAATCTTTTTCTCTGCCTAACATTATGTAATTCTTCATCAGCCAAATATATCAGTTTCACATGCTAAAATTCACTGTGTATGTGTCATACTTAAAGGACATGGTATTGAAAGGAAACAATAATATAAAGCTATGTACAAAGGTTTTGGAACCAATGCACATATAGACCTGAGAGTTATCTAAAGAAACTTTAAGGATATTATTGAAAAATAAGTGAGGGGGAACCAGACGTCCCCCTCAGATGGTGTAATTGACCCAGGCGCCCTAACTGATCCTCGTGCTGAAAACAACTAAAAATTCTGGATCAAATACTAAAAATATCTTCCTCTAAATAAATGAATGAAAGTAAGGAATATTCAGCCAAACCATGTGACAACAGATACCCAGAGAGATAAACAGAGCAATTGCCAAACCAGTAGCTTTCAGTTTTTAAGACCTTAAGGAGCTCCAGGGACAGAAGACAGAACTCAAGGTCTGCCCAAGATGGAGATTCTAATTGCATATTCTCTCACACAGGTGAGACCCTAAAGCTATACCCTTACTATTAGGCTAAACTAGAAATACATCTGACCACAAGGGGCTATAGCCAAAATGGCCTTGGTTCTTGGTACTACATAAAAGTGAAAAAGGGCCAGGTGTGGTGGCTCACGCCTGTAACCCCAGCACTTTGGGAGGCTGAGGCGGGTGGATCACGAGGTTGGGAGATCGAGACCATCCTGGCTAACACAGTGAAACCCCATCTCTACTAAAAATACAAAAAATTAGCCAGGCGTGGTGGCAGGCGCCTGTAGTCCCAGCTACTCCGGAGGCTGAGGCAGGAGAATGGTGTGAACCCAGGAGGCGGAGCTTGCAGTGAGCCAAGATTGCGCCACTGCATTCCAGCCTGGGTGACAGAGCAAGACTCCATCTCAAAAAAAAAAAAAAAAGTGAAAAAGAACTCCTGAAAAAGATATAAAAGCTAGTCCTAACAATTTGCAGTTTAGTTTCACAGGGTCGAATCGTCTGAAAAGCCTCCAGCAGAGATTTTAATTTAAAGTGGTCCTAAGGGCCAGGTGTGGTGGCTCACGCCTATAATCTCAGCACTTTGGGAGGCCAAGGCAAGTGGATCACCTGGCAAGTGGATCACCTGAGGTCGGCAGTTTGCGACCAGCCTGGCCAACATGATGAAACCCCATCTCTACTAAAAATACAAAAATTAGCTGGGCTTGGTGGCAGGCACCTGTAATTCCAGCTACTCGGGAGGCTGAGGCAGGAGAATCACTTAAACCCAAAAAACGGAGGTTGCAGTGAACCAAGATGGCACCACTGTACTCCAGCCTGGGTAACAAGAGTGAAACTCCACCTCAAAAATAAATAAATAAATAAATAAAATAAAACAAAGTGGTCCTAAGTACCTAAAGTGCTAGAAGAAGCATATGCAATTCTCTCTAGAAGAACCCACCTTTATCTCAGGCCTCAAAAAATTCCCACATATAGTTTTGATAAAAATAACCACAGAATCAAAAATCACAAAACCGAAACAAACTAGGCACCATGAGCAAAAGAAGCAGAAATATAGACAGCAGAATCAGACCTACAAAGACTGTAGATATAGAAATTATCAGAAACATGACATAAAATTACTATTTTAGAGCTTTTAAGAAATAAAAATGAGGCCAGGCATGGTGGCTCACACCTGTAATCCCAACACTTTGGGAGGCCGAGGTGGACAGATCACGAAGTCAAGAGATGGAGACCATCCTGGCCAACATGGTGAAACCCTGTCTCTACTAAAAATACAAAAATTAGTTGGGCATGGTGGTGCATGCCTGTAGTTCCAGCTACTCGGGAGGCTGAGGCAGGAGAATCGCTTAATCCCGGGACTGCGGAGGTTGCAGTGAACCCAGATGGTGCCACCGCACTCCAGCCTGGGTGACAGAGCAAGACTCTGTCTCAAAAAAAAAAAAAGAAAAAGAAAAAGAAAGACAGACAAATGGAATTAATAATAAAAGAATATACAAATGACCAAGCAGTTTTTTTTAAAAAAAATACAATTCTGGAGATGAAAAATATAGTAATAAAAATTTTAAATTCATTGGACAGATTTAATAGCAGGTTAGACACAACTGAAAAGAGAAGGCAGTTCAGAGGAAGAAGGGGTGAAAAAAAGCAGAGAAAACAGAGTGAAAGAAATGATGCAGATGACAGCACAGTGAGAAAAATAAATGGAAAATGAGCCGGGCACTGTATCTGTAATCTCACTGCTGGGATTATGGGCTCACACCTGTAATCCCAGCACTTTGGGAGGCCAAGGCAGGAGGATTGCTTGAGGCCAGGAGTTTGAGACCAGCCTAGGCAACATAGTGAGACCTAGTGTCTGCAAAAACACAAAAATTAGCCAGGTGTCGTGGTGCATGCCTGTAGTCCCAGCTACTCAGGAGGCTGAGGCAGGAGGATTGCTTGAGGCCTGGAGGTGGAGGTTGCAGTGAGTTGTGATTGCACCACTGCACTACAGCCTAGGTAACAGAGCAAGGCCTTGTCAAAAAAAAAGAAAAAGAAAGGGGAGGGCAGGGGAAGGGAGGGGAGAAGGAAGGGAGAAAGAGAGAGAGGAAGGGAAAGAAAGAGAGAGAGGAAGGGAAAGAAAGAAAATAAATGGAAAATAAGATACCCAGATTCAAGAACCTCAGTAACTTCATAACAGAAATAAAAGGAAATCCACATTTCAACACATTATAATAAAATTGCAGAGCACTGAAGACAGAGACTAGATCTTAGAAACAGACAAAAGAGGCTGGGCGCAGTGGCTTATACCTGTAATCCCAACACTTTGGGAGGCCGAGGCGGGTAGATTGCTTGAGGTCAGGCGTTCAAGACCAGCCTAGACAACATGGCAAAACCCCATCTCTACTAAAAATACAAAAAATTAGCTGAGCGTGGTGGCAGGCGCCTGTAATCCCAGCTACTTGGGAGGCTGAAGCAGAATTGCTTGAACCCAGGAGGTGGAGGTTGCAGTGAGCTGAGATTCATGCCATTGCACTCCAGCCTGGGCAACAAGAGCGAAACTCCATCTCAAAAAAAAAAAAAAAAAGAAAAGAAAAGAAACAGACAAAAGAGTCAGAAAACTTCAGCCTGAAACAATTTGATTGACAGCTGATTTCTCAAGAGCAACAATAAAAGTAAGATGATGATGGAATAATACCTTCAATGTGCTGAGGAAATTACCATCAACCTAGAACTCTATACCCACTGAAAATATCTATAAAGAACAAAGGAGAAGAAGGAGGAAGAGGAGGAGAGGAGGAGGAGGAATATCAAACAAATAGAACCTAAAATCATTTGCTACCAAAGACCCTTTTCTTAGGAAATTCTTAGGAAACGACAGATAAACAGATAGATGCCAGGCACAGTGGCTCACATCAATTACCTCAGCCTGAAGTAACTACTTCAGGCAGAAGGAACGTAACCTCAGATGGAAGGAATGAGATAAAGGAAGGAGTGAATCACATGTGAACTCTGTATTTTATCTGATCTGCTACTGACTACATAAAACTACAACAAAATCTACAGCTAACATCTAAAAAGCTAACAAGAGGGTGTCCACTGCCATCCGGACCCCCAGGGCCACAGGGTAGGCCCAGCCGTGGCTTGGTACTCCCTGTGGGCCTCAACAAGGGTCATAAGGTGACCAAGAGGGAGAGCAAGACAAAGCACAGCCCCCTGGCAGGCATGGCGCCAAGCACACCAGGTTCTTGTGGGGCGTGATCTGAGAAGCGTGGGCTTCACCTGAAACAAGCCAGCAACTTGCCCGCGGAGCTGTTCCAAATATCCACGGGAGATCTGGCCCTCACATTCATCAAGAAAAGGGTGGGGACATACATCCTCAGCAAGAGGGAGTGGGAAGGACTGAGCAGGGCCCCAGTCTTCATTAGGAAAGCAGCTGCCACAAGGACTGAGCTCCTCCTCTGTCTGTGCATAATGAAACCTTGATGGAATAAACCAAGACAGAATAAAATACACAGCCCGTAGCATAGAAGTCAGAAGGTGAGCGATTGGTGTTCAAGTGTTCTAAGGCCATTGTGGTGTATGGGAGAAGGTAAAAGGATAAAGATTTACTGTGGATTTTGGTAAGTCAAGCATGCACAATAAATTTTTAGGTCAGTCACTAAAAGATGAGAAATAGAATATTTAGCTTCCAAACTAGTAGAGGGGGAAAAATAAGAAAAAAATGAAGTGATGAAAAGTAATTGATCAAAAAGAAGAGAGAAGAAAAAAGTAAGCATAAAAAGGAAGAATCAAATAGACAATAAAAATATGTGTGTGTTTATATATATATATACACATACATAAACTTTCAAATGGTTTCAAACACACACACACACACACACACACACACACACACACACACTTTCAAATGGTTTAAATATATATATGGCCAGCTGAGTGGCTCATGCCTGTAATCCCAGCACTTTCGGAGGCTGAGGTGGGTGGATCACCTGAGGTCAGGAGTTTGAGACCAGCCTGGCCAACACGGTGAAACCCCGTCTCTACTAAAAATACAAAAATTAGCTGGGTGTGGTGGCAGGTGCCCATAATCCCAGCTACTCAGGAGGCCGAGGCAGGAGAATCGCTTGAACCCAGGAGGCGGAGGTTGCAGTGAGCCGAGATCATGCCATTGCACTCCAACCTGGGTGACAAGGCAAGACTCCATCTCCATATAGATATATAATGTATATATGTATGTGTGTATATATAAAAGATAGATGATTGATTGACAGATAAACAGGCAGATGCCAGGCATGGTGGCTGACATCAGTTGCCTCAGCCTTTTGAAAGGCTGAGATGGGAGTGATTGCTTCAGGCCAGGAGTTTGAAGCCAGCCTGGATAATAGTGAAACCCTGTCTCTACAAAATATTTTAAAATTAGCTAGGCACAGTGTCATGCACCTGTAGTCCCAGCTACTCCGGAGGCTGAGGTGGGAGGATCACTCCTTGAACCCAGGAGTTTGAGGCTGCCGTGAGTTATGATTTCACCACTGTACTCCAGCCTGGGCAACAGAGTGAGTCTTTGTCTCTAAAATTAAAAAAAAAAAAGTAAAGGTAAATAGACAAAGCAAAAATGATAAAATGTTAACAATTGTTGTAACTAGGTATTTGTGTGCTGATTGTACTGTTCTTTCACCTTTCATATACACTGACAATTTTTTGTAATGAAAAGTTATAGCTGGGTGCATTGGCTCATGCCTATAATACTAGCATTTTGGGAGGCTGAGGTGGGAGGATTGCTTGAGGCCAGGAGTTCAAGACCAGCCTGGTCAACACAGTGAGACACTGAATCTAAAAAAAAAGTTTAAAAAGTAAAGTAGCCGGGTGTAGTGGCTCACGCCTGTAATCTTAGCACTTTGGGAGGCCGAGGCAGGTGGATCACCTGAAGTCAGGAGTTCGAGACCAGCCTGGACAACATGTTGAAACCCCGTCTCTACTAAAAAATACAAAAATTAGCCAGGCGTGGTGGCACACGCCTGTAATCCCAGCTGCCCGGGAGGCTGAGGCAGGAGAATCGCTTGAATCTGGCAGGCAGCGGTTGCAGTGAGCCAAGATCGCACCATTGCACTCCAGCCTGGACGACAAGAGTGAGACTCCGTCTCGAAAAAAAAAAAAAGAGAGAGAGATACTTTATAATAGGATCAAATATATGAAGTACAGAGTAATAAATCAAACAAAAGATGTGCCAGAGCTCTCTAAGGAAAAAATAATAAAGCTTTATTAAAAGATTTAAAGAATACTAAAATAAATAGAGCACTGTGTTCATGCAATGCAAGATACACATTTATAAAAATGTCAGTTCTCCTTAAATTGATCTACAGATTCAATGCAATCTCAGTCAAAATCCCAACAGATTTTGTGAAGAATTTGACAAACTTATTCTAAAATGTAAATGAAAGTACAAAAGACCAGGAATAGCCAAGACAAAATAAAAGGACTTCCTTTCCAGATCTAGCCTCTTTAACAGTCAACAATGATTACGGAAGTGTGATATTGGAGCAAGGTCAGAAAAGTAGAGCACTGAAAACAATAGAAAGCCCAGAAATACACACCTGCCTCCATGCCACTTGACATATAACAGAGGGGGGCTTGTGGTTAGATAAGTGCAATAAATAGCACTAGGACATTGAGGATCTATACAGAAAAAAACAAAACGAACTCTACTTTTCACCACATACAAAATTCAGTTCCAGGTGAATCAGGAATCCAAATATGAAAAGTGAAAAATAACATAAAGCTTTTAGAAGATAATAAAAGAGAATATTTTCATGACCTCAGAATAGTGGAGGATTTCTTTTTCTTTCTTTCTTTTCTTTCTTTTTTTTTTTTTAGACATCGTCTTGCTTTGTCGCCCAGGCTAGAGTGTGGAGCGTAGTGATGCAATCTCGGCTCACTGCATCCTCCACCTCCCAGGTTCAAGCGATTCTCCTACCTCAGCCTCCTGAGTAGTTGGGATTACAGCTATGTGCCACCATGCCCGGCTAATTTTTGTATTTTTAGTAGAGACGGGGTTTCACCTTGGCCAGGCTGGTCTTGAACTCCTGACCTCCAGTGATCTGCCCACCTCAGTCTGCCAACGTGCAGGGATTACAGGTGTGAGCCACCACGCCCCACCAGAATAGTGGAGGATTTCTTAAACAGGAGGCAGAAAGGCAATGTTGCTCTCCAGGGCACTTTCGGCAATGTCTGGAGACATTTTTGGTTATCATAATTTGGGCAGAAGGGTGCTATTGGTATCTAATGGACAGAGGCCAGGGATGCTGGTAAACCTCCTACAATATACAGGACAGCCCCCAACACACACACACGCGCACACACACACACACACACACACAGAGTCACACACACAAAAAAAACAAGGAATTTTCCAGCCCAAAATGTCAATAGTGCCAAGATTGAGACATTCTACTACGTTCATACTAAAGAACATCTGTTCATGAAAAGATACCATTAAGAGACTAAAAATTATCTAGGATACAGAAAGAAGCACAATCAATAAAAAGACAACACAATGGGAAAATGGGAAGACATGGGTATATCCTTCAGAAAAAAGGAAATCCAAAGACTAACAAACCAAACATACAAAAAAGATGCCCAACCTAAGTAGTAATCAGAGAAATATAAATTAAAAATCATTGGCCAGGTACAGTGGCTCATGCCTGTAATCCCAACATTTTGGGAGGCTGAGGTGGGAGGATTGCTTGAGGCCAGGAGTTGGAGACCAGCTTGGGTAATGTAGGGAGACCACTGTCTCTACCAAAAAGAATTAGGCAGCCATGGCAGTGTGCATCTGTAGTCCCAGCTCCTCAGGAGGCTGAGGCAGAAGGATCACTTGAGCCCAGGAGTTCAAGGTTACAGTGAGTTATGAAAGTAACACTGCACTCCAACATCGGTGACAGCAACTCTAAATAATAATAATAATAATGAGATACAATTTACAACTATGGGACAGGCGCGGTGGCACACGCCTGTAATCTCAGCACTTTGGGAGGCCGAGTGGGCGGATCACCTGAGGTCAGGAGTTTGGGACCAGCCTGGCCAACATGGTGAAACCCCATCTCTACTAAAAATACAAAAATTAGCCGGGTGTGGTGGCGGGCACCTGTAATCCCAGCTACTCAGGAGGCTGAGGCAGGAGAATTGCTTGAACCTGGGAGGCAGAGGTTGCAGTGAGCCGAGATCGCGCCATTGCACTCCAGCCTGGGCGACAGAGCAAGACGCAGTCTCAAAAAAAAAAAAAAGAACAATTTACAACTATCAGATTGGCAAAAAATAAAGTCTTACTACTAAATGTTAGGCAAAGGTATGGAACAACAGGAAATATATACTGGAATGAGAGTATAAATTGTTACAACCACGTTGATAAACAGTTTGTCAGTTGAAGATGTTCAGTTTCTAAGACCCAGCAATTCTGTTTTTAGCTACACACCCCAGATAAATGCTTCTGCACTTGCACCAGGAGATCTTTTAAAAATATATACATTAAAGCATTATTTATAATAACAAAATAATGTAAACAACTCAGACATTCCTCAATAGTAGAATGGATAAATCATGGTACATTCATTTATTGGAATGCCATATATCAGGAACAATTAGTAAGTTTTAGCTACATATATCGATATGAAAGACCCTCCATATTCTCACACTGCTGTAAAGAACTACCTGAGGCCAGGCGAGGTGGCTCATGCCTGCAATCCCAGCACTTTGGGAGGCCGAGGCAGATGGATCACCTGAGGCCAGGAGTTCGTGACCAGCCTGACCAACATGGTGAAACCCCGTCTCTACTGAAAATACAAAATTAGCCAGGCATGGTGGTGCATGCCTATAATTCCAGCTACTCAGGAGGCTAAGGCAAGAGAATCGCTTGAACCCAGGAGGCGGAGGTTGCAGTGAGGTGAGATTGCACCACTGCACTCCAGCCTGGGCAACAAGAGCAAAACTCCGTCTCAAAAAAAAAAAAAAAAAAAAAAAAAGAACTACCTGAGACTGGATAATGTATTTTTAAAAAGAGGTTTAAGTGACTCACAGTTCCACAGGCTATATAGGAAGCATGGCTGGGAGGCCTAAGGAAACTTACAGTCATGGCAGAAGGCCAAGGGGAAGCAACCACCTCTTACTGCAGCGGAGCAGGAGAGAGAGAGCAAGCGGGGAGGTGCCACACGCTTTTAAACCATCAGATCTTGTGAGAACTCACTCACTATCACAAGAACAGCAAGGAGGAAATCCACCTCCATGATCCAATCACCTACTACCAGGCCACTCTTCCAATTCCACAGATTTGCGTAGGGACAAAAATGCAAACTGTATCGGGGGGTCTTGCAAAAATATTGTGAAAATGCAATATTCAATAAAGAAGCAAGCTACAAGAGTATATATACTGTGTGGTTCCACTGAAAAAATTTATGAGACAAAATTAAATAATAAACAGGTTAGAGATACTCTATAGGAGGTAAAAATTATTTTTAGAATGATTATGGTACTGCATAAAGACAGAAAAATAGACCAATAGAATAGAATAGAGCCCAGAAAAAACCCTTGCATATTTAGTCAAACGACTTTCAACAAGGATGCCACGGCCTTTCAGTGGGGGAAAGGACAGTCTTTTCAACAAATGGTGTTGGGAAAAACTGGACATCCACATGCAAAAAAAATGAAGTTGGACCCTTACCTTACTATGTACAAAAATTAATTAAAAATGAGTCAAGGCCGGGCGCGGTGGCTCATGCCTATAATCCCAGCACTTTGGGAGGCCGAGGTGGGCAGATCACGAGGTCAGGAGTTCCAGACCAGCCAGACCAACATGGTAAAACCCCGTCTCTACTAAAAATACAAAAATTAGCCGGGCGTGGTGGCGTGCGACTATAATCCCAGCTACTCAGGAGGCTGAGGCAGAAGAATCGCTTAAACCAGGGAGGCAGAGGTTGCAGTGAGCCAAGATTGCGCCACTGCACTCCAGCCTGGACGACAGAGCAAGACTCTGTCTCAAAAAAATAATAATAAAATAAAATAAAAATAAAAAATAAAAAAAAGTGAGTCAAAGAACTAAAGATCTTAGAAGACGGGAAAACTTTGTAACATCAGATTTGGAAATGATTTCTTGGATATGACACCAAAACACAAACAACAACTACAAAAAAATAGATAAGCTAGATTTTGCCAAAATTAAGCAACTTTTGTGCATCAGAAGACACTATCAAGGCTAGGTGTGGTGGCTCACGTCTGTACTCCCAGCACTTTTAGGAGGCTGGAGCAGGCGGATCACTTGAGCCCAGGAGTTCAAGACCAGCCTGGGCAACATGATGAAACCCCATCTCTACTAAAAACACAAAAATTGCCCGAGTGTGGTGGTATGTGCCTATAGTCCCAGCTGCTTGGGAGGCTGAGGTGGGACGATCACCTGAGCCTGGGAGGTTGAGGCTGCAGTGAGACGTGATTATGCCTCCGCCCTCCAGCCTGGGTGACAGAGCAAGACCCTGTCTCAAAAAAACAAAAATGCAAACAACCCCAAAACACTAACAACAAAGTGAAAAGGCAACCCTTGGAATGGGAGAAAATATTAGCAAATCATTTCTTTAATAAGGAATTGATATCTGGAATAGATAAAGAATTTTACAACACAACAACAAAAAAGCAAACAACCTGAAGACTTGAATAGACATTTCTCCAAAGAAGATATACAACTGAAAAATAAGCACATAAAAAGATGCTGGCCGGGCGCGGTGGCTCACACCTGTAATCCCAGCACTTTGGGAAGCCGAGGCAGGCGGATCACGAGGTCAGGAGATTGAGACCATCCTGGCTAAAACGATGAAACCCTGTCTCTACTAAAAAAAAAAACAAAAAATTAGCCGGGCGTGGTGGCGGGCGCCTGTAGTCCCAGCAACTCGGGAGGCTGAGGCAGGAGAATGGCGTGAACCCGGGAGGCAGAGCTTGCAGTGAGCCGAGATCGTGCCAGTGCACTCCAGCCTGGGGGACAGAGCAAGACTCCGTCTCAAAAAAAAAAAAAGATGCTCAGCCGGGCGCAGCGTCTCACGCCTGTAATGCTAGCACTTTGGGAGGCTGAGCTGGGGGGATCACCTGAGGTCAGGAGTTCAAGACCAGCCTGGCCAACATAGTGAAACCCTGTCTCTACTAAAAATACAAAAATTAGCTGGGCATGGCAGCGGGCTTGCTTCTTGGGAGGCTGAGGCAAGAGAATCGCTTGAACCTGGGAGGTGGAGATTGCAGTGAGCTGAGATCATGCCATTGCCACTCAGCCTGGGCAACAAGAGCAAAACTCTGTCTCAAAGAAAAAAGATGTTCTCAACATCACTTATCATTAGGGAAATACAAATCAAAACCATAATGATAATTAAAACAAAGCATCACCAAAAACATGAAAAAGAAAGAAAAAAATGAGCTATCACTTCACACCCATTAGGATGCCATTGTCAAGAAAACAGAAAATAACAAGTTGTTACTGAAGATGTGGAGAAATTGGAACACTTGCACATTGGTGGTAAGAATGTAAAATGGTGCAGCCAGTGTGGCAATTTTTCAAAACATTAAACATAGGGCCGGGCGCAGTGGCTCATGACTGTAATCCCAGCACTTTGGGAGGCCGAGGTGGGCAGATCACCTGAGGTCAGGAGTTTGAGACCAGCCTGGCCAACATGGTGAAACCCCGTCTCTACTAAATACAAAAACTTAGCCGGGCATGGTAGCACATGCCTGTAATCCCAGCTACTTGGGAGGCTGAGGCAGGAGAATCACTTGAACCCAGGAGGTGGAGATTGCAATGAGCTGAGATTGCACCATTGCACTCCAGCCTGGGCAACAAGAGTGAAAATTCCGCCTCAAAAAGAAAAAGGAAAAAAAAAAGAAAGTAAAATGATGCAGCCATGTGGCAGTTTTTCAAAAAATTAAACATAGGGCCAGGCGCTGTGGCTCACACCTGTAATCCCAGCACTTTGGGAGGCCAAGGCAGGCGGATCACCTGAGGTCAGGAGTTTGAGACCAGCCTGGTCAACGTGGTGAAACCCTGTCTCTACTAAAAATACAAAAAAAATAAAAATAAAAATTAGCCGGGCGTGGTGGCGGGCGCCTGTAGTCCCAGCAACTCGGGAGGCTGAGGCAGGAGAATGGCGTGAACCCGGGAGGCAGAGTTTGCAGTGAGCCGAGATCATGCCAGTGCACTCCAGCCTGGGCAACAAGAATGAAACTCCATCTCAAATTAAAAAAAAAAAATTAGACATAGAATTATCACATCATCCAGTAATTCCTCTTCTGGGTATATACCCAAAAGACGTGAAAGCAAGGACTCTAATGGTATTTGGACATCCATGTTCATAGCACAATTATTCATAATAACCAAGAGATAGAAACAACCTATGTCCATCAACAGATGAATGGATAAACAAAATGTGGGTGTACCTACAATAGAATATTATTTAGCCTTTAAATGGAAGAAAATTCTGACACATACTACAACATGGATGAACCTTGACAACTTTACAGTAAGTGAAATAAGCCAGTCACAAAAGGACAAATATTGAATGATTCTACCTATATGAGGTAGCTGGAGCAGTCAAAATCACAGAGACAGAAAGTAGAATGGGTGGTGCCAGGGACTGGGGAGAGGCAGGATTGGGTAGTTATTGTTTGATGGATACAGTGTCTCATTTGGGGAAGATGAAAAAGTTCTGGAGATGGATGGTAGTCATAGTTGCACAGCAATGTGAATGGACTTAATGCCACAGAACTGTACACTTAAAAATGGTTGGCCGGGTGCGGTGGCTCATGCCTGTAATCCCAGCACTTTGGGAGGCTGAGGTGGGCAGATCACAAGGTCAGGAGATCAAGACCATCCTGGCCAACATGGTGAAACCCCGTCTCTACTAAAAATACAAAAATTAGCCAGGCTTGGTGGCGCATGCCTGTAATCCCAGCTACTCGGGAGGCTGAGGCAGGAGAATTGCTTGAACCCGGGAGGCGGAGGCTGCAGTGAGCCGAGATTGCGACACTGCACTCCAGCCTGGGCAACACAGCAAGACTCCGTCTCACAAAAAAAAAAAAAAAAAAAAAGTGGTTAAAATGTTAACTTTCATGTTGTGTATATTTTACACTATAAAAAGTGGTTAGTACAATTCCAGATAGTATTCTTCTCTCGGAAGAAGAAAGGAGATGCAATTGGAGAAGTGGCACATGGGCTCCCTGAACGTGACAATGTTCTCTTGCTTGACTGGCAAAAGATTCATGTGTGTTCATTTTATTGTTTTTTTTAATTACTTTTTTTAATTTTTTTTTTGAGATGGGAGTCTCCCTAGTCTCACTTGGTCACCCAGGCTGGAGTGCAGTGGCACAATCTGTGCTCACTGCAACCTCCGCCTCCTGAGTTCAAGCGATTCTCCCGCCTCAGCCTCCGGAGTAGCTGGGACTATAGGCGTGCCACCACCACACCCGGCTAATTTTTGTATTTTTAGTAGAGACGGGGTTTCACCATGTTGGCCAGGCTGGTCTTGAAATCCTGACCTCAGAGGATCCACCCATCTTGGCCTCCTGAAATGCTGAGATTACAGGCATGAGCCACTGCGCCCGACCCTTTATTTTATTTTTGATATAGGGTTTCCCTCTGTGGCCCAGGCTGGAGGGCAGTGGAATGGTCATAACTCACTGCAGCTTTGACTTCCTGGGCTCAAGCTGTTCTCTCACCTTAGCACCCTAAGTTGCTGGGACCATAGGCACATACCACTGCCAGGCTAATTTTTTTTTTTTTTTTTCAGTAGAGACGAGGTCTTGCTATGTTGCCCAGGCTGGTTTCAAACTCCTAAGCTCAAGCGATCTTCTTGCCTCAGCCTCCCAGTGTGCTGGGATTACAGGCATAAGCCACCACACCCAGCCTTAAATCATTTTTTTCATGCGTGATTTTCTTTTTTTTTAATGGAGTCTCGCTCTATTGCCCAGGCTGAAGTGCAGTGGTGCGATCTCAGCTCACTGCAACCTCCACCTCCCAGGTTCAAGCTATTCTCCCGCCTCAGCTTCCCAAGTAGTTGGGATTACAGGTGTGCACCACCACGCCTAGCTAATTTTGTGTTTTTAGTAGAGACAGGGTTTCACCATGTTGGTCAGGCTGGTCTCGTACTCCTGATCTCAGGTGGTCCATTCGCCTTGGCCTCCCAAAGTGCTGGGATTACAGGCGTGAACCACTGCGCCCAGCCAACATGCATGATTTTGTATGCATGCTATATTTCTGTTAAAATTTTAAGCACTTATATACATATAAATATTAGGAATACAAACACATGTGGTAAAACTATAATTAAAAACAAAGGAATTTAAAAACATGAATTCAGGATAATGGTTACCTCCAAGGAGAGAAAGAAGGGAGGGGACCTAGGAGGGAATCCCAGTGGACTTCAAAGTTCACAATGATGTTGTTCCTCACGTTTCTTACATGAGTGGTGGGGAATACATAAGGGTCCATTGTATCATGATTCTTTATTACTTTATATATTTTGCAAATATTATTTTGATCTCTTCAATATTTAATAATTTTTTTTGAGACAAGGTCTCACTCTGTCACCCAGGCTGGAGTGCAGTGGCGTGAACGTGGCTCACTCTAGCCTCAACCTCCCAGGCTCACGTGATCCTCCCACCTCAGCCTCCCAGGTAGCTGGGACTACAGGTGGGTGCCACCATGCCTAGTTCATTTTTTACATTTTTTGGTAACATTTTTGGTTTCATCATGTTACCCAGGCTGGTCTCAAACTCCTGGGCTCAAGTGATCCTCCCATGTCAGCCTATCAAAGTGCTGGGATTATAGGTATGAGCCACCACACCTGGCCATAAATGTAATTTTAAAAGACATTCCTAACAATATAGTTTTTTTGTTGTTGTTTAAGTTTGGGCTTTATTTGTAAATCTGGCTCAGTGTCAACACCAAGGCCATCTACTTGATTGGACTTGTCTAGACTGCTTCTTTTCCTAATGCCTTTGTGGTGCTGTGTGATGACCATAACCCTCAGAAAAAATACTTGTGATGGACAATTTCAATACATAGTAAACTATCATTCTTCTTTATGCAAGTGGCTAAAAGGAGAAAATGGCCCTTTTCGGGGTAAAGTTTTACTGAGGCTCCTCAGGTACCTCGAAGGGTACAAACCGGGCCACTATGTCCTTTGGCTGCGTGCAGCCCATTAGCTTCCTCGGCCATTTTCCAACGTTAACAAAGGAACAATACCTAAAATACAGCCTCAGGACAGACGTGGTGCCTCACTCCCATAATCCCAGCACTTTGGGAGGCCAAGGAGGGCGGATCACTTGAGGCCAGGAGTTCAACACCACCCTCACCGACATGGTGAAACCCTGTCTCTACAAAAAACACAAAAATTAGCCGGGTGTGGGGATGCATGCCTGTAATTCCAGCTACTCGGGAGGCTGAAGCAGGAGAATCACCTGAACCTGGGAGGCAGAAGTTGCAGTGAGCTGAGATCATATCACTGTACTCCAGCCTGGGTGATGGAACAAGACTCCGTCTCAAAAAATAAATAAATAAAATAAATAAAATACAGCCACATAAGTAGCCTGTCATGTTTGATAATAAAAACATTTTTCTAGGATAAAGTACCAAGTATCTCTACTATTACATCAGAAAGTATGTACAGCTTATTATAATGGGAGTCCAGAGAGCTGCTTAGCTGAGCCCCCATTGTCACAAAGGGTCATCAAATTCAAACTTTGACGTCATCTCCAAATGAGAGCACAACAGTCTCAAAAATGAGCAAGAATGAAGATATCCCTACAACTTTATGTTGTTGCTTTGAAAAAAAAAAAAAAGAAGAAATGAAGATATTCATTATACAGCCTTAAGCATATGTCCCAATACCAGCCCACACACTTTCTTTAGTGCCCTGTGAATTAATATTTCATATGTCCTATTATTACCTTATGACTGGCACAGTTATATTGCAATGTATTCCTTGGTTTGGAATTCTAACTTATTAAACATAAATTTTTTTAATGTAACACAAATTTTATAACACTGCTTTGGTGTTTCTTCGTTTTGTAATATGAGCTTTTAAAATTTTGGGTTGGTTGTCTTTGACTTTGTAATGAAAAAAAATTGACAGATTGACAGAGCACGGTGGCTCACACCTATAATCCCAACACTTTGGGAGGCTAGGGTGGGCAGATGACCTGAGGACAGGAGTTCAAGACCAGCTTGGCCAATATAGTAAAACCCTGTCTCTACTAAAAAATACAAAAAATTAGCCAGGTGTGGTGGCAGGTGCCTGTAATCCCAGCTACTCAGGAGGCTGAGGCAGGAGAATTGCTTGAACCTGGGAGGCAGAGGTTGCAGTGAGCCAAGATTATACCACTGAACTCCAGCCTGGGTAACAGAGGGAGACTCAGTCTCAAAAAAAAAAAAAAAAAAAAAGGTGGAGAGAGGGGAAGTTCTGGAAATATCCCAAAGCTTTTTCTATCATAACTTAATATTATATTTTTATGTCTAATTAAATTTGCAGCCAGGTACAGTGGCTCACATCTGTAATCCGAGCACTTTGGGAGGCTGAGGCAGGAGGATTGCTTGAGCCTATAAGATTGAGGCTGCAGTGAGCCATGATTTGTGCCACTGTACTCCAGCCTGAGTGACAGAGCAAGACCCTGTCTCCAAAAATAAAAATAATTTTGCTTACACTGAGCATAATATGCATAGTGAAATCTGCATAGTGTGACATATTTCAAGGAATTTATTTATTTATTTATTTATGACAGGGTCTTGCTATATTTCCCAGGTTTTAATTTGCAGTGTATTCACAGGCACAATTATGTGCACTATAGCCTAGAACTCCTGGGCTCAAGCCATCCTCCTTTTTCAGCCTCCTGAGTTGCTGGGTCTAGACTACAGGTGCATGCCATTGCTCCCAGCTCTCAAGGAATTTATTTCTTTTCTTTTTTTTTTGAGACAGAGCGTTGCTCTTCCACCCAGGCTGGAGTGCAATGGCTGATCTTGGCTCACTGCAACCTCCGCCTCCTAGGTTCAAGTGATTCTCCTGCCTCAGCCTCTTGAGTAGCTAGGATTACAGGCGTGCGCCACCACGCCTGGCTAATTCTTGTGTTTTTAGTAGAGATGGGGTTTCACCATGTTAGCCAGGCTGGTCTCAAACTCCTAAACTCAGGTGATCTGCCCACCCGGGCCTCCCGAAGTGCTGGGATTACAGGCGTGTGCCACCATGCTCGGCCTCAGGGAATTTATTTCAATGAAGAATTTTGCCTAAGAAACTCAGGTAATCTCTTTGGAACTCAGCTTTCTCATCTGTAAAATGAGAGTGTTCTGTGTCAGCTAAAGTGCTTTCCAGTTTTCTGCCTTTAGGATATCCCCCCGCTTCATTTGAAAAATCATATTGTCGTATACAGCTTTCTGCTGCCACCTTCTGGGAGAATTGCAGCACACATTTCTCCTTGAAAATGAGCTCTTCAGTAACAGTAATGAGCTCTTCGATACTGTGGCTTGTTTACTTAGTAATTTCAGTCAACTAATAAGAATTATAGTTTTCTGGGTTTTCCAAGTTTCAGTGTTTTTGATTTTTAAAAAATTCCACATGAGTCAAGCCTGAACTTTGACCATCTGGAAATTAATTTTTTAGCAGTTTTTCCCACATGGGAGTATTTTTCATACTTGTCTAGTGCTTTGCAGTGACTGACTTGCCAATTCTATTCACACAGAATTTGCTTCAATAAGTGTCTTTGGTGATGCACTCATGAGGTCTGATAAGAAGTATTTAATAGAACATAAGAAGTATTTAATAGGACAGAAAAAATATTTTATTTAAATTATCCTTTTTTTTTTTTTTTTTTTTTTTTTTGAGTAGGAGTTTTGCTCTATTTCCCAGGCTGGAGTGCAGTGGCACGATCTTGGCTCACTGCAACCTCCGCCTCCCGGGTTCAAGTGATTTTCCTGCCTCAGCCCTCCGGAGTAGCTGGGACTACAGGCGCCCACCACCACACCCAGCTAATTTTTGTTTTATTTTGTTTTGTTTTTGTTTTTTGAGATGGAGTCTCGCTCTGGTCACCTAGGCTGGAGTGCTGTGGCGCGATCTCAGCTCACTGCAGCCTCTGCCTTCGGAGTTCAAGCGATTCTTCTGCCTCAGCCTCCCGAGTAGCTGGGATTACAGGCACGTGCCACCACACCCAGCTAATTTTTGTATTTTTAGTAGAGACTGGGTTTCACCATGATGACCAGGCTGGTCTCAAACTTCTGACTTCAAGTGATCCACCTGCCTCGGCCTCCCAAAGTGCTGGGATTACAGGCGTGCGCCAATGCACCCAGCCGTTCTATAGGTTTTGACAAATGTATAATGACATGTATCATAGAGTTCCTTTATAGTATCATACGGAGCATTTTCACTGCCCTAAAAATCCTCTATCTCCCCCTAACCAATCCCTGGCAATCATTGATCTTTTCACTGTCTCCACAGTTTTGCCTTTTCCAGAATGTCACGTAGTTGGAGTCATACAGTATGTAGCCTTTTCGGATTGGCTTCTTTCACTTAGTAACATGCATTTAAGTTTCCTCCATGTCTTTTCATAGCTTGATAACTCATTTTTTTTTAGCACTGAATAATATTCCATTGTCTGAATGCACCACAGTTTATTTGTCCATTCACTTCCTGAAGGACATCTTGGTTGCTTCCAAGTTTTGGCAATTATGAATAGAACTGCTATAAACATCTGTATGCAGGTTTTTGTGTAGATAAGTTTTCAACTGATTTGGGTAAATACTAAGTAGTATGACTTCTGGGTCATATGGTAAGAGTATATTTAGTTTTGTAAGAAACTGACAAACTAAGCTGGGGATGGTGGCATTTCCTGTAGTCCCAGCTACTTGGAAGGCTGAAGTGGGAGGATCACTTGAGCCCAGGAGTTCCAGGCTGCAGTGAGCTATACTCGCACCACTGCACTCCAGCCTGGTCAACAGAGCAAAATGCTGTCTCAAAAAAAAAAAATGAGCTCAGGAGTTCAAGAGTTCGAGAGCAGCCTGGGAAACATGGCCAAATCTCATCTCTACAAAAAATTTTTCAAAAAAGAAAAGAAAGAAAAAACAAACTACCTAACTGTCTTCCAGAGTGTCTGTACCATTTTGCATTCCCACCAGCAATGAATGAGGGTTCCTGTTGCTCCACATCCTTCAGCATTTAGTGTTGTCAGTGTATCACATTGTAGTTTAAATTTGCAGGCAGGCGCCATGGCTCACACCTGTAATCCCAGCTGTCTGGGAGGCTGAGGCAGATGGATCACTTGAGGTCAGAAGTTTGAGACCAGCCTGGTCAACATGGTGAAACCCCATCTCTACTAAAAATACAAAAATTAGCCGAGCGTGATGGTGGCGGTCGCCTATAATCCCAGCTACTCAGAAGGCTGAGGCAGGAGAATTGCTTGAACCCAGGAGGCAGAGGTTGCAGTGAGCCGAGATCGCGCCACCGCACTCCAGCCTGGGTGACAGAGCAAGACTCTGTCTCAAAAAAATACAAAACAAAACAAAAACTAACATGGGGCAGTGCACTTCTTTTGAAAGAAGTCAGGAAAAGATTTTGGGAAAATGAGGTAATGCTTACTCACGGCTGTGCTATTTGTCCCTCTGTCTCTTAATTTCCCAGACAAAACTATTAACTGGCTTAGATATCTGAATACACTTATTTATTGCCGTCTTTCAGTTTATAATGACACCCACTTAAAAATATCCAAAACTACTTTCCAACCCTTCTCTATCTCTTCCATTTGTGGTAAAATAATATACAACAGTGCATATTTTAAATATTTTTTCTAACGACACAAATAACATAGGCTGGGATAGAGATAGCTTAGAAAACCCAGAAATGCATAAAAGAAAAAAGAACTTGAACCTCCCTTAATCTTGCAGTGCAAAAATAACTACTGCTGACATATTAATAGTGTCACCATCCTTTCCAGTCTCTTATATACTTATATGTACATTTCCCTCATAAAATAGGATAATACAGCACATATGATTTTATAGTTGACTTTTTAAGATAGCACTTTCCCAGACAAAATTTGACATGATCCAGATGTAATTACACAAACTGGCTTCATGCCAGGATACTGGGGTGGAAAACCTTGGGAAAGGCTTTTACCTCCTTGGGCCTTGGTGCCCTTGTCTGAAAAATGAGGAATTTTTTTCCAACCCTAAAAACCATTCCTCTGCCAAAGCATGTTTTTGGATGAAATCTTGTCACCATGTCACATTCTCATGTGAGACGGCCCCAAGTGCCACATAGCCTTAGTTTGTACATTCTTTTATTTTTGGTTAGTATATATTTTTTTCTTTTCTTTTCTTGTTCTTTTTTTTTTTTTTTTTTGAAACAGGGTCTTGCTCTGCACGGTGTTGTGATCATAGCTCACTGCAGCCTTGACCCCCAAGCTCAAACAATCCTCCAGCCTCAGCCACCCAAGTAGCTGGGACTATAGGTGCGCACCACCACACCTAGCTAATTTTTGTAGAGATGGAGTTTCACCATGTTGCCCAGGCTGGTCTCTGAACTCCTGGACTCAAGTGATCTGCCCGCCTCCCAAATATACTGCTGGGCACTGTGGCTCATGCCTGTAATCCCAGCAGTACATTTTTTCTAACTACCCCATGCAAATCACTTGAATATGCCTTATTATGTTTGCTAGCAACTTTTATGATTCACCTGACTAGTCTTTAAAAATAACGAGTAAAAAGAAAATATTCTGCTGGGTGTGGTGGCTCATGCCTGTAATCCCAGCACTTTGGGAGGGTGAGGCAGGTGGATCACTTGAGGTCTGGAGTTCGAGACCAGCCTGGCCAACATGGTGAAACCCTGTCTGTACTAAAAATACAAAAATTAGCTGGGCATGGTGGCGCACACCTGTAGTCCCAGCTACTCAGGAGGCTGAGAAAGGAGAATCCTTGAACCCGGGAGGTGGAGGTTGCAGTGAGCCGAGATCGTGCCATTGCACTCCAACCTGGCTGGCAGAGTGAAACTCCGTCTCAAAAAAAAAAAAAGAAAGAAAAAAAAATCCGTCTTTTTAATAAAAACAAGGAGGACAGGCCGGCTGCAGTGGCTCACGCCTGTAATCCCAGGACTTTGGGAGGCCAAGGCAGGCGGATCACGAGGCCAGAAGACCGAGACCATCCTGGCTAACATGGTGAAACCCCATCTCTACTAAAAATACAAAAAATTAGCTGGGCGTGGTGGCGGGCGCCTGTAGTCCCAGCTACTCGGGAGGCTGAGGCAGGAGAATGGCGTGAACCTGGGAGGCTGAGTTTGCAGTGAGCCAAGATCGTGCCACTGCACTCCAGCCTGGGCAACAGAGTGAGACTCCATCCTCCGTCTCAAAAAAAAAAAAAACAAAAAAAACCAAGGAGGACAAAAGGGAAGTTAAAAACCCATCAATTGTTCAGCTTTACTCTTAGTATTTAAATAAGTAAATAAACGAAAGTATAGGATGAAGTCACTATATTTCAATTCAATTCAATTTAAACAAGTATAATTTTGTAGGAAAAAGAGATAACAAACTTAGGGACCAAAGTAAAGCAACATCAATAAAAGATGAGAAATATCTCAGGATGGAATAAGGTTTGGAAACTTGAAGCAAGTCAAGCTAGAAAGGAAACTACTTTGTCTAAAGAAGGGAAGTTAGAAGTAGATTTAATTGTTTTCAATTATATAAAAGACATAAGTCAATTATGTTTCTTCTCTATCAAGAACAACAGGAAATTGGTTTAGGTTGTTGTTAGATTAATGTAGACATTAAAAGGCTATTGATTAAGGAATGGGAAACAGAAGGTAAAATGTATGAAAAATGAAAAATGTGCTTACCTTTTACAGGGACTGCTGTCATACCCTGATATCTGCTCCTCCCTTCTTTTTTTTTTTTTTGTTTGGCACACAGTCTCACTCTGTTGCCCAGTCTGGAGTACGATGGCACAATCTCTGCGCACTGCAACCTCCACCTCCCAGGCTCACGCAATTCTGCCTCAGCCTCCCAAGTAGCTGGGATTATGGGTGCTCACCACCATGGCCAGCTAATTTTTGTATTTTTAGTAGAGACGGGGTTTCACCATGTTGGCCAGGCTGGTCTCAAACTCCTGACTTCAAATGATCCACCTGCCTTGGCCTCCCAAAGTGCTGGATTACAGGTGTGAGCCTCTGTGCCCTGCTCCTGTCTTCCTATATAATAGTAGAATCCGCTATTTTTTAGCTGGGCACAGGGCCTTCCAAAATATTTTCCCATTGGTAGTGACCATGTGACTAAGTTCTGGTCTTTGAAGTATATGTGTGTAGGGGTCCCTTCTTCCCCACTTCCTGCCGGCTGAGATGTGCACATGATGGCTTGAGCTTAAGCAGCCACCTTGGGCCATGAGGTGGAAGCCACAGGTTGAGGATGCGGCTCAACAAGATAGAAGGAGCCTGGGTTTCAGATGATTGTGGAGCTGTCACACCACTCCTGACTGCTTATCCGAGGACTTTATGTGAGAAAAATAAGCTTCTATCTTGTTTAAAGTACTGTAATCTGGGATTTTCTGTCACTTGCCTATGATAATTTTAAGCAACATATTCTTTTTCCTTTTAATATTTGGTTTATTAGACTTACACATTAAAATCCAAGTTTTCCCTTATGCTTCCAAATTCAGGTTAAAAATCTTAATATTCTATTTATGAATCTAATAAATTTTAACAACCACGTTTAGTGGACTTTGAGCCTATTTAGACCTATTTACAATCACATCTCCAAATATTTTAAATTGTATTTGTCTAAAAACTGCATTTTTTTTGTTTGTTTTTGAGACAGGGTCTCACTCTGTCACCCAGGCTAGAGTGCAGTGACATGATCATGGCTCACTGCAACCTCTGCTTCCTGGACTTAAGTAATCCTCCCACCTCAGCCTCCCCAATAGCTGGGACCACAGGCACATGCCATCATGCCTGGCTAAATTTTTGTATCCTTTGTGGAGATGATTTTTTTTTCAAATATATATATGTGTGTGTGTGTGTGTGTGTGTATATATATATATATATACACACACACACACACACACATATATATACACACACATATATACACATATATATACACACATATATGTATATATATACACATATATATACACACATATATGTATATATATACACATATATATACACACATATATGTATATATATACACATATATACACACATATATGTATATATATACACACATATATGTATATATATATACACATATATATACACACATATATGTATATATATACACATATATATGTATATATATATATTTTTTTTTAATTGAGACAGAGTCTCTCTACATTGCCCAGGGTGGTCTCAAACTCCTGGGCTCAAGAGATCTTCCCTCCTCAGCCTCCCAAAGTGCTGGGACTACAGGCATGAGCCAATGAGACCAGACTTTTTTTTTTTTTTTTTTTGAGACAGGTTCTCACTCTGTCACCCAGGCTGGAGAGTGCCGTGGAGCAATCTAAGCTCACTGCAGCCTCCACCTCCTGGCCTCAAGCCATTCTCTCACATCAACCTCCTGAATAGCTGGGACTACAGGCACGTGGTAATTTTTTTTTGGAGATGGAGTTTTGCTCTTGTTGCCCAGGCTAGAGTGCAATGGTGCCATCTCAGCTCACCGCAATCTCCACCTCCTGGGTTCAAGCGATTCTCCTGTCTCAGCCTCCCGAGTAGCTGGGATTACAGGCGTGCACCACCAGGACCGACTAATATTTTTTAATCTTTTGTAGAGACAGGGGTCTCACCACATTGCCCAAGCTGGTCTCAAACTCCTGGACTCAAGTGATCCACCTGCCTCATCCTCCCAAAGTGCTAGGGTTACAGGTGTGAGCCACTGCACCAGCCAAAACTGCATTTTTATATGTACTCTCTTTTTTATTTATTTATTTTTTATTTAATTTTTATCCTAGTTAACAGATATAATCTCTTTTTTAAAATGCTTTTTTTTTTTTTTTTTTTGAGGCTGGAGTGCAGTGGCGCGATCTCAGCTCACTGAAGCCTCCACCTCCCAGGTTCAAGCAATTCTCCTGCCTCAGCCTCCCGAGTAGCTGGGATTACAGGCGTGCGCCACCATGCCTGGCTAATTTTTTTTTTTTTTTTTTTTTTTTTAGTAGGAATGGGGTTTCACCATGTTGGTCAGGCTGGTCTCGAACTCCTGACCTCATGTAATCTGCCCACTTCAGCCTCCCAAAGTGCTGGGATTACAGATGTGAGCCATCACACCCGGCCTTAAATGCATTTTTAATTGTGGTAAAATACATGTAAAATTTACCACCTTAACTATTTCCACATGTACAGTTCAGTGGTATTAAATACATTCATAATGTTGTGCAACCATCACCACATCCTGTCTCCAGAAACTGAAATTCTGTACCCATTAAACAGTAACTCTGGACGGGCACAGTGGCTCACGCCTATAATTCCAACACTTTGGGAGGCTGAGATGGGTGGATCACCTGAAGTCAGGAGTTTGAGACCAGCGTGGCCAACATGGTAAAAGCCCGTCTCTACTAAAAATATAAAATTAGCTGGGCGTGGTGTCAGGCACCTGTAATTCCAGCTACTCAGGAGGCTGAAGCAGGAGAATCACTTGAACCCAGGAGGCGGAGGTTGCAGTGTGCTTGAGATTGCACCACTGCACTCCAGCCTGGGCAATAGAGTGAGACTTCATCTCAAAAAAAAAAAAAAAAAGTAACTCTCCACTGCCCTCTCCCTCCAGGCCGAGGCAATCACCATTCTACTTTCTGTGTCTATGATTTTGACTACTCTAACTTCCTCATAAAAATTGAATCCTGGGCCGGGCGCAGTGGCTCACGCCTGTAATCCCAGCACTTTGGGAGGCCGAGGCAGGCGGATCACGAGGTCAGGAGATCGAGACCATCCTGGCTAACATGGTGAAACCCCGTCTCTACTAACAATACAAAAAATTAGCCGGGCGCGGTGGCAGGCGCCTGTAGTCCCAGCTACTCGGGAGGCTGAGGCAGGAGAATGGCGTGAACCCGGGAGGCGGGGCTTGCAGTGACCTGAGATAGCGCCACTGCAGTCCGGCCTGGGCAAAAGAGCGAGACTCTGTCTCAAAAAAAAATTGAATCCTGGCCGGGCACGGTGGCTTACACCTGTAATCCCAGCACTTTGGGAAGCCGAGGCAGGTAGATCACCTGAGGTCAGGAGTTCGAGACCAGCCTGGCCAACATGGTGAAACCGGGCATGGTAGCATGTTCCTGTAGTCACAGCTACTCAGGAGGCATTTAGCAGGGCATGGTGGCATGTACCTGTAGTCCCAGCTACTCGGAGGGTGAGGCCAGAGAATTGCTGGAACCCAGAAGGCAGGGGTTGCAGTGAGCCCAGATCATGCCTGGGCGACAGAGCAAGGCTCCATTTCAAAAAATATATATACATATATTTTTTTTTTCTTAAAACCAGAAATAGGATGATGATGATGATGACAATGATGATAATTAAGAGCCATTGGGATGATCTCTCAGTTCTTCGAAGGCTATACATTTCGAAAGGTAATTTTATAAATGCAGAGTAGCAAGAATAGTACCAAGAGCATTTCTTATTCCTGAATCCTTTGGGGAAAAAAATTTTTTTTTAAATTAACTTTTGAAAGTTTATCCTAAAAGAGTATACAAAATGATTATTGCAGCATTGTTTAAAAAGAAAAAAATTAGATGGTTGCTCACGCCTGTAATCCCAGCACTTTGGGAGGCCCAGGCAGGCGTATCACTTGAGGTCAGGAGTTCGAGACCAGCCTGGACAACATGGTGAAACCTCGTCTCTACTAAAAATACAAAAATTAGCCAGTCACAGTGGCATGCGCCTATAATCCCAGCTACTCAGGAAGCTGAGGCAGAAGAATCGCTTGAACCCGGGATGCGGAGTTTGCAGTGAGCCAAGATCGTGCCACTGCACTCCAGCCCAGGCAATAGAGTGACACTTGGTCTCAAAAAAAAAAAAAAAAGGCAAAAATTGGAAACAATCTAATAATGATGCAGAACCAATTAAACAAATTTGTATGATATATCTTTATGGTGAAATGCTATGTAGCTAGTAAAAATGAAAAATGATGATATGTATGTATATTTCTTGGCCAGGAAAGAGTCCTTTAGGAAGGAAATATACTAAAGTGTTATCAGCAGTTACCTCCTGGTAGAAATATTGGATTGATATGGGGAGAATAGAGAGACTTGTGTGTAATTTTTATATTTTTCTGCAGTGAACACTGATTTCTTGTGGGAATTTCAAAGTAATTTGCTTTCTTTCTTTCTTTTTTTTTTTTTAAGAGAGAGACAGGGTCTCACTCTGATGCCCAGGCTGGAGTGCAGTGGCTCAATCACAGCTAACTGCAACCTCAAACTCTTGGACTCAAGTGGTCCTTCTGCCTCAGCCTCCCAAGTAGCTGGGACTACAGGCATGAGCCACCATGCCCAGATTATTATTGTTTGTTTGTTTGTTTGTTTGTTTTTTAATTTTGTAGAAACAGAGTCTTGCCATGTTACCCAGGCTGGTCTTGAACTCCTGGCAATAATCCCACCTCAGCCTCCCAAAGTGCTAGGGTTATAGGCATAAGCCACCATGCCCAGCCTAAATTAATAATTTTATGAAAAAATCTAGGCCGGGCATTGTGGCTCATGCCTGTAATCCCAGCACTTTGGGAGGCCAACGCAGGTGGATCATTTGAGCTCAGGAGTTCCAAATCAGCCTGACCTACATGATGAAACCCCATCTTTACTAAAAATACAAAAATTAGCAGCTGGGCTTGGTGGCGCATAACTGTAATCCCAGCTACTTGGGAGGCTGAAGCAGGAGAATCTCTTGAAACCCAGAGGTGGAGGTTGCAGTGGGACGAGATTGTACCACTGCACTCCAGCCTGGGCGACAGAGCAATATTCCATCCCCTCCCCACCGAAAAAATATTGTTTCAGTCAAAGGAATCTGTGGAATCTCCTTCCCTGGAGTTTTTTTTTGTTTGTTTTTGGGGGTTTTTTTGAGACAGAGTCTCACGCTGTTGCCCAGGCTAGAGTGCAGTGGTGCAATGTTGGCTCACTGCAACCTCCACCTCCCAGGTTCAAGCAATTCTCCTGCCTCAGCCTCCCAAGTAGCAGGGACTAGAGATGCGCACCAGTACACCTGGCTAATTTTTGTATTTTCAGTACAGACAGCGTTTCATCACGTTGGCCAGGCTGGTCTCAAACTCCTGACTTCAAGTGATCCACCCGCCTTGGCCTCCCAAAGTGCTGGGATTACAGGCATGAGCCACCGCGCCCAGCCTCCCTGGAGTTTTTATAGAATGTTACAGGTAACCAGCTGTTTTTAAATAATTTAGGCTAGCCCTCTTCCTACTCTGCAATTTACAGATGAAGATATAATCTTATCACACAGCACCAGACAAAGGTAAAGAAAGTTATATTAGTCAGGCTCAGTGGCTCACGCCTGTAATCCCAGCACTTTGGGAGGCTGAGGAGGGTGGATTACCTGAGGCGGGGAGTTTGAGACCAGCCTGACAAACATGGAGAAACCCCATCTCTACTAAAAATACAAAATTAGCCAGGCGTGGTGGCGCGTGCCTATAATCCCAGCTACTCTGGAGGCTAAGGCAGGAGAATCTCTTGAACCTGAGAGGCGGAGGTTGAGGTGAGCCGAGATCAGGCCATTGCACTCCAGCCTGGGCAACAAAAGTGGAATTCTGTCTCTAAAAAAAGAAAAGAAAAGAAAAGAAAATTATATTAAAGACTTTCATGACATAAAATAATAGTTGTATGCTTGTTTTATTAAGTAAAAATAATTGCAACAGATCTTGCCCATGCATGGCATTCACATTTGAAAGTCAATTTATATTTGAATCCTTGCAAAATTCTGAGGATCAACTAAAACACCAGTACCACCTAGATTTGGGTGCGTGTATGTATGTGTGTGTGTGAATGTTCCCAAGCCAACTAATTCATCAAAGTGGAGATTCCACTGTTACTGCCTTCAAAGACCTCACAACCTAACAGGAAAACTAAGTCTTGTGCATAATTAACCACAATTCAAGGTGAAATAAAGTGCCCAGAGAGAAGTACCAGCAAAGAATGAATGAAGAGTTCAAAAGAGGAAAAACGTTGTCTCATTACAGGGATATTAAAAGATTTCGGATTCCTCAAGGAGGTAGCCTGTGAAATGGCCTAAGTTACTATGTCTCAAACTTTACTGTGGATCTTATTCAAATGCAGATTCCCATTCACTAGCTTTGAGATGGTGTCTGAGAGTCTTCATTTCTAACAAGCTCTCAGTTAGGTTGTTGGTCCAGGAACCTCTCTTTCAGAGGCAAATGACGAAGGATATTTTAGGATGGGAAAAGGTGAAAGCGGGAAGAAGTGGTAACTCACGCCTGTAATGCCAGCACTTCAGGAGGACAAGACAGGCAGATCTCTTGAGTCCAGGAGTTCGAGACCACCCTGGGCAACATAGAGAGACTTCGTCTCTAAAAAAATAGAAAAATTACCTGGATGTGGTGGTACACACCTGTAGTCTCAGCTACTTGGGAGGCTGAAGCAGTAGGATTGCTTGAGCTCAGGGGGGTTGCAGTGAGCCATGATTGTGCCACTGTGCTCCAGCCTGGCACAGAAGGAGATCCTGTCTATAAAAAAAAAAAGGTAGAGTTGGAAGAGACAGCTTTCTGAGCAGAGAAATTAGCATGAACAAAGCCACCAGGGATGATAATGGGGGCTTCAGATTAAGGGGATAGGCTGGAGACCTAAAAATGCAGCCACATTGAGGCAGGCATTGAAGAACAAGCTTATATTTAATCAGAGGCATTGAAAGCTCTGGGGCAAGGGAATGATATGATCAGTAAGTAAAGCCCTTACATAAATCCCTGTTAATAAAACAAGCTTAATAAATCAACAAATATGTGAAGTTAGCTAATTCTGAGCCCATCAGCAAATATTTCTTCAATCTTCATCTGCTGTTTATGAATACAGAATTACAGGGCTGGGCACAGTGGCTCAGGGGCCAGGTGTGGTGGCTCATGCCTGTAATCCCAGCACTTTGGGAGGCTGAGGCGGGCAGATCACCTGAGGTCGGGAGTTCAAGACCAGCCTGGTCAATATGGTGAAACCCCGTCTCTGCTAAAAATACAAAAATCAGCTGGGCATGGTGGCAGGCACCTGTTGTCCCAGCTACTTGGGAGGCTGGGGCAGGAGAATCGCTTGAACCCAGGAGACGGAGGTTGCAGTGAGCCGAGATCGTGCCACTGCACTCCAGCCTGGGTGACAGAGCGAGACTCTGTCTCAAAAGAAAAAAGAAGACTTAGAAGGGGCCTGAGCAAGCAGGGAACCCTGATATTTCCATAGCCTCACGGTAGATCCATCTCTGTACCTGGCATTCTTTTCTATGTGAAGAATACAAAAGAGATATAAGGCATCTCAAGGGGTTTACAGCATCACTTAGGCAAGAAGGCACACTTATTGATGCAGGGTGTGAATCTTAAAGTGGAACCCAGAGGGAGATTTAGAAAGCAGGGAAGTCATTTTTAATGGGAGTTTTAGCACAAAGAGGTAGGGATAAATCTGTTAAGGAGGAGGTACCGCCTCCACCCCTGCTGGAGTAGCGGATTTGGGAAGGAGGGGTTACATTTTATTCAAGTTGGGTGCTCTGAGCATGAGCCATTGAAAGGCCAAAATTGTATTTATCCTGAGCTACCACTAGGCCAGGCAGAAAATAGGCGTGGCTTGAACGTAACAAATGGATGAATGAATAGGTGAACAACAGATCATAGAGGACGCTGATGAAACAGCAGAGAGATTTGAGTTTCAGGTGGTTGGCAAGGCAAAGTTACTATGGGTTATTGAAATAGGAAATGACAAGGTGGACCTGCAGTGCTTGTACCTAAATTGGATTGCCAAATCCAGCAGACACCTGCAATGCTCATGTAACAGACACCTTGCTCAACTGGGTGGCACTTGTCACAGAGGGCTACTCCTCATTCTTGAAGCACCGATGCTTCAGGATTCTGTGACCCCAGACTCTCCTGGTTTTCTCCAGTTTACTTTGCTAGATACTCCTTTTCAATCTCCTTTGAGATCTTGCCCTCCTTTTCCCAATGTCTGAGTGTCAATATTCCTCTAATGCTTACAATTATATTCCTCTAATCCTTAAATGTATATCTCCAGCCCAGACATTTTCCTCCAAAAGCACTCTGATTTTTAAATTCAACTGCCTCCTTAACATGACATCTTCACTTGGATGCCTCAGAGAAATCTCAAATTTACCACTTGGAAAATTAATTATCCACTAGAATTCTCTTAATTCTCCACTAGTTGGCCAGGCGAGGTAGCTCACGCCTGTAATCTCAGCACTTCACTGAGGTGAGAGGATTGCTAGAGGCCAGGAGTTTGAGGTTATAGTAACCTGTGATTGCACCATTGTACTCCACCCTGGGCAACAGAGTGAGACCTTGTTCCGAAAAGAAAAACATAAGGCTGGGCACAGTGGCTCATGCCTGTCATCCTAGCACTTTGGGAGGCAGAGGTGGGCAGATCACCTGAGGTTGGGAGTTCGAGACCAGCCTGACCAACATGGAGAAACCCCGTCTCTACTAAAAATACAAAATTAGCCAGGCATGGTGGCACATGCCTGTAATCCCACCTACTGGAGAGGCTGAGGCAGGAGAATCGCTTGAACCTGGGAGGCAGAAGTTGCAGTGAGCCGAGATCGCACCATTGCACTCCAGCCTGGGCAACAAGAGTGAAACTCCGTCAAAAAAAAAAAAAAAAAAAGAAGAAAGAAAGAAAAGAAAAGACAAAACTCCACTAGAAAAACTCCTCACTTGCATATCTCAGTAAATGGGATTAACTTCTACCCATTTATTGAAGTCAGAAACCTGGGAATTATTCCTGTCTCCTTCCTTTCCCTTCCTTCCACCCATATCCAATCCATTAGGTAAATTCAGTTACTTCTACCACCAAAATATATCTCAAACCCATCCCTCAGAGCCACCATTCTAGTCCTGCAACATCCTAACAGATCTTACCCTCCACTCTTAGCCTCATTTATTCTCCACATAAAAGCCAGAGCAATCTTTTAATGATGTAAATCAGATCATAGCACTCTCTGCTTAAAACTCTTCAAGGACTTCCCATGACACTTCCCATGACACTTTGAGTAAAAGCTAAATTCTCACCACTAAGGATCCTTGTTTCCATTATGTGCGTCTGGCCCACTGCCAACGGGATGATACTTGGTCAAGGACCTCTAATCAATGTTGGAGACAGGGGGAAAAAAAAGAATTGTCTGCAGCTGGGCACGGTAGCGCAAGCCTGTAATCCCAGCACTTTGGCAGGCTGAGGTGGGTGGATCACCTGAGGTCAGGAGTTCAAGACCAGCCTGGCCAACATGGTGAAACCCCATCTCTACTAAAAAATACAAAAAAATTAGCTGGGCATGGTGGTGGGTGCCTGTAATCCCAGCTACCTGGGAGGCTGAGGCAGGAGAATCACTTGAATCTGGGAGGTGGAGGTTGCAGTGAGCCAAGATCACACCACTGCACTCCAGCCCGGGAAACAGAGGCAGACTTCATCTCAAAAAAAAAAAAAAAAAAAAAAGAATTGGCTGCAAAAGGATACAAAGCCAGGGCTGGGCCCGGTGGCTCACACCTTTAATCCCAACACTTTGGGAGGCAGGCAGATCGCTTGAGCCTCGGAGTTTAAGACCAGCCTGGGCAACATAGCGAAACCCCATCTCTGCTAAAAATACAATGGTGGTGCCCACCTGTGGTCCCAGCTACTGGGTGGCTGAAGCAAGATAATCAATTCAACCCAGGAGGCAGAGGCTGCAGTGAGCCGAGATCGTGCCACTGAACTCCAGCCTGGGCGACTGAGCAAGACTCTGTCTCAAAAAAAAAAAAAAAAAAAAAAAAGGCCAGGAGTGGTGGCTCACACCTGTAATCCCAGCACTTTGCAGTGCTGAGGTACGCAGGTCACCTGAGGTCAGGAAAAAAAAAGATACAAAGCCAAATGGATGAATATATGTGACTATATAAAATAACAGCATGCCAACTAATCCTAAATTTCCACTCAGTCTTTATGTAGTTCCTTATATATTTTGTGTTGGGTATAATGTAGAATTGATCTACAAAAGTAGAATCTTTCCCCCATTCCCTCTTCCCTCAGCCCTTCTCCTGACTGGCTCCTTCTCCTCCATCAGTTCTCAAATCGTCATATCAAAGGGACCTTGAGTATCAGTCTATCTAAAGTAGCTCTCCGCCAACACACACACACCCCATCATTCTGTCTTATTTCCTCTGTCACGCTGCTCTCACCGGAACTGCTCTCAACATCTGTAGATGCTCTGTCTGTTCATTCTATCTTCCCCATTAGGCTAATAAACTCCATTAAAGCAGGAAACGTATCTGTCTTGTTCTCTATTCCATCCTTAGGGCCTACTCCTGTGCCCGGCCCAGAGCAGGCTTCAATAAATAGTTACAGAATGAATGAAGAAATGAATGAATGAGAATTTAATCTTCTAGCCAGGAAGGCCTAGCTAGAAAGATTTGTCTTGATTTCATCTTGAGAGGATGGAGACACACATCTTCCTTTGATTCCAGACAGATTTATTATTTATGTGTTTATTTAGAGACCGGGAGCGGGGTTATGGCTGGGGGTGGGGGTCTCCCTATGTTGCCCAGGCTGGTCTCAAACTCCTGGACTCAAGGGAGCCTCCCGCCTCGGCCTCCCAAAGTGTTGGGATTACAGGCGTGAGCCACCGCACCGGCAAGACAAATTTAAAAAGGAATGTCTGGAGGTTTTTTTCCACCAAAAGGTTTGATGAAACCCCTTGTAACTTGCCCTACTGGAGTCAGTGGGGGTGGGAGGAACTCAAAAATTGTCTCAAAACTAGGTGAAGGGAAAGGCAGTGGAGCAGAGACGTGGCTCGCCACGTTCAGGATCTTGGGCTACACCCTCCCCTTCCCCACACCGTAACGGCTCCAGCCCCTTCTTGTCTTCAGCTTGGAGCGAAGGGTGGCTGAGGCCTGAGTTTGGGCTCCAGGAACCTCGCCCTTGTTAGTTATTCATGAGACGGAGGGCACCATGGGAGCTGGCTCTCTTGCTATTCATAAAGCGGGGAGGCGGGAGGCGGGGGGGAACCTCCTTCCCGCTAGGGCTTCTGGGAAGATCTACAATATTCATGAGGGAGGCGGGCACTACGAGAGCTGAGGCTGCTTGCTATTCATGAGGGGGCGGGCCTCCTTCCCGCGGGGGCTCTTGGGAAGATTCTACAATATTCTAGAGGCCGCGGGGACGCCTGGTGGGTAGGGCTGCAGCTCCGGAGCCTACGGGAGTGTGACCCTCTCGCCTCCTGGCGGGAAGCTCTTGAGGAGATATTTTCTTTTCTAAACACTAAGAAATTTGAGGATGGTGGGGCAAAACGACTAACTCCCACTTTCCTGTGACTCTGTAGCCGGAAAAACTGTCAAAATCTGTGGTAAAAGAGGGTTTTTTTTCCCAGTATTTTATTGCGATAATTTCATCTTTCATGGACTGAAGGGAGCGAAACATGTACCCCGTGTGGTCTGATTCTCCTGTTGACCAGTTTGTCCTTTAGGCTTCCCTAGTTTGCGGCTTTGGAGATGTTTGGGGGCAGCTGCCCGACAGATGGGGTGGGGCCCTTACAAGAGTTTTATGTTAAAACAGACATCCCTGTGAATGTAGTTTTTATCTTAAAGGTGTGGGGGGCGGGGAGGTTCATCCAATTGAACCCTCAAAACCTTTCACGCGCGGTCAAAATTAGTGGGATAGAACAGGGGGCATGAAACATCATTTTATTATTATTATTTGGGGCTGTGATTCTTATTCGCTAGAGGGGTGAGCGGAAACCAGAAATAATTTAGGATTATACCTTTAGAATTTTCACAAAAGCTTGCTTTTTCCCTACGAAACGTCCAGCTCTGAGTGAGGAAAATAAGGAACTATAAGTGGAGACTTGAGTTTTAGAAGAATTTGGGCTTATCATTTTTAAATTTTTGTTTATATTTATTTTAAACATGTATGTAGTTCACAGTTGACACAGTGAAGTCCCCGCCTGGTGACTGA
This sequence comes from Homo sapiens, assembly GCF_000001405.40. Classification (NCBI taxonomy): domain Eukaryota; kingdom Metazoa; phylum Chordata; class Mammalia; order Primates; family Hominidae; genus Homo; species Homo sapiens. The sequence goes on along the minus strand of NC_000017.11, from coordinate 38,966,620 downwards.
CAGTCTTTGAAGAGCCCACGGGCCCAAGCCCCACTGTCCACATTTCTCAGAGAAACAGGAAGAAGCCAAGGCCGGATTTATGCTATTGTAATAAAAATGCTTTAAAACACCTACTGTGTTGGCCGGGTGCGGTGGCTCACGCCTGTAAATCCCAGCACTTTGGGAGGCCGGGGCAGGCGGATCACGAGGTCAGGAAATCGAGACCAGGCTGGCTAACACGGTGAAACCCCGTCTCTACTAAAAATACAGAAATTAGCTGGGCGTGGGGGCGGGCACCTGTAATCCCAGCTACTAGGGAGGCTGAGGCAGGAGAATCGCTTGAACCCGGGAGGCGGAGCTTGCAGTGAGCCGAGATCGCGCCACTGCACTCCAGCCCAGGAGACTGTGCGAAACTCCATCGCAAACAAACAAACAAAACGCCTACTGTGAAAAGTTAAGGTTACAAACAGCCTTATGGATTAAACAAATTAAGATTATTTTACTTGGTGGAATGACACATAGCCATTAAAATATGATTACTTGTAGAAGGTTATTAGCATGGAAAGAGAATTCATTGAAAAAAGCAGATTACAAAGTATTATATATAGTGATCCCTCTTTTTTGTTAAAAAGAAATATATGTATGTAAAAGTCTGAAATTATATAAACCAAAGTGTTTATAAGTGAACTTAATTTTTTTCTTCTTGTTTAGCTGTATTGTGTAAAGTTGTTATTTGTGTAATTATTTTTTTTTTTTTTTGAGGCAGATTCTTGCTCTGTCACCCAGGCTGGAGTGCAGTGGTGTGATCTCGGCTCACTGCAACCTCCGCCTCCCGGGTTCAAGCGATTCTCCTGCCTCAGCCTCCAGAGTAGCTGGGACTACAGTCGCGTGCCACCATGCCCGGCTAATTTTTTTTTTTTTTTTTTTTTTTTAGTAGAGAAGGGGTTTCACCGTGTTAGCCAGGATGGTCTCGATCTCCTGACCTCGTGATCCACCGGCCTCAGCCTCCCAAAGTGCTGGGATTAAGGCGTGAGTCACCATGCCCGGCCTATTTGTGTAATTTTAATGATAATTTTAAAATACCTCCTAATTTAAGTGTTCACTGAATACTGACCCCAATCGCTGTGGTATGGTTTCAAAGGAGGTTCAGAGTGTACTTTTCACTAAACACTAAATTTCTTTGTTATGTTTTCAAATGTGTAACCAATTTTAAATTGATGTAAGTTGATATGTAACATTTCAAGATGTATAAGTAACAATGTTACTTTAGCAATTTGTAGAAAGGAGAAAATGCATTTTGGCCAGATACAATTATATATCTTTGATGAAAATGTCTTAGTTGTTACTTCAGAAACAAGGAGCCTTCGATTGGAGTTGTAATTATGCGTATATGTATATGTATACACAAAAGACATTGTTTTCTGAATTAGAACAATAGAGTGACACAAAGTCGCTGTGTGGTACACATGTTTAAATAATTATTTAGTGTAATGGGCGGGCGTGGTGGCTTTCGCCTGTAATCCCAGCACTTTGGGAGGCTGAGGCTGGTGGCTCACCTGAGGTCAGCAGTTCCAGACCAGCCTGACCAACATGGTGAAACCCCGTCTCTACTAAAAATACAGAAATTAGCTGAGTGTGGTAGCACACGCCTGTAATCCCAGCTACTAGTGGTGGCACACGCCTGTAATCCCAGCTACTTGGGAGGCTGAGGCAGGAGAATCACTTGAACCTGGGAGGGGGAGGTTGCAGTGAGCTGAGATCGCGTCATGCCACTGCACTCCAGCCCGGGCAGTAGAGCGATAATCTGTCTAAAAAAAAAATTATTTAGTGTAAGTAAATAATCAGTGATTTTAATAAGTTGCATTTAATGAGTTTAAGAAATATTTGTCTTTGAAATCAAGATGCGTAGGCCCTTTCTAAGATTCATCAGTGACTATTATTATTATTGTTATTTTTTGTTTGTTTGTTTGTTTGTTTTTCGAGACCAAGTCTCACTGTGTTGCCCCAGGCTGGAGTGCAATGACATGATCTCAGCTCACTGCAGCCTCCGCCTCCCGGGTTCAAGCGATTCTCATGCCTCAGCCTTCAGATTAGCTGGGCTCACAGCAACCTCCGCCTCCCAGGTTCCAGCAATTTTCCTGCTTCAGTCTCCCAAGTAGCTGGGATTACAGGTGCACACTGCCATCCCTGGCTAATTTTTGTATTTTTTGTAGAGACGGGGTTTCGCTATGTTGGCCAGGCTGGTCTCGAACTCCTGACCTCAGGTGATCCACCCGCCTTGGCTTCCCAAAGTGCTGGGATTACAGGAATGAGCCACTGGGCCCAGCCTAATTTTTGTATTTTTAGTAGAGACGGGGTTTCACCATGTTGGTCAGGCTGGTCTCAAACTCCTGACCCCAGGTGTTCCACCCACCTCCGCCTCCCAAAGTGCTGAGATTACATGGGTGAGTCACGTCACTCGGCCAGTAGCTATTATTAACAGAAGGTGGAATTGAGGGAAGAATTATTACTATTCATGTATTTATTCTAGTCTTATTAACACACAGTGGCTTGTGCCTATAATCCCAGCATTTTGGGAGGCTGAGGTGGGAGGATCACTTGAGCTCAGGAGTTCAAGACCAGGTTGGGCAACACAGGCAGACACTGCCTCCACAAAAACAATTTTTTTTTTTTTACTTTAGCTGGGCATGGTGGCTCTGTGCCTGTAGTCCCAGCTACTCAGGAGGCTGAGGCAGGAGGATTGTTTGAGCCCAAGAGTTCAAGACTGCAATGAGCTATCATCATGCCACTGCACTCCAGCCTGGGCAACAGAGCAAGACCTTGACAAAAAAAAAAAAAACAACAAAACAACAACAACAACAACAAAAACCAACAAAGAAAAGAAGAAAGACTTTAATTCACTGCTTATTTGAGTATTATACAGCACATAATTGGTAATAGTAATGCCACCTACTTTTTTGTGTTGGGATTACAGGCGTGAGCCACCATACCCAGCCTATATTCTTTTAAAAAGTCAAAATATTAATGTAGCTTTAAAATTTCATAGTAATGTTTTTCTATTTATTTAAAACTGAGTACTGACTTTTTTTGTTCGAAACAATAAAAAAAGAGATGAAAATAGAGACTTTAAAACTATTTAAATTTTAGCTGTAATAAAGTAAGTGGGGCCAGGTTCAGTGGTTCATGCCTGTAATCCCAGCACTTTGGGAGGCTGAGGAGGGCAGATCACCTGAGGTCAGGAGTTCGAGACCTTCCTGGCCAACATGGCAAAACCCCGTCTCTACTAAAAATACAAAATTAGCTGGGCATGGTGGCACATGACTGTAATCCCAGCTACTTAGGAGGCTGAGGCAGAAGAACCACTTGAACTCGGGAGGTGGAGGTTGCAGTGAGCCGAGATTACGCCATTGCACTCCAGCCTGGGCAACAGAGCAAGACTCCGTCTCAAAAAAAAACCAAAAATCTTTTGCAAATACAGAGAAACAGCTATTGCATATCGTACTATCAACCTCTTCGTTTAAAAAAAAAAATCTCTTTCTTGCTTTAATTTCCTTTCTTTCTTGTCTCTTGTACTTTGTTTTTCTGACCAGGATAAATTTGTGAGACAAGAAGAAGAATGGCATCCAGAATAAATACAAATTTCACTTTGATTCCCAACCAGAAACTTAGACGTAGTAATCGTCAAACCAGCTGTTATTCCAAGACCCTTGGCTCAGGCTTTCAACCCATATCAACATTTGGAAATTTTAAAGCCTTACCATTGGAAATATTCCAGATAATTTTAAAATATTTGTCAGGTGAGGTTTGGGAACTTATGAATAGCCTACACAAGACACTAGAGTATTTTAATTTTTCCCAAGAACTAGTTTGTCATCTTGGGCCATGCTAAAATGTTAATGACATTCATGTTAAGTGTTTAAGTGTTTATTTTCTAAAGTTTCATTATTGTCAGGTAAGGAGTACAATGAGAAAGCACAATACTTAAATAATTATTATTATTACTATTATTATTATTATTATTATTATTATTATTTTGAGATGGAGTTTTGCTCTTGTTGCCCAAGCTGAAGTGCAGTGGCGTAATCTCGGCTCACCGCAACCTCCACTTCCCGGGTTCAAGCTATTCTCCTGCCTCAGCCTCCCGAGTAGCTGGCATGCGCCACCATGCCAGGCTAATTTTGTATTTTTAGTAGAAATGGAGTTTGTCCATGTTGATCAGTCTGGTCTCGAACTCCTGACCTCAGGTGATCTGTCCGCCTTGGCCTCCCAAAGTACTGGGATTACAGGCATGAGTCACTGCACCTAGCCCTAAATTAATTTTTTTAAATCTTCCTTTGAACACAGCAGTACTTAAACTCTTGAAAACATGCCTGTAATTATGATATAGTACCTTGATTGGTAAATCCAAACATGTCTCTAATTCATTGAGAACCAGATTTTAAACAATTTTAAGGTTTTTCCCTTTTTTCCCAAAGGGATGATGATGGTGATAATGATGACGATTGAGTTAACCTATAAGTTAATAGACTGTGTTAATAGTGACGTTCTTGCATTTAAGCCATTGATACATACACATATATATTTCTTTTGGTAGTGAAGGATATCAGCATGCTAAGCATGGTGTCCAAAACAGTCAGCCAACACATTATTAATTATATCTCAACCTCATCAGGAAGCAAAAGACTTTTACTACAGGACTTTCATAACCTTGAGCTGCCTGACAGGAGACAAGACTCTGCTATACTGGAGCACTACAGATCTCTAGGTAACTTATGTAATGAGAATTGCAACAAGTAAAGAACTGTGCTTAATTAAGAGAAACTTAGTATACAATTCTGTAAGGCCAGTAGGAAATGGAATATATTCCAAAATATGCCTGTTTCTATGATGTTTTTACTCTTTAGTGTGAGAACACTCCCTTAACCAGTTATCTTTAAAGGTGAGAAAATGCATTTTGATGTAAAGTGTCAATTCTTGAGATTTCATATAGATATAACGTCACCGATGCTTAATGTCTAGTGGCTTATCAGGTTAGGAAATTGATGTATTTTCTATGCGTCACTTCCTGTGGATCAAGTGAGTTTTATCTCTTTATCTCTTTTCCCTTTCAACCATAATCTAGTCCTTTAAAATAGAAATTTAAACACATTATTATGGAAGACTATTTATCCTCTCAGCAGAAACTACGGTTTTTTAAGTACATTTACTAAGTGGCTAAGCTATAATTAAACTGACCTTATCAAAGCAAATTCTGTATAATCTTTCTTCCTTAATTTGTAATCATTTATGCCTTTTACTCCATTCATTGATTTCATTGTCCCAGAGAGTGCTGAAGTAAAATTCTAATTTTGACTTGACTTAATAACACCGATTTAATTATGAAACCACTTTATAATTCATCAAAGCATGGCAATAAAACCAAATGTCAAGATGGTGTGATTTAAATAAAGGCATAACAGTAAGTTAAGTGAATACTGCCTTTTAGTAGCCCAAGGATGCTTAGATTTAAGATATTAGGAATATGTGGATATGTAAATATATCAAAATGTATTTGATGATTACCTGTTTATTTAATAAGACCAAATGAAAGAAAAGTATCTGATCTGATTACAGTGTTGTTGGTTTCAGTATTTATGATTAGGCTTAGTAAAGCCTGTAACAGAATATGGAAACTACTTTTTCCTACTTCTCATTATAAATATAATTTTTCGGCTGGCTGCGGTGGTTCACACCTGTAATCTCAGCACTTTGAGAGGCCGAGGCAGGCAGATCACCTGAGGTCAGGAGTTCAAGACTACTCTGGCCAACATGGTGAAACCCTGTCTCTACTAAAGATACAAAAATTAGCCGGGCATGGTGGCACATGCCTGTATTCTCAGCTACTTAGGAGGCTGAGGCAGGAGAATTGCTTGAACCCAGGAGATGGAGGTTGCAGTGAGCCGAGGTCACGCCACTGCACTCCAGCCTAGGTGACAAAGCGAAACTCCATCTCAAAAAAAAAAAAAAAAAAAGAGAAAGAATTATTTTTAATTCATCGTTAGTTGTAGAGGAAGTGGTACCTGGGTAACACAGTGGAGCTTATACTTTGGTTTTGATCTGAAAGAAATTTTTCTCCCTGATCAAGTCTCAATTGCTTAAACTAACAAAAACACTAAGACAATTATATGTATAATTCAGTAAAAAGTACAAATATGTATTGATCTTAATTGCTTTTTTAAATGGTTTTATTCATGTAAGGATTTCAACTTTCTATTTAATTTTGATGCAAACACTTGGTTTATGACTAATTCTTTAAGTAAATGTTTGATATACTTACCATTTTCTCATATCGTCATTCTTACCTGATCTATTATTGTTTTCACTATTTTTTTTTTTGAGATGGGATCTTGCAGTGTTGCCCAGGCTGGCCCGTACTCCTGGGCACAATCGATCCTCCTGCCTCAGCCTCCTGAGTATCTGAAACTACAGGCATGTGTGACTGCATCCAGCCTTATTTTCAGACATTAAAATAAGATTTTCAGAATGCTGTGCTTTGGGCCGGGCGCAGTGGCTCATGCCTGTAATCCCAGCACTTTGGAAAGCTGAGGTGGGAGGATCGCTTGAGCCCAGGAGTTCAAGACCAGCCTGGGTAACATAGGGAGATCCCCATTTATACAAAAAATTAAAAAATTATCTGGGCATGGCGGCCCAGCTGAAAGCTGAAAAAAATCATGAGGTTCAGGCATATATTTTCCTACCATATATCTTATTTTTAGTTTGAGGACATTTGCCCTCATAGGAATGTTAACAGTGTATTGCCATTTTAGGAAAATAGAATGTTTAAAGTTAGAGGAAACAAATTAGAGGACAAAACCTGTTGTCCCAGCTACTCAGGATGCTGAGGTGGGAGGGTTACTTGAGCCGCAGAGGTTGAGGCTGAAGTGAGTCAATTGTGAAAATGCACTCCGGCCTTGGCAACAGAGTGAGACCCTGTCTCATATTCATACACACACACACACACACACACACACACACACAATGCTTTGAAGAATAATTTTCTTTTTTTTTTTTTTTTTTTTTTTTGAGGCAGAGTCTCACTCTGTTGCCCAGACTGGAGTGCAATGGCACAGCCTCGGCTCACTGCAACCTCTGCCTCCTGGGTTCAAGCGATTCTCATGCCTCAGCATCTCCAGTAACTGGGATTACAGGCATGCACCACCATGTCTAACTAATTTTTGTATTAGTAGAGACAGGGTTTCACTATGTTGGCCAGGCTGGTCTCGAACTCCTGTCCTCAAGTGATCTGCCCTCCTCAGCCTCTCAAAGTGCTGGGATTACAGGAGTGAGCCACCGTACTCGGCCAATTATAAATTTTAATTTGTTTCTTCACATAAAACAGAGCAGATGGCCAATGTGGAAAGAACATTACATCTGACTCTATTTAGGGAAGAACTTTAAAAAAGTTAGTCTCTAAAGGGTATAGCAGAGCACCTGTGGTTGTTTTTTTTTTTTAAACAGCCAGTATTGGGTTTTATGGTAAGTTGTAATCCTTAAAAATAGGAGTTTTATATTAGGCAGTCAGCATACCAAAATAAGGCTGGATGCAGTCACACATGCCTGTAGTCCCAGATACTCAGGAGGCTGAGGCAGGAGGATCAATTGTGCCCAGGAGTAGAATTCTAAGAATTAATGCCTGGAATTCCTTAGTTATTATATGCTGTGAAACTGGATACCAATGTATGAAGGGAAAGAACTCAGCTTAAAAACCAAACACTGAAAAATGTCTTTTTTTTCCCTTAGTTGTCAAGTATGAAAAATGTCTTTTTATATACAAAAATAAAGAGGGTTTTTGTTTAAAACAATTCTGTTCATGTGTTACTCAAACATAGCAACTTCTAAAAATAAGTTAGACTCCTGTAGATTCTTCAGAATTATATAAAGTAATTATAATATGTAAAAAAGTAAATAGAAGATGAAAGCTGAAAAAAGTCATAAGGTTCAGGTATGTATTTTCCTACCATATATCTTATTTTTAGTTTGAGGACATTTGCCCTCATAGGAATGTTAACAATGTATGGCCATTTTAGGAAAATAGAACGTTTAAAGTTAGAGGAAACAAATCATACACTTCCTGTCACTGTAGCTCAAGTTACACATCTCACTGAGAAATTGAGGAGTTTTTTTTTTTTTCTTTTTAAAGTATCTGTACACAAAATCTTATACATTCTTAACATGCAAGTCCCATAAAAGGATATCTTAGAAGGAAGAGATGGATATTTCATCCTAACTGGATACTTTCTGTGGGGAAAAAAAAAATCTAGCTTCTGAAATTTTAAGTACTTATGACTTAAATTTTTGTATTTGGAGAGAGGGATACACAACCTGTTTTCTCGGCCCAACGCAATTTATTCCCAGTGCTTTGGGAGGTCAAGGTGGAAGGATTACTTGAGCCCAGGAATTCGAGACCAGCCTGGGCAACAAAGCAAGACCCTGTCTCTACAAAAAAAATGTTTTTTAAAAATTGGCTGGGCTTGGGCCGGGCATGGTGGTTCACACCTGTAATCCCAGAACTTTGGGAGGCCGAGGCAGGCGGATCATGAGGTCAAGAGATCGAGACCATCCTGGCCAACATGGTGAAACCTCGTCACTAAAAATACATAAATTAGCTGGGCGTGGTGGTGTGCACTTGTAGTCCCAGCTACTCGGGAGGCTGAGGCAGGAGAATCACTTGAACCTGGGAGGTGGAGGTTGCAGTGAGCGGAGATCACGCCACTGCACTTCATCCTGGCAACAGAACGAGACTCTGTATCAAGAAAAATAAAATAAAATTAGCTGGGCTTGGTGGCACACACGAGGATCACTGGAGCCCACAAGGTCGAGACTGCAGTGAGCCATGATGGCATGCCACTGCACTTCAGCCTGGGCGACAGAGTAAGACCTTGTCTCAAAAAAAAAAAAAAAAAAGAAAAATCAGTTTTCTCATTCTTTCCATGTTTTAGATTAACAACTCTTAAAACATATTCCTTTGTGGACATGAGGTTAATTTCAAGAGATATTGAAATCTGTTTTCTGTGGAATAAAGACAAAATAAAATTTCTCTAGTGTGTCTTTGTCTTATTGTATCTTTTATACTCTATGTATTTTTCCATGTGTCCTATAGTAGCAATTTAACAATTTTTTGCAAGATTTTATGCCAAGGCCTCTTAGATGAGCATCAGAGTCACTTGGTAAATACCATAAATGGAAAGTGTTTTGCACCCTTCCTCCCAAACTTTCTCTTAGAAATCATATCAACTCATAGTCCACTGTGATATACCATACTTGACTTTCAGGAAACATTATTCTGTGCTCTATTGATGTTCTTAATTGTATTGTTGTCATTTTTTCTTATGTCTCTTTACTTTCTTAGGTCTACTGTTTAAAAGATGCACATTGCTGCTACCCACCAAGGAAAGGCTAAAATACATTCACAAGATACTCACAGAAGTAAGATCATACTTCTAAATTAGTTTACAATCTTGATTTCCAGTAAAGATATTTTATTATTATCTTATGCTCATTTTACTCTATATTAGTAGAATTTCATGAATTAGCACTAAAAAATTGATTTATTATAATCTAATACTTTACCAAGTACTTCGAGATTATATAATGTCAAAATGTAGTAATCTTTCACTTGTTTATAAAACAATTTTCATATATAACTAAGCACATCATTCAAGTTTATTAGGTTTGTCAGAGTATAAAGTATATTTTACACCACATACAAATCCTGAGGAAGTTTTAAAGTAGTGATGTAGATATTGTATTAAAGTGAAATAATTTCTGAATTTTGAAATTTTATTGTTTAAATGTATAGAAACATGGGAAAGTATTTTAATATATAAAATGACAAACATTTTATGATAATAGACTTGGAAATGTGTATTAATATGTTTGGGCATAGTCTCTTTATAAGACTCAATTTTATATACAAATCCAAGCATATGTCCAACTCTTGATGGTTCAGTTCTACACTCAGTGGTATCTGCTGTTTCTGATACACTGACTTTTTCTTTTTTTTTTTTTTTTGTTGAGACAGAGTCTCGCTCTTGTCACCCAGGCTGGAGTGCAGCAGCATGATCTTGGCTCACTGCAACCTCCACCTCCTGGGTTCAAGCTATTCTCCTGTCTCAGCCTCCTGAGTAGCTGGGATTACAGGCACCCACCACCACACCTGGCTAAGTTTTGTACTTTTAGTAGAGATGAGGTTTTGCCCTGTTGAACAGTCTGGTCTCGAACTCCTGACCTCAGGTGATCTGCCCACCTTGGCCTCCCAAAGTGCTGGGATTACAGGTATGAGCCACCTTGCCCAGCCAATTTTTTCATGTCAGCATTTGCATTGAGTTCTGGTCTATATTATTATAGCAGCTTCCCAGATGACCTTTCTGTCATCCAATTCATTACTCCCCAAACCGCTCTGTATGCTGAATCAAGATTACTCTTCCTAAAGCATGACATTCATAAATAAAACTTTTTTTTTTTTTTGAGATGGAGTCTCACTCTGTCCTCCAGGCTGGAGTGCAGTGGTGCGATCTCGGCTCACTGCAAGCTCCACCTCCCAGGTTCACGCCATTCTCCTGCCTCAGCCTCCTGAGTAGGTGGGATTACAGGCGTGTGCCACCACACTCGGCTAATTTTTTTTTTTTTTTTTTTTTTTTTTTTGGAGATGGAGTCTCGCTCTGCCGCCTAGGCTGGAGTGCAGTGGCACGATCTCAGCTCGCTGTAACCTCCGCCTCCCAGATTCAAGCAATTCTCCTGCCTCAGCCTTCCAAGTAGCTAGGATTACAGGCGTGCGCCACCACGCCCAGCAAATTTTTGTATTCTTAGTAGAGACAGGGTTTCACCATGTTGGTCAGGCTGATCTCGAACTCCTGACCTCGTGATCCTCCCACCTCGGCCTCCCAAAGTGCTGGGATTACAGGCGTGAAACCCCGTCTCTACTAAACCGGCAAAAGGTTTTATACAAGAAGTTATAAAACATGGTGAAACCCCGTCTCTACTAAAAGTACAAAAATTAGCCAGGCCTGGTGGTGTCTGTAATTCCAGCTACTTGGGAGGCTAAGGCATGAGAATCACTTGAACCCAGGAGGCAGAGGCTTCAGTGAGCCAAAGTCATGCCACTGCACTCCAGCCTGGGTGACAGAGCAAGACTCCATCATAAAAAATAAAAATAAAATATTATTATTAAATAAATTGTGAACTCCTTGAGAGTAGAGACTTTTTTTTTTTTTTTGAGATGGAATCTTGCTCTGTCACCCAGGCTGGAGTGCCATGGCACGGTCTCGACTCACTGCCAGCTCCGCCTCCTGGGTTCATGCCATTCTCCTGCCTCAGCCTCCTGAGTAGCTGGGACTACAGGTGCCCACCACCACACCCGGCTAATTTTTGTGTATTTTTAGCAGAGACGGAGCTTCACCATGTTAGCCAGGATGGTCTCGATCTCCTGACCTCGTGATCTGCCCACCTCGGCCTCCCAAAGTGCTGGGATTACAGGCATGAGCCACCGCGCGCAGCCGAGACTTTTATACTACTTTTATAATCCCCACCTATGTAACCAATGTTGATCAGAATAGGTGCTGAAAAAATTCTTGCTTATTTCCATTAAATTTGAATGTCAAACCATTGTTCCACCATTGTCAAACTATAGTTTCACTGACAAGGAGGTATTAACATTGTTTTCTTTACAGGTTTCCTGCTTTAAATTCAATGGCTGTGCAGCTCCTATGCAGTGTTTAGGATTAACATGTTATGGCATGTTTTTACAGGTACATTTTTTTTAATCAGAGAAGAAAAGGGATACCTTTGGAACTGATAACAAATAGAATATCCAATCTCTCTTTTCATAGGTTAATAAAGTTATAATAATCTTAAAAAGAGCAAAATAAAATAAAGATTTGAGAATGTATTAATCTAATAGTGTTTGCTATCTCAGATTTTTGTTTTGAGTTTCTCAGTGGTAAAAAATGTTTGACATTTATTTATCCCCCAAACCATTCTATATGCTGAATGAAGGTTACTCCTCCTGAAGAATTGGTGTCCTCAAAGTTTCTACTAGTTGTAAAGATTAGAAATATTATGAGGTGGTGTGTGTGCATGCGTGTATCTGTATCTATATAATGAGTTTAGTCTTGGGCTGGTTATTTAAGGTGTGATATTAGTAATCAGATGTATTATTTCAAGAACATTTTGACTAATCTTTTATTGTAAACAAAGAAGATAATAACTAGCGTTTATTCATCTTAGTGTGTGCCAAACACTGTTCTAAGCAGTTTACATGTATTGACTAATTTATTTTTATTTATTTATTTATTTATTTATTTTTTGAGACGGAGTCTTACTCTGTCACCCAGGCTGGAGTGCAATGGCATGATCTCGGCTCACTGCAACCTCCACCTCCTAAGTTCAAGCGATTCTCCTGCCTCAGCCTCCTGAGTAGCTGGGATAACAGGTGCCCGCCACCACGCCTGGCTAATTATTTGTTTGTATTTTTAGTAGAGACAGGGTTTCACCATGTTGGTCAGGCTGGTCTCGAACTCCTGACCTCAAGCAATCCACCCACCTCGGCCTCCCAAAGTGCTGAGATTACAGGCGTGAGCAACCACACCCGACAACATGTATTAACTAATTTAAATTTACAACAACCTTGTGAGGCAGGCACTGCACCCGTAAGAATCTTGCTGTGCTCAGCCTACCAGCCACCAACTCCTACTCACCCAGATTCCAGGGGTCTAAGCCCTCCTACTAGTCTTCTTCCAAGACAGATTTTTCTTATTTAATTTTGTTTTTTACTTATTTCTTTCTTTCTTTGGGACATGTAATACCTATGTATGTATTCTTGTACAATTCCAAGGGTAGAAAATGTATAAAGTAAAAAGTTAGTCTCTCTCCTTGTCCACTGAGTTTCCTTCACCAGAAATAATCAGTTTTCAGTTTCTTGTATGTCCTTCCACAGGGAATAAGATTAGTTTTTATTAATTAATTAATTTATTTATTTTTGAGGCAGAGTCTCACTCTGTCGCCCAGGCTGGAGTGCAGTGGCACACTCTCGGCTCACTGCAGCCTCCACCTCCCAGGTTCAAGCAATTCTCCTGCCTCAGCCTCCCAAGTAGGTGGGATTACAGGTATGCGCTACCACACCCAGCTAATTTTTGTATTTTTAGTAGAGACGAGGTTTCGCCATGTTGGTCAGGCTGGTCTCAAACTCCTGACCTCAGGTGATCTGCCCACCTCAGCCTCCCAAAGTGCTGGGATTACAGACATTAGCCACCACGACTGGCCAGATTAATTTTTTTTTCTTTTTTTGAGACGGAGTCTTGCTCTGTCACCCAGGCTGGAGTACAGTCGCGTGATTTCAGCTCACTGCAACCTCGGCCTCCCGGGTTCAAGTGATTCTTCTGCCTCAGCCTCCCAAGTAGCTAGGATTACAGGGGCCTGCCACCACACCTAGCTATTTTGTGTGTGTGTGTGTGTGTGTGTGTGTGTGTGTGTGTGTGTGGTTTTTTTTTTAGTAGAGACAGGGTTTCACCATGTTGGCCAGGCTGGTTTCAAACTCCTGACCTCAAGTGATCCATTTGCCTCGGCCTCCCAAAGTGCTAGGATTACAGGCATGAGCTGCTGTGCCCAGCCAATGAAAGTGTTTTGTTTGTTCACATTCAAAAGTCATAAATAGCCAGGCGTAGTTGCTCACACCTGTAATTCCAGCACTTTGGGAGGCTGATGCAGGCCGATCACCTGAGGTCAGGAGTTCAAGACTAGTCTGGCCAACATGACAAAACCCCATCTCTACAAAAAAAAAAAAAAAAAAAGTCATAAATAAATGCTCAGAATTGTCACATTGAAATTGGATCATTCTCATTTATAAGCAATATCATAAATGACAACTAGGGGAGGTCAAAGGGGTTCTACTCTAGTCTTAAAGCCACAGCATGGTTGTAAGTGAAATATCTAAACTGTGTTCAGGGTTTTAGTTACTTGCCTCACATTGTCGAAGTTCAGGATTCAGTACCATTTAAACCTTCTCAAACAAACAAATAAAAAAGTTATCTCCGTTGCATTCCAGCCTGGGCAACATAGTGAGATTGAATCTCAAAAAAAAAAAAAGTTCTCTGAAAAGATACTTCCTTTCCAACCAAAAAGAAACTGGATTTTGGAGCTTCCCAAGTTTTGTTTATGTAAATTTGTTATTAATTTGATTGTTCCATAATGGGTAAAAATTGCACATCACCTTGATCATATGCTAAAAACAGTTACACTCATAAGGCAGTAGTGACTTGTGTTGTTTTTGTTTTGTTTTGTTTTTGAGACAGAGTTTCTGTCTGTTGCCCAGGTTGGAGTGCAGTGGCGCAATCTTGGCTCACCGCAGCCTCTACTCAGGGATCAAGTGATTCTCCTGTCAGCCTCTCAAGTAGCTGGGACTACATGTGCGTGCCACCGAGCCCAGCTAATTTTTTGTATTTTTAGTAGGGATGGGGTTTCACCGTGTTAGCCAGGATGGTCTCAATCTCCTGACCTCGTGATCTGCACACGTTGGCCTCCCAAAGTACTGAGATTACAGGTGTGAGCCACCGCACCCGGCCTGTTTTGTTTGTTTTTTGTGACAGAGCTTTGCTCTTGTCGCCCAGGCTGGAGTGCAATGGCATGATCTCATCTCACTGCAACCTCCACCTCCCAGGTTCAAGCAATTCTGACTCAGCCTCTCGAGTAGCTGGGATTACAGGTGCCCGCCACCACACCTGGCTAATTTTGTACTTTTAGTAGAGACAAGGTTTTACTATGTTGTCCAGGCTGGTCTCAAACTCCTGACTGCAGGTGATCCACCCACCTTGGCCTCCCAAAGTGTTGGGATTACAGGCGTGAGCCACCATGCCTGGTGTGACTTATGTTTTGACTTGATAGTCTGAATATCCACAATGTTTTCTTTATTTTCCTCAGACCTTAACAGCAGGTTGGGATGAACTTGAGTGCCATCGCGTTTATAATTTCTTATGCGAACTGACTAATCTCTGCCGCAAGATACAAATGGCTGTCTGCAGCAAACCAGGTAAAAAACTATAATTTGCATATAATATACAGAGATTAAAATAGAAAAAATAAACAGAGTTTTAAAAATGTAATTAAAAGTAATTTGGGCCAGGTGTAGTGGCTCATGCCTAAAATCCCAGCACTTTGGGAAGCCAAGGTGGGAGGATCACTTGAGTCCAGAAGTTCAAGAGCAGCCTAGGCAACATAGCGAGACCTTGTCTCTACAAAAAATAAAAAATTATCCAGGCATGGTGGTGTGTGCCTGTGGTCCCAGCTACTCAGGAGGCTGAGGTGAAAGGATCACTTGACCCTGGGAGGTAGAGGCTGCAGAGAGCTGTGATCGCACCACCACACTCAACCTGAGCAACAGAGTGTGACCCTGTCTCGATAAATAAAAAAATAAATAGTGGGCCAGGTGCCGTGGCTCACAGCTGCAATCCCAACACTTTGGGAAGCCAAGGCAGAAAGATCCTTGAGGCCAGGAGTTCAAGACCAGCCTGGGCAATGTAACAGACCATGTCTCTACAAAAAATTAGCCAGCCATGATAGCATGTACCTGTAGTTTCAGCTGCTCAGGAGGCTGAGGTGGGAGGATAGCTTGAGCCCACTAGACTGAGGCTGTAGTGAGCCAAGATCAAGTAACTGCACTCCAGCCTAGGCAACAGAGACCCCTTTTCAAAAGAAATAAAAATAAAATAAATTGTGGCACACATCTACAGTAAAAGGACAAAGAAATGTAAGGGAATGATAAATATCGAATAAGACAGTGGGGCAAAAAGCAATATGAGATTGGAGAAAGAGGGCTTCAACTGTATTGATGATATTTTATTCCTTAAGCCAGCTGGTAGATACAAAGGAGCTCATTATAGCATCCTGTAAACCTCTCTATATACCAGAAATATTTCATATTTTTAAATTATAGAACCTTATATCGAGCTGTTTCCCTCTGAGAAACTCCCACAATATGCACAAGGAGACATGCATATGAATGGTCATTGCAGGCAGAGGGCAGTGGCTCATGCTTGTAATCTCAGCACTTTAGGAGGCCGAAGTGGGAGGATTACTTGAGCCTAGGAGTTAGAGACCAGCCTGGGCGACATAGCAAGATCCCGATCTCCAAAAAAAAAAAAAAAAAAATTAGGCGGGCATGATCCAGTCACTGCACTCCAGCCTGGGTGACAGAGGAGGCCCTCCATCTTAGAAAAAAAAACAAAACAAACAAAAAAGACCAGGTGAATGGATAAACAAAATATGGTATATGCTGCAACATGGATGAACCTTGAAAACATTATGCTAAGTGAGAGAAGCCAGGAACACAGGGACAAATATTACATGATTCTACTTACATGAGATACCTAGAACGGGCAAATTCATAGAGACAGAAAGTAGATTTGAGGTTACCAGGAGCTGAGGGGAGGGGGGAGTGGGGAGTTACTGCTTAATGGTTACAGAGTTTGTGTTTGAGATGATGAAAAACTTTCGGAAATAGTGTGGTGGTTGAACAACAGTGTAAATATAAATGATGCCACTGAATTGCGTACTTAAAAATGGTTAGAATGGCAAATTTTATGTGATCTATATTTTATCACAATATAAGAAATTTAATAATATACTATAAACCATTGAATTGCACACTTTAAATGGTTGAATTGTATGGCATATAAATTATATTTCAATAAAGCTGTCATAAGAAAACAGTGATAGACTGGGCAAGGTGGCTCACACCTGTAATCCCAGCTACTCAGGAGGCTGAAGTGGATCACTTGAGCCCCTGAAGGTTGAGGCTGCAGTGAGCCATGACTGCTCTACAGTATTCTAGCATGGGCAATGGAGTGAGACACTGTCTCAGAAAAGCAAAGAAATAGTAATATACCATTTCACATTCCATTAGGATGGCTAGAATCAGAAAGTTCGATTTAAATAATAAGTGTTAGTGAGAATGTGACAACAATCCTCATATATTGCTGGCGGGAAAGTAAAATGGTGCAGTCAGTTTGCAAAATAGTCTGACAGTTTCTCAAATGATTAAACATAGAGTTATATGATCCATCAATTTCACTTCTAGGTATATAGCCCCAGGAGAAATGAAAACATGACCACACAGAAACTTGTGCATGAATGGTTTTGTTGTTGTTGTTGTTGTTATTGTTGTTTTGTTTTGTTTTGTTTTGTTTTGTTTTGAGACAGGGTCTGGCTCTATCACCCAGGCTGAAGTGCAGAGGTATGGTCTCAGCTCACTGCAACCTCCACTTCCTGGGCTCAAGCAATCCTCCAACCTCAGCCTCCCGAGTAGCTGGGACTACAGGCACATACCACTATGCCCAGCTAATTTTTCTGGTATTTTTTATAGTGATGGGGTTTCACCATGTTGTCCAGCCTGGTCTCAAACTCCTGGGCTCAAGTGATCTGCCTGTCTCAGCCTCCCAAAGTGCTGGAATTACAGGCATGAGCCACCATGCCTGGCCTACATGAATGTTAATAGCAGCATTATTCATAGTAGCCAAAAGATGGAAACAACTCAGATGTCCATCAATGGGTCAATAGATAAACAAAATGTAGTATTACATCCATACCATAGAATATTATTTGGCCATTAAAAAGAATGAAGTGCTGTGGGGGTTGGGGGAAGGAGAGCATCAGGAAGAATAGCTAATGGATGCTGGGCTTAATATCTAGGTGATGGGGGCATGGGGGCAAGGGAAGGGATAATATTAGGAGAAATACCTAATGTAGATGGTGGGTTGATAGATGCAGCAAACCACCATGGCACATGTATACCTATGTAACAAACCTGCACGTTCTGCCCATGTATCCCAGAACTTAAAGTATAATAAAAATAAATAAATAAATATCTAGGTGATGGGATGATCTGTGCAGCAAACTATCATGGTACACGTTTACCTGTGTAACCTGCACATCTTGCACATGTACCTCTGAACTTAAAAGTTGAAGGAAAAAAAAAGAATGAAGTGCTGATATATGCTACAACATGGATGAACCTTGAAAACATTGTATTAGCTGAAATAAGCCAGTCACAAAATGCCACATACTATATGATTTCATTCGTATAAAAATCCAGAATAGGGGCGGGGCGTGGTGGCTCACACCTGTAATCCCAGCACTTTGGGAGGCCAAGGCAGGTGGATCACCTGAGGTCAAGAGTTTGAGACCAGCCTGGTCAACATGGCAAAACCCCATGTCTACTAAAAATACAAAATAATCAGCCAGGCGTGGTGAGGAGCACCTGTGATCCCAGCTACTCGGGAGGCTGAGACAGGAGCATCGCTTGAACTCGGGAGACAGAGGTTGCAATGAGCCGAGATCACACCACTGCACTCCCGCCTGGGTGACGAGCAAGACTCTGTCTCAAAAAAAAAAAAAAAAAAAAAAAATCCAGAATAGGGAAATCCATGGAGATGGAAAGTAGAGTATTGGTTGCATAGGGCTAGGGGTGGTAAAGGACAGAGAGATAACAGGATGATAGCAAAAAGAACAGGATGTCTTTTTGAAGTGATGAAAATGTTCTAAAATTGGCTGTGGTGATGGCTGCACATATCTGTGAATATACTAAAAACCACTGAATTGTACACTTTAAATGGGTAAATGGTATGGTATGTGATTTATATCTCAGTAAAGCTTTTGAAAAAGTAGTCCTATGTTAATCTAATTTTTTATTTTTCCTTTTTTTGGAGACAGATTCTGGCTCTGTCGCCCAGGCTAGAGTGCAGTGGTATGATCTCAGCTCACTGCAAGCTCTGCCTCCCGGGTTCACACCCATTCTTCTGCCTCAGCCTCCCAAGTAGCTGGGACTACAGGTGCCCGCCACCACACCCGGCTAATTTTTTTGTATTTTTAGTAAAGACGGGATTTCACCATGTTAGCCAGGATGGTCTCAATCTCCTGACCTCATGATCCACCCGCCTCAACCTCCCAAAGTGCTGGGATTACAGGCATGAGCCACCACGCCTGGCCGTTAATCTAAAATTTTTATATCCGAGTGTGGTAACTCATGCTTTGTAATCTCAACACTTTGGGAGGCTAAGGTGGGAAGATCATCTGAGGCCAGGAGTTCAAAACCAGCCTGAGCAATATAGTGAGACCTCTGTCGCTACAAAAAATAAAATTAGCCTGTGGTCCCAGCTACTAGGGAGGCTGAGGTGGGAGGATTGCTTGAGCTCAGGAGTTCAAGGTTGTAGTGAGCTATGATCAGTCATGCCACTGCACTCCAGCTTGGGTGACAGAGCAAGACCCCATGTCTATCAACAACAGCAACATAACATTTTCTTTTTTTGTTGTTGTTTAGACAAAGTCTAGCTCTGTCACCCAGGCTGGAGTGCAGTTGTGAGATCTCAGCTCGCTGCCACCTCCATCTCCAGGGTTCAAGTGATTCTCCTGTCTCAGCCTCCTGAGTAGCTGGGATCAAAGGCACGTGCCACTGCCGCTGCCTGGCTACTATATATATATATATTTATATATATGTTTATATATATATGTTTATATATATGTTTATATATATGTTTATATATGTTTATATATATTTATATATGTTTTTATATATTTACATATATTTGTATATGTTTATATATATTTACATATATTTGTATATGTTTATATATATTTACATATATTTATATATGTTTATATATTTATATATGTTTATATATATTTATATGTTTATATATGTTTATATATATTTATATATGTTTATATATATATTTATATATATGTTTATATATTTATATATATTTTTATATGTTTATATATATTTATATATTTATATATTTATATATGTTTATATATCTATATATATTTATATGTTTATATATATTTTTATATGTTTATATATATTTGTATATTTATATATATTTATATATATTTATATATTCATATATATTTATATATATTTATATATTCATATATATTTATATATATTTATATATTCATATATATTTATATATATTTATATATTCATATATATTTATATAGTTATATATATTCATATATTTATATAGTTATATATTCATATATATTTATATAGTTATATATATTCATATATATTTATATAGTTATATATATTCATATATATTTATATAGTTATATATATTCATATATATTTATATAGTTATATATATTCATATATATTTATATAGTTATATATATTCATATATATTTATATAGTTATATATATATCTATATATTTATATATAGATATATATATTTATATATATATCTATATATTTATATATATTTATATATTTATATATATTTATATATTTATATATATTTATATATTTATATATATTTTTATATATTTATATATATTTTTATATATATTTATACATATTTTTATATTTATATATATTTGTATATATTTATATATATTTTTGTATATATTTATATATATTTTTATATATTTATATATATTTTTATATATTTATATATTTTTATGTATTTATATATTTATATATGTATATATATTTATTTATGTATTTATATATAAATATATATTTATGTATTTATATATAAATATATATTTATGTATTTATATATTTTATATATATTTATATATATTTTTATATTTTTATATTTATGTATTTATATATATTTATATATTTGTATATATATTTATATATTTATATATATATATATATTTTTTTTTTTTTTGAGCCAGAGTCTCGCTCTGTCACCCAGGCTGGAGTGCAGTGGCACGATCTTGGCTCACTACAAGCTCCACCTCCCGGGTTAACGCCATTCTCCTGCCTCAGTCTCCCAAGTAGCTGGGACTACAGGCGCCCGCCATCACTCCCGGCTTATTTTTTGTATATTTAGTAGAGACAGGGTTTCACCGTGTTAGCCAGGTTGGTCTCGATCTCCTGACCTCGTGATCTGCCCGCCTCAGCCTCCCAAAGTGCTGGGATTACAGGTGTGAGCCACGGCACCCGGCCAATTTTTTTTGTATTTTTAGTAGAGACAGGGTTTCGCCATATTGGCCAGGCTGGTCTTGAACTCCTGACCTCAAGTGATCCTCCCACCTCGGCTTCACAACGTGCTGGCATTACAGGCAAGAGTCACCACACCTGCCATAAAACTTTCATAGAGGAAAATGAAGTGACACTTTCAGTACAAAGTATATTAATGATATATGTCTTTGACCTTTCTCTGCATTTATTTCTTTTTAAATCCAAAATTGTACAAGAGTCTGGTAAGCTTAAGCATGTCTTTTGATTGATTGACCCATTATTCAAAATATTGACTATAAATCAGGAAGGTAAAAGTAAGTAAGTAGATAGACAAATTATGAAGTTAGGGGAGTTTAAGAATAGATAATCTCTTGGTTACTTCCTGTTTAGAAACCTAGTTTACTATCACTAACCATAATGATTAATAAGTTGCTTTGATCACTATTCAATATGCACAGCAGCCTTTCTACGAAGAATGATTTACAATTCTTTTGTCTTCATAGGAAGTGCCCAAAAACTGGAGTTAAGAATCAGACTCTTCTGTAGGAATGTCCTCCTTGATCATTGGACACATCGAAGTGATTCTGCTTTTTGGTTGACGCGAATATTAAAACCATGGCCAATGGTGAATCAGGCAAGATTACTGTATATCATCTTTGGGCCAATATCTCCTCAAGATGGTGAGCACCCATCTTTCAGGGTTGTAACATAACTGGTTCATTATTTTTACTTTAGGAAGCATATATATATTTAGGAAGCATATATTATACACACACACACACACACACACATGCATGCACGCACACAGTGGTGCGATCATGGCTCACTGCAACCTCCACCTCCCGGGTTCAAGCGATTCTCCTGCCTCAGCCTCCCAAGTAGCTGGGACTGCAGGTGCGTGCAACCACAACCAGCTAATTTTTTTTTTTTTTTTTTTTTGAGACGGAGTCTGCTCTGTCACCCAGGCTGGAGTGCAGTGGCGCAATCTCGGCTCACTGCGAGCTCCAATTCCCGGGTTCACACCATTCTCCTGCCTCAGCCACCCGAGTAGCTGGGATTACAGGCGCCTGCCACCATGCCTGGCTAATTTTTTGTATTTTTAGTAGAGATGGGGTTTCACCGTGTTAGCCAGAATGGTCTCGATCTCCTGACCTTGTGATCTTCCCACCTCGGCCTTCCAAAGTGCTGGGATTACAGATGTGAGCCACCGCGCCTGGCCAGTTTTTTGTATTTTTAGTAAAGACGGGGTTTCACCGTGTTATCCAGGATGGTCTCGATCTCCTGCAGGGTCCCACTTTGGTACCCAGGTTGCTCTCAACCTCTTGGGCTCAAGTGATCCTCCCACCTTGGCCTCCCCAAGTGCTAGAATTACATACATGAGCTACTGTGCCTGGCCAAGAAGCATACACACACACACACACACACACACACACACACACACACACACATGTTTTTTTTGAGACAGAGTCTCGCTGTGTTGCCCAGGCTGGAGTTCAGTGGCCCAATCTCCACTCACTGCAACCTCCGCCTCCCAGGTTCAAGCGATTCTCGTGCCTCAGCCTCCTGAGTAGCTGGGACTACAGGCGTGCACCACCATGCCTGGCTAATTTTTATATTTTTAGTAGAGACAGGGTTTCACAGGCTGGTCTCGAACTCCGTACCTCAAGTGATCCTCCTACCTCGGCCTCCTAAAGTGCTGGGATTACAGGCATGAGCCACCACGCCCGGCCAGAGACGTTCAAATCTATACTATTACCAGAATTGACTTCTTGTTTCAAAAGTTAAAATGAAAGTAGCTTGTATAAGTAATGGGATTCCATTGTGCAATTCACTTTCCTTTTTAAACAAGTCTTTATCACAAAGCCAACTATTCTGTCATAGCCTCGTTTTTGTTTCAATTCAGGACAGGTGGTTTGGCAGGAAATGATAGAAGAACCTACAGATGAATTCAGTCTGAAAGGTTTGGCTGATGCCATTAAGTTACTATATGACGCTAGCACTAAAGAGTGGACAGCAGATGATGTTATCAGTCTTGTAGATGAACTATCAGGTAAAAAATATATTTACTAACATAGAATAATAGAAATTTATTGTTAAAATGCAGTTATAAAATTATAAGGATAATTCTACAGGTAACAAATGATGTGCCTGTTGGAAATCACTGAATGCTCTAAAATATTTAAAGAGTTTGGCATTATGTTTGAAGAGAATGCATATAATCAACTTACTTTCCTTTGCTTGCCAATTTTATAAATAAACATTTATTATTATTATTATTTGAAAGCTTCTTCATTTAATTAGCTCAATTACTCCCATGTTGTAAATTCTCAGAAACACCCTCCTAGGTTCTGTAAAAAGCCCTCTTCTGTGAGTAAAGGAAAGGTGAAACAATTATTCCTATTCCTGCATAATCCTTTAGATTCTAAAGTTTACAAGGATGCTTTCCTTGCACAGGATTAGAACACTTTGCCTGCTGACCTATGTGTAGGAGAATTGCTTTGTTTATATTATTAGTACATTTGTAAGAGCCTCCATGACATGGCAATAACCTGTCTCTGACTGAATGCCATAATTGGAAAACTAGAGCATTTTTTTCTGAGCATTTCCCTTGGCACTAATTGTATTTCCAATAAAGATAAAATATTGCATGTACTTAATGGTATTTACTATAGCTGTTGTGTGATTTCTCATTAAATAATTGTTCTTCCTCTAATAAAAGTGGTTCCCCGTGAGTGGCTTCTAGAGAATAATGCACGTCTCCTAATGCTAAGTGGAAACAACATCTGTTTCAGTTTCATGGCTAGTAAAGCTGTGAATGGACGCACCATTGAACTGGCAAGGCTCGTAGTCTTTTTGGCTTTGGTAAGTAAAAATAAGTTTTTCTCTAGCAAGTTTTTTAACACTACAATTGACCTACAGGGAGCTGCCCTGAAGGAACTGAAATGTGGACAAAAGATTTTGTAAAAATGAGTATTGAAGTATATATTTTTAATGTTTCTTTTTCAAAATATTAAAACATATGTTTTCTTTTGTTTTGTTTTGTTTTTTGAGACAGTCTCACTCTTTTGTCCAGGCTGGAGTGCAGTGGTGCGATCTCGGCTCACCGCAACTTCCACCTCCCATGTTCAAGCATTTCTCCTGCCTCAGCCTCCTGAGTAGCTGGGACTAAAGGCATGCACCACTATGCCCCAGCTAATTTTTGTGTTTTTAGTAGAGACGGGGTTTCACTATGCTGGCCAGGCTGGTCTCGAACTCCTGACCTCATGATCTGCCCGCCTTGGCCTCCCAAAGTGCTGGGATTACAGGTGTGAGCCACCACACCTGGCCTAATATTAAAACATGTCATAAACTATAATATTTGGAATCATCCCTTCTATTAACTTCTCCCCACTTCAAGTCTGGATTTTCATTATACAGTTCTGCTAAGTTATATTCTTTTTAAAAAAAAATTCCATGTTAAAAAAAGCATCCCATTTGATTTACTTCAAAATAATCACTGTGGGGGTGGGTTGGGGAGAGGACTTGGGAGTAAATGGAGATAGAGTTGAAATAAGATTGATAATTGTTGAAACTGGGAAATGAGTACTGGGAGTTTATTATATTATTCTCTCTAATTTTGTATAGTCAAAATGTTTCAAAATAAAAAGTCTTAAAAATATATTTAGGCCGGACGGGATGGCTCACACCTGTAATAAACCCAGCACTTTGAGAGGCTGAGACAGGAGGATCACTTGAGTCCAGGAGTTCAAGACTAGCCTGGTCAACATGGCGAAACCCGTCTCTACAAAAAAATACAAAAATTAGCTCGGTGTGTTGGCAACATCTGTGGTCCCAGCTACTCAGGAGGCTGAGGTGGGAGGATTGATTGAGCCTGGGAGTTTAAGGTTACAGTGAACCAAAATTGTGCCACTGTACTCCAGTCTGGGCAACAGAACGAGACCCTCTCCCCTCTCAATACACACACACACGCACACACACATACATATACACATACATATATATATATATATATATATATAATATTATATTTATTTAATATTCATTTAACACAAATTTGTATTGAGTGCTTACTATGGGCCATAAATTATGAGATTCTTGAGCCCAGGAGTTCGAGAGCAGCCTGGAAAACACAGCAAGACCCTGTCTCTATAATAAAAATGTTTAAAAATTGGCCGGACATGATGGCTCATGCCTGTAATCCCAGCACTTTGGGAGACTGAGTCAGGCGGATCACCTGAGGTCAGGAGTTCGAAACTAGCCTGGCCAAAGTGGTGAAATGCCAACTCTACTAAAAATACAAAAATTAGCCAGGTGTGGTGGCAGGTGCCTGTAATCCCAGCTACTCGGGAGGCTGAGGCAGGAGAATCACTTGAGCCTGGCAGGCGGAGGTTGCAGTGAGCAGATCATGCCACTGCACTCCAGCCTAGGTGACAGAGTGAGATGCTGTCTCAAAAAAATAAATAAATAAATAATAAAAAATTTAAAAATTAGCCAGGAGTTGTGGCATGCGTGCCTGTGAGCTCAGCTACTCAGGAGCTGAAGTGGGAAGATCACTTGAGTCTGGGTGGTCAAGGCTGTGGTGAGCCAAGATAGCACCACTGCACTCTAGCCTGGGCAACAGAATGAGATCTCATCTCAAAAAATAAATTACTTAAATAAAAGGCTGAGTGCATTGGTTCATGTCTATAATCCCAGCTCTTTGGGAGGCTGAGCCCAGAGGATCACTTGAAGCCAGGAATTCAAGACCATCCTGGGCAATATAGGGAAAGCCTCAATTCTACAAAACATAAAATAAAACTAGCTGGGTGTGGTGGTGTGTGTCTATCGTCCCTGCTACTCAGAAGGCTGAGGCAGGAGGATCACTTGAGCCCAGGAGTTTGAAGCTGCAGTGAGCTATGGTCACGCCACTGCACTTCAGTCTGCATAGCAGAGGGAGACCCTGTCTCTAAAAAATAAATAAGTAAATGAATAAGTAGGAGTTCACCAGGCAGATAGAGGGTGGCAGCAGATTATTCAAGGCAGAAGAAAAATGGGATCATGTGACTGTATTCAGGACACTGTAAGCAGTTCAGTATGATTTCTGAAGGGTAGAATCTGCAGAAGAGTAGCAGGAGGTGAGGTTAGACATGAAGGGAGAGGCTAGGTAAGGAAGGGTTTTGTGGGCCATTCTGTGGAGCTTGAACCCATTTTCTAATAGGGAGCTACTGAAAAGTTTTATGAAGGGGAGAGACATAATTGGCTTTGTGTTTTTGGCAGATCATTTTGGCAGCACTATAGCAAATGTAATGAAGAGAAAATCACTAGGGGTGGGGAAGCCTTCTCTAGAAAGCCTTCTCTGATTAACATGTCAATTCTGATCATTAAAGTTCTCTGAATTACCTCTGATTTGTCTTCTCTATCTTCATCTACTATTAGTGTCCTTAAGCCACTGTATGTGTGGAGTAGGTCATCTCCCAAAATAGACTGCAAGCTCTTTGAAATCCAGTACTGTGTCACTTATTTCTTTCATAGTTCATAATACAGTGCTTTACACATAATAAATAGTCAATAGATCTTTCCTATCACAGTGCTATTATTTAGTTACACTACTATACAGTTTATTTTAATAATATGCATTATTTATTTGGCTATGTGAGTTAGATTGGCAATTAAGGATGTTAGTAAAGAAACCTTGGCCGGGCGCGGTGGCTCACGCCTGTAATCCCAGCACTTTGGGAGGCCGAGGCGGGTGGATCATGAGGTCAGGAGATTGAGACCATCCTGGCTAACAAGGTGAAACCCCGTCTCTACTAAAAATACAAAAAATTAGCCGGGCGCGGTGGCGGGCGCCTGTAGTCCCAGCTACTCGGGAGGCTGAGGCAGGAGAATGGCGTGAACCCGGGAAGCGGAGCTTGCAGTGAGCCGAGATTGCGCCACTGCAGTCCGCAGTCCGGCCTGGGCGACAGAGTGAGACTCCGTCTCAAAAAAAAAAAAAAAAAAAAAAAAAAGAAACCTTTTACTTTTCAGTCAGTTTTAGCTAGGAACATGTAATCTTTAAATATTTATCTTTTCAATAATGAAGAAACAAATATTCCCTAAAATTCTCAAGATGGAAAGTCGACAATACCATAGAATTCTCTTGCTTATTGAAATTGCCCATTTGTCTATCACCTTCATTGGACTTCTTGAAAATAGAGCCATGTCTTTATGGTTTGTCATTGTATCTTCAGCTCCTAGCAGGTGCTCAATAAATGTTTATTGAATGAGTAAATGAGCAGAAATTTTTTTTCTATGTTCAGTAACTGTTTTCAATACATATATATATATATATATATATTTTTTTTTTTTTTTTTTTTTTTTTTTTTTTGGAGATGGAGTCTGGCTCTGTCCCCCAGGCTGGAGTGCAGTGGTATGATCTCCGCTCACTGCATCCTCCGCCTCCTGAGTTCAAGTGATTCTCCTGCCTCAGCCTCCTGAGTAGGTGGGATTATAGGTGCTCGCTACCATGTCTGGCTAATTTTTGTATTTTAGTAGAGACAGGGTTTCACCATTTTGGCCAGGCTGGTCTCGAACTCCTGACCTCAGGTGATCTGCCCACCTTGGCCTCCCAAAGTTCTGGGATTACAGGCATGAGCCAGCGTGCCTGGCCTGTTTTCAATATTAGTTATTTCATTAGTAAATATTCTTCTATGATAATCTTAAATTAGGCTTGTATTTACTTCATACTTTTTTCCCATTAAAATTGTACCATTTGAAAGCAAAATAGTATTAGATAGAAGAGCATTTCCCATGTATAGACTCAGTATGGTGTCAGGTATCATAAATTATGTAAAATCACAAACTATAATTATTCATCATTGTTCACCATTTTCAAATTCTATAGCTTTCTTCACATGAAGGTTTATAGCGCTTTATATGTCTAAATCAGGTGTGTGAGAAAGAACTGTACTGCATGGATTGGACAGTTAAAATGATGCAAAAAGTCTGCAAAGTCTTTAGCACTCCAGTGGAAAGAAAGAACTTCCTGCAGAATGTGGCAAATGCATTTGCATGTGTTATAATGGAAATGCTGCAATCAATTATGTCTGGTGAGTAGGAATGTACTTGGTGCACAGGTGTGCGTAAAAATGCGCTCTAGTCTCCACCTAAAACAGAGATATTTTTCTCTAACAGTCCAAGAATGGAAAAAAAAAAAAAAGCTATTTCTATGTTGACTTTAAAAAATAAAAACTAACAATAAGTAGAGGAAGCGGACTTTTGTTTGTTTTT
Source organism: Homo sapiens (assembly GCF_000001405.40). Lineage (NCBI taxonomy): Eukaryota > Metazoa > Chordata > Mammalia > Primates > Hominidae > Homo > Homo sapiens. The sequence continues at coordinate 38,938,391 of NC_000017.11, read as the reverse complement.
CCTTGCAATATATTTAGTTCCTGGCTTTCGTCACTTTAAAAATCTGGTATTGGTTTTAATGGAGAATATAAAGTTGAAGAGTCTGCTTTGAAAGGAACCACTTTCAATTTTGCACAGCAAAAAAATTTAACTTGCTCACTTACCAACTGTCACTAGCATAAAAATATATTTGTAAATATTATTTTACAGCTTTATTAAGTAACCAACATGATAATTAACCCTATTTTACAGATGAGAAAACTAAGGCTTAGAGAAGTTACCTGACTTACCAAGGTCTCAAAGTTAGAAGCAATAAAGCATGGATGAGCATCCTTTTCTTCTGACTTCTAATCTACTTTTCTTATATAATTCCATGATTTCAGTAGTTAACTTGACTTAGTAAAGTCACTAACAAAAAGTCTCCTGTTTAAATATTACTAGGGAAGGCTGGGCGAGGTGGCTCATGCCTGTAATCCCAGCACTTTGGGAGGCCGAGGCGGGTGGATCACAAGGTCAGGAGGTCGAGACCATCCTGGCTAACACGGTGAAACCCCGTCTCTACTAAAAATACAAAAAAATTAGCTGGGCGTGGTGGCAGGCGCCTGTAGTCCCAGCTACTCGGGAGGCTGAGGCAGGAGAATCGCTTGAACCCAGGAGGTGGAGCTTGCAGTGAGCCAAGATTGTGCCACTGCACTCCAGCCTGGGCGACACAGGGAGACGCTGTCTCAAAAAATAATAATAAATAAATAAATATTACTAGGGAAAATTAGAACATCTTATGTTTCAAATAAATTATATACGTATAAGGCGGGTGGATCACCTGAGGTCAGGAGTTTGAAACCAGCCTGGCCAACATGGAGAGACCTCATCTCTACTAAAAATACAAAAATTAGCCAGGTGTGGTGGTACATGCCTGTAATCCCAGCTACTCGGGAGGCTGAGGCAGGAGAATTGCTTGAACCCAGGAGGCAGAGGTTGCAGTGAGCCGAGATGGCACCACTGCATTCCAGCCTAAGCAACAGGGGGAGACTGTGTCTCAAAAATTAAATTAATTAATAAAATAAATTATATACTTAACATTTTAACTGTCATTTTCTTTTCCCCACTATGTATGGCATATAGGAGACCGTGATGAAGATGACAGAAGCTTTTTGAATTTGTTCCATCTTGTACATGCTCAGGCTAACTTCCATAAGGAGGTCCTGTATTTGACCATGAATACTCCTCTGTCTACCTAAATCCTCAGAAAGCCTTGCCTTTAGAGAACGTCACTGAACGAATGATTAGAGGAGTGCTACTTTTTCACTCAAAAAATAGCATCCATGGGACTTTTTATCATCTAAGTAACCTAAGAATTCAAAAGCTGGATAGAATTTTAGAAGCAACTACGTACATCATTATTAATATAAAAATAACAGGCAGCCTCAAGAATGTGCTGAGATTTCTCTGGAAAACAAGCTCTGCCTCTCCGGGTTTTAGTCAACCTAACACCAAACCAAAATAGAATGTTAGCTGTTCAAGAATCTGGGACCAGCCAACCTGTATGTATGCATTTTTGAAGCAAGAGAAAATTCCATTTTATAGTTAGACCCAAATTCACTAAATAGTGTGTATGTTCACTTTGTTTAAGTTGTATAGACATAGCCCAGAATGTTTTGTGAAGATTTGCAATATGGTGTTTTGGAATGTGTAGAATACAAATCACAGTTTTTACTACCTTCTTGGCATATGCTTACAAAGAACATTATATTTTGTTCATGTTTTACATGAACTAATGGATAAAAAACAAAGTATACATATATGTCTATATATATATATAGACACACACACACAGACATATATTTCCTTCTTTAAGGTAATCATACAAAAGGTCTATACATACAGGAAGGTATATATTGTCTCAATGCAATCAAATCATCTTTTACTGGGGATTCAAATAAAATGTAGCAAATAAGAGAAAAATAAAATGAAAGAAAATAGCGATTCTGCTGCCAGAATAATCTTTACAAATAGTTTTTACTTCTTCCTAAAGCTTTTCTCCCTATCTTAAAAAGTGAGATTTGTCTGGGCACAGTGGCTCACACCTGTAATCCCAGCAATTTTGGAGGCTGAGGCAGGAGGATCCCTTGAGTCCAGGAGTTGGAGGCTGCAGTGAGTTATGATTGTACCATTGCACTCCAGCCTGGTGACAGAGTGAGACCCTGTTTCTAAACAAAACAAAACAAAACAAAACAAAAAAACAAGATTTGACAAAGGAAACTAAACGTATGGGTGGTTTACAGCAGCCCATGAGAGAGTGGGGTTCGGTTCTCTTCTCTCAAGTATATAGATTCCAAGAAGCTGCAGGACTGTTTCAGCCTGACTAGCATCTGCCACTCCTGCTTTTACTTTTACTATTAAAGTAGATAGTAACAGTACTTGACAGGGCTGAAATAATGCTGGAGTCCTCCTGGATCTCCCATCCCATTTTTTTCTCCTTGGGTTTGAGCACTTTACTTCTGAAGACACATTGCTTCCACCTGGACTTCTCAGAGGCTGGCCTTCTTTACCCAAGCTCTTGATTTAACTCACCTTTGGAGCTGATGAAGGAAAGAAACACTAGAAGATATGGAAAGTATCTGCAGAAGTAGGGGGTAAATTGTGGGAAATTCTCAAATGTTTGGTAAGAGGGACTCAGTGAGAGATGAATAGGACTGAGGAAGAGTGAAAATTGTGGAGAAAATACAAATTGTGAAAACAGGATTTTATTGTACTTCAGTAGTAAAGGCACTTACCTTCATTTCTGGAAGGTGAGAAGTTTAACTGTCTTTCTTAGATGGATTTTCCAACTGTAATTCCATTGGTGGCAGGAATTTTTTTCTCCAGTTTTTCATTAGCATATTTATGCAAAAACAAAGTTCTTGCTTTTATCCTGATTTCATTTTCTTCTTCTCAATGTAAGAATTCACCTTCAGTTGAATTATAAATGGAATTGAATTACAAAGATTAAAAGTTGGCAGATACCAGAGTATAAAATAATACCTTAGTTTTTTCATTTTCCCCTCTCTTTTTTCCTATACATGCTTGCAAAGCATAGATCTATCAAAACATTGATTATTCCAAGTTAAGAATATACCTCTTCAACTATCTGTGAGGGAAAGAAAAAATAAGGAAAAAAAAGTAAAATATTCAAATATAAATAGTGAATTTTTTTTTTTTTTGAGATGGAGTCTCACTCTGTTGCCCAGGCTGGAGTGCAGTGGTGTGATCTTGGCTCACTGCAACTTCTGCCTCTCTGCTTCATGCTATTCTCCTGCCTCAGCTTCCCCAGTAGCTGGGACTACAGGTGTGTGCCACCACACCCGGTTAATTTTTTTGTATCATTAGCAGAGACAGGGTTTTGCCATGTTGGCCAGGCTGGTCTCAAACTCCTGACCTCAGGTTATCCACCTGCCTCAGCCTCCCAAAGTGCTAGGATTACAGGTGTAAGTCACCATGCCCAGCAATAGTGAATATTTTTAATATTTTACTAAATGGATTCTAGATTTCATTTCCTTAGAGAAAGAAATTTGGCATTGTAAAGTTTCCTTGAATTCCTTGAATTATCCATCTCCACAGCAATTATTTTTAGCAAGTTTACAAAAGAAGCATGTAAAACATATTTGGTCTGGGTTTTGAATCTTCTTTATTCACTTGAACTGACATGACTGCTGCTGTAATTAAAAAAAAACCTCACATTATTTATTTCATTATTCTCAATAATTGTGAGATTATTATATCATCTTACCAAAAATTTGGAACATAAAAAGTTTGATTCATTCTTTGGGTGCAGGAAATAAACTGTGTCATTCTGCCACCAATAAAAAGCAAGCTGACAAATTGTCCATTCAATTGTTAAAACATACAAATAACATTTATGACCAAATTTGGAGTTTTTTCAATTCAGTGGTCCATTCTTTTTTGCCGAATACCTTTGTCATGAAGAATAAAGTGTAATGTCAAATTTTAAAGGGGAAATTAACTTTTAAAAGCATATGTTGTTATTACCATTATTATCAATGTTTAAGTGATGGTATAGGCAGTCATTGTCACAAAAAAAGAGCATTTGGAAAATGAATAGTTTAAAAACATTAGGAGACTGTCAATTTCTCACTAACTCTGGAACAGTCATAACAACATAACTATGTAAAGTACTAACAAGTCAGATAATTTAGCCTGTACTGTTTTTTAAAGTAGAAGATTGGCTGCTGGGCGCGGTGACTCATGCCTGTAATCCTAGCACTTTGGGAGGCCGAGGCGGCAGATCACAAGGTCAGGAGTTCGAGACAAGCCCGGCCAAGAGACCAGCCTGGCCAACATGGTGAAACCCTATCTCTACTAAAAATACAAAAATTAGCCCGGCATGGTGGCGGGCGCCTGTAATCCCAGCTAGTTGGGAGGCTGAGGCAGGAGAATTGCTTGAACCCAGGAGGCGGAGGTTACAGTGAGCTGAGATCACGCCATTGCACTCCAGCCTGGGCGACAGAGCAAGACTCCGACTCAAAAAAAAAAAAAAGATTGGCCTAAATTAGCAGACCTGGGGGCCCAGCTCCTTTTTCGTTTTTGTAATGCTTTCCTCAGCCTCCTTTGACTTTGATTTGTAGAATGATTTTTTACTCCCTGTAGAAGGCAAGTTCAATAACACATTATTATCTTTATCTTTATTATTATGTCTACAGACACCATGCACCATAATAGTACTAACAAACTAATGATGCTATCTTCCTTAGAAACTAATTGAAAATGTACAACTTGTGATAAGCTCTCTGTATCTTGTGAAACTATGAAACTTTAACACTTTTTTGGAGGACTCCTGCTCATGCCAATTATGAGATACCCAACAGAAGGTGCAGCTGGAAATACCATCTTATGTCAATGAATAACAAACACTAACCTCTTTGTGATTATTACTAAAAGGTTAACCTCCTTATGCAAATAGTACTCAAATGTATGATTACAGATTTTTATGTCAATAAATATTGTGAAGGGTAAAAATAAGGCTATTACAAAAGCCTCTTTGGTTATTGGATATCTTACTAACAACGTGACTTCTGTAGCACTTCCACTAGCAGGTAACTGTGAAACCTGTAAGAAATCAGGATATGGACATATGCTCCTTGGTTTTTGAGGCATTACTAAGCTAGGAAAGGTGACCTGAAAGATAGCTGCATTGAACAGTCTTCTCCAGGTTAAAAAAGAAAAAAAATTCCAAAGGACTAAGATTGCATTCTTTTCATCAAGAAAACAAATATATTGCATTTAAGGGCAAGATTGAAAAAAAAAAAAAGAAAAATATAACTCCAGAAAATTCCTCAAACTAGAGACTGAAAAAAGAACCCCACAAACCGCAACAATTTGGCCTTTGAAAGACTCTTAAATTAAAATAATAATAGTAATACTTGTAGACATTCTGAGATCACTGCTTTCTTAAAGGTGCGTATAACGAAAATATGCATTGCTATTTCAGAAGTATTCTTTTTATGGTAAATTTTCTTTGATACTAAATATTTGATATTTGCTAAATTTTGTTTATTTACTATATTAATAAAACTATGTTAAAATTGAAAACATTCCATCTTGTTCAGAGTTTGTCATTATGCAAGTCATTGAGCTTTTTGTGGGGGAACTTACCTTCATTTAAGCTGTTAATTATAGCTCTACCATGATCAAAAAAATGAAATGTCTTAATATAAATTAATATTGTAATTAGCTGTATATTTATGTATGTGTATACTTACACTTAATATTAACATATAAAATTAAATAATTTCATTTACTAGCAATAACTCATAAACAATAATCTATAGAACAGTATTCTGCACTGTTCTGCTATTTAATTCAGTGATTAAATCCGTAAGCAATGAATATTCCAATTGCTGCTAAACTAGAAATGCTACAATTATCATAGCTTAATATCAGTTTCAAAAAATAAAATATGTAATTAAATATTGTGGATTACCTGCAATTTCCCATGACTATAAGATCTTACAGTGTTTTTTTGAGACAGAGTCTGTCACCCACGCTGGAGTACAGTGGTGCGATCTTGTCGTACTGAAACCTCTGCCTCCCAGGTTTAAGCGATTCTCCTGCCTCAGCCTCCTGAGTAGCTGGGACCACAGGCACACACCACCACGCCTGGCTAATTTTTGTATTTTTAGTAGAGCTGGGGTTTCACTTTGTTGGAAAGGCCGGTCTCAAACTCCTGACTTCAGGTGATCTGCCCCACCTCGGCCACCCAAAGTGCTGAGATTATAGGCGTGAAGCACAGTGCCCGGCCTCTTACGGTGTTTGTTTTTTGTTTTGTTTGTTTTTTTGAGAGATAGTCTTGCTCTGCCGCCTGGCTGGAGTGCAATGGTGCAATCTCGGCTTACTGCAACCTCTGCCTCCTGGGTTTGAGCAATTCTTCTGCCTCAGCCTCCTGAGCAGCTGGGATTTACAGACACGTGCCACCATGCCCAGGTTTTTTTTTTTTTTTTTTTTTTTCTGTATTTTTAGTGTAGACAGGGTTTCACCATGTTGGCCAGGCTGGTCTCGAACTCCTGACCTCGTGATCCACCCAGCTCAGCCTCCCAAAGTGCTGGGATTACAGGCATGAGCCACTGCTCCCAGCCTGTGTTTTGTGTTTTGTTTTGTTTTGTTTTGTTAAGACCGAATCTCTCTCTGTCGTCCAGGCTGGAGTGCAGTGGCGCAATCTCGGCCCACTACAACCTCCACCTTCCGGGTTCAAGTGATGCTCCTGCCTCAGCCTCCTGAGTAGCTGGGATTACAGGCATGTGCCACCTTGCCCGGCTAATTTTGTATTTTCAGTAGAGATGGGGTTTCACCATGTTGGCCAGTCTGGTCTCCAACTCCTGACCTCAAGTGACCTACCTGCTTCGGCCTTCCAAAGTGCTGGGATTACAGACGTGAGCCACCACCACACCTGGCAGTCTCACAGTTTAAATTTTAAGTACAAAGATGTTCTTAAACATTTCTAATGTATCTGCCTTGGTGTGTTTGATTTTATAATGGAAGTTGTGTCAATGGCTTTTTCTGTTCCCCTGTTAATATATGACTTTGGTTTTATTTTTGTTTAAAATAGATGGGCACAAAACTGACTTAGAAGAGGCCACTCTACCGCCCATCGTCTGGGATGTGAGGAGCCCCTCTGCCTGGCTGCCCAGTCTGGAAAGTGAGGAGCGTCTCTGCCCGGCGGCCATCCCATCTAGGAAGTGAGGAGCGCCTCTTCCCGGCCGCCATCCCATCTAGGAAGTGAGGAGCGTCTCTGCCCGGCCGCCCATCGTCTGAGATGTGGGGAGCGCCTCTGCCCCGCCGCCCCGTCTGGGATGTGAGGAGCGCCTCTGCCCGGCCACGGCCCCGTCTGGGAGGTGAGGAGCGTCTCTGCCCAGCCGCCCCGTCTGAGAAGTGAGGAGACCCTCTGCCTGGCAACCGCCCCGTCTGAGAAGTGAGGAGCCCCTCCGCCCGGCAGCCGCCCCGTCAGAGAAGTGAGGAGCCCTTCCGCCCAGCAGCCACCCCGTCTGGGAAGTGAGGAGCGTCTCCGCCCGGCAGCCACCCCGTCCGGGAGGGAGGTGGGGGGGTCAGCCCCCCCGCCCGGCCAGCCGCCCCGTCCGGGAGGGAGGTGGGGGGGTCAGCCCCCCACCCGGCCAGCCGCCCCGTCCGGGAGGTGAGGGGCGCCTCTGCCCGGCCGCCCCTACTGGGAAGTGAGGAGCCCCTCTGCCTGGCCAGCCGCCCTGTCCGGGAGGGAGGTAGGGGGGGTCAACCCCCTGCCCGGCCAGCCGCCCCGTCCAGGAGGTGAGGGGCGCCTCTGCCCGGCCGCCCCTGCTGGGAAGTGAGGAGCCCCTCTGCCCGGCCACCACCCCGTCTGGGAGGTGTGCCCAGCGGCTCATTGAGAACGGGCCATGATGACAGTGGCGGTTTTGTGGAATAGAAAGGGGGGAAAGGTGGGGAAAAGATTGAGAAATCGTATGGTTGCCGTGTCTGTCTAGAAAGAGGTAGACATGGGAGACTTTTCATTTTGTTCTGTACTAAGAAAAATTCTTCTGCCTTGGGATCCTGTTGATCTGTGACCTTACCCCCAACCCTGTGCTCTCTGAAACATGTGCTGTGTCCACTCAGGGTTGAATGGATTAAGGGCGGTGCAAGATGTGCTTTGTTAAACAGATGCTTGAAGGCAGCATGCTCGTTAAGAGTCATCACCACTCCCTAATCTCAAGTACCCAGGGACACAAACACTGCGGAAGGCCGCAGGGTCCTCTGCCTAGGAAAACCAGAGACCTTTGTTCACTTGTTTATCTGCTGACCTTCCCTCCACTATTGTCCTATGACCCTGCCAAATCCCCCTCTGCGAGAAACACCCAAGAATGATCAATAAAAAATAAAAAATAAAAAATAAAAAAAAAAATAATAATAATAATAAAAGAAAACAAAAAAAAAAGAAGAGGCCACTCTAGGCTTTGAAAATATCTATAGTTTGATAAAGCCAAAGCATGTAATTTACAAAGACAATTTTCCACTTCAGTTGTACTTCGATGCCTAAGGAAAAGTCCCATTATTTTTGAGTAATTTAAAATCAAAATGATATTTTGGCCAGGCACGGTGGCTCACACCTGTAATCCCAGCACTTTGGGAGGCTGAGGCAGGCAGATAGCCTGAGGTCAGGAGTTCCAAACCAACCTGGCCAACATGATGAAAACCTGTCTCTACTTTAAAAAATACAAAAATTAGCCAGGCATGGGGATGCACACCTGTGCTCCCAGCCACTCGGAAGGCTGAGGCAGGAGAATCGCTTGAACCCAGGAGGCGGAGGTTGCAGTGAGCCAAGATTGTGCCATTGCACTCCAGCCTGGGTGACAAGAGCGAAACTCTGTCTCAAAAACCAAAAAATAAAATAAATAAAATACATCATTCTTCCCCACAAACCCCCTGTTTTCATCAAGAAAGCAGGTATTAGTGTAATGATTCTTAGCATTGTCACTTGATTTTTTTCTAAGTAATTTATAATTCTTCAGAGTGGTTTTTATCTCATTGACATTTTATTGGACAAAATTACCCTATGACACAAATTTATAAAATTTATACAAAATCTTATATTACAGAGGTAACTTTTTGCAGTGTTTTATTATGTTTTGGGATGCCAAAATACAAATAGTTTAAATGTAAAATTTAAACAACTATCAAAATAACACAGTAAAACCCTGTTATAAGCTAGCATATTGTTGCATAAATATAAGCACAAAGTCATATAATTTTTCCAAAATGTATTGATTTATTTTTTTAAAATCATATTTTACAAGTAACTGAAGAGATGGGTAATCCTCTCTCCTTACATTGTACCCAATACCAGTGGTATATATCACCAGTGTATGAGTGAAATCTGCTGATTTTTTTTCACTGAATTGATTAGTTGTTTCAACTTTATGTGAATACAGACTGAGAAGCCTTGATGTCACAAAAGACCAGAGCAAGCTTGGTTAGACTATACTTTAAAGATCTATACCATCATAACTAACTCTAATTTGGACCCCTCCAAAATACTGGCGCATGCCTGAATTACCTAGGTAAGGATGTAGAGCTGCTGTCTTGGCTTGAAGACGGAAATTATAGTTCGAAACACTAAGATATACCAGAGTTAGAAGAATGTTTTAGTGGAAAATGTCACATCAAGGACTCCACTGAAGATCATTTCTAAATATATCCAGGTTCACAGCCATGCTGCTTGCATCCATGTATGTCAGATTACCTATCTTTTTGCTACATACCACGATGCAGTATCATACTTGTTAATATTCCTTAAACAGTTTAGGCAAATTATCACAGACATAATATATATTTGGAGTAAATAAATATGGCCATTTTCTCATCAAAATCTGGCTGTTGGTGAAAAAAAAAGAGTTTTGCAGTTAAATTTTTGTTATAAAGTGTCATGTTGGGAAGAATATTCAGAAAAGGGGGACTACCAGTGAACTATTAAGAGTTCGTTCCATGGGAATTCTGTTCTCGATGTAGTTTCCAAAGAGATAATGCGACCTTGGCCTAACACTTTCATTTGACAGAATAAACAGAGGACCTAAAGTTTATGTATTTATTTATTTTTATTTTATTTTTTATTTTTGTGGAGACGGGGGTCTCGCTATATTGCCTGGGCTGGTCTGGAATTCTTGGCCTCAAGCTATCCTCCTGCTTCTACTTCCCTAAATGCTGGGATTATAGGCATGCGCCATAGCACCTGGCCTAGCCCTAAAGTTTAAATGACTTATGAAAGGTCAGGTCATATAATTTGTTGCCAAAACAAAGCTTCCAGAATAGTGTTTTTTCTTGTCCATAATTTTTATGTTTTTATTATTATTTTTTTTTGAGATGGGGTCTTGCTGTGTCACCTAGGCTGGAGTGCAGAGGTGTGATCTCGGCTCACTGCAACCTCTGCCTCCCAGGTTCAAGCGATTCTCCTGCCTCAGCCTCCTGAGTAGCTGGGATTACAGGCACCTGCCACCACACCAGCTAATTTTTGTATTTTTAGTAGAGACAGGGTTTCACCACGTTGGTCAGACTGGTCTCAAACTCCCGACCTCAAGTGATCCTCCTGCCTGAGCCTCCCAAAGTGCTGGGATTCCAGGCGTGAGCCACCGTGCCCGGCCTTGTCCATAATTTTTAAACACAACTTTTCCATTTCAGTTGTGACATATAATGCCTCAATTTTTGTTTTAAAACATGGAAATTGGACACAATGTTATTACTAAAAACTAATCTTTCTCCTTGTTTATTTATTTATTTATTTTATTTTATTTGAGACGGAATCTCGCTATGTCTCCCAGGCTGGAGTGCAGTGACATGATGTCGGCTCACTACAACCTCTGCCTCCCGGGTTCAAGCAATTCTTCGGCCTCAGCCTCCCGGGTAGCTGGGACTACAGGCGCGCACTACTGTGCCTGACTAATTTTTGTATTTTTAGTAGAGACGGGGTTTCACCGTGTTGGCCAGGCTGGTCTCCAACTCCTGACCTCAGGTGATCCATCCGCCTCGGCCTCCCAGAGTGCTGGGATTACAGGCATGAGCCACCACTCCTGACTCTCCTTGTTTACTTTTAAGCAAGAAAGGAAAATTAAATGTAGAACAATTATGATAGACTTGTAAAAGGAATAAACACCCCAGATTTGCAGGCCAATTCTACTCTGAATCCCAAAATACATAGTTTCTTCAACTCTAATGGGTCAGAGAACTATGTGGAAAGTTTTTTCCAGAAAAGATCTTTGATTAAAACACACACACACACACACACGCACACACACACACACACACACACTCATTTTGGGGTAAGAGATTTTTCCTAAATAAGTATAGCCATCTTGTTTCTATCATTTATAATTCAATCAGGTGCAAAGAGAGGACTATATAACCATTTCTCCCTTTAAATGAGAAACTGGGATACAAGTGGTTTGAGGTGGGGAAGAAATGATACATTTTAAAAACTCAAATGACAAGTTCTTCCTGGCTGGAGAGTGAGACAAGAGAAACCACAAAACCCCAGACTGTGCAATCTGTAAAGACAGTGATAAAGTGACTACTTCATAGATGAAGATGGACAACTTGAACTTCCCCTTGAGTTTCACAAGGGAGTCCTGTGTGTGAGAAGGAAGGAACATATTTGAGTGTAATGTGCAGTTGCATTTAGATCTAAGGAAACTTAAAATGAATTTAAGTTTCCTTAATTCAAAATGAATTTTTGAGCAGTTCTCCACGGTAACTTTAATAAGTCTCCATTTCAACTTTCTGTTCTCAATCCCATCTACAGCTCAAACATATGCAGTATCTGCCAGCCCTGTCCATGAATTCCTGAAGTCCCAGCCAAGTGCCTCTCAGCTCAAAAAGCCCCTTGCTTGCCAGGGGTCAGCCATGTCTGGAAGGCTCTGAAAGAGGTCTGCTGGGCAGTAGGACTGCTTCTGTGGATGAGAGGCCTCTTGTTGGACTGGAGAGACCAGGAGCTGTAAGAAACCCAGAAATAAAAAGTCTCAGATGGGGACAACTGCAAAGTACCAGGAGTTCCTCCCTCCTCTCCACCATATCCCACAGTTGGACATCTCCCCGAAAACCCCACCCCAAGTAAAATTTATTTGCCGTCTCACCCTCAAATAAGAATGAGTCAATCATTAAGTAATGCAATTATACAAGCATAGTTGTAAACAACTATATTGCAAGTATGCTGACATGCAAAGATGTGTTTTACCTTTAATTACCAGAAGAAAATAGACAACTTGAGTTTGAGCACCTAACTTGAAGAAGAAATTAGGAAATAATAGTCCCTCCCCACCACATCCATCATTCCCAACCCGTTCTGCCTAAAAATCGTTTACATTGTGGATTTTATTTGTAATTTTTAAAGTCTTATTTTAAATTAGGTCCCAAAGAAAGAAGCTGGCATTTCTTATTCTTTTCAGAGTGGTCTAAGAAAAAAAATAGGAAAGCAAACTCTTTCTTTTTTTCTTTTCTTTTTTTTTTGGAATCAATACCCGAGATAACAGCAGAAGCAAAAATCCACCGGTGCGTCAGCAAGCAGGGCACTCGGCCATTCATCTCCATCCTTCCTTCTGAGCTGTTCTCCAGCAGGCTCCGGCCGCAGCTCCAGGCCACTAGAGCAGATAGATAATGTAGGACAGAATGACCAGGCCTATGATGGCAAAGAACATCAGGATGAAAATATCCAGCATTGTGGATTCCTAGGCCGACCAAGCCCCTGGATTCTGGTGAACCGTGAGCTGTGAGCACGGAGGTTGCAGTCGGTGGAGAGAAATGGCTCCCCTTCACTCCACAGCTCAGCCCTGGTTCTTTCCCCTCCCCCTCCCAGGGGCCTGAGACTGAAGGATGCTGCAGCTCCACCAGCAGCTTCCTGCCCCCCCACCAACCACAGCCAACCAATCACAAAGCCTGGGGGTGGATAGCCAAGGAGATGCCAGATTTAGACCCACAGAACCGCAGAATCAAAGGGGCTCAATTTCTCCCCAGGAACCCAATCCCACCCCTTTGTATCTAAATGGAGCCTGCATGCTCTGGATGTAGGAGGAGATAGGATCCTACCCAGCTCCCCCAAGAGTGAATCCTCCTGACTGCCTTCTTCGCGTTTCCTCTCACACACCTCGGGCAGATTATCTCAGAAAAATCATGGTTGGGTATTGGGTGGGCCATTGGCAACTTCTAAAGGTCACATTATGGGGAGACACAGACAAAAGTTTCGTGTGGATCTCAGTGGGCTTCCCTGAGGGATGAAGCTAACATTTATACATTTCCTACACTGGGCCAGATATCGTACATGTGGTGCAATTTCAACCTCCCTATGAGTCTTTCATAGATGGGGCTCAGAGATGGTCAGAAACTTACCCTAATGGTTCATAGCTTAGATGTGTCAGAGACCAGCCGGGCGCAGTGGCTCATGCCTATAATCCCAGCACTTTGGGAGGCCGAGGCAGGTGGATCACAAGGTCAGGAGTTCAAGACCAGCCTGGCCAAGATGGTGAAACCCTGTCTCTACTAAAAATACAAAAGTTAGCCAGGCTTGGTGGTGCATGCCTGTAATCCCAGCTACTTGGGAGGCTGAGGCAGAGAATTGCTTGAACCCGGGAGGCAGAGCTGAGATCGCGCCACTGCACCCCAGCCTGGGCTACAGAGCAAGATTCTGTCTCAAAAAAAAAATAAAAATAAAAATTAGCCGGGCGTGGTGGCAGGTGCCTGTTATCCCAGCTATTCAAGAGGCTGAGGCTAAAGAATTGCTTGAACCCGGCAGGCAGAGGTCGCAGTGAGCTGAGACCGTGCCATTGCACTCCAGCCTGGGTGACAGAGCGAGACTCCGTCTCAAAAATAAATAAATTAATAAATAAAATAAAAAGTAAAAGGCTGGGTGTGGTGGCTCATGCCTGTAATCCCAACACTTTGGGAGGCTGAGGTAGGTGAATCACCTGAGGTCAGGAGTTCAAGACCAGCCTGACCAACATGGAGAAACTCCAGCTCTACTAAAAATACAAAATTAGCTGGGCATGGTGGCACATGCCTGTAATCCCAGCTACTCAGGAGGCTGAGGCAGGAGAATCGCTTGAACCTGGGAGGTGGAGGTTGCAGTGAGCTGAGATTGTGCCATTGCACTCCAGCCTGGGCAACAAGAGTGAAACTCCGTCTCAAAATAATTAATTAATTAATTAAAAATGTCAGAGACCAGGATTCAAAACTAGGCATGCTGACACCAAAGTCCATATTCTTCCTCTTGCGCCACACTGCTCCCCCTGTTGGTCCGGAAGGCCCCTACACCCCACGTGCACTGCTCAGCTTGCAGTGGACTGCTTTCACATCGATCCACCTACAGGACGAGCACCAGAGACCCCTCCTCCACCCACTCCTTCGTCTCTTTGCAGTCATTACCCACTGTTTTGTTTTCCTTCTTTCTTTTTTTATAGAGACGGGGTCTTGCCATTTTGCCCAGGCTGGTCTCAAACTCCTGGACTCAAGCGATCCTCCCACCTCAGCCTCCCAAAGTGCTGGGATTGCAGGTGTGAACCACCGCACCCGGCCTAGTTTTGTTTTCTTTGGTATCCTCTTCCAAAAGCTCAGCATAGTGTTGTACACAGAGAGGACACTGAAGAATTCCCCAGGGGTATCCCTGAAATTTAAAAAATTCAAGTGGTTTCTTCTGAGGGGGAAAAGAGAATTATTTTATTCTTTTTATTTATTTATTTATTTATTTATTTATTTATTTATTTATTTATTCTTAGACGGAGTCTTGCTCTGTCACCCAGGCTGGAGTGCAGTGGCACGATCTCAGCTCAGTGCAAGCTCTGCCTCCCGGGTTCACGCCATTCTCCTGCCTCAGCCTCCCGAGTAGCTGGGACTACAGGCACCCGCCACCGCGCCCAGCTTATTTTTTGTATTTTTAGTATAGACGGGGTTTCACTGTGTTAGCCAGGATTTTTGTGCCTTTTTATAAGCCTCAATTATTTTCTATTAAATTAAATCATTCCCTAGGACGTCTCTGAGGCCTAGTCTCCTTGGCCCCCACCCCAAATAATATTTTTTTTAAAGGCCTGGGGTTAAGATATATTGGTAACCCCCTCATAATGCAAGACCTCAGGAACTTAGGCCACTGCCAGAAGGAAATCCAGAAACTCCTCCCATTGGCCCATTTCCAGGAGGCAGAGCTTTCTGTGAGCAGGGAGTGGAGACTTGGCAGCAATGTCCCCCAAAGCACTGTTCCATCAAATAGATCTGAAGGTGAATGAAGCCTCCCGGGGAGTGGGGCAGGCCGACATGAGGCAAGCTTTGCCAACTAATTCCCTTCTATTGGGAAAGTATTGGGCTGCCTGCACCCCTGGAGGGGAGCAGGTGTCAGTGCTGTCTCTAATTATACCACCCAGGGCAGCCTTGGATGCTCCCCACATTGCCCCAGCTCAGCTGACTCTGGCCATGTCATTCTCCAGATTACAAATGCTCAGCTCAGGAGAGCCCTCCTCCTCTCCACCCTGCTGTGATTCTGAGGCTGGAGAATTCCTTAGTTCTGAGCCCCAAGAGAGAAATGCCCCTCAAGCAGCTGGACCTGAGGCTGATTGGCAGCACTGAGCAGGGCCAGATTCCCCTCTCTACCACTGTCCTCTTCCCAAGCCCAATGAGCAAGAGGGGAGGCCGCCTGGCCTTCTGGCCAGTCACAGACCCTGGGCACCTGGAGCAAAACATGGAGCCCAGGAGACACACATCTAAGAGCTGCCACAGACACAGGCACGCGGCCTGCCATGGCCGGGTGGCACAGCACCAGACTGTGAGCATCACATGGGGGTCTCAGGCCCCACTCTGCCACTAGCTGTGACTGCCACCAATCTGCTTTGCCTTTCTGGGTTTCAGTGAGCCCCTCTATAAGTAGTTACTTCTCTCACAGGGTTGTGAGGAAGAAGGAAGAAAGGGGATGTGTATTAAAGATTACATTCAGAAGGCACTGTGAATAGTGCTTTGGGTTGCCAGGCCACCTTACAGACAGCTTTATCCAGGTCCCGTCCCACTGTGGAATGCCCTGTCATCTCGTTCCTCAAATGCGTGGAGCTCCTGCTCTCTGCCTGGCAGCGGCAGAGTGCTAGAACTGCTCCCCAGCCAAGCTCATTCATTAATTCAACAGCTCCGCACCGCTCCTGGGCAGGTACCCGGGATTTAGAGATGAATTAGACTCATCACCTGCCCCAAGGGCTCTGGCTAGTGGGGAGACAGATATGTCACTGAGGAAGTGACACAGTAATACGAGACGGAGCTCAGGGAAGCTTCCGGGAGCATCACCAAGTTGGGCAGAGAGGAATGAGCGGGTGGAAAGCCAGAAGTAGGTTGGTGGGGAGTTCTCAGCAAGGAGGAAGTAGGGGCCAAGGGCCTGACAGACAGCAGCAAACTCCCCCTTGGCATCCAGACAAGTCATTCTCTCCCCGAGGGGCAGCAGAGGTCCCAGGAGGGCCACAGGCCAGTGCCCCCAAGCAGACAGGACACACACACACACACACACACAGTGGCACCTTACAGCTAGACACACACACACACAGCAGCACCTTACAGCTAGAGACACACACCCACACACAGACACACACAACAGCAGCTCAGAGCCAGAGAGGAAACCAAGTCCGCAGGTAAAAATTATACTTTTATTTGAGTCACCAGGAGAAAGATTCACTTGTGGTTCAAGTCAAATGTTCAGAATCATAACAGGCCAGAAAGGTTTGATCCCGAGCACAAGCCCACGAGGGAGGGGACCAAAACAGACCAAAATGAGACAACAACCCCATATAAAAAGATGAACTGGCGGCTTCACACACTCACACACATACACATACACACGGATGAAATGTTTGGACAGAGGCAAATTTCACGTGGTCATTTCTGTTTCTTTTTAAATACAGGTTTGTAGGGTGGTATTTTGTTTTTTCCAGCTATAAAAAAAGGCCCAAAAGTGCATGTGTGAGGGGGGAAAGGCAGAAATTAAGCAATAAAGTCATTTTCCCTGGAGGGACATGAGAGGGAGAAAACAGGAGGCAGTGCTGGGAGAACGCACTTTCCTCACCACTGGGCTTCTTGTTATTCTTAGTATTGGTCCACAAAAGTTATATTCACATTCTAGCTTTGATGCCTCTTTCCTGGGATTAAATGAGCTGAAAGACCTCTGTGAACTGTAGAGAAGACCAGGGGCTCAGCCCAGCCCAGCCCAGCCCCTCAGGGCTCTGTGCTCTTCTAGGGATGGATGGTTTTGGTAAAGAACAGACGCCCAGCAGCCCCCGGTCACTCAGCACCAGTGTGACAGTCCCTCCTCTCTCTGGGGGTGTGTAAGAAAACGGCCCCTATTTTTAGGACAGGAAGAGTAGAGGGAGGGCCTGCAGCAAGATTCCATGACTGGCTTGCCTTATCTGGGAAGGAGAATTAAGCTGAGTGAAAACAGGCTGCTTCTTGCTGCTCCTCCCTTCCACTCACCACTCTCCCAAACTCAGGTCCTCTAAGGGGATGTGTCCCTGACCTTTGGTCCCCAAATCCACATTGTGCTTTGAGATCAAGAGGAAACAGAATGCACCAGCGCCACCCAAGACTCCCAAGAGATTCTCTGCCTCCCCGAGCCCCCAAATCGCCCAATATAAGATATTCCACTTGCCTCCACCTAGGCTGGGGCCAGAAAGGAAAAGGGATGGGTCAGGCAGGGCCTCCCCACCCACAGTCTTTTCCTCAACCTCTCATTCGGGGCAAACATCCCCAAATCAATTAACAAGCAGTTGACAAAAACACCCATGATGACTGATTGTTGAACAGGCCAATACCTTCAGGTCCTGCCCCTCACCTGTGGGTACAAGTGTGCCAAGGGACAAGAGGCCAATGGCAGGGCCTGGTTGGGCTCAGGATGAAAATGGGATGGGGACTCCCAGAGGGTGGCAAGAAAACCAGAGATGAATCAAGTGAGGCCAGGGTTGTCACAGCCACCCATGAGCAGAGAGCAGGAACTGGATATAGCACCGTCTTTCCCTCCCCATCCCCGAGGCTGTGCTTCCAGTTTTGCAGCCCTGGGACCCTCTTTCTTGCTTCAAGGGAGCTTTATGTAAGTGAGGGGGAGGTCTAGGGGAAGAGCCCCCGAGGGAGACACCCACAGGGTGACACTTCTGCCACCCTATTCTGTAGCCCCAGACAGAGATGGGGAAACATATGCCTGGAGTGACAGAGCCTTCCTCCACCGCTTAGCCCCAGCAGGCTGCAGACCCTATGGCAGCCCCAACTCCACACCAACCTCTTACCTTCCACCCTGCACACTGCAAAGGGCAGATTGGTGGGCTTCCTCCACTCAGAGATGGGGGGAAGGAGGAATTTCATTCCAAAGAAAACCTAAGGAACTTCTCTGCCCCAGGAGCCCTCCCCTCTCACTGTGGGTTCTGAGGAAACTCTCAGGGGAAGACAGCTCTTCATACCCTCACATAACCCCACCCACACACAGGCCCAGAGACACCTACAGACACACCCCCGCCCCATCTCTCACACTCACACTCACACACTTGCGTGTCAGACACCTGCAGACATACATGCTCCTGCCTCCGCACACCAGGTCTTGGAGATTTAGTGGTCCCTGCTGACTTTGTGCAGCTCCAAGTCCACTTGGCATTGGGCTGGGGAGGGGAGGTCATGGAAGGCTCTGAGACATCTTCCCATGAGGAGCAGGGAGGAGCGGCCACCTAACCCAGATCCTGGGGGCTGAGGGAGGCTGAAGACCAAAAGGTCCTGAGGCACCCTTGCCCTACACTTCGGGACCATGGCTTCCAGCCTAGGAGGCAGGCAAGGGTCCCTGGAGACTGGGGGTGGGCGTGGGGAAAGGGGCTGCGGAAGAGAACTCCTTGTTCCCCTCCTTCCGGTAGCTGTCCCTAAAATTAAGAAAGGCAAGAACCTGACCCAAGCTGTGCTTCCTCGGGAGCTCTTTGCCCGCTGCAGGTCTGCGTGGGCAGGAGGGCAAAATCACAGTGTGCGAAGGAACGCGCGGGGAGGGGATGAATTCGCCCCACAGCAGGAACCCCATTCTCCTGTTGTTGCCCCTGAGGAGGGAGGTAGGGAGAGAGACCCCAGGTGGGCAGAGCCCCCTCTTTGAGAAAGAGAGGTAGAGCCCATCCCACTGGTCCCTACACAGCGGCAGAGTCCCCATCGCCATCCCAGGAACCAAGAAGTGGATCCCACTCTGGGGAATGTAGGGAGCCCCTGACCTGGGGTCCTGGCAGTCAGGCTCACCCCAGCCCTGGAATGTGTGGGTATGTGAGGAGCTGGGCAGGAGGATGTGAGGGGAGAGAACAGAGGGGCAGGTGAGGCCCACAGGCCAACAGGTCTCCCATTCCAGCCCTGCCTCCCCCAGAGAGGCCCATGCCCGTTCCATCCAGAGAGAAAACCAAGAAGTCGATCAAGGGGGAAGCCTGCCAGAGGAGGGAGCCCGCAGAAGTGGCAGAAGAAGGCTTCAGTTGGCAAAAGAAGCTGGAAGAGGGGTAGGAATCACAAGCTGTCGCAGGTTTTAAAAAACAGAGACACTGAAGAATGGACGGGTCACGCCCAGGACGGATGCGATGCCGTGGAATGTGCTGAAGACAGATGGGGGCGCTGCGGGTTCAGATGGCCTCCACGTAGTTGGCCGGCAGCATCCCCGTGTCGCCGGTGCGCTCCACCGTCCCGTACATCCAGCCGTCGTCGATCTGCTGCACGTTGACGATGGTGTCCCCGTCCTGGAAGGAGACCTCGTCCTCGTCGGCGGCGCTGTAGTCATACACCGCGCGGTACCGCTTCTGTGGGGGAAGTGTGGTCAGCCTAGGGCCCTGCATGCCGGCTCACCTGGGTCTGAGCATTTTTTTCTAACTCTCCACGACCCTGGAGCAGAGCCTGGGGGAGCAGTGAACTCAGAAATGGAGCACCAGGCTCTGCTGCAAAGATTCTTAACCTCTGTGTCTTGCTTTCTGAGAGCAATCGATCTTTTACAACCTTTGGCAGCTACTAAGGGCCAGAGGCAGAGCAGGGACCGGGTCACATCAGCTCTGCCCCACCTCCCTGAACAGGACTGCAGTAAGGTCCACCAGCCATGATGACAGAGTAATGTCTAAAAATACGACATGCAGGCCAGGTGCAGTGGCTCACGCCTGTAATCCCAGCACTGTGGGAGGCCAAGGCAGGAGAACTGCTTGAGCCCAGAAGTTTGAAATCAGCCTGGGAAACACAGTAAGACCCCCCAACTCCCTCTTTTTTTTTTTTTTTTTGAGATGGAGTCTTGCTTTGTCACCCAAGCTGGAGTGCAATGGTGTGATCTTGGCTCACTGCAACATCCGCCTCCCGGGTTCAAGCGATTCTCCTGCCTCAGCCTCCCAAGTAGCTGGGACTATAAGCGTGTACCACCATGCCCGGCTAATTTTTGTACTTTTTTGTAGAGACAGGGTTTCATCATGTTGGCTACGATGGTCTCAAACTCCTGGTCTCAAGTGATCCGCTCGCCTCGGCCTCCCAAAGTACTAGCGTGAGCCCATCTCAACAAAAAATAAAAAATTAGTTAGGCTTAGTGGTACATGCCTGTAGTCTCAGCTACTCAGGAGGCTGAGGTGGGAGGATGGCTTCAACCCAGGAGGTTAAGGCTGCAGTGAGCTAGCTGTGATTGCACCACTGCTGCACTCCAGCCTGGGCAGCAGAGCAAGACCCTGTCTCAAAAAAGAAAAAAAAAACAGAAAAAACATGCCCTGTATGCTATTATTTGTATGATTATAAGCACCAGTAGTTTCTTTTAGAAGCCATGATGAGTCCTGTCCAAGTTCAGGACAAAGATCTTTCCTTGGGAGAAAAATCTTCAGAGGACAGAAGACGAGTCTATCAGGTTCCACCTTCCAAGCCTCAGCCAAAATCTGCCGCTTAAGCCCTAGATCTAGGTAATGTTCAGTAAGGCACACAAAAACCTACAGCGCCACCTACTACCAGGATGGAGTTTAAAAAAAGAAAGAGGAAAAAAAAAAGAAAAATAAATCCTATAGCTATAGACAACATTCTACCTCCCCTGACCTTCACTGCCCTTGACTGGTCTCTGAGGCTCCACAGGACAGTTTGAAACCAACAGGTCTATGGGATAAGAAGTCACACCTCCCATGAAGTAACCTCAGTCTCTCTCATCACCAATTCTGCCTCTATCTTGGGCTGAGCCACTCCCATCCATGCCTATATCCTGCAACAGCCTCCTGACGGTCTCCCTGCTTCTACCCTCAAACCACTGCCTCTTCTCAACACAGCTGCCAGGGTGGTCTTCCAAAAACCTATGTCGCTCTGCACAGATCACAGGTCACAGAGGCCTTCCTGGGGCCCACAAGTCCCTGCATAATCGGACCTCCCACCCTCTCCCACTCTAGTCAATTCGGGCTTCCTGCTGCTCCCTGAACTTTCCTAGAATATTCCTGCCTCAGAGCCTTTGCACTTCCTGTCCTCGTTGCACGGCTCACTCCTTCCTTTATTGAGGACTTTGCTCAAATGTCACGTCTTTTTTTTCTTTTTTTTTTTCTAGCTGGAGTTTTGCTCTTGCTGCCCAGGCTGGAGTGCAAATGGCGTGATCTCGGCTCACTGCAACCTCCACCTCCCAGGTTCAAGCAATTCTCCTGCCTCAGCCTCCCGAGTAGCTGGGATTATGAACATGCACCACCATGCCGAGCTAATTTTATATTTTTAGTAGAGACAGGGTTTCACCATGTTGGCCAGGCTGGTTTCGAACTCCTGACCTCAGGTGATCTGCCCACTTTGGCCTCCCAAAGTGCTGGGATTACAGGTGTGAGCCATCGCACCCGGCCAAATGTCTTTTTTCTTTGGAGATATTGCTCTGTCACCCAGGCTGGAGTGCAATAGTGCAATCTTGGCTCACTGCAACCTCTGCCTCTCGGGTTCAAGCAATTCTACTGCCTCAGCCTCCCGAGTAGCTGGGATTACAGGTTACAGGCATACACCACCACACCTGGCTAATTTTTGTATTTTTGGTAGACAGGGGGTTTCACCATGTTGGCCAGGCTGATCTCGAACTCCTGACCTCAAGTGACCTGCCCGCCTTGGCCTCCCAAAGTGCTGGGATTACAGGCGTGAGCCACCACCCCCGGCCAAATGTCTTAATCCAGCTGCTTTCTATCCATCCCTCACCCTGCTGTCTTTCTCTTCACAGCGTGTCACCGCTGACCTTATGTTATACACCTATTTTCTTATTGTTTTCTTGTTTGTCCCCCTGACTGGAATGTAAGCCCCCAGAGGGCAGAGAGGTGGCTTTATATTCAGAGATGGACCCTACACATCCAGGACAGACCCATTGAGGAGGGAGGGACTGGCTGGGCTGCCTGGAACCTTATACTTCAGACTAACTCTTGCGCCCACAGTGCCCTGGGCAGTCCTAACATCCCTTTGTTTGTGTGCCCAGAGCATCAGACTCCAGCCAGCCATTATCTCAGGCGATTTTATCTCTCTAAGTATCTGTTCTGCTCCTACGTGAGCTACTTTGAATTCCCAGGCACCCAGCCTGGAGGCGCTGAGCCTGCCAGGAGCTTGGTAAGGGTGGCTCAGCGGCACCCATGGGTGGAGTGAGTGGCAGGACTTACAGAGCCGGGACTTCAGCTCTGAGGGCTCAGGAAGCCTGATCTCACCCCATTCCTGCTGGGCTTATTCACTTGCTCTAGGCCTGGCTCAGAGTAGGTGAACCAGACGGACGCTGCCAGGGTCCCCAGCCCAGCAGGGGACACAGAGAAGGTGACCAACACGAAGAGCTCTTTTTAGTTGGAAAAAGTGCTCTGAAGGCAGCCAGCGGAGTCGAGTGATGCAAAGCATCAGGGTGATGCGCTTTACACGACATGGCTGGGGAGGCCCCTCAGAGGCAGGGGCAGCCTGAGAGCTGAAGGATGTGGGGGCCATCCTCATGAAGCGAGGAGAGCAGCGCCCAGTGCTGGAAGGCCCCATGCAGAAAGTTGCCTTGTGTGTTCCCAGGTAGCTGGGGTAAGGAAACCCCACCCAAAGCAGGGTGAGCAACCTGCCCATGGTACACCAGGGCTGGAACGCAGGGCCCCAGTCCCAGCCAGCCTCTGCCCACTACGCCAACCAATTTCCTCTCTGCTCACAAGGCTGAGATCCTTATCATCACACACAACAGAGGGTGGGTGCAAAGGTCAGGAGAATCCATGAGCTGTGTCCAAGCCTTCCCGAAGGACCCCCTGCCTCTGGCCTCTCCCCTCCGGCCAGGGTTACTCACCCCGCCACCACCTGGGGCGCTGCGCTGTATGGAGACTGGGGCTGCAGGCTCCTTGTAGCCACCATAGGACTGGGCCACCGGCTGCTGCTGGGGCTGCTGGTAAACTGGAAGATGGGAGGAGACAGGGCTTGGAAACTGTCCTGCCAAACCCAGCCCCTCCCAGAGCTCCCGAGAAGTCCATACCATGCACTTCCACCCCGCCCCCAACCTGGCTCAAGCCCCACAGCTCAAAGGCTGATGTCCACGTGTGCACATTTGCCTGTGTGTTGTATCCCACGCAGGGGCTCTGAGCCCCATGACCTGGGGGCCTCTCCTTTCAATCCTCTTGGCCCAGTACAGGCCTGACCCTGGTGCTCACGTCCTCATTCTGGATGAGAATGGAACTTGGGGTCTTGGGAAGCAGTCTTTTCCTCGCCTGCATGCGTGCGTGCATGTGTGTGTGTGTGTGTGTGTGTGTGTGTGTGTGTGTCTGTCTCTCGCCGACTTCCTCCCCACCCCAGCTGGCCCGGCCTCAGGTCCTCTGGTCCCCTCTTGCACACAAGAGGCATAATCGCCTGTTGATTAAGAGCAAGGCTCCGGAAGGTGTATCTGTCTGTCTGTCTTCTCCTGGCTTCCTCCCCACCCCACTGGCCTCGCCTCAGGTCATCTGCACCAACAGGACCTGCACTCACCCGGGGCACTGGTCGGGATGTGGTGAGGCTGCTGCTGCTCCAGGGGCCGCCGGTAGCTGCTGCCGTCCTGTGAATCCCGACGCTCTGGCTCCATGCCCTCGCCCCCGCTAGGGCCCATGCGGCTCTTCTCAAACTCCTCATGGTATTTTATCTGCAAGGTCAGAAGGCACTAGGTGAAGGGTCCCACTGCAAACCACCCAGTTCCTTCCCGTGACCCTCAAGATCCCAGGATGGGAGAGACTACCCAAGAGCTTTGGGTACAGAAAGCCAGGTCTCGCTCTGGAAGCACCAGCTGTGTGTCCTTGGACAAGCTACCTAATCTTGCCAAGCCTCAGTTTTCACCTCTGCAAAATGAGACACCAGTCTCCCTCAGACACTGTTGGAGAATGCAATGAAATGACCGATGTAAAAGGACCATGAGAACTGAAGAATCAGACCAAAGTGAGTGGTCCCTTTTCTTTTTTTTTTTTTTTCGAGACGGAGTTTGGCTCTGTCGCCCAGGCTGGAGTGCAATGGTACGATCTCAGCTCACCGCAACCTCCACCTCCAGGGTTCAAGTGATTCTCCTGCCTCAGCCTCCTGGGCGGCTGGGATTACAGGCGCCTGCCACTACGCCCAGCTAATTTTTTGTATTTTAATAGAGACAGGGTTTCATCATGTTGACCAGGCTGGTCTCAAACTCCTGACCTCAGGTGATCCACCCGCCTCGGCCTCCCAAAGTGCTGGGATTACAGGCGTGAGCCACCGTGACCGGCCAAGTGGTCACTTTTATATGCCTGCGGCAGGGGCGGGGCTGCTCTGTTTCCGCCTGGGTCCACAGTAACCACAGCAGCAGCCCGTTTCCTGAGCTCTTACTGCGCCAGGGCCGTGCTAGGTGTTTTATGTCACAGGCTCATGTGAGCTCGTCAGCGCCCCTGAGGGGTAGATTGCAGACCCCATGTAACAGGCAAGAAGGAAGCGAAGGGATTGATAAGTGAAGTGAGTGGCCCAAGATCACAGATTCCAGAGCCTTGCTCTTCATCAACAGGCGATTCCACCTCTTGTGTGCAAGATGTCGTGGGTACTACAGCCTAGGATGCTCCGCTGAGAATCCCAGCCTTTAGGGATAAAAACTGCCAGACCCTCCCTGAGGGCGGGACATTGTCTTGGATGGGCTCCTTCTCGGGTCAGGTTCCAAAAATGAGCAGAGAGGCCCAAAGAAGTCATATCCCTCAGGACCACCCCACTAGGCGGGCATGTGAGGCTCCAAGCCTTCAAGTCAGTCTCTTGCCCCCACAGTGCTCTACTGGCTACAGAGTCCCCCACCTTGACCACCACCACCCAGGAGTCTTGAGTTGGGCCTCATGTTGTTTGAGGGCTGTGACTGTGCCTGCCTGGGGCTGGCTGCATTAGCCATCAAGGTCAGGAGGGCAGGGGAGGCAGGTGCCCACCAAGCCAAGCTGGGGAGGGGAGGGAAGCTGCACTCTGCCCAGACCCCTTGGGTGCTATGGTGGAGGACTTGGCCAGTTTGGGGGAACCAGAGCCCCTGCTACCTCCATCAGAGACCTAAGCAGGGTCAGCCAGAGGAAGCCCCACCTCCACTACCAGAAAGAAACCTCAGGGTCAACTGGCCCATTTGTGTCCAGAGCCTCGGCGCCAGCTCAGTCCTCTTAGCCAACTGAGTTAGAGAGAAATGGTCGTTCATTCACCTTGTCTTCTTCAGGCTGAGTCCCATGGTGGGACGAGAACACCGGCCTCGGTGTTCCCTGCTAGATCCAGATCCTGATTGGCCCCAGGCTTCCTCCACCTCCCATCCCCCATGGCACCTTCTCCAGACACAAGCCCTTTCCTCCTCTCAGGTCTGAAAACTGTCCAGATGGCCTTCTGGGGCTGTGCCAGACTCCCAAAGACAGGCCTGCCAAGGTCTCCTGGATCTCAGCCCAAGAGCCAGACCCTGGAGAATCACGGGTGACTCCTTGTGCTTGCGGCACCCTGACCCTGTGGCAACCAGATCCTGCGGCACCCTGGCCCAGCGGCACCCTGGCCCTACCCTGACCCTGTGGCACCCTGGCCCTACTCTGACCCTATGGCACCCTGGCCCTACCCTGACCCTGTGGCACCCTGGCCCTGTGGCAATCTGACCCTGCGGCACCCTTGCTCCCTCTCTCCTTCCTCCAGCCGCTCCATGCGGCGTAAGGCCCACACTTTCACATCTCATGTGCCTGGATCCAGCTGCTCTAGCCCCACCTGGGCCAGCCCAGAACCGGCCCCTGGGCCCATATGGGACAGGGGAAAAGTCAAGGTCCCTATTCCCAGGCACGCATATATCAGGTGGGTTTTGAGGCCTGATATATGTAGTTCTTGAGGCAGCAAGAACTACACCACAAGAAAGGCGGGTGGTGAGGCCGAGCACGGTGGATCACGCCTGTAATCCCAGAACTTTGGGAGGCCAAGGTGGGTGGGTCACTTGAGGTCAGGAGTTCGAGACCAGCCTGGCCAACTTGGTGAAACCCTGTCTCTACTAAAACTACAAAAATTAGCTGGGTGTGGTGACGGGCGCCTATAATCCCAGCTACGCGGGAGGCTGAGGCAAAAGGATAGCTTGAACCTGGGAGGCAGAGGTTGCGGTGAGCCAAGATCATGCCACTATACTCCAGCCTGGGTGACAGAGTGAGACTCCGTGACTCTGTCTCAAAATGAAAAAAAAAAGACAAGTCATAAAGCCTCACATACATATCTCATTGCCTCAAATGGGAAAAGACCTCCAGGTGAGCCTATTTATGGGGGAGGGAGCCAGCCCTGGCCAGACTGACCACGCCCAACCCCACTAGGAAGGGCACCAGGGCACTCCCAGACACGGGGCCCATGCCCTGTTCTCAGATCCCTAAGACAAGGCCAGAAGTGACTCTCCCAGCCCACTCCCTCAGCAGCACCCTGTCCCCTGGCTGGGGTGGTGGGGGAAGACAAGGGAAGGAGATACCAGCCAGCAGCCCTAGTTGATACACTTCATGCATATCAGCTCGCCGAATCCTCCCCACAAGTCTCTGAGGTAGTCAATGTCATATCCCGATATCCAGAGAGGCTAAGGGACCTGCCCAAGGTCATCTGGACACATGGTGGTAGGGAGGGAAGGGATTAAGGTCAACCTGGAGGCAGCCCACCCTCGCCACTCAAGGGCAGTCCAGGCTTCTCTCATCCTTCAAGGTCCATCTCGGCACCTCATCCTCGGGACGCTGGCCCTGGCTCCAGGCTGAACCCAGGGCTTCCATAGCACCTGGGACTGGGCTGTGCTGTTGGCGGGTGGTGTCCCCCACCCCCACTGGATGGAAGCTCCTGGAAGGTAGTGAAGGAGCCAGTTATTCTGATGCAGGGGTCTCCCACAGCACTGCACACCCCAGGCCTCAGGACTGGCTGAAGAGAACAGACCAGGATCCTGGAGACCCTTGAGCTTTGCTTCTTAACATGTGGTCTCCTGGCCGGGCGCGGTGACTCACGCCTGTAATCCCAGCACTTTGGGAGGCTGAGGCTGGTGGATCACCTGAGGTCAGGAGTTTGAGACCAGCCTGGCCAACATGGTGAAATGCCGTCTCTACTGAAAATACAAAAATTAGCTGGGCATGATGGCAGGCACCTGTGATCCCAGCTACTCGGAAGGCTGAGGCACGAGAATTGCTTGAACCTTGGAGGCGGAGGTCGCAGTGAGCCAAGATCACGCCATTGCACTGCATCCTGGGCAACAGACTGAGACTCTGTTTAAAAAAAAGTGGACTCCAGACTACCTGTGTCTGACTCAACTGGGCTCCTTGTTAGAATGCGGGTTCTGGGGCCTTCCAGAAAATCTACAAAATCAGGGCTGGGGTTCTGGAATATGCATTTTGGAAAAAAGCTCTCCAGGTAAGTCTGAAGCAGGCTTCAAGTCTGAGAACGGGTGGTCTAGAGCAGAAGCTGGGAATCTATGGTCCATGGACCAAATCCAGCCCACAGCCGGCTGCTAAGAACGGGTTCCACATTCTTTAATGCTTGGCAGGGGGCGGTGGAGGGGGGGAAGAAGAACCAAAAGAGGAATAATATTTCATGACACATGAAATTTCTCTGAAATTCAAATTTCAGCCTCCAGAAATAAAGTTTTATTGGAACACAGCCACACCCACTCAATTACCTCTTATCTGTGGCTGCTTTCATGGCAGAACTGCAGAACTGAGCTGCTGCCACAGAGGCCATATGGCCACAAAGCCTGAGATACCTCCTACCTGGCCCTTTACAGAAAAAACTTAGTGACCCTTGTTTGCCAAAATATTCTGACGGCATACTCCTATTGGTTAAATGTATTTTAGCACAATCTTCCTGAATTATGTGTATTTTATAAGTTACATGGAAGTTATCACTTGACAAATATAGAATGTATATTGTAAAACTTGCACCAAAGAATGAATTGTGAAAGTATGAGATGGCCAGGTGCGGTGGCTCACACCTTTAATCCCAGCACTTTGGGAGGTCGAGGTTGGCAGATTGCTTGAAGTCAGGAGTTCAAGACTAGCCTGGCCAACACAGTGAAACCCTGTCTCTACTGAAAATACAAAACTTAATCAGGCATGGTGGTGGGCACCTGTAATCCCAGCTACTTGGGAAGCCGAGTCATGAGAATCACTTGAACCCAGGAGACGGAGATTGCAGTGAGCTGAGATCGAGCCACTGTACTCCAGCCTGGGAGACAGAGTGAGTCCATCTCAAAACAAATGAATGAATGAATGAATGAATGAATGAATGAGATGAAAAAGAACCAGAACCAGGAGTTAGAGTTTTCTTCCTGTAGGAACATGCTGCCTGTCCCACACCTTGATGACCCCTAGTGGGCTCTATCCTCTTCACTTTTCTTTCTTTTTTTTTTTTGAGATGGAGTCTCGCTCTGTCGCCCAGGCTGGAGTGCAGTGACACAGTCTCGGCTTACTGCACCCTCTGCCTCCCGGGTTCAAGTGATGCTCCTGCCTCAGCCTCCTGAGTAGCTGGGATTATAGGCAACTGCCACCACGCCCGGCTAATTTTTGTATTTTTAGTAGAGACAGGCTTTTACCATGTTGGCCAGGCTGGTCTTGAACTTCTTGACCTTGTGATCTGCCCACCTCGGCCTCCCAAAGTGCTGGGATTACAGCCGTGAGCCACCGTGCCCAGCCTCCTCTTCACTTTCCAGAGAGGAAACTGGTGGGGACGGGTACAACCATAGAAAGGTGTGAGGGTTCAGGGTTTGAGTGCTCCATGAGGATGGGGGAGGAAGCGGGACATAGAGTGAAGAGAGTGACAGCTCTCCCCCACCCTCAGGGGAAACTCAGAAAGCAGGACACCAGGACAAGGAGAGAAACTGGTCCTTCCCAGACGGGCTCAGGCCTGCAGGAATTTCCTCCAGGCCCTGGCAGGCACCTAGCTGGAAGCCAACTTCACTTCCTGTTCCCTAGAATGCTGGCCTGCCTTTTCCTGATCCGGGAAAATGGGGTGGGAGTAGTGGGGTGGGAAGAGGAGGAGAGGCAAAACCTGCTGTTTCCTGGAACGCCCCTGCCCCATCAGGGCTGTCCCAGCCTGGGCAGTCCCCTTTGGGCATCCCCTCCGCACAACGTCTCTGCTGCCTCCTCTCCCCCTTGGCACTGGCTGTGCACAAAAGGCAAGAGCAAGCACGTGGCCAGGCAGGGCTTACACGTTAACAGCTGGAAACACCTGCATGGTTGCTGCTCCTGCTGGCTGAACAGCCAATAGTTCCTGCAGCCCGGGCTGGGGGCACAGGGAGGGCAGTGGTAAGGGCCTGGACAGAGTCTGGGGGGAGTCCAGTCTGGACGCAGAGGGCAGTTTACTTAGGGGTTTGGGTCAGGATCAGTCCCTCCTTTCCCGGCCCCCTCCCTTCAGGCCAGAGCAAGGACCGGCACCCACGTGGCAGCACAGGCTAAGCCTGTTCCTGAGGTGAGGCAGCCAACCCTGGCCAGGCTGAAAATCCAACCGACCCCAGCATCCGCTGGGAGGGGCACTCCAGGTGATGTTCTCACAGACCCAGCGCAGAAGGTGAGTCTCCCGAGCCCCACTCTCTTAGTGATCCCTGTCCACTGGTGTTGGTGGCGGGGAGGGCACAAGGGAAGGGGACACCCCTCCTGAGGCCTCCAGGCTCACGAGGCACCTGCCCTTCCAACTTTTGTTCTGAGGTGGGAAAGGTCAGCTTCCCTTGTTTCCTTTCTGCTAAGGAAAAGAGCCTGCCCCTGAGAACCTGTGACCAGGGAGGGAAGTGCAGACACGGAATGGACAGGGGCCTGCCCTGGGCCCCGAAGGTGCCAGCAGGGGGCCTGCAGGGACAGGTGTCCTTGATGTTGGGGGCCCAGATGAATGTGTGACAGCTTCCCTGGACATGACGCTATCTGCATTAGCGATGGGGTGACAGGGAGCCTTTTCCTCTGGGAGGAGAGCAGGTCTGGACCCCACAGGCTCAGTCCCTTATGATGGGCTGCACTGTCACCAGACCAATGCCTCATCCTTAGGGGAGCCGTATGCTTACCTACATGACCTTGGGAGTCACTTTCCCCTCTGGGTCTCAGTTTCCTCATCTGTAAATAAGGCCATGGTACCATCTGCTCCCAGGCGGTCCTGCAAACCCTGACCAGCTCTAGGAACCTGAGCAAACTCTAAGCTGAAAGCAAGTATGGACACATGGGTATTCCCATAAAGGGCTGGGGAAACTGATCTTGCTTCTTAAAAAGTCATTACACATGGATAAGTGTATCTAAAGTTACGGCTGGCTGACCCGACGGCTGGAGGAGTAGCTGCCTGAACCCAGGACACCCTTCCTGGGTGGCTCTATCAATGTTAACAACCTCTGCAGCTGTACAGCTCTTCACACAGCTTGACCAAGCTCTTCATACCCTGACAATCATTGCCCTAAAAAATGGGCCGGACACGCACACTTTCATTCCCATCTTCCAGAAGAGGAACATGAGGCTCAGAAATTAAATGACTTCCCGAGGCAGAGCTTTCATTGCTCAGTAACAGCCAAGGCTGGTGACACAAGGACAAAATCACAGCTAGACAGGCCCTTTCCTGAGAACAGGTGTGGAGCAGGGTGACCACACGCCCAAGTCCCAGTTCATGTCTGCTGCTCAGGGATAAATTTCAATGCACCCCTTTTCACTCTCAACAAGAATGATAATCAGAAAGTCACCCTAACTCGAGAGAGAGGGACACCAGGCATGCAACTCAGGACAGGCGGCACAGAGCGGCTAAATGGGCTGAGAAAAAGTGAGGCTCAGCTCCTTCCAGCCTGGGCCCACTTGGATAAAATTTCCAAACCCTCAGCTTCCTCTCCTTCCCCTCGCCAGCAAATGAGGAAATTGTGTTATTACTTTCCTGACCCACCTACTGGTTTGTTAAGCAAATAGGCACATGAGGGGGATGTTAGCACATTCAGAAGGCAAGGAAACATTTCCCAGCTTCCAAGGGCCTGGCTCATCCCTGCTCCAAGCTCTGCAAAGTTCTGGCCTTCAGAGAGCCCTGAGTGAGGAGCGCCCTAAGCCCAGACATGTCAGCACAGCCCCCAGCCTGGAAGCTGTCCTGGGCCTCTGTGGACACAGGCCACACTCTACCTGTGCCCATGAGGTCCAAGTACATGTGGGTTCAGGGGTCCAGGCCTAAGGACCCTCCCGACTCAGCCAGGACCCTACTAGCTGGGACTCCAGGATGACAAGTTAGGGTCCATGACAAAGCTCTGCTAGCTGATGTTCTGTTTTCTGACCCCCCTGCTCTCCCAACTGTGGTGGAAAATAAAAGTCTGACTCTCCATACGGTGCTCCTCACATGATTATACATCACAGTGAACGAGGGAACAGCAGGCTCTGGGTGGAATCATCAGCTCACCAGCTAGGGTCTTTTTTTGGGTGCCCTTACATGCATTACTCATTTCCTTTTCTTTTTTAACTTTATTTATTTATTTATTTATTTATTTTGAGACAGTCTTGCTCTGTCGCCCAGGATGGAGTGCAGTGGTGCGATCTCAGCTCACTGCAACCTCCACCTTCCAAGTTCAACCAATTCTCCTGCTTCTGTCTCCCAAGTAGCTGAGACTACAGGGGTGCACCACCATGCCCAGCTATTTTTTTCTATTTTTAGTGGACGCGGGGGTTTGCCATGTTGGTCAGGCTGATCTCAAACTCCTGGCCTCAAATCATCCACCTGCCTCAGCCTGCCAAAGTGCTGGGATTACAGGCCTGAGCCACCGCGCCTGGCCTCATTTCCTTTCCTCAGCCAGCCCGAGAATACTGCCATTTTACAGATAGGGAAACCAAGGCTCAAGATGTGGGCAAACAGTGGGTTAAGTCAGAATCCAGTTCTAACATCAGAGCCTCAGTTCTCAACCACCATGCAATACTGCTCCCCATCAGAGACTCACAATATTTTATTTATTTATTTTTTAGAGACAGGGTCTCGCTCTGTCACCAAGGCTGGAGTGCGGTGGCGTGATCATGGCTCACTGCAGCCTCAAACTCCTGGGCTCAAGCAATCTTACCACCTCAGCCGCTCGAGTAGCTGGGACTACAGGTGGATGCCACCATGCACGGCTAATTTTCTTTCTTTTTTTTGTAGAGATGGTATCTTGCTATGTTGCCCAGGCAAGTCTTAAACTCCTGGCCTCAAGCAATCCTCCCACCACAGCCTCCCAAACTGTTAGGATACAGGCGTGAGCCCACCATGCCCCAGTATTTTATTTTTAAAACAAACAAAAGTCTGTACTCAACTTCATTAGTAATCACAGAAATGCAATCTAAAACCATCGGCTATCACACTCTACACGATCAAAATGCTAAAGTGAACATATCTGAGCACATGGAGCAAATGAAACTCATCTCTGCTGGTGGGAGGGTAAATCAGTGCAGCCACTTGGAAAATAGTTCCGCATTATCTCGTAAAGTTGAAGGAGCACACTTTTTTTTTTTTTTTTTTTTGAGATGGAGTCTCACTCTGTCGCCCAGGCTGGAATGCAGTGGTGCGATCTCAACTCACTGCATCCTCTGCCTCCCAGGTTCAGTGATTCTCCTGCCTCAGCCTCCAGAGCAGCTGGGATTGCGCCACCGAGTGCGCCACCACACCCGGCTAATTTTTTGTATTTTTAGTTGAGACGGGGTTTCACTGTGTTAGCCAGGATGGTCTTGATCTCTTGACCTCATGATCCACCCACTTCGGTCTCCCAAAGTGCTGGGATTACAGGTGTGAACCACCACGGCCCGGCCCAAGGAGCACACATTCTAAGATGCAGCAGTTCCAATGTACATAGACCTCAGGAGATATGTACAAAAATGTCCATAGCAACTGGAAACAGTACAAATGTCCACCAGCAACAGAATCAATAAAATGTGGTATAAACAAACAATGGAATACTATATAGCAATGAAAAAGGATGTACTACCGCTACACACAAACATATGGATGAATCTTTAAACCCAATGGTGTGTAAGAGAAGCAAGATACACAAAATTACTCTGTGTTCAAAATCAGGAAAAGCAAAACTATAGTGTTTAAGAATACATAATTACATACTAAAATTATAATGAAAAATACATGCTTTCAAAATCAAACTAGAGGATTGTCCAACAAACCTGCCTTCAGAGTATTTTACTCTGGGGACAAAACTTTGTTTGACTATTTACTATTGATTAGGCCCAGACTCTAAAGACTGAAGCTCATTACAGAGTATAAAATGCTCATTATTTCTGGCCAACTGAGATGCAAAGCATTTCTGCCTGCAGCAAAGATATCTTCAAAGTTTATGGTTTTATTTTCCTGTAGGACAATAGCCAATGTGTAACTAATGGTAGGCCCTTAACCATTTCTGTAGCTAAATGTATCCAGTACTCTCTTTTTTCCTTTTTTTTTTTTTATTTTTGAGACGGAGTCTTGCTCTGTTGCCCAGGCTGGAGTGCAGTGGTGTAGTCTCAGCTCACTGCAACCTCCACTTCCCGGGTTCAAGCAATTGTCCTGCCTCAGCTTCCCAAGTAACTGGGACTACAGGTGTGCACCACCACACCTGGCTAATTTTTGTATTTTTAGTAGAGACAGGGTTTCACCATGCTGGCCAGGCTGGTCTTGAACTCCAGACCTCAGGTGATCTGCCCGCTTCGGCCTCCCAAAGTGCTGGGGTTACAGATATGAGCCACCTCGCCCGGCCCCAGCACTTTCTTTCACAGACTAGCATTTACCTCTGCCTCTCATATTCCCCAGTTTTAATCTCTAGCTGGTTCCCTCATAATTAAATAAAGATATGATAAGTACTTACTACATGGGAGTTATATTTTTAACACTGTGAACACTGGGCTCTTGACAGGCATACAGTAATACAATGTATGGTATACCTGCCTGGTGAAACAGGTGTTTATTGTATATGTTACTATGTGTCATATTTCACACATAAAAAAAGTTTTAAGGACACAAAATTGTATACAGAAAATCAATATGTAAGTAAATAAAAGAAGAGGCTCCAGTAAAGTGACTAAAGTTTTCCATACTTGAACACTGCTAGAGCTCATGACAAAAGGCCAGGATTCCTAACATGTAACCTTTATCCCATAGCATGGACCCATCAAAAGGCAACTCTTCAAATGCCTTTAATGATGACACAACTACTCACCATAGATGTGTAATATACTGGCCCCTTTCCTCACTTCCACACATTCTCAGTACTAGACAATGGCCAAACTTTTCTGCCAAACTTCACTTTATGACCCTTCTCCGGCAACAGTGTAGAAAGCAGACAAGTGTGCCTTTAAAGTATTGATAACATTGACAACATAACTGGGTGTGATGGCGTGTGCCTGTAATCCCAGCAACCTGGGAGTCTTAGGCCAGGGTTCACTTAAACCCAGGAGTTCAAGGCTGCAGTGAGCTGTGATCACGTGACTACACTCCAGCCTGGGCAGCATAGCAAGACCCTCTCTCTACAAAAAAAATAACAATTAGCTGGGCATGGTGCTATATGCCTGTAGTACCAGCTACTCAGGAGGTTGACGGGAGAGGACCACTTGTGCCCAAGAGTTCGAGGCTGCAGTGACCTATGATCGTGCCACTGTACTCCAGCCTGGGCAATCTTGTCTCAAAAATAATAATGATGATAATAAGAGTGATATCATTTATCCCATGCCAAGCACTTGGCATGTTCCTTGCAACCACCTGTCAAAGTAGGGCCTACTGTCCCATTTTTACAAATGAGGAAACTGAGGCTCAAAGAGCCCTGCCTGGCCCCAGAATGACAGAAGCTAGGATCTGGGCCCTTACCATCTCTTCCTACCTCACTGTCTCACCACTTAGCAAGACTGAAGACAGACTGCACTTATCCAAAGCAGACACCCCAGAGGAGATCAGACACTTGTTTTTAAAATGCTCTGGCTGGTAAAAAGCCCTAGTCTGCAGCATATCCCTCCAAGGAAGCATATCCTCATTCTTTTGTAAGATGGCCTGACCTTTAGAAATAACTGGAGTCAGCTGGGCACAGTGGCTCACACCTGTAATCCCAGCACCTTGGGAGGCCAAGGCAGGTGGATCACCTGAGGTCAGGAGTTCGAGACCAGCCGAGCCAATATGGCAAAACCCTGTGTCTACTAAAAATACAAAAATTAGCCAGGCGTGGTGGCATGTGCCTATAGTCCTAGCTACTCAGAAGGCTGAGGCAGAAGAATCGCTTCAACCCGGGAGGCAGAGGTTGCAGTGAGCCAAGATCACGCCACTGCACTCCAGCCTGGGCGACAGAGCGAGACTCTATCTCAAAAATAAAATAAAACTAAAATTAAAAATAAATAAATAAAGTAACTGGAGTCATTTGGTGCTAATCTGGGAAGCAAAGCAACAAGCTACATACAGGAACAGGAATGCTATTTTGGATACAAAACAAAAGGTGTGGCTCTAAACACCCTATTTTCCAAAACACTTCAGGAGGTTGGGACAACTTAGCAATGGTTTTATGTGTGGTTTAAAGCTCCCAGGCGCAGTGGCTCATGCCTGTAGTAGTCCCAGAACTTTGGGAGGCCGAGGTGGGCGGATCACTTAAGTCCAGGAGTTTAAGACAACATAGTGAGACCCTGTCTCTGATTAAAAAAAAAAAAAAAAAAAAAAAGCTCCCCTGGGAGGCCAGGTGAGGTGGCTCACCCCTATAATCCCAGCACTTTAGGAGGCTGAGGCGGGAGGATAACTTGAATCCAGGAGTTTGAGACCAGCCTGGGCAACATAGCAAGATAGTGTCTCTGCAAAAAAAAGAAAAATTAGCTGGGCATGGTGGTGCACACCTGTGGTCCCAGCTACTCGGAGTCTGAGGTGGGAGAATGGCTTGATCCCAGAAGATTCAGGCTGCACTGAGCCGTGAACACACCACCGCACTCCAGCCCGGATGACGGAGCGAAACCCTGTCTCAAAAATAAAAATAGGCTGGGCTCGGTGTCTCACGCCTGTAATCCCAGCACTTTGGGAGGCCGAGGCGGGTGGATCACAAGGTCAGGAGATCAAGATCATCCTGGCTAACACGGCGAAACCCCATCTCTACTAAAAATACAAAAACTATTAGCCGGGCGTGGTGGCGGGCGCCTGTAGTCCCAGCTACTCACGAGGCTGAGGCAGCAGAATGGCGTGAACCCGGGAGGCGGAGGTTGCAGTGAGCCGAGATTGCGCCACTGCACTCCAGCCTGGGTGATAAACCAAGGCTCCGTCTCAAAAAAATAAAAATAAAAATAAAGCTCCCCTGGGGTTCTGAGGTACAGCCTGATCTGGCACCCTCTGACTTAGGGGTTGGTGAAGCTTTTTCAGACTTTTAGGTGGTGGCTCTCAAACTTCAGAGAGCACCACAGAAACCCAGGGAATGTGTCTAACATGCTGATTCCTGGGCCCCACTCCCAGAGACGCTGATTCTGGCAGCCAGGGGAGAAGGCCTGTGAGTCTGCATTTTCAGTCAACCCTACAGGTGACTGTGCTACAGCTGTCTGGAGGCCCATATCCGACAGACTGTAATTGCTTTCATTAAAACCAAGAGTCTCCAGGCTTTGCATTCACACCCTACAGGTCTCTGCTAAAGCTGCAAAAGCAGCTAGCAGGTCGGGGTCGATCCCTTCCCCCAGCTCCTGCAGAGGACCATTAGCTCACTGCAGCACCGCGAGAAGGGTAAAAGATGGTTATCTCCTGAGATGCGGATGGCTTGGCCAGGGTGGTGAGTTTTGTCACTAGGATATTAACACCTCTAACTGGGGGAGGGAAGAAGAGGAGGTGGCTTAGGCTGAGTGTGGAGTGTTCTGGAAGCCTTCCAGAAAGGGAAGCAGGGATGACTGGGCTTGTCTCCCCTCCTCCAAAACCCACAGGGTGAAGCAATGAGTGAACAGCCAGGGAGCTGGGGTTGCACATTGGGAGCAAGTGTCACTGATAAAAGACTAGAGCCTCTACATGAAAAGCCGCAGAGGCTGAAGAGCCGACATTCCAGTTCTGTGAACCATTCCGGGTTTTCCCCATAATCTAAGACCATCTTCCCCCTCCCCCACTTTCCAAGCCGAGAGCTCTGAAACACAGACCTAAGGGTCTTACCCTTTGCAGGGTCTGAGCCAAAGGGAAGCTCCAGGGCGTGAGGCCAGGCCCTAGCATATAAAGAGTCAACTGTGACAGGCCTCTGGAAGTTGGAGGGGAAGGAGGATTAGAGTGCCCGCCCTAGGCATCCCCTGCTAGCCAAAGGGAAGCATGCCATTTCCTCAGGCCACCAACTTCAAACTGCAGGTCAACAGTCCAGTTGCAAAACCCATTCACAGTAAGTCTGCAACCAGCATCTTTTTGGTTTTTTTTTGAGATGGAGTCTTGCTCTGTCGCCAGGCTGGAGTGCAGTGGCCCGATCTCGACTCACTGCAACCTCTGCCTCCCGAGTTCAAGCGGTTCTTCTGTCTCAGCCTCCCAAGTAGCTGGGATTACAGGCACACGCCACCACGCCCAGCTAATTTTTGTATTTTTAGTAGAGATGGGGTTTCACCATGTTGGCCAGGATGGTCTCGATCTCTTGACCTCATGATCCGCCCACCTCAGCCTCTCAAAGTGCTGGGATTACAGGCATGAGCCACCGCGCCTGGTCCTTTTTTTTTTTGGAAACAGGGTCTCACTCGGTTTCCCAGGCTGGAATGCAGTGGTGCAATTACGGCTCACTATAACCTCAAACCTCTGGGCTCAGGTGATCCTCCCACTTCAGCCTCCTGAATAGCTAGGACCACAGGCGTGTGCTATCATGCCTGGCTAGTTTTTGTATTTTTTTTTTTTTTTTTTTTTTTTTGTAGAAACAGTTTTGCTATGTTGCCCAGGCTAGTCTCAAACTCCTGGGCTCAAGCAATCCTCCCACCTCAGTCTCCCAAAGTGTTGGGAATACAGTCCTCAAAGGGGCTGTATTATGTGAGGGTGTATAGGGGCCTGCAACCAGCATCTTTAGAAAAGATCTGAATGTGGCCGGGTGCGGTGGCTCACACCTGTAATCTTAGCACTTTGGGAGGCCAAGGCGGGCACATCACCTGAGGTCAGGTGTTCAAGACCAGCCTGGCCAACATGGTGAAACCCTGTCTCTACCAAAAATACAAAAATTGGCCGGGGGTGGTGGTGTGCACCTGTAATCCCAGCTACTCCACTTGGGAGGCTAAGGCAGGAGAATCACTTGAACCCTGGAGGCGGAGCACCACTGCACTCCAGCCTGAGCAACAGAGTGAGACTCTGTCTCAAAAAAAAAAAAAAAGATCTGAACGCCCTCTAAGTAGGAAGTACTCATTCATGAAAGCTTCCATTCTGTTTTCCCTCTACATAAATGTATGCCTGTCAGATGGGTCAAGACGTACAATGTATATTTTACTGTAGGCTGAAGTCAGAGTTTGAAAGCCACCATTTTGGGCATGGCTGGTTCTGCTGTCTGTGGGCTGCCTGTGCTTCTGAAATCCACCTGACCCACCACTGCAGCCCACTCTATGCACGGCCCAGCCAAGCTCTTAAAGGAGCGCCCTGCTGAGGTGGCCAGGTGGAGGGTAGGAAGGGATGTGGAGCCCAGGGAGTGGGTGCTGAGACCACCGGAAAGCCAGGCTCCCCCGGCAATCTCTATCCCCAGTTCCTCAGCCCAGAGCAACAATGGGCAGCTCACTGATCCCTTCCTGTTCCAGACACGAAGACAGCTGCCTGCCTAAACCCTCCCTGGCAGGACCTCCTAGGCCAGGCTGGCTGGGCAGCCCCTGCAGTTCTGTGTGCGCATCCCCCATGGTTGCTGCTCACCGCAGTGCCCTGCCCCCGCATGCCTAAAGCCACACAGGCTGCTTGCCTGTGGCTCTGCCAAGCAGGAAACTGAGGCCTGTTCTCTGGCCACAGGTGCCATGGAGGGCACACGATGCTGGGGACAGTTGATCCCCTGCCCACTCTCCATGCCCACCCCTGCCACAGCCAGATGCCACTGACCATCAGGGAGGCGGGGGGTGTGAGCCAGGGGGTGCAGGGCTGGCGGGTGAAGCTGGCTGGGGTTTTTACACAGGAAGGAAGAGCAGGCTGATGTGGGGGAGGAGGCCAAGGAAGGGCGGAAATGACTGCAATGTCAGCACCCAGGCGCAGACCAGGGGAGGCCAGGTGCTCCCCGCCCCCCAGTTTTGACCTTTGTGCTAAGATGAGACATGCAGTCTTCACCGATACCCACGATATCCAGAAAAAAGAACAACAGTCAGAGAGAGTGGGGGCTGATTTAGCACACAGGCCCCCACAGAATACAGTCCCTTCAAGAAGAAAATGCTATGCGTGCTGGTGGTCTGGGGGTACACAGAGAAGAGGCATCTGGGAACCCCAAGCTCTTCCCCAGGCCCACCCTGGAGGGCAGGGGTAGTGGAGGCACTGGCCTCATTCACATCTGCCAGGCTTGCGTCTGCCAGGCTGGCAGGAAGGGGACCAAACAGAGGGCAGCAGGGATGCCGCAGGGCAGGGCAAGAGCTCACGTTACTGATCTGGTCCTGGGTCTTCTTGATTCTCTGGAGCTCGGGCGTGTCTGCCACTACGCTGAAACCTTTGCCCTTGTTCTTCTCAAACTCCTCCTTGTAGCGCACCTGCAGGAGGGGAGGAAGAGGGATTGGAGTCAGGCCAGGAGCCGAAAGGGCCTCGGCTTGGGGCCCCTCTGAGGCAGCAACCAGTCAGGAGACAGGGACAGGGAGTCAGCAGAAAGACCCTGATCAGAAGTCCCCAACTCAAAGCAGAGGCCTCAGCCAAAAGGTGTTAGACTCGTAATAATAAGCCACTACCAAGTCTTTGGTGCACAGTGAATGGCAGGCACAGAGTCCAGGGCCTTACATGAACCATCTCATTTAGATCCCACCATACATATAGCCACGCAATTAACAGCTCCAATTTACGGATCAGGAAACGGAGCCACAGAAAGGCAAAGTCCCCTGCCCAAGGTCACAGAGCTTAGCAGTCAATGTCCGGCACTACCAGAGTGCAAACCCTCATCTGCCTGACTCTTGACCCTTCACTCCCTGCCCATCCTGTCTGGAAGCTTATAGGAAAAAGGTTCTTTCCAGGGCTCCCAGGGTGGCCCCAGCCCTCATGTTAGCCAGGATGTGGCCCTGCCCACTACGCCTGGGGGAGCTTTTCAGCAACCAGCTGAGTGAGGGCTGTGCCAAAGGACAGAGTTGGTGCCCAGAAAGGAGGGTGGTGAGACAGCCCCAGGGAAGGCTCCATCAGTGCGCCTTTGACAGGCCCCGCGGATTCTGGGAGCCTGCCGGGATGGCTTCAGAGGCCACCGCCATAGGAGGGGAGGAAAGCAGCGGGGGTCAGACAGCATCTCAGCAGGTCTCCAAGCTCCAGGGAAGAACCCTTCCACCCCACCACAGTACTAGAGGGACTCAAGTCAGACATCAGAAAGGACTTCCCTGGCACGAAAGGAATTGAAATATGAGGAACAGCTTGTCCTCCCCTGAGGGTTTTGAAGAACAGAATGAGGCTGAGAAAACTCATGGAACAGGAAACTATTCCTTGGCTTCCAGAGACTTCACTGTCCACCTCATCAGCCATCTGTTCCAGACCCCACCAGCTGCTTGGATTTCCTCCACGGGGGCTGCACTGTCCTGGACACAGGTCAGCCCAGGACACAAACCCAGGCAGTTCCCTGGCAGGGAATCATCTGGCAGCAGCACCGAGCTGTGCTTGGACTGGAGCGACTGCGCATGCGCATGCAGCCACGGCCACACCTGTCAGGTCCTCTGCACATGCCTGTGGGGGTCAGAGTCCTTGTTTGTCTCCTGAAGCCCCCAGTCACTCATCCATGTGGTTCCCTCTCCTTCTCTGTTCTGATCCAGACAAGAAGGGCTTGGATGTGCTGTTCCCCATTAGTTCAGAAGTGAATGCAGTGGATAGAGGCACCAACCCACCCCAAGAGTCCAGAACCTGCCTAGCACCAGCTCTTCCTCAGTCCTGGAAGCCCTGGGCCAGCACGGTGACTCTTAGTGGGAGGCCCTTTGGGAAGCGGGCATCGGGGAAGGTAGGGCACTCAGAGGCAGAGAAATGTAGCTCCAGATACAGAAGCCCTGCATCTCAAGCCCCTGGCCTCGGTTTCTTCATCTGTAAAAGAGTTGTGACAGAAATCAGGTATAATATGGGGAGGGGGCTTCTTATCACCAAGTCTGGGCACAAAGCCAGGCGGAGCTAGCACTAACGCAGGCTCAGTCTCCCACTTCTGAGTGATCTTGGGCCAACGACTTCACATCTCAAGACTCAGTTCCCACATCTGTAAAATGGGGACCATAACGCCAGTCACTCCAACCCACGATACAGACAGTGGCTCTAAAGCAGCAGCGCACTGTGGAGGGCCAGTGTGAAAGTGCTCTGTCAGCAATGAAGTGCTGAACGAGTGCCAGTCCCCCACTCCGTCCCCTGCTTCCTGGCTTTGCAAGGGTCAGGCCCCTAATCCAGGGGAATAATCGCCATGGCGACGCTGCAATGACATCAGCAGGTTCCCAGGATCGGGAACTGCTTCTGCCTCCCCCTCCCTGTTGGGGAAGGATCATTCATTTCACTGCTAACATAGGAGGCCCACAGAGGGTAGGGGTGAGGGGTAGGGGCTGAGAAGGGAGGGAGCCTGGGATCAGCACCACCTTGCTGTGTGTTTCTAAGCAAGTCAGTTCCCCTCTCTGGGTCCCCTGAAGGGAGCTGGCTAGCTGATCTCTAAAATCCCTCCCATTTGGAGTCTGTGACCATTTTAAAGCACCTTCAGACCCTGACTATGGATAATCAAGACAGGGAGGCTCTTTGAAAGGTCTTTGGGTATGGAAGGGGTGGCAGAAGTGAAGGGTGGGGGGCCAGGGGTGTAGGGAGGGCCCAGCCCAGAGCCCCTCTTCAGGGCTCCCTTCTTGCCCTGGCAGGAGTGCTTGCCCCTGTTGTCTAGGATGGCTCACCAGGGTGCTGTGGGGGTCCCTGTGGAGGAAGGGACCTGCCCAAGGTCACAACCCAGTTGTCGCTCAGGCCAGGATGCAACTCAGCGCTTCGGTCAGAGGACCCCACTTCTGGGAGATGCCTGGGCTCCCAGAGGACCCCACTCCTGGGAGATACCTGGGCTCCCATTTTGGAAACTCTGCTGTCAGGCCCAGGACTGACTGACATCTGAGGCTCCTGACACCCAAACAACCACCATCCGTGAAACTCTAATTTTTCTGTCAGTTCTTAGTTGTTCTCCCTGGATCTATCTTGCTTCTCATCCCAGCAGACAGGAGGTGCAGATCAACATTTGTTGGATCATGAATGAATTGAATGCAGACACGTAATCTCCAAACAAAGCAGCATAATTGGGAAAACAACTGCCTTGATGACCCAATATAAGAAGAAGGATCATTACTTAAAAACAAAAATTATGCCAGGCACGGTGGCTCACGCCTGTAATCCCACCACTTTGGGAGGCAGAGGTGGGTGGATCACCTGAGGTCAGGAGTTCATGACCAGCCTAACATGCTGAAACCCCATCTCTACTAAAAAAAATACAAAAAAAGTTAGCCGGGCGTGGTGGGCGTAATCCCAGCTACTTGGGAGGCTGAGGCAGGAGAATTCCTTGAACCTGGGAGCCGGAGGTTGCAGTGAGCTGAGATGGTGACACTGTACTCCAGGCTGGGCGACAGAGTAAAACTCCGTCTAAAAAAAAAACACAAAAATTAGGCTGGACTTAAAAAACAAAATGGCTCATGTCTGTAATCCCAGCAGTCTAGGAGGCCAAGACAGGTGGATCACTCGAGCCCAGGAGTTCGAGACCAGCCTGGGAACATAGTACCCCATCTCTATTTAAAAAAAAAAAAAATTAATAAAAATCTCTAAAAAAATACAAAATTTATTGAGCGAAATACAATTTCCACTATTATGTGCCTACCATGTGTTGGGCCAACATACTTTGTAACCCATCCCCTTCTAACAAAAAAGAAACACTAGTTTTTAAAATTTAGGCAGGGCGCGGTGGCTGACACCTGTAATCCCAGCACTTTGGGAGGCTGAGGTGGGCAGATCACTTGAGGTCAGGAGTTTGAAACAAGCCTGGGCAACATGACGAAACCCTGTCTCTACTAAAAATACAAAAATTAGCCGGGCATGGTGATGCACGCCTGTAGTCCCAGCTATTCAGGAGGTGGAGGCGAGAAAATCGCTTGAGTCTGGGAAGTCAAGGCTGCAATGAGCCAAGATCACGCCACTGCATTCCAGCCTGGGAGACAGAGAGAGACCCTGTCTCAAAAAAATACAAATTTAAAAAAAAAATTAGACACACACAGATGGAGAGGAGAGCTGATGGAAAGGGCCGGGGCTGGAAGTCATGGTCAAAAGGTTGCTGTGTGTATTTCCCAGCTTCTTCATGTCCAAGTTCCATTTCCTCTCCTTTCCGGGAGAACAGTAGTAGCAAACACTGAATGCTGACTCCACGTCAGGAATCTTTAAATGCTTAACATATCCTCCTATCTCACACCACCCTCTGGAGAGAGGTAATCCACATTATTCAGACGAAGGCACTGTGCACAGAGGTTAAGCAACTTGCCCAAGGTCACACAGCTGGTGGCAGCAGATGCGAGATTCAATCTCAGGCCAGCTAGTTCGGGTAAGAGTGATACTCTACCACCCGTGCTGCTTACAAGATCCGAGGAGGATAGAAACCCCCCTGTAATTTCCCATGACCCCATCAAGGTGAGTTGATGAAGGAAAAAATGGAAGAACAGTCTACTGGCACTTGGCACTTCTGCCTGGGCTCAGGGCCATACAGACACCTCCAGCTCAGTCCCACCCCAAAGCCACTGCCTCTGCTCAGCCTGGGGGTGGGATAGGAGCAGCAAGTGAGAAGGGGGGCTGGGGGTCCAGCTGCCAGCCCCCTGCCTCAGCC
Organism: Homo sapiens; assembly: GCF_000001405.40. Lineage (NCBI taxonomy): Eukaryota > Metazoa > Chordata > Mammalia > Primates > Hominidae > Homo > Homo sapiens. The sequence continues at coordinate 38,894,116 of NC_000017.11, read as the reverse complement.
AGGCCTGGGCAGGACCACCGAGAGGGTCATTTCTGGACAGTTCTGTGGTTACCTCCTCCACAGGGGAGGCTCCAGGTGTCCCAGACACCCAAAGTGCCATTTTGGAGACCAATATAGAGATGGGAAAATAAATAAAGCTGAAATAGCCTGGGCAGCTTCCCAGAGACAGGGAAGGGCAAGGCAGGCCCAGAAGGGGCATGGAGAGAAGCCAGCTGACCCCGTGGGGTGAAGCTGGGTGAGCAGAAGAGGCTCCCCCTTCCCTTCCTGCTAGCCGCAGGCAGCTCTCTCCAGCTCTGCCCCCACGGCAGCCACAGGAACCAGAACCCGTCACTGCTCCAGCCTGGCCGGCTCAGCCCTTCCAAGCCTCAAAGCATCAGGCCCAGCCCCCAGCTTGAGGCAACTGGGTTTGCTGTCCTCATTTTACTGGTGAGGAAGCAAAGCTATGAGAGGAAAGACAGTCTGAGGCCAGTCTCAGACCACACAGCTGGTGGGCGGTGGGAAGGGAGACAGAACAGGCCTGCAAAAAGGGCAGTACCCTTTCCTCCCCTGCCTATCCTGCCCTCAGCCCCCAACCCCCGAGGACCCCCACCTCAGGGGAACAGAGCCGTGCCCTTAGTGCAAAGCCCTACCCTAATGTGGCACCCCTCAGAGCATACAAACAGGGTCGGTACACTCCTGCCCATGGACCCATCTCTAAGCTTCTTAAAGTGGGGCCAAAAGTCCTTATCAGAATCACGGGGGAGTCAAAATGCAGATTCTTGGGCCTCACCCAGAGCTGCCAAGCAGAAGTCCCTTGGGTGGGGCCTAGGAATCTGCATTCCAACAAGCCCATCCTACTTGCTGCTGACTGGTGCATCCTGCAGGGTGGGAGCACAGGGCTCGGTGCCTGTGCCATCAGCACTGTTCAGAGCAACGGGCTCCAGGGCCAGGTCATGGGACTTGATGTCTGCCCCTGTCCCTGGGCTCTGCACAAGCAGGGCAGCCTCTGTAAACCTCAGTTTCCCTATCTGTATGATGGGGATAATAAGAGCCCCTCTTTCATCAGGTGGCTGTAAGGATTAAACAAAGTCAGGCATACACGCATACATGCGTGCATGCTTGCACACACACACACACACATACACGCGTGCATGCGTGCACACGCACACACACACACATACACACACGGACACGCTCTGGCCCTCAGTGAGGCCCTAATGAAGAGTGACCGCCATTTTCATCTCCCAAGAGGCCCCCCCGGGAACCCAGCAGGCTATGACCCTGGGAAGCAGGGGGCACAGGCCAGGGACAGGAGCCCCCAAACCCAGAGCGTGGTGCTGGCTTCCCCTGTGGGGGGCAGAAGCAGCCCCTGCCAACAGCATGCCCTGCCCACTTGCTGCCCATCCTGGGCAGGGGGAACAACGTGGAGGTGCTTCCTCCTCAAACCCCACCCCTCGGGGATAGGGTGCCGGGGCAAAAAGAGCTGCAGCCACGCTTTTGTGGAACTGACAAAGGCTGAGGGGTTTGAATTTCTCCCCTGAGAAGGGTGTGTGTGTGTGTGTGTGTGTGTGTGTGTGTGTGTGTGTCTCCAAAGACCTGCTATCTGCTCCCAGCACCTCTTCTCCGAGGTCCTTCTGAGCCCCTCCACCTCTGGCCCCCATGGCCCTTCCACAGGGCAGGGAATTGAAGGCAGGAGTCAGGGCCTGGCTAGAATCTGTAAAATATGGCCAGGCAGGCTGTGGTGTTCCCTGCTTCCTAGTAACTTCAGCTTCTGTGCCGCAGGTGGGTGGGTGGCAGGTGTGAGCTGCTGCTCTCTTCCTCTGTGAGCCTCAGGCCCTACCAGGGCTGTGCAGCATCAAGGGCCCCAGACTTGGGAGTGACAAGACCAGGGCCCAAATCCTGGATCCGCATTCACTCACTCGGTTCCCCTATCTGTAAGACAGAGACGCTGGGTCTTTTACCTTCTCCCAGAACCCAGTCAAGGATAAACAGGGGAACTAACTAAAGGCACTTGCTGAACTACACAATTTCTTGCTTTTCCTTTTTTTAGAGACAGGGTCTCACCCCATCACCCAGGCTGGAGTGTAGTGGTGCGATCATGGCTCACTGCAGCCTCCAACTCCTCAGCTCAAGTGATACTCCCGCCTCAAACTCCCAAGTAGCTACGACCACAGGTGCACACCACCATCTCTGCTCGTTTTTTTTTTTAGGGACCAGGTATTGCTATGTTGCCCCAGCTGGTCTCGAACTCCTGGGCTCAAGTGATCCTCTTACCTTGGCCTCCCAGAGCACAGGGATTACAGGCGTGAGCCATGGCTCCCAGCCCTAAACTACAAAACTTCTCAACAGCATAAGGAACTATCATGTTTATTATTAAGGTAGAGACTGTTTCTTGGGGAGTGGATAGTCCCTGGGTTAGACAAACCTACATTCAAAGCTGCCAGTGTCTATTTCCTCTTCTCTGAAGTGAAGTGATGCTACAGCTGCACAGGGCTGGGTGAGGATTAAACGAGCTCACACGCCGGGAGCACTGAGCCCTCCATCGTCAGCTGTGAATATTATTATTGCCTCTCCTACCCGCAGGACCTCAGCTAGTCCCTCAAAGTCGCTGGGCCTCAGTCGCCTCATCTGTAACAATGGGGAAGATAGCACCTTCCTCACAGGGCTGCTGGGAGGATGCTGAGAGAGGGTGCATGGAAAGCCTGACAAAAGGCAGGGTCGGTTCTCCCTGATGGACCCGGGCAGTCACATCAAGATCAGGCAGCAGGAGTCCCCTCTGGAGGAACTGGGAGAGATCCCCTCTGTGGCCCGGGTGGAACCTCTGCAGTCTTCTCCCGATCCTGAGTGGGTCCTGGGCGCGCTGCCCACGTGGTAAATTCCCCTACATGTATTCTCGCGCCTAATCCTTCATCGGCTGAAGCCCCGCCCCACCCCACCCCACCTCATCACTGGCCAGGTTTGTCCCAGGAGCCCTCGCACCCCCAGGCAGGGTGGGTCAGCTGTTCTGTTCTCAGGACTCCAGACCCTTTGCTTATTCCTCCGTGTCCCCTAAAGACCAAGTTCTCCCTAGGCCTGGAACCCGTCCTCCCCTCCTACAGGGGCACATACCTCCCACTCAGCAGTGTTCTGGAAAGTCAAGCCAAAGGAGACAGAGGCGGAACAGCCCCCTATCCTGTGCCCCCATGGCAGGGCCCCCTTCACACCTTGCCCTTCAGTGGGTGGAGGTTTGGGACGCGGCTATAGAGGGTTGGTTGCCCAGCCTCAGACTGGCATGACCTGGAGGGGCAAATTCCCTGGTCCTCCCCAAACCCCTCCTTTGTGGGTGAGTGTGAATGGGGAAGAGGGAGGGGAGAGTGGCTTCCTGGAGGAGGTAGGCTTTAGGGAGCCCCAGAGCGGGCTCAAATAGACACCCACACCTCTCCAACCCCCTCTAGGTAGGAAGTGGGAGAACGCTCTACCCTGCTCCTTTGATAAAGTCAGGGGTGGGGTCAAGATTAAAGGCAATGCTAGGATTTCAGCACCTTGGCCTTGCAGAGTAACCGCAGGGGAAGGTACTCTTGCCAAATGCCGACCTTACAACTTCCCTCCCCAGCATCCCTCCCTGCCAGGCCCCAGCACCGCCCAGCCCCTCACCTGACTCTGGAGCTCACTCTGTTGCTTGAGGCGAAGGTTTTCCGGGGTGTCCGCCACCATGGTGAAGGACTGCTTGGGGTAGTGTCTGCAGGACAGAAAAAACAGAGTGGGGGTGACTCTGGGGGAGGGGCAGGAGCCTCTGGGCTTCTCACAGAGCATGCCCTCCTGGGAACTTCGTCCTATGCTTGGGCACGCCCTGGCCCGGCCCCACAGGAGGACTTCAGTGTCCACCACCAAGGCCGAGGGGAGACAAGCGTTTCTCAGACTCAGCTGGGACTGGCTGACCTGGGAAGACGCAGCAGGCATCAGTGATGGGCCAGCCAAGGAGAACTGTCCTGAGCGAAAGGATGGCCACTGGGCCACTCTCTGAGGGTTGAAGGTTACCCTTGTTTGGGGATAATCCATGCCTTGTGCCTACCACACATGGAGGTCGAGGCAACTGGGCCCGGCTGGGGGAAGATGGGCACAGGTGAGTCAGGACTAAGCTTTCAGCTAAGACCAGAAGTGGAGACCGACCATGCAGAGGAGAGCAAGGGGGAGACAGAAAAACAAAGGGACACACATATCCAGGGGGACTTCCTGGAGGAAGTGGTGAGAGAGAAAACACACGGTTAAAGTGGTATTTCAAACGGTTAACAAGGTCCAACCTAACTGGAGGGTAGGTGGGAAGGCCAGCTTGAGGACAAAAAAGGAGGTCACCTGAGGGTGACAGGTAAAATACAGGTTGAGTATCCCTTATTGGAAATGCTCAGGACCAGACGTGTTTCAGATTTTGGATTTTTTCTCAGATTTTAGAATATTTGAATATCCATACTGAGACATCTTGGGGATGGGACCATTTCCTATATACCTCATACACATGGCCTGAAGGTAATTTTATACAATATTTTAAATAATTTTATGCATGAAACAAAATTATTGACTGCTTTTTGACCTATGACCTATCACATGAGGCCAGGTGTGGAATTTTCCCTTGTGGCATCACGTCGGCACTCAAAGCTTTGCATCTTGGAGCTCTTCAGACTCTGGATTTTTGGATTAGGGCTGCTCAATCTATAGTAACAACAGTGAATTAGGCCGGGCGCAGTGGCTCATGCCTGTAATCCCAGCACTTTGGGAGGCCGAGGCGGGCAGATCACGAGGTCAGGAGTTCAAGACTAGCCTGGTCAATATGCTGAAACCCCGGTCTCCACTAAAAATACAAAAATTAGCCGGGTGTGATGGCGTGCGCCTATAGTCCCAGCTACTCAGGAGGCTGAGGCAGGAGAATCGCTTGAACTCAGGAGGCAGAGGTTGCACTGAGCCAAGATCCTGCCATTGCACTCCAGCCTATGTGACAGAGCCAGACTACGTCTCAAAAAGAAAAAACAAAACAAAACAAAAAAAAACAAACAGTGAATGTTCTCCCTGTGCTAAGGGCTTATGTGCCCTAGTTCACCGAATTCTCACAGCCACCTGTGTGACTGGTATTCAGCGTACCCCTTTGACAGATGGGAGAACTGAGGCCAGAGAGGTTAAACAACATGGCCAAGACACACAGGGATCCAGATTTGCGCCCAGACGATTTCTTCAGTTCATGCTGAACTTAGCCGCCAATTTCCAGGCCCAGCACAGCCTGGTCCCCAGGAAGAGGGCCTGGCTTGGAGGCAGCCGAAGCCACGGCAACCCTCAGAGCCTGCAGAGACCTCCAGAAGACTCTGGTCCAACTCCCTCATTTCAGAGGAGGAAACGGTGTGCTGGCACCAGGCACTTCTCCCTTAGCAGTCTTCATAATTAACTTATTTATCACATCAATGTATTGTCTTCTCTCTCCACTACTTCTCTATGAAGGGAGGGATTTTGGGGTCTCTTTTGTTCATTGATTTATCTCAAGTTCCTAGAATAGTAGGCGATGCTCAGTAAATATTTGTTGAATAAACAAATGTCAGGCTGGGCATGGTGGCTCACGCCTATAATCCCAACACTTTGGGAGGCCAAAGCAGGTGGATCACTTGAGGCCAGGAGTTCGAGACCAGCCTGGCTAACATGGCGAAATCCTGTTTCTATTAAAAATACAAAAATTAGCCGGGCACCGTGGCGCATAGCTGTAATCCCAGCTACTCAGGAGGCTGAGGCAGGAGAATCACTTGAACCTGGGAGGTGGAGCTTGCAGTGAGCCAAGATCCGCCACTGTACTCTAGTCTGGGCGAGAGCAAGACTCTATCTCAAAAAAAAAAAAAAGTCACGCCAGGAATTGAAGCTGGTGCAGGACTAGAACTCAGCCCTTCTCCATCCCTCTCTCATCACAAGGTCCCCTAGCAAACCAGCTGCAGGAGAGACAGGCAGCTCTGAGCCATGTGGTTTGTGTGTATGTGCTGCTATGAGAAATGTCTGGGGGTCTGCATGGGCCCCAATTACTTCAGGGACTGGTGGGTGGCTTCTCCAAGCCGGAGCCCGTCAGGCCATTTTTAGCCCTGGGTGACCACAGCCCACCACAGCTATGACCCCTGCAGATCCCTGACTCACAGGCTGCACCCAGGTAAGCCATAGATGGCCTCCTGGGACCTCTTCCTAGGCACGTTCCACCCAAAACTGACACACTCGAGAGCTAAGAACGAGCTGCCCCTCTGCTCGGCATGTTCTCCTGCCGCCCACATGGCCGTGCATCAGAGCTACCTGTAAACAGGCGACTTCCCCTGAGGCCACCACTTGTGAAGGGCAGGGCTCAGGATTTGGAGACCTCAATCAAAGGAGCATAACTTGACAGGGCCCAGTGCAGGGCTCTGGCCCTGCCACTGACTTACTGGGTGACCTTGGCAAATCCTTTTTCCCTTGGGCCAGTTTCACTGTCCCGGATCCAGATGATCCTAGCGGTGCCCGTCCCCCAGCCCTCACCTGGGTCCTGGCCACCCAGGTCAGCCCAGACTCGCAGTTCCTCCAGCAGAGGAAGGGAAGATGAGGAAAGGCAAACACAGGTGTCCGCAGCTGGCAACAGACGTGGCCTGTGATGAATACGTGGCCAAGTCTGGGGTCGTCCCCGTGCAGCCAGGGCCACCCACAGCTGAGGAGCTCCCTTCAAAGTTCCTGTACAATTCCAGGCCAAGGGATGATCAACCACGAGTCTGTTCCTAGAGACCAGAAAGGGAAGATCTCTAGCAGGGCTGGCAGGCCCTGAGGCCCTAAGAGGGAGCGCTTCAGAGACGAGACGACCCTCCTCCCAACATCAGAGCCATTCTGCAGACTGTATGGGCAGGGGCTGTGGTGAGGCAAGCACATGGAAGTAGAGGCACATGTGGCAAAAGCAGGGTGGGGGAGAGGAGACCTCCGGGCAGCTCTGGCCCAGCACTCGAAGACTCAATTCTGAGAAGATGAGGCTGGTTAGCATTTGATGGGGAGGGCTAGAGGCAAGCAGGGCAAACACATCCTCCAGACCCGGTCTGCAAAACCCTGGGGTTTCTCATTGGCCAGAATGCACAGGGTTAAAACAGGCCAGGCTGGGTGCAGTGGCTCACGCCTGTAATCCCAGCAGTTTGGGAGGCCAAGGAGGGCAGATTTCTTGAGCCAGGAGTTTGAGACCAGCCTGAGCTACAGAGCGAGAGCCTGTTTTTATTAAATAAATAAATAAAACAGAGGCCAGCTCCAGTGCCCAAAGACCGCCAGACAGGTGCACCTGACGTGCCCCACCCATTCCACAGTCTGAAGTTCCTACACACACTGCACTGTGCCTCACACACGATGAATATATAGATGTGCCCTCTGCACCGATGGGCGCCTCCAAGACACCCAGGCAGCAGCTGCATTGAGGCCATGTCCACACACCCCCTGCACCCCACACTGTGTCCCTCTGCTCACCCTACACCCACCAGACGGTCTCGGGAGCCCCTCCAACATGCAGCAGGCACCTTGGGTGGGGTTGGCAGGTACTTCATCCTCTTCAGAAGCACCCTTCCCCCTAGTCTCAGCCCCCGACAGCTGGAGTGCTAATCCCATCAGAAGGGAAGTGGGGGTGAGCCAGCCCAGATGTGAGCTCAGCTTAATTTGGCAGGAGTGAGGGAGGATTTTAATCCTGCATCAGATTAACTAGATTAAAGAGGCACTCCAGAGCCTCCAAGCTCCTTCCCCTGCCCACTAAGCCCAACCCCAGGCAGAGGAAGGCAGGCAGACAGCTTGGGCTATATTCCTCTTGCTGGGTCAACCCTGTCCCCTCCCCACAGCCCACAGTCCCCAGTCCCCAGCCCCCAGCCCTGGCGAGACGACTCTGCCTTTCCCTCTCCCGGCTCACTACGCTTCAGGTTTCCATGGCAACCTCATCTTCAGCTCCAGGCAGGAGAGCAGCAACAGTGAGAGAGAGAGTGAGGAGAGAGCGAGAGCGAGACAGAGAGAGAGAGAGAGAGAGTGAGAGTGAGAGAGCGAGTGAGAGAGAATGAGTGAGAGAGAGAGAGAGGTCTACGGGGGTTGAGGAAGAGGCACAGACAGCAAGGGGGTCCTCAACTAAGGAGAAGCCCATGAGGGCAAAGTCAGGAGACTGTGTCTATAGGATCTTTCTGGATAATTTAGGTGAGGAGGACAAGTGTCACGGGTTTGTTTCTAGAAGCAAAGGCATGAGAACATCAGTGCTGCACCCCTCCCCCCACCAGCATGCCGGGCTTCAAAGAAAGCTCCAACTGATTTGACCTCCCTCCAGAAACAATTTTTGGGAATTCTACCTTTTCCCTTCCTGCCCATCCCATCCATTACCCCTAGATCCCAGCAGGGATGGCTGGAAATGTGTGCATGCCAACATGGGTGCTAAGACAGACCAGGGGCCACCCGTCCCAGCTGGTGACTCCGCTGGAACCCAACCCCATGACAGACTGGGCCATGGCGAGGAATGAGGGACAGGTGATCAGCTGGGTGCAGGGCAGAGTCCAGAGCACAGCTGTCCTTTGTCCCATAGGCCAGCCTGTACTGGCCCCTTGTTAATCATTCCAAGTGGGTGGTGGGCTCTCTGCAGGTGCCCCACCCACCCTTCCTCCCTGCTATCAGCTGCTCTGGGGAGTTTGCAGGGAGAGGCATGTAGGACAGGAAGAAGCGGGGCAGGAACAGGGACTGGACAGGGATAGGGCAGGGCAAACAGGCAGCTATTGGCAGCAGCCTCGGGCTTCAGGACAATTTACAGAGACACAAAGCAACATCTTGGCACACTGAGTCCTGTGCACATTCTCTCTCAAAACCCACCACACAGCTTTAGGCTGGCATTCTCATTGTGCCGTTTTACAGATGAAGAAACTGAGGTCCAGTGTCAAGGACAGAGACCTTGCCCAAGGCATTCTCCTCTACACCACAGCTGCCCAGACAGCGAAGGGGAGGCCAGATGGACCCCAGCCACCTCCAGCACTCAGTTCTGGGGAAAGATGTGCTTGGCAGGTTGGGTGCAAAACAAAGCACTTCATCCTTCAAACCCAACTCGTTTCCAAGCTCGGCCATTATGAGAGATATTCTGGGGCCTCTCAGCCACACCTGCTTAGGAGCTGCCTATCCCTCTGAACTTTTCAAAGGTATATGATACAGGTCGGGCACGAAATGCCAGCACTTTGGGAGGCCGAAGCGGGCGGATCATCTGAGGTCAGGAGTTCAAGACCAGTCTGGCCAACGTGGCAAAACCCTGTCTCTACTAAAAATACAAAAATTAGCCGGGCGTGGTGACACACGCCTGTAGTCCCAGCTACCCAGGAGGCTGAGGCAGGAAAATCCCTTGAACCCGGGAAGCGGAGGTTGTAGTGAGCCGAGATCACACCTCTGCACTTCCACCTGGGAGACAGAGAGAGACCCCATCTCAAAAAAAAAAAAAAAAAAAAAGCCGGACGTGGTGGCTCACGCTGTAATCCTAGCACTTTAGGAGGCTGAGGTGGGCGGATCACTTGAGGTCAGGAGTTTGACACCAGCCTGGACAACATGGTGAAACACCGTCTCTACTAAAAATACAAAAAAATTAGCCAGGCATGGTAGCGGCCTCCTGTAATCCCCGCTACTTGGGAGGCTGAGGCGGGAGAACCGCTTGAACCCAGGAGGCAGAGGTTGCAGTGAGCCAAGATTGCGCCATTGCACTCCAGCCTGGGCAACAAGAGCGAAACTCTGTCTCAAAAAATAAAAATTAAAAAAAAAAAAAAAAAAGGATATGATACTGAAGAGGCCCTGTGTCCCAGGAGAGGGGTTATCTGTGAGGACCTCTGGGTGGCCTTCCTGCTTGGTGGGACTACAGGGGCAAGGTTTCCGGGCTCACAGGTGACAGGGACAGCTTGTCAGCCACCAGCCTCACTCTCCAGTCCTGCCATCAGCCACACTCCAGGGTCAGAAGAACAGGATAGCGAACCCGAAAGCCCAGCGCCCTTTCTACACAGAGCCTCGCCCGTTCCAGGCTTGGATCTCTTCAAAAACCACAGCTTTGTGTTCAAGGAGGAACAAAAAGACATCAACAAAAGCAACAAGGAGCTTTTGGTTTTACCAAAAGGAAAAAAAAAAAACAGCCCCCACATCCTGCCTCTAGAAAGAGCTGCGGATTCCAAAAGCCCCTACTGGGAAGGCTGCCCACAGGCGGGAAGGGAGGGCTCCCTGCTAACCCAGTTTCTCACCCGTCCATCCCCTCAGGCCTAAGGGGCTGAAGTGGTGGCGATAGGAAGCAACAAGGAGGCATTGTTCAATCAGAGGAAAAAAAAGAGCAGTCAAAAAGATCAAGGCTAGACTTGAGGAAGAACTTACCAGCCATCAGATTGCACACAAAATGAAAAGAAAAAAAAAAAAAAAAAAGCCTGCCCCTGTCGGTAATATAGAAGAGAAACAATTCTGCAAGTTGAGTAAGGCATGGAAACGCGGGCCTGTTTCCTCATCTGTAAAACGTAGGTGTTAGGAAGCAAAGTGATCCCTCAGGCTCCAGGAGGCCTGAAGGACAGGGATTTGGGGGTAAGTGAGGTGGGAGGGCTACCTGGAGGCCACATTTGGCTACTTGGGCTGGCCATTTGCACTTGCCCTCCCCCACACTGTCATCCCTAGTCCCCATTTTTCCAGTTAGAGGCAGACAATTTTGGGAAGGAGGGAAAGCCCTGGGCCCCAGTGCGGGGTTTGCCTACTCCTGCTCCACCTATTTTTATTTTCATTTTTACATTTTTTAGAGACAGAGTGTCCCTCTGTTGCCAGGCTGGAGTGCTGTGGTGCAATCAGGGCTCACTACAGCCTCAACCTCCCAGACTCAAGTAATCCTCCTGCCTCAGCCTCCCAAGTAACTGGGACCACAGGCCCACACCACCACACTCGGCTAATTTATTTCATTTTTTGTAGAGATGAGGCTGGTCTTGAACTCCTGGCCTCAAGCGATCCACCCTCCTCAGTCTCCCAAAGTGCTGGGATTACAGGCATAAACCACTGCACCCAACCCTGCCCCACCTTTTAAAAGCAGCTGGGATTAAAGACAGTTTGCTAGAATCCAGAGACACTTAAGCACCCAGCCTTGTCTGACACAGACCACACCCTACTCCCATCTGATGCCTAAGGGAAGGGGCAGAAACATAGTTCCTGGCTCCCCAGAATCAGGGACATCTTTACCCTCCTCAGTCCTTACCCCACAGCTCAAGGAAACTGGAGAATGAACCCCAAATATGTGCAGTCAGAGAAGAGGGGAAAGGTGCAACCAAGTCCCCCAATTTTCCTTCCCCAGCCCATGCCCACCTCCCACTTGACACCTCACAAGCTGGTTTCCCTGGCTGGCAACCCTGCCTCCTGTCAGTAGGGCCCTAAAGAGGAGGGAACAGGCAGTACTCTAGACTATCTGCAGGGAGACAACGATGCAGGTTTATGCTAAGCCTGGGCGTGTGGACTGATCTGCCCCACTTTTGGAAAATCCAGTTTACAAAACAAGTAATGGAGGGCATAAATATCTCTCTTAAATATCTCTCTCACCAAGAGCAGGCTCACTCCACCCACCCAGAAGCTTCAAGAAAGAATTCGGGCCGGGCAGTGGCTCATGCCTATAATCCCAGCACTTTGGGAGGCCGAGGCGAGTGGATCACCTGAGGTCAAGAGTTCCAGATCAGCCTGGCCAACATGGAAAAACCCCATCTCTACTAAAAATACAAAAATTAGCCGGGCATGGTGGCAGGTGCCTGTAATCCCAGCTACTTGGGAGGCTGAGGCAGGAGAATCGCTTGAACCTGGGAGGCAGAGGTTGTAGTGAGCGGAGATCGCACCACTGCACTCCAGCCTGAGCGACAGAGACTCCGTCTCAAAAAAAACAAACAAAAAGAATTCTATTAGCAGTTCTTCCTCCACCACTGGCTATTGTGCAGAAGCCGGGAGTGCACCCTCAACCTTGCCACAGCATTGGCTGCATGGCTGCAGTCCTGAAGGTGGAAACACAAACACAGCCCATTCAGTCCAGCTCCCAAGTCCTCCTCCCCCGCCCCAGCACCGGCGTGGGTGTCTGCCTACACACCAGGCATGTGTGTAACTGCACGCATGTGGGGGTCCGCCACACCAGGTGGGCTGGCAGTGAGCTCTGGCCTATGTTCTCTCCCCTGCCTCTCCCCCAAACAAGTCTGATGCAAGGACAGAAACAGAAGAGGCCTTTTCACTGCCTACTTTACAGTCACTTTCTAGAGCTTAAATCTGAATCTTGAGAAACCACAGGGAAAGATAGCTTTCTTCTTTCTTGACCAGCCCCCTGCAAGATCCTAGCTCCCCTCAGAGACTAGCCAGAGACAGGCAGAACATAGAGGCCTCCCTGCACACCAAACTCACACACTCACTGGGTGGGCCCAACTCCCTGGCAAAGTGCCAGAAGAAACCACGTGCCCCTACGGGTCCTGCACTGGGCTTGGCCCAGCATGGAGCACGTGATGCTTCAGAGAAGGAAGCCAGGCCTGTGGTCCACAAAGCAAGACCAGAACAGAAATGGCAGAAAGCTGTACCCTGGTAAACCCAGGATTCAGGAACCTGAATGTCACTCAAGGATAAGACCAGAGGCAGGAAGAAAACACGAGGAGGCTGGGCTAAAGCAGGTAGATCACCTGAGGCCAAGAGTATGACAAGCCCTCCTCTCTACAAAAAACTTAAAAATTAGCATGGCGCCACATGCCTGTGGTCCCAGCTACTAGGGAGGCTGAGGCAGGAGGATCACTTAAACCCAGGAGGTGGAGGCTGCAGTGAGCCATGATCACTCCACTGCACTCCAGCCTGGGTGACTGAGCAGGACGAAGTTTTTTTGGAGACCTTGTCTCCAAAAAACCAAAGCAAAATAAAAACAAAAAAAGTAAGAAAGCAGGAGGGAATGACAGCAAACACTCGGCCTAGCGTCTGGCACATAGCAAGAGCTCAATAAATCCTCTTTGGTCTAGGGTCCAACATCCCTGGGCAGGAATTTTTTTTTATCTTTAGTTTGTTTGTTTGTTTGTTTTGAGATGGAGTCTCGCTCTGTCGCTCAGACTGAAGTGCAGAGGCAATCTTGGCTCACTGCAGCCCTGGCCTCCCAGGTTCAAGCAATTCTCCTGCCTCAGCCTCCTGAGTAGCTGGGATTATAGGTGCCCACCACCACATCTGGCTAATGTTTGTATTTTTAGTAGAGACGAGTTTCACCATGTTGGCCAGGCTGATAGAACTCCTGACCTTAAGTGATCCACCTGCTTCAGCCTCCCAAAGTGCTGGGATTACAGGCGTGAGCCACTATGCCAGGCCTCCTGGGCAGGAATTTTTAACCATGGGGAAACCAAGGCTCAGACACGTCCAGAGAGCACTCCTTGCAAGCGGGCGCCACACCTGGTTCATCCCAGAATCCCCACGGGTAACTTCTTGGCCCAGTGGATGCAGGGGAGGGAGAATGACTGCCTTGGGCGAGGAGGTGCTACTACAGCTAAAGTGAAACACAGCTGGGTCACAAAGCCCCCAGGTCTCTCTCACTAGGCTCCTTCCCAGGAAACATCCCAACTGGGCCAAAGGTCAATGAGGCATGGCAGAGGCTAGGGCTACAAAAGCTGGAGGAAACATGGAGAGGCCAACCTGCTTCTTTTGGCTGGAGGCCAGGAGGGAGACAGGGGAACCTCTGCCTCTGCAAGTTGGAAGCATCACCCAGAGAAGAAACCTTGATCTGCCTCTTCTGGCTCCCCCAGTCCCTGCAGGAGCCCTCCACCCAACCTTGTGGCAGCTTCCCAAGAAGACAGTAAAAACAGTAAGCTGGAACTTTGGATGAGGCTGATAAAACGCAGAGAAAACAAGGACAAGCCTCTGATTTTTCTCCAGCTCCCAGTGCTCACTGAATTCTAGGCTGCTTGAGTCACTGGGCTCCAAGGCTCGGTCAGACTTCTGCGTGCTGGGGCGGAGGCTCAGAATCTAGCCTGAGGTGGTCCAGCAACGGAGGGGTTAACTGCCCTGGCTTCTCTGAACCCCACCCCACTACCCAATGGAGGGAGGAAGTGGCAGAGAACCAGGGCTTGTGTGAGCCCTTAAGAATTCGAAGAATGTCCCATTTCCCTTGTGGGGGTGGGAGGGGTTGGTAGGGGGAAGAGGAACAGTAGAAATTAATAGAAGAGAAGGGGCAGCTGAAGGAGGGGCCAGGACAGAGCTGCAACCCTTCCTTTACCCAGATAACCTGCCCAGTGCCCTCCTTCTTCCAGAAGGGACAACTTCATGTTGCTTCTTGGGCTTGAGATTTTTATCAGGAATCTGTTTTCCCAGCACCTGGTGCAGGTTAGTATGTATTATAGCAGCAGGCAGGCAATAAATGTCTGCTGAATGAGCGAGCCCCTAAAAAGATGAAAGAGTGGTCTTAGCCAGGGAACGGGAGGGGGTAAGGAAGCAAGGAAGGTTTGGGGTAAGGTTAGGGGTAAGGCTGGAGGTTTAAGCCCCCTTTTTAGACAAGTCCCAAATTTTTTTTTCCCTGGGTGAACTTCAGCTGCAAAGAGCCTCCTGACTGAGAATTAAGAGAAAAAAAAAAAAAACTGGACTCAAGTCAGATCCTAAATTCATGTGAACACTGAAATTACCATTACTTGAGTTGGTTGAAGTTAAAAAAAAAAAAGTTAAAATTAAAAAAAAAATCGAATTAAGGCTGGGCGAGGTGGCTTATACCTGTAATCCCAGCACTTTGGGAGGCTGAGGCGGTGCATCACTTGAGGTCAGGAGTTCGAGACCAGCCTGGCCAACACGGTGAAACCCCGGTCTCTACTAAAAAATACAAAAATTAGCTGGGCATGGTAGCATGCATCTGTAATCCCAGCTACTCAGGAGGCTTAGGTACAAGAATCGCTTGAATCCAAGAGGCGGAGGTTGCAGTGAGCCAAGATCGCGCCACTGCACTCCAACCTGGGTGATGAGTCCTCTGACTCAAAAAAAAAAAAAAAAGCAAATTAAAAGAAAAAGAAATTATCATTACATCATTACTTATAAGTGACTTGACCTTCCAAAGCCTCCACCTCGCAGGTGGAGGCGGCTGTGAGGCCCCAACACTGAGTTTGTACTTGCTACTCACAAGGTCAATTGGAAGATGGAAAATTGCTGTACTTTCTGGGATTGCATGGGATGGGATGGGATGGGATGGGAGGGGAGGTATTCCTCCAGGCTCTGGGATGGGGGACCCCACCTCTATACTCCCTCCCTACCGTCAGCTGCTGCAGGTCCCAGTGCAGAAGGAACAGAGCTGCACTATACTCAAGATGACTATACTCAAAAGAAACAGTCTCCACAGCCTCCCTCACCAGGCAGGGAAGAGATCTATCTGGCCCAGGCAACACCCTTTATGCACCCCTGCCCATTCTCAAAAAATGAACACCAAAAGGGCTGGCATGAGGCTTCCAGAGAGTTTTCTTGAAGGAACCACTGGAGGAAGGAGCCCCCAAAGCCTAGAAGTACCCAGGTGAGAGAAGGAAACTGTCGATTTTGAGGAGAGAAATAAGGGAAGGTAAACAGAACAAAGTCCTCAACCCCAAATACAACAGACACGTCACTCATTCTTGAAAGACCACGAGGAAAGCCCCCTCTTTTGTAGCAGGGGACAGTGGAAAGAAACGTGCTCGCCTTACTGCCCGAAATTGGGTTAGAGCCTGTCTTGCCCTAGCCATCCCACCTTGAGAGTCTCTTCCCTTCCCTAAGCCCCAGTTTCCTCATCTGTACTTTAAATGCACTTTAAATGGGGGATAAAAGCACTTTAAATGGGGATAAAAAGTGCTTGCTTCATTCAGCTGTTGTGAGGACAAACTGTGATGTTCAAGTAGGGGATGGAAGTGTTCGCCAATGTCACCTTGCGGTTATTGGAAGGAAAGGAAGAACTCACTCGGGGAGGGAGCCAAGGTGCCCACCCAGCCCCCTGCCCAGAACAGGACTCACGCGTTGCAGTAGGGCTTCTTCTCGTAGCCCTTGTAGTTCTTCATGTTCAGTGTCATCTTGCAGGTCTCGCAATGGAAGCATGCTTTATGCCAGAACTGGGGATGGAGACAGGAGGACATACATCAGATACCAGGACTTCTGAAAAAGGGGCTCAGGCCCTAGGAAGGGGCACTCAGGAGCTGCTGGGACTGTCCTAGGCCCATGGCTGTGGGGAGAACATGGAATCATCCCAGGTGAGCTGGGGGCATTTCAGGTCACAGGCTTTGGCACTCCCCTCCCCTCTCTCCTTCCTCATCCTCCACCAATGGGCCATTTGAACCCAGGAGGAAGAGACAGGCAGGCATGAAGGACAGGGGGGAAGAGCCCAGTTATAGCAGTGGCAGCAGCCCCCAAGTCAGCTCCACCCTCCCCAGGGAACCCCTCCTGCCCAGAGCTGGCGAGGCCTCATTGCTTATGCAAAGCTGCGCTGGGTTGCTAGGGAGCAGCCGCTGAACATGAAGGAGCAGCTCCTCTGGTGGCACCAAGGCCTCAGAAGAGGAAGGCCCAGCCCCCACACACCCAGGCCCAGAACCCAGGTGCTCCTAGCTCCTGTACCAGGGCCCAGCACACCCACCAGCCCCACATGAGCCCCAGGTGGTGCTACAGCTCCGATACCTCCCACTTCCTGTGGGATGCCTGGCCAGAGGAGTGGGCTGGGTGTCCCAGGCTCTGTCAACACAACACATCCTTTCTACCCTTCCCTCATCCTCTCCCACCCCAGGAGGAGGGCAGGAGAGCACCCGGCAGCGGGTCTCCCACTGAGGCACTGAAGGGCTCTACTTCAAAGCCTTGAAGGTGGACACCCCTATAGTGGACATCAAAGCTCTACCCCACTAACTGTATGGCCTTGGGCGGGGCCCTGCACCTCAGAGGAGCCCACTTCCTGGTGTGTACAATGGATGTAATAACACCTGGCCCTCCTGGGATTGTCCAGGACTGAGGAGAAATCACCTTCAAAGCCCTCAGCACAGCACTTGGCACCTCTGAGCACTCAGATGTCAGGTGCTGGGCACAGCAGGTGTGAACCTTAGCCGAGGGGGTCAGGGCTCACACTGGAGATTGTGTGTGTTGGGGTGCAGAGGGGCTTCACTGTGCCAACCACAGCTCCAATCCATTCATGCGTGTGAGAATGTGGGACACGGCCGGGCACGGTGGCTCACGCCTGTAATCCCGCACTTTGGGAGGCCGAGGCGGGCGGATCATGAGGTCAAGAGATCGAGACCATCCTGGCTAACATGGTGAAACCCCATCTCTACTAAAAAGACAAAAAAATTAGCCAGGCGTGGTGGCGGGTGCCTGTAGTCCCAGCTACTTGGGAGGCTGAGGCAGGAGAATGGCGTGAACCCAGGCCACTGCACTCCAGTCTGGGTGACAGAGCAAGACTCCGTCTCAAAAAAAAAAAAGAGAATGTGGGACACAGGGCCCATCCAGGGTGGCCGACGGAGGGAAGAGAGTGATGACAGAAAGAGAACAGATCTAGCCGGGAGCGGTGGCTCACGCCTATAATCCGAGCACTTCGGGAGGCTGTGGCAGGCGGATTACTGGAGGTTGGGAGTTCAAGACCAGCCTGGCCAACATGGTGAAACCCCGTATCTACTAAAAATACAAAAAAATTAGCCGGGTGCAGTGACGGCGTGCCTGTAATCCCAGCTACTCGGGAGGCTGAGGCAGGAGAATCGCTTGAACCCAGGAGGCAGAGATTGCGGTGAGCTGAGATCATGCCACTGCACTCCAGCCTGGGGTATAGAGCGAGACTTAATCTCAAAAATAAATAAATAAATAAATAAATAAATAAATAGGCCGGGTATGGTGGCGCATGCCTGTAATTCCAGCTACTTGGGAGGCTGAGGCAAAAGAATCACTTAAACCCAGGAGGTGGAGGTTGCAGTGAGCCAAGATTGTGCCACTGCACTCCAGCCTGGGTGACAGAGCAAGACTCTGTCTCAAAAAAAAAAAAAAAAAAAAGAGAAACGATCTAACAGGCTCCACGTGGCAGCCTGGAGGGGTCTTTGTGGAACCCCTGAGAAGTATTGATGCTTAGGCAAACCCATGACAACAGGATCTAAATTCACCCCCAGAAGCCCAGGATGATGTGCTGGATCACCACCAAACAGGGGTCCACTGCCAGGACCCCAGAATAATCCAGGCCACCTGAGTGACCTGGCTGGCCTGTCCCTGCCCCATTTCCCAGTAGTCAAGGGAGACATTCCCCATTCCAAAAGAAGGAGGCCAGGAGGCAGGCCCAGGGGGACTTTTGAAGGAGCCCAGCCACAGAGCTGGTTCTTGGCCATTTGTCAAGGAATTCCCCCAAGGCGATGCTTTTCAAAATGTTGTCTCCAAACCCCCGGAGGGAGAGGTGCTTCTGAGACACTGGGAGGAGGGGATAGCAGAAAGAAGGCTGAGAATCTGGGATTCAACCTCCCTACCATGGCCCACTTCAACCAGAGACCCCCAGGGTAATTTCAGGGGGAAATCACCTTCTAATAGGGTACTGGTTCCCTATCAAGAAGACCCAAAGGAAAAACCTAATGGTGGAATATTAAACAGAATGCTAGGAGAACCACTCTTGGGGAGGACGGCCAGCCGGAAGTCTGGAAGCAAAGAAGTGGCGGGTCTAAGCTTGGCCCCCTCCCCAACCTGGGCCTATCCCAGTGACCCAGGGCCCCCAAACTCCTATGAGGCAACTTAAAGACTCCTTCTGGTGCATAACCCAATAGACAGAACCCACCGGGACACTAAGACAGACTGGTCCCTGCCCCCACAGGCCCCTGAAGTGGTGCATACCCCAACACACAGAACCCACCAGGGACACTAAGACAGGCTGGTCCCTGCCCCCACAGGCCCCTGAAGTGACAGCCCCACTCCCTCCCCGAGTAACTGGGAGGCATTGGCAGGGTGCCCCAGCCTGGTCACCACCCAGTCTGCTGGCCTCTGCCTACTTAGCTGCACAGGCCCCTGCCTAGGCCCCTGCCTGGGCCCCTGCCTCCCCCTACCCCCACAGGGGCCTGCCAGGAAAAACATTCTCCAGAATCCAGACCATGACCCACTTTCTCACACACACACACACACACACACACACACACACGAAGGGCTACACACTGTCCTAGGACCACGGACCTCCAAGGCTGCCTCCTGATTGACGTTGGGGAGACAAAGGGAGAGAGACCCCTACTCCAGATGGCCAGGCCTGCACCCGGAGCCAAGCCCCTTGGAGAAGGAGGGTGGGGTGTACTGAGCAGGCAGGGGGCACAGGGCCAACACTGGACCCAGTGGTTCCAAAGACCCCTCCAGGCTGCCACGCGGAGGAAGCAGAGCCCCTCTTCTAGGGGATGGCACCTATTTCTATCAGTAGCTCCTTCCCACCTCCCTCACAGGCCCCACACTCTCATCCAGACACCCAAGGGTGGGGCAGAGGAGGGTGGTCGCCTGTCCCCCTGCAGGGGGCTCTGAGCAGAAACATGGAAACCAGTTACTATGAAGCACAAGTGTCAAGTGGAGCTGCAGCCACTGTCTCCCAGAGTGCTGGAAGGTCAGGAGAGGAGGCCGTTCCACCCCTAATGCTTGGCACCTCCAGCAGCTTCAGGCGACTCCCCTACCCTCTCTGGAGGAAGGCCCCAAGGTTCAAGAAAACCCACCAGCTCCTTCCACTGTGTCCTTTTTGGGGTAGGAAAATTGTGGGGAGGGGAGGCAGAAAATGGCCAGTCCCTCCACAACCGCTGTGAGCCAAGCCTGGACCCTAAGATGAAAGAACTCCTGCCTTGTCTCAATGGGGTCTGGGGAAGGACACTGTCAGGGAAATATGTCCAGAGGACCCCACAGTGACCCCGTCTGCCTCTGCCCTGCCCCATGGGCTCTGTCCCAGAGCAAGAGCCCCCCTCTTTTAAAGGCCCCAGGCAAGATGATTTCAGCGAAGCATTCCTGGGCCTCAGGACTCAAGGAAACTGCACCTCGAGGCATGCACCTCTGCCCCTTCCTGCTGCCTGCAAAGTCCATGGCTTCCCTGTTCACAGAAACCAGACAGACCCTACCTCTGCTGCCTGTTAGAGGCCTCTCAGCCTGGATCCGAGGCTCCAAGGCAGGGTCATCTTGATCTTCCCTTGCCTACCTGCAACCCACTCTAAAGAAAGGTAAACAGGCTGGTAGGGGCAGAAGCCTGCAAGGATACCCCTCACTTGGGACAGCCTGTCCCTCTGTGGCTCTGGGTTGGGGGGGATGTGGCAAGCTTCGTGTCACTGTGCCTGCAGCCTGGCACCTTGGCCTCTGAACCCAGGCTACCTGGGGTGGCCATGACTCAGGGATGGATTATGAGACCATCTCTTCCCTTCCTGTTGCCCAG
The DNA here is from genome assembly GCF_000001405.40 of Homo sapiens. Classification (NCBI taxonomy): domain Eukaryota; kingdom Metazoa; phylum Chordata; class Mammalia; order Primates; family Hominidae; genus Homo; species Homo sapiens. The sequence goes on along the minus strand of NC_000017.11, from coordinate 38,873,805 downwards.
GGTTACAGTTTCTCCCTCCTGCAGAGGCAATGCCAGCCCCACCCTGGCCGGGGCACCAGCCTAGCTTGGTTGGCCACCTGACCCGCTGGCTTAAAGGCATAGATCTTTGCTGCACCTCCACAAATTCCGAGGAGGACAGGATTATTCCCAGTGGCCCCACGCCCCCATACAAGACCCCAGGCCCAGAGCATTCCTCCAGATAGGGTCAGGAAGGGATGGGACCTACTTTTGGCACAAATGAGATGTAAATAAAATATAAATATGTATAAATAAAAGTACTTTCTGCAAACACACTGGCAGAAGAGCTGAGCAGAAAGAACTGTGGATGTGAATTTCAGCTCTAAGAGAGGGAGATGAGCCACATGGGCTACCTGAGCCTCCATTTATGGAGTGCATCGTTTACAAGAGCGAATACACCTACTTTGTGAGGCTGCTGTGAAGACTGAGCCCAGCATATCGTGATAACTAGTAGCTATTATGAAGGGATGGTCACAAGATGATGGTGGGGTACTCTAAGCTTCAGCTAGCAAAACGGGGCACCACAGCTGTGAGGACTTCAACCCCCTCGAGTGGGGAGGGAGCGCTGAGACAAGCAGAGGCAGAGAGCCCACCCTAACAGGGGATTCCAGGGGAACTGGCAGCAGACCAATCCTCTACCTCCACCTGTTTTCAGAAACCTGGGGAAGCAAGCCAGGAAAGAGGGACGTGGCGAGGTTCTTGACAACACAGCTCCCTAGATACAAAGCAGGTGCACAAAGTAGGTGCTCAATAAATATTTGTTGAATGAGCAAATGAGGTCACCCTGTTTCTCCCCCAGCTCTAATCCCAGAAGTCCTCTGGAGAAGCAAATCTCGACCTCCTTCCTCAAACACTGTCATCAGCAATACATATTTATCCAGCTTGCAAAGCATGCTGGGTACTGCAGGTTGGGGGCAGGGTGGCCTTCAGAGGTGACAAGGTTTTTACCCACCTATGCCTTTGGGAGATAAGGCTCAGGGAGGAGAAAAGGCTGAAACCAAGGACACACCCTGTGCTTTGGGCCACGTAGTGGGCTGAGTACCATGGGGGATTGTAGAGAAACGGGTGAGTCTAATTTGACTCTTTTGCTGTAAATGGGAGGCCTTGGGAAGTTGGTTAGCAACTATGGGACTGAAGCTGCCTATGGGACTGAAGGTTTCCCCTCCTCCCTGGTCACAGCCCAGCATCCTCCAGGCACTGGCTCCCCATTCCTGGTCCTATCCTTACTGCCTGGAGCAGGTGGAGAGGAATAGGTCTGATACCTGGATATTTCAGGTCTCCTGCTCAGTACAGGGGGCGAGGTCTCTCCAGGGCCACTTCCTATAGGGAGAGTTCTAAAAAGAGGAAGGAATCACCAACTCCCACTTCCCTGGGCAACCCCCACTTGAACGTCCTCTTCCAGCTAGGGTAAGAGAACTGGGGAGGGCACCCTGCCCATCCCTGCTCCCCTCCCCTCGGGTACACGGCACTGAAGGTCTTTCCAAGGGGAGTGGTGTGGAGCTGAACAGAGCATCCCAGAGAGGTAGGGAGGGCATAGTCTATACAGCACCCTCTTTAGCACTCAGGGACTTTAGTGCACTGCCCCACCTTTAAGGAAATGACATCATCATACCCATCTGACAGATGGTGAATACTGAGGCCTAGAGACATTCATAAAACTGGTGGGAGCAGACCTGGAACAAGGACCCAGTTTCCCAACTCCTGGAGTGGCAATCCTGCCTTCATGTTTTGCTTTTTCCTTATACGGGTCAAGTGCCCACTGCCTCTTCCCAATTCATGACTGTGGAGAAGAAGGGGACCACAGGGAACTCAAGATGCAGAGGCCAAAATCTCTGCCACGAGGGGCGGGCGAAACCCCAGTGTGCAAGGACAGGTACATTCTCAAGGGGAGACTTCATTATCTGATAGCTCTAAGCTCAAGTCCTGCCCAACAGCGGCTGGCATGGTCATGGGGAGATCAACAACTTTCCTCGTGCCCACAATATACCCCCTCCTCTCCTCCTGCCCAGTCAAGCCCAGGACCAGGAGGAACAGTGACACAGCAGCGGCCCCATATGCCCACACTCCCCAAGAGCAAGTTCAAATATCTTTCAGAACCTCCAACCCCACCTCCTCACGCTGACTCAGAGGCCAAAGGTCACTGAGGAAGCTCACACACCAAGGGGGAGGGGAGAGATAAGGTGTCCAATAAACTATCCTCTCCTGAACAAAACCTGGCTCCAGGTCAGTAATGAACTTGGCCCCAGGGCTCTATACCCCTCTTTCATCTAGTGTTCCCACCCTTGCACCTCTCTTCCATCCAGTCCTCCCAGCCCTCCCAGTTCAGATGGAAAGGACAGAATACTTGGACTTGGAGCCAGCTTTGGGTGGTGGATGAAAGACGCGGTGAGGAAGGGCACAAAATCACAGAGGCCTCCCCTCCAGACTGGGGAGGGGATGCAGAGGGGCAGGTTTTACCTTAGGATCTTACGGAGCTTACAAGAGAACAGGATCCTACCCTAAACTGTACGGGAAACACCCAGTTCTACTCTCCAACCCCCCTCCAAAAGTCTAATGGCAACCAGATGAACAAGTCCAGCATTGGGGAGACAGGGCCCCCAGGGGACACTGAATCTCCACAAGGCCACCCTCCCCTCCCCCCAATACCTCCCCCTTTCCTCGGCTTCCCCAGAACTCAGCCAACCCCACCCTCCATTGGAGAAACCTGCTTTGAAAAGTTAGCTCTTTGTTCTTCCACACGGTCTCCTGGCTCTGAGCACAATTTCAGGAGATCTCAGCTAAGCACCCTCCACCCACCCTACTCTGCCACCCAACCCCACCCGGCTCAGGCTGGACGGCCCAGCACCGGGAGTTGGCTTTTAATTGGAGGTGGGGGTTGGGAAGCTGTGGAGGAGGTCTGCGAGTCCTTTAACGACTGAATCCAAGGGGGTGCAGGTCGTTCAAAAACGGGGCTCTTGCGGCAGAGCCCGGGTCCTTACCCAAAACCCCCCGCATCAGATGCCACACACTCGCAGGCTGATAGCCCCCGCCCCGCCAGGCCAGGAAGCCAGGCCACCCCCGCCGGAGCGGACGGTTTTGCAGGGCCCCCCAGCCTCTGCCCCGCCCCCCCGCCCCCTCCACCAGCGCCCCGCGCTTCCGCCTACTTGGCGCTCGGCGCAGAGCGGAGAGGGAGCGGCCGTCTCTTCTCACTCTCCAGGCCGTAGGGGGCGGGACTGCACCCCTAACCTTCCCCCAACACACCCCGGCGCCTGACTTCCCTGCTCCTCTCCCGTCCTCCCAACCCCGGGACACAGAGCCCACCCCTCTCCAGCAGCGGCTGCCCGCTACGCGTGGACTTCCCGCCTCGCCCCAGATCTCCTGGTTTTCAGACTGGGATGTGTCCCCACACCCCATGACACCGCCCGCTCGCCCTCCCTCCATTCTCCTGGGATCGCGGGGATAAGGCGGCAAAGACCCGGCCCTTCTCTCCTCCCTGGATTCGGAGCACTGCGGGGGATTGCAAAGACGCGTCTCCCGGTCCCGGGCTCACCTTATCCAGACAGTTCACCTTCTCCGTGGGATACACGATCTTGCCGCACCGGGCGCAGTTGGGGTTCATGGTTCCGAGAAAAGCTGGGGCGGGGACGCCTGAGCTCACGCGCGTCCTGTTCCCCGAGGCGAGCTGGCGGGAGGCGGCCGCGGCTGCAACTACACAGGCAGCAGCGACGGCGGCTGGAGCTGGGGAACTGGCCTCCGCCTCCGCCCTCCTTCCCCTAATAAACACAGCGGGGAGGAGGGGCTGCACTGGGGCGGGCACGCGCCTCGGGCGCGGGCAAGGGCACGCGCAGCGAGGCGCGCTCTCCGGGCGACGTGGGGCTGCGCGGGGGCGGGTTCCTGGGGGGACGGCGGGGCCCGCGGTGCTGGCGCCTCAGCGCTCTCAGGCTGACTGCGCCCGGTGCCCAGGGCCCTTCCCCAGCCGGAGGCGGCGCAGAGGCGAGCAGGCTGCACATCTGGGGCGCCCGGGCTGCGGGAGGCGGGCTAACCCCTCAAGCCCGTCGAGGGTGGGGTTGGATCCTCCTGAACGCTGGAACTGATTCACCGCATTCGGGGACTTTCTACCCGGCATGAATCTGCGGACCGAACGGGGACCCCCTACCCTGCCCCTCTTAGCTCTCTTCCGGCCCACACCCTTTCCCACATTTGTGGGGCGGAACCCGTCCCTCCCTCTTGGACCCTGCGCGCTGCCGGGCCCGGGCTAGTGCTTCCCTCTCGAGCCCCTGCAGTGCACCTTCCCGGGGTTCCCCGGATGCGGGCACCGTCTGCGTTCAGCTTGACCCCTTTTTCTCCAGCATTCCTTTCTCCTTCTGTTACACCACTACTCACAGTGTAGCAGCTGCAACAATGCTTAGCACCCAAGGAGCCGCCTCCAGGCGCTGTAGAGGCGCGGGGGTATAGCTCAGTGGTAGAGCATTTGACTGCAGATCAAGAGGTCCCTGGTTCAAATCCGGGTGCCCCCTCAATGGCTTGGTTTTTCCTTCCCCTTGTTAACCATCTGTTTTTCATTCTTGACTCACATTTTAACATTGGGTCCTGACTAAAAAAAAAAAAAAAAAGAAAAGAAAAAGTATCTTCCTCATTTTTCAACCTTAGCAGAAATCTTTCGGTTTTACTTTGTGCTCAGCGGGAGGAGGGGGTGGGTATAAAAGCTGCGCGACCGCATTACTCGCGCCAGAGGTGTAGGGATTTCTGCGGCCACGGGCGCCAGCCTCAGATGGGTCAGACAGTTCGAGGTGCCGGGTTTGAGGGACAGGATGTTTCCAATGGGGGTAGGGAGACAGGGGAACGCCTCAACTTGGCGTTCCTTTTGGGGGTGGAGGGTGGGTCAGGCGAGGGAAACCCATAGACACAGCCCTTCTCCAACTTCAACTTTCTGTATTAATGGTGACATGGACGTGCTGTGTTCATCCTTGACTATTAATGTACAAAAGTAAAGTTATAACCCAGTGCAAACTGAGATAAACGAACACAGTGTTTCTCAAATTTGAACGTGCATCAGAATTACCTGCAGGGCTTGTTAAAACACTGCTAGTTTCTGATTCTGTAAGGGGGCCCCGAGAATTTGCATTTCTACCAAGTTTCCAGGTGCCTCTGGTGCTGCTGGTGTGGGGACCACATTTTAAGAACCACTGAAGTAAGAATAAAAGGCCATGGAGTTTCATAACCTAAAGATGGGGACAAGTATCTGCTGGCTGCGTGCCTGACAGGGTCACTGTTGGGCCGGAGGAAAATGGTAAGTGTGACGGGAGACAAGGGCGTCCCCCTCGACTAGGTTTTGCCCAAAAAAAGGAAAAATAAAGGAGAAAGGAAGAGGCGTGCTGCCTGGGTCAAAGGGCAGCTGCGATATTTTAAACCCGGAATGTGGTTGTGTCATTCCTCGGACCCCGGGGAAACGCGCATTTTTTTCTCCTGGCTCCTATTACTGTGAGCTGTATCTCTAGGCTGAACAGAGAGATCACAGATCAGCAGAGCTGCGGTTCCGTGCAAAACCCAGGAGGAACCAGTTTTACCTCTCCTTTAGGCCTTGAACTTTCCATGTATAGCTTATCAAGCCAAAGCCCTGCCTATGAGCTGAGTCAAGAAGGAAGAGGGGAAAATTGCTCGCTGTCTACCTTCTATCTGTGTGCCCTGTCCTGTTCGAGTTCGCGAGTATATGAAAACCTCTGAATTTGGATTACTTCTCCTAGTTTTCATAGTCAAGTACGAACTACTGCCCCGTCCAAGACATATTTTTTACCCCAAAACAAATTATAATTAACGTTAAACCAATGGGCATCGGAGATGGAAATCGATACGCGCCTTTGTTCTCCAACTGAGAGTACTGGTGCGCTTATCGCCACTTGGGGTATGAGGGCTCAGATCCACCTAAAGGCAGCCTCTGGTTGCTGTTCTCTCCCTCTAGGGTACGGGAATCCTTTCAAGGTGAAAATTAGGTAGGTGGAAGATACAAACGACACCTCCCGTGAGTTTTGCATTCAGAACTCGCTGACTCAGGTTATTCCTGGATGGCTGTGAAAAAAACTTAAAGAAACCCGAGGGGGCACCCGGATTTGAACCGGGGACCTCTTGATCTGCAGTCAAATGCTCTACCACTGAGCTATACCCCCTCTGGCGGTGGCTCTCTGGTAAATTGTTTTTACATCGATTGATCCCAAAATTTTCATACTTTCACCATTCGTTCAAAATTAGTGTCTCTTTGCTAGATTATACTGAAATTACCAATGAGGAAGGAGAAATTAAAAGACTAGGCCAAGATAGGCCGGGCACAGTGGCTCACGCCTGTAATCCCCAGCACTTTGGGAGGCCGCGTCGGGCGGATCACGAGGTCAGGAGTTCGAGACCAGACTGACCAAGATGGTGAAACCCACCCCCCCCCCCCCCACCTCCGTCTCTACTAAAAATACAAAAAATTAGCCGGTAGCGGTGGCGGGAGCCTGTAGTCCCAGCTACTCAGGAGGCTAAGACAGGAGAATTGCTGCAACCCAGAACCCAGGAGGCGGGGGTTGCAGTGAGCCGAGATCATGCCACTGTACTCCAGCCTGGGCGACACAGCGAGACTCCATCTAAAAAAAAAAAAAAGGCTAGGCCAAGACGTGGTGGCAGTTTGAAAAGCGTGTGAATTTAGGTGCCAATCTGCTTTGTCTAGGTTCAGTTCTTTTTTTTTTTTTTTCTCCAGACGGAGTCTTCCTCTGTAACCCAGGCTGGAGTGAGTGCAGTGGCGCAATCTCGGCCTCCCGGATTCAAGCGATTCTCCTGCCTCAGCCTCCCGAGTAGCTGGGATTACAGGCGCCCGCCACCGCGCCCAGCTAATTTTTGTATTTTTAGTAGAGATGAGTGTTCCACCATGTTGGCTAGGCTGGTCTCGAACTTCTGACTTCATGATCTGCCCGCCTTGGCCTCCCGAAGTGCTGGGATTACAGGCATGAGCCACCGCACCCCTGCTTGGTTCAATTTTTGTTTGTTTGTTTGTTTGTTTTCCATTTTGTGGAGATGGGGGCAGGTGGTGGGTGAAGGAGGCCGTCTCCCTATGTTGCCCAGAGACGGAATTTCGCTCTCCTTGATCAGTCGGGATTGCAATAGTGCGATCTCGGCTCACCGCAACCTGTGCCCCCCAGGTTCAAGCAATTCTCCTGCCTCAGCCTCCCGAGTAGCTGGGATTACAGGCATGCACCACCACGTCTGGCTAATTTTGTATTTTTAGTAGAGACGGGGTTTCTCCATGTTGGACAGGCTGGCCTTGAACTCCCGATCTCAGGTGATCTGCCCACCTTGGCCTTCCAAAGTGCTGGGATTACAGGCGTGAGCCACCACACTCGGCCTAGGCTCAATTCTTTATCCACAATCCCACTCATCTCTCCCCGCTAGCAAGTCAGAGAACAACCTCCTGCAAAACTGGATAAAGTTTTTCCTTGGTCTCTCCAAAAAGAATACGAACACGCCATTGCACTCCAGCCTGGGCAACAAGTTTCGCTCTCAACAAGAGCGAAACTCCGTTGCAAAAAAGAAAAAAAAAAAAAACTAAGTAAGAAAGAAATCCTGCAATATGCAATAACGTGGATGAACCTTGAGGATATTATGCTAAGTGAAGCAGGCCAGTTACAGAAGACCAAATACTGCATGATTCCACTTATATGAGGTTTCTAACATAGTCAGACTCCCAGAAGCAGAGAGTAGAACGATTGTTGCCAGGGGCTGGAGGGAGTTGCTGATCAATAGGTCTAAAATGTCAGTTCTGCAAGATGAAAAAACTCTAGAAATCGGCTGTACAACATTTTGCCTTCAATTAACAATACTGTATTGTATAGTTGAAAATCTAAGAGGGTCTGCCAGGCATGGTGTCTCATGCCCATAATCCCAGCACTTTTGGAGGCCAGGGCAAGAGGATCACTTGAGCCCAGGAGTTTGAAACCAGTTTGGGCGACATGGTGAGATTCCCATCTCTACAAAAAAAATTTAAAAATTAGCCAGGTATGGTGGTGTGTACCTGTAGTCCCAGCTACTTGGGAGGCTGAGGCAGGAGGATTGCTTGTGCCCAAGAGGTCAAGGCTGCAGTGAGCCAGGGTGACGGAGCAAGACTCTGTCTCAAGAAAAAAAGAGAGAGAGAGAAGCCAGTTGGGAATCTATTGTAATAATACGGGTCAGAGATGGTGGTGATGTCTTAGACTACAGTGTTTTATTAGTTTTATATTGCTGATATAACAAATTACAGTCTATTTGCATAAAACAACAGAAATTTATTATCTTCACAGTTCTGGAGGTCAGAATCCCAAAATCAATTTCACTGGGCTGGCTGGGCTCGGTGGCTCATGCCTGTAATCCCAACACTTTGGGAGGCCAAGGCAGGCAGATCACGAGGTCAGGAGTTCGAGACCAGCCTGGCCAATATGGTGACATCCCTTCTCTACCAAAAATAGAAAAATTAGCCAGGCATGGTGGCTCACGCCTGCAGTCCCAGCTACTCAGGAAATTGAGGCAGAAGAATCGCTTGAACCTAGGAGGCGGAGGTTGCAGTGAGCCGAGATGGTGCCACTGCACTCCAGCCTGGGTGACAGAGTAAGACTCCATCTTAAAAAAAAAAAAAAAAAAAAATCCACAGGGCTAGAATTAAAATGTTAGTATGACTGCATTCCTTCTGTAGGCTTTAGGGGAGAATCCGTTTCCTTGACTTTCCCAGCCTATAGAGGCCGCTACATTGCTGCCTCATTGCCTCTTCCCCAGTTGTCAAAGCCAGCAGCATATCATCCTGTCTCCGTCTAGCCTTGGTTTCCATGCTTCCATGTTACCATCTCCTCTCTCTGTGACTCTGATCCTCCTGCCTCCCTCTTGTAAGGACCTGTGGGATTACACTGAGCTCACCTGGATAATCCAGGATAACCTCACATCTCAAGATATTTAATTTAATCATATCTGTAAAGTTGCTTTTATCATGAGAGGTAACATAGTCACAAATAGATTCACAAGGAGACTGGGATGTAGACATGTTTGGAGCGTCATTATTTAGTCTATTACAAGTAGGAACAAGTAGAACAGCCGAGCTAGAGAAGAATGCAGGTGGCCAGGCACAATGGCTCACGCCTGTAATTCCAGCACTTTGGGAGGCCCAGGTGGGCAGATCACCTGAGGTCAGGAGTTCGAGACCAGCCTTCTCAACATGGCAAAACCCCACTCTACAAAAAACACAAAAATTACCCAGGTGTGGTGGCACACACCTGTAATTCCAGCTACTCGGGAGGCTGAAGCAGGAGAATCAATAGAACCCAGGGGTGGGAGGTTGCAGTGAGCCAAGATCGCACCCCTGCACTCCACCCTGGGTGACAGAATGAGACTCCATCTAAAAAAAAAAAAAAAAAAAAAAAAAACAAAAACGCCAGGCGCGATGGGTCATGCCTGTAATCCAAGCACTTTGGGAGGCCAAGGTGGGTGGATCACCTGGGGTCAGGAGTTCGAGACCAGCCTGGCCAACATGGTGAAACCACGTCTCTACCAAAAACACAAAAAATTAGCCAGCCATGGTTGTGGGTGCCTGTAATCCCAGCTATTCCGGAGGCTGAGGCAGGAGAATTGCTTGAACCCAGGAGGCAGAGGTTGCAGTGAGCCAAGATCACACCACTGCACTCCAGCCTGGGCAAGAGGAGCAAAACTTAGTCTTGGAGGGAAAAAAAACAGAAAGAAAAGAGAAAAATCCCACTGAGAAAGGGGCGAGTTTAGGGGAAAAAAAATGAGTTTATTTTTAAAACTCTTAAAAGAAAGTAACAAAGTACAGCCCCATGTCCTCACAGACATCATGTTCCAGTATTGGGATGAACATGTTTCATTTAAGGTGCTTAACTGATATTTAAGAGTATGCGTTTCGAAGCCTGGCGCGGGGGCTCACGCCTGTAACCCCAGCACTTTGGGAGGCCAAGGTGGGCGGATCACGAGGTCAGGAGATCGAGACCATCATGGTGAACACGGTGAAACCCCGTCTCTACTAAAAATACAAAAAAATTAGCCAGGCGTGGTGGCGGGTGCCTGTAGTCCCAGCTACTCAGGAAGCTGAGGCATGAGAATGGCATGAGCCTGGGGGGCAGAGCTTGCAGTGAGCCGAGACCGCACCACTGCACTCCTGCCTGGCTGACAGAGGAGACACCCTCTCAAAAAAAAAAAAAAAAAAAAAAAAGGAAGAGGCAAGCTCTTCATCTGACAGCAAGAGGAGAAAGAAGGTGTGGAAGGTTTAAGAAAGGAGAGACTGTGTGAAATAGTCATTTTGGAGCATGAAAAAGTAAACATATTTGGGCAATAGTGAAGCAATGCTAGACAGAAAGCATGTTTTACATTGATTGGCACAAACTTGTGCACCTTTTTTCTTCAGCAACATTCAGCTGCTTGGGTGCAGGTTTGGTGGAATCCCATCGGTGAGTTTAACTAGGCTGTAGTTTGGTGATTACGACCAGGGATTACCATGAACCAGGCACTGCGCCGACTACTTTGGAAAATGCAAGAAATAATGCAACATGATCCCTACCCTCAAAAAATGCACAATCTTGGCCGGGTGTGATGGCTCACGCCTCTACTCCCAGAACTTTGGGAGGCAGAGGCGGGCGGATCACTTGAATTTAGGAGTTCAAGGCTAGCCTGGCCAACATGGTGAAACCCCGTCTCTACAAAAAATACAAAAATTAGCTGGGCCTGGTGGTGCGCACCTGTAATCCCAGCTACTCAGGAGGCTGAGGCACTAGAATCCCTTGAACCCAACAGGCGGAGGTTGCAGTGAGCCGAGATGGTGTCAGTGCACTCCAACCTGGACCACAGAGCGAGACCAAAAAAAAAGTAAAAAATTGGTAGTGAGAAGGAAGAAAATGAACAGGCAATCACAGGTAAAAGACTTTTCTGGCCGGGCCAGGTGGCTCACGCCTGTAATCCCAGCACTTTGGGAGGCCGACGCGCGCGGATCACCTGAGGTCGGGAGTTCGAGACCAGCCTGACCAACAGGGAGAACCCTCGTCTCTACTAAAAATACAAAATTAGCCGGGGTGGTGGCGCATGCCTGTAATCCCAGCTACTCGGGAGGCTGAGGCAGGAGAATCGCGTGAACCCGGGAGGCGGAGGTTGTGGTGAGCCGAGATCACGCCATTGCATTCCAGCCTGGGCAACAAGTGGGAAACTCCGTCTCAAAAAAAAAAAAAAAAGAAGAATACTTTCCTAATGGAAACCTGTTGATGTTTGAAGGAGCCAGGGGAAGAGGAAGTGATTGAAGATGCTGGAGAAAATGGAGACAACGGAGACACACCTGGCCCGGAAGCAGAGATGGTCTTGGGAAGGACAAGGGAAGTACTTCCTCTTGTGTGCAAAGCACGGGGCTGAGGATTCACTGCAGCTCACGTTGCAGGCACAGAGGCTAAAAAATTGACTTGAAGCATTCCCAAATGCAGCCGGACGCGGTGGCTCACGGCTGTAATCCCAACACTTTGGGAGGCGGAGGTGGGCAGATCCTGAGGTCAGGAGTTCGAGACCAGCCTGACCAACATGGTGAAACCCACGTCACTACTAAAAATATAAAAATTAGCCCGGTGTGGTGGCGGGTTCCTGTAGTCCCAGCTACTCGGGAGGCTGAGGCAGGAGAATGGCGTGAACCCGGGAGGCGGAGCTTGCAGTGAGCCAAGATGGCGCCACTGCACTGCAGCCTGGGCAACAGAGCGAGACTCCATCTCAAAAAAATAATAAAAATAAATAATAAAATAAGAGAATTCCCAGATGCCAGAGGTAAAAAAGGCTGTAGTGGAAAAAAAAGGGGGCGCTATAGTGATGGAAAAGAGGGATCCCACTGCACATCCGTACAAGACCCTCAAGCCAGAATCAGAGAGGACTTAGACTTCTCTTTTCTCTCCCACCACTTTACTTGGGTCCAGATCACTCTAAATAGTTTATCATAGACACCAAACTATTCTGAATCACTGCAGGCAATGTCTGATCAGAAAACACTACATTTAAGACGCAGTCTTCCTTTTTTTGGTAGAGGGGGTATAGCTCAGGGGTAGAGCATTTGACTGCAGATCAAGAAGTCCCCGGTTCAAATCCGGGTGCCCCCTCACAGCCACCGTTTTAACACAGTGACGGGCAAGAAAGATAAAGCTCTCGGAGCATTCTGTGGTGGATACTGGGAAAATAATAAACTACGTATTACCCCCTTTTCACCTTCATAGACTTCACCTTCTACAAAGTATATCAACATACAAACTGGTAAGTTATAGGAGGATGTGTTATCTGCAACTTTGGAGTGTTCTCTGAATCCCTGGTAGTTGTAAGTGTGATGTGGGGATCCTGGGTGTCCTTTAGGCCCTTTCTGCGTGCAAGAAAGGATTTTTTTTTTTAAGGTAGTCTCGCTCTGTCGCCCAAGCTGGAATGCAATGGCTTGATCTCAGCTCACTGCAAACTCTGCCTCCCAGGTTCAACTGATTCTTCTGCCTCAGTCTCCCGAGTAGCTGGGATTACAGGCATGCGGCACCTCACTCGGCTAATTTTTGTATTTTTAGTAGAAACAGGGTTTCTCCATGTTGGTCAGGCTGGTCTCGAACTCCTGACCTCAGGTGATCCACCCGCCTCGGCCTCCCAAAGCGCTGGGATAACAGGCGTGAGCCCCCGCGCCCAGCCAGAATAATAATAATAATTATTATTATTTTTGAGATGGAGTCTCACTTTGTCACCCAGGCTGGAGTGCAGTGGCGCCGTCTTGGCGTCTTGGCTCACTGCAAGCTCCGCCTCCCAGGTTCACGCCATTCTCCTGCCTCAGCCTCCCGAGTAGCTGGGACTACAGGCGCCCGCCATCACGCCCGGCTAATTTTTCGTATTTTTTAGTAGAGACTGGGGTTTCACTGTGTTAGCCAGGATGGTCTCGATCTCCTGACCTCGTGATCCGCCCGCCTCGGCCTCCCAAAGTGCTGGGATTACAGGCGTGAGCCACCACGCCTGGCCTATTTTCTTGATAATATTAGTGAGACCCTTTCTGTGCAGAGGAAAGAATTATTTTAATAATAATGTCATTTTTTTTCTGTCTTACTCTTGCTCTTTCATGAGAATACAGTGGAGATTTCCAGAGATTAAATGTGTGAAATCACAACAGATTAGTGTAAAAACATGAAAAACCAGTTCTTTCATCAAGCCAGGTATTAAAGGGATTTAAAAAAAAATAAGTAAAGCAAAGTCACCCTTCTCACTAAATTATTTTTGTTTGGAAAAATATAGTTACATTTATTTATTTTATTTTATTTTATATTTGAGACAGGGTCTCTGTTGCCCAGGTTGGAGTGCAGTGGCGCAATCATGGCTCACTGTAGCCTCAACCTCCCAGGCTCAAGTGATCTTCCTGCTTCCGCCTCCTGTGTAGTTAGGACCATAGGCTCACGCCACCACACCTAGCTAATTTTTTGATATTTTGTAGAAATAGGATCTCACTTTGTTGTCCAGGCTGGTCTCAAACTCCTGAGGACAAGTGATCCTCCCGCTGGGATTACAGGCCTGAGCCACCAAACTTGACCTATTCCTCATTCTAAAATGTTATTTACTTTAGCAAAAAATGGGTTTATTGTTATTTTACGTGAAGTAATAACTTTCTTAACTTTAATTTATAATATGGTAAATGTCATCAGATATAACCTATATGAACAAAAACTCCTTGAGGTCTTTAATAATTTAGGAGTGTAAAGGAGGCTGGGCAAGGAGGCTCATGCCTGTAATCCCAGCACTTTGGGAGGCCGAGGTGGGCTGATCACCTGAGGTCAGGAGTTAGAGACAACCCTGACCAACATGGAAAAACCTCATCTCTAACAAAAATACAAAATTAGCCAAGCGAGGTGCCGCATGTCTGTAATCCCAGCTACTCGGGAGGCTGAGGCAGGAGAATCGCTTGAACCCGGGAAGCAGAGGTTGCATTGAGCTGAGATCACACCATTGCACTCCAGCCTGGGCAACAAGAGCAAAACTTCGTCTCAAAAAAAAAAAAAGGGCCGGGCACAGTGGCTCACGCCTGTAATCCCAGCACTTTGGGAGGCCGAGGCGGATGGATCACCTGAGTTCAGGAATTTGAGACCAGACTAGCCAACATGGTGAAACCCCGTCTCTACTAAAAATATAAAAAAATTAGCCGGGCGTGGTAGTGGGCGCCTGTAATCCTAGCTACTCAGGAGGCTAAGGCAGGAGAATTGCTTGAACCCAGGAGATGGAGGTTGCAGTGAGCCAACATGGTCCCACTGCACTCCAGCCTGGGTGACAGAGTGAGATTCTGTCTTAAAAAAAAAAAAAAAAAAAAAAGAGTGTAAAGGGGTCTAAAATGAAAATATTTGAGAACCACAGCTCCTAGTAAAGAAGTGGCTCAGAGAATAAACTGCTGGGGTTGTGAAACGGCTCAGAGAAGAAATGATACCTGAGCAGAGTTTTAAAGAACAGGTTGGACGGGCATGGTGGCTCACACCTGTAATCCTAGCACTTTGGGAGGCTGAGGCAGGTGGATCATTTGAGGTCAGGAGTTCGAGACTAGCCTGACCAACATGGTAAAATCCCCATCTCTACTAAAAATACAAAAAAAAAAAAAAATTAGCTGGCCATGGTGGTGTACACCTGTAATTCCAGCTACTTGGGAGGCCGAAGCAGGAGAATCACTTGAATCCTGGAGGCAAAGGTTGCAGTGAGCTGAGATGGTGCCATTACACCCCAGCCTGGGCAACAAGAGTGAAACTCTGTCTCAAAATAAATAAATAAATAAATAACACATAGTGGCTAAAGCAGGTGAATGCATAAATACAAGAAAGTGTGAATCTAAGCTATATGTCCAGAAATCCTAACTGGTTTGGTGTTTCTGGTGTGTGAAATATAAGAGGCAAGGTGGCAGAAGATGGAGCCAGGGAAGAGGTAGGCCATTTCAAGTGACTTCGATGCTTAAACAGCTTGGACTGTATTCTATAAGTACCAGAGGGTCGGTACATGTTTTTTGTTTTGTTTTCTTGTTTTTTTTTTTTTTTTTTTTCCTTGAGATGGAGTCTCACTGCATGCCCAGGCTGGAGTGCGGTGGGGCAACCTCGGCTCACTGCAACTCTGCCTCCTGGGTTCAAGCAATTCTTCTGCTTAGCCTCCTGAATACCTGGGATCACAGGTGCGTGCCATCACCCCTGACTAATTTTTGTATTTTTATTAGAGACAGGGTTTCACCATGTTGGCCAGGCTGGTCTCAAACTCCTGGCCTCGGGTGATCTGCCTGCCTCGGCCTCCCAAAGTGCTGGGATTACAGGTGTGAGCCACCATGCCTGGCCAGCACATGATTTTAAGCAGTGGGAAATTATGGTCTGACCATATAGAGGCCGATGCAATAGCTTTGAAACAAAGGCAGAACGTGGAAGGCATGGGCAGAAAAATTTAGGAAACAGAGTCAAGTTGATAGACCTTGGTGACTACTTCTAGGAGCCTGGGAGAAGAGAATTAATTGTGTCCCTGTTTTTTGGTTGAGACACTGGTGGTAGTACCAACCAGGAACACTATTCCTCCTATAACCATAGCCTTCTCCATCTTGGTTGACGGCAATGATATCTTCCAATTGCTCAGGCCTAAAGACTTGGAGACATTTTGATTCCTATCTTTCATACCCCACATTTTATTGGCTCTACCTCCAAAACACATCCAGAATCTGACTACATTACATCCACTACTACCATTCTAGTCCAAACCACCATCATTTCTCTCCTGGGTTACTGCAATAGCTTCCTAATGGATCTTCTTACTTCTATCCCTGTGTCCTCTCCCACAGTGTAGTCTCAACAACTCAACCACAGTGATCCTTCTGACACATTAGTCAAATCATGTCCCTCCTCTGCTTAAAATCAAAGAATGTTTCCTCATTTCACTCAGCCAATGCCAAAGTCCACAGTGGTTTCATTCCATGACTTCCTTTTTTTGAGACAGAACTCTCGCTCTGTCACCTAGGCTGGAGTGCAATGGTGTGATCTCGGCTCACTGCAACCTCTGCCTCCCAGGTTCACATGATTCTCCCACCTCAACCCACCAAGTAGCTGGGATTACAGGCACCTGCCATCATGCATGGTTAATTTTTGTATTTTTGTAGAGACAGGGTTTCACCATGTTGGCCAGGCTGGTCTTGAACTCCTGACCTCAGGTTATCACCTGCCTTGGCCTCCTAAAGTGCTGGGATTACAGGTGTGAGCCACCGTTCCATTACTTCTGACTGCATTTCTTACTACTTTGCTCTTTACTCGTCCTGTCCAGTCACATCTGGCTTCCTTGCTGGTGCTCATTCGGTTCAGTCACACCCCTGCCTTAGGGCTTTTTATTGGAAAATGACAAAGGGTTTCTCTCTGTAGCCCAGGTTGGAGTGCAGTGGTGCAATCACGGCTCACTGCAGTCCCCAATTCCTGGGTTTAAGTGATTCTCCTGCCTCAGATTCCCATGCCACCAGCTTATTTTATTTTATTTTATTTTAAGACAGAGTCTCGCTCTGTTGCTCAGGCTGGAGTGCAGTGGCGCAATCTGGGCTCACTGCAACCTCCGCCTCCCGGCTTCAAACAATTCTCCTGTCTCAGATTCCTGGGTACTTGGGATTACAGGTTGCCCACCACCATGCCCAGCTGATTTTTGTATTTTTAGTAGAGATGGGGTTTCACCATGACGGGCAGGCTGGTCTCAAATTTCTGACCTCAGATGATCTGCCTGCCTCAGCCTCCCAAAGTGCTGGGATTACAGGCATGAGCCACTGTACCCAGCCGCCACCAGCTAATTTTTAAATGTTTTGTAGAGATGGACTCTCCCTATGTTGCCCAGGCAGGTCTCAGACTCCTGGGCTCAAGGGATCCTCCTGCTTCAACCTCCCAAATTGTTTCGGGATTATAGATGTGAGCCACTGTGCCTGGTTTCATGTCAATATCTTTTTTTTTTTTTTTTTGAGACGGAATCTTGCTCTGTCACCCAGGCTAGAGTGCACTGGCGCGATCTCGGCTCACTGCAACCTCCACCTCCTGGGTTCCAGTGATTCTCGTGCCTCAGCCTCCCGAGTAGCTGGGGACTGCAGGCACGCACCACGCCTGGCTAATTTTTTGTATTTTTAGTAGAGACAGGGTTTCGCCATGTTGCTTGGGCTGGGTCTTCAGCTCCTGAGCTGAGGCAGTCTACCAGCCTCGGCCTCCCAAAGTGCTAGAATTACCGGCATGAGCCACCATGCCTTGCTAATTTTTGTATTTTTAGTAGAGACAGAGTTTTGCTATTTAGGGCAAGCTGGTCTCTGACTCCTGACCTCAAGTAATACACCCACCTTGGCCTCCCAAAGTGATGGAATTACAGGCATGAGCCACCACACCTGGCCCCATTTTTGTTTTGTTTTGTTTTTTTTTTTTTGAGACAGAGTTTCAAACGCTCTTGTTGCCCAGGCTGGAGTGCAATGGTGCAATCTCAGCTCACTGAAACCTCCACCTCCCGGGTTTCAAGAGATTCTCCTGCCTCAGCCTCCTGAGTAGCTGGGATTACAGGCATGTGCCACCACGCCCAGCTAATTTTGTATTTTTAGTAGAGATGGGGTTTCTCCAAGTTGGTCGTCAGGCTGGTCTCAAACTCCCGACCTCAGGTGATCCGACCGCCTCGGCCTCCCAAGGCGCTGGGATTACAGGCGTGAACCACTGCGCCTGGCTAATGTTTGTATTGTTGTAGAAACGAGGTTTCACCATTTTGGCCAGGTTGGTCTCGAACTCCTGACCTCAGGTGATCTGCCCGCCTTGGCCTCCCAAAGTGCTGGGATTACAGGCGTGAGCCAGCGCGCCCGGCCGATTACCAGTTGTTTTTAATATAGATAAATACATAGAGATAGATATATCTCTATCTATCTCTATAGATATATATCTCTATAGAGATAGAGAGAGAGAGAGAGATAGATAGAGATAGATAGATAGATATCGGCCGTGGAGGTTGCGGTGAGCCAAGATCGCGCCACTGCACTCCAGCCTGGGCAACAAGAGCGAAACTCCGTCTCAAAAAAAAAAAAGAAAGAAAGAAAGAAAAGAAAGAAAAGAAAA
Organism: Homo sapiens; assembly: GCF_000001405.40. NCBI lineage: Eukaryota > Metazoa > Chordata > Mammalia > Primates > Hominidae > Homo > Homo sapiens. The sequence continues at coordinate 38,855,710 of NC_000017.11, read as the reverse complement.
AGAAAAAAAAACTGGTAATCAATTTATTAAAATAGTTGACTTAAGCATCTGCAATGGTGACTTCCACCTCAACTCCTGGCTCAATACTGATGGAAGTAATCTGCTTAACAATCTCAGAAGGACTGTGCAAGTCAATGAGTCACTTGTGGATTCTCATCTGGAAATGATCCCATGTCTTAGAACCTTCACCACAAAGTTTTTCTTGAAGTGATTCTCAAAGTCTTGGCAGGCATTCGAACTGGTCCTTTCACTTTGAGATTATTTTCCTTTGCTCCTCTGATCAAGTCAGCACACACCTTCTCCAGGGATTTTACGATGCGGCTCGTTAGAGTGACTCGAATTCGTGAATTGCCACCTCCGCCTCCCTGGGTGTTTTTCCGGTATCCTTAAAAGCCATGGCTGCTGCGCGGCTTCCTGAGCGACTGGTTCCTCGGCGAGGGCGAACAGCGGTGAGTCAGTAGCAGGAGCGTGCGGATCAGCGATCCGCAACACCTACGACCGCGTCTTCCTCAAAGAGCTATTTATCTATATACATTTTTGAGACGGAGTCTAGCTCTGTCGCCCAGGCTGGAGTGCAGTAGCGCGATCTCGGCTCACTGCCGCCTCTGCCTTCTGGGTTCAAGCGATTCTCCTGCCTCAGCCTCCGGAGTAGCTGGGATTACAGGCGCCCGCCACCACGCCCAGCTAATTTTTGTATTTTTAGTAGAGACGGAGTTTCCCTGTGTTGGCCAGGCTAGTCTCGATCTCCTGACCTCGTGATCCACCCGCCTCGGCCTCCCAAAGTGCTGGGATTACAAGCGTGAGCCACAAGGCCCGGCCACTATTTATATTTTACACTTGATCTTGGCCAAAAGGCCGAGAAGCGATACTATTTATATTTTTATAATACATATCCCCATCTAACATACTACATACTGCAATTACTTATTATATCTTTTGTTTAGTGTCTAATATCCTCCTCCACCTGCACCCCAGCAGAATGTAAGCTCCATAAGGAAAAGAATGTTGATCTATTTTGTTCTCTGATGTAATCCGCTGTACGCCCTGGACAGAACCTGCTGTAAAGTAGGAGCTCAATAAGTATGTGAATTAATGTATCGTGGGAAGGAAAGAACCCAGAGAATAAGGGGCGGCTGAAGCTGTGAAAGGAGCAATTAGGCCTGGCGCGGGGGCTCACGCCTGTAATCCCAGCACTTTGAGGGACCAAGGCGGGCAGATCACTTGAGATCAGAAGTTCGAGACCAGCCTGGCCAATAACATGGCGAAACCCCGTCTCTACTAAAAATACAAAAATTAGCCCAGCGTTGTGGCGGGCGCCTGTGGTCTCAGGTACTCTGAGGCTGAGACAGAGAATTGCTTGAACCCGGAAGACGGAGGTTGCAGTGAGCTGAGATCTCGCCACTATACTCCAGCCTGGGCGACAGAGTGAGACTCGGTCTCAAAAAAAGAAAAAAAGAGTGTGTGTTGGGGGGGACGGGTCAATAAATAGAGCAATACTGTATATGTAAAATACAGAATGGTATGATACCAAGAACACATAGATGGAATGATCTGCAGCACTTCTCAACTGTATTACATTCAACGAAACCGTTTAGAGCTTGTTCTCCCTCCCTCCCCCACTTTCTTTGTTCCTTGGGGAACCCCCACACGGCACAAACCGTGTTTTAATTCCTATTCTCTAGTGTGCAGATAAGTGCCTGGCACTATTAAGTGGTCAAAAGAGGTCGTGAGCAAGTTAACAAATCACTGTTTCCATGTCCCTAACTACTCTTAAGCTCGTAGAGAAGATACTTCCTATCTCTTGCGCTTCTACCTCAACTCCCACTTCGCAGAGAGGGCTAAAAGCGACGTCGTAAACTTATTACGTAATAAGGCAGCGCCCAGAGGCGGAAGAGGCCGGTTTTTGCTCCGGCCACGTGAGGAGGGTGGGCGGGGCGTTAAAGTTCATATCCCAGTGTCCTTTGAATCGACTTCCTTTTTTCTTTTTTCCGGCGTTCAAGATGTCGAAGCGAGGTGAGGTTTTGTTTCTGGAGGATCCTCCACCATCTGTCGTGCAGTGGCTGGCGGATTCGTCAGGAGCGGTGGCCCTAGGCAGCTGGGGCGCTTTGCTCTCCTTCAGGCCGGAGAGAGAGAGCCAGGCCACCGCGAGAGCACTGCCAGGGCCCTCGAAAGTGGCAGTGGGGTGCTGGAGAGTTGAGATGGCAGGATCCCGACGTGAATGTAGTCTGGATACCGCGAGATCGCTCCGCGAATAGGGCTATCGTAATGGGGTTGAAGTTAGACTGGATTAGGCCCTGGTTTGCGCGACCTCTGCGGTTTTATGCCTTGCAGGAGTAATTGCGTTTTGCGAAAGTTAGAGCAAGGGTTGAGTCGTCTAGGTTTCTTAATTTCGATGTCAGAGTGTTAATAGTAAGAAATAGGCTACTTTCCGTGAGAATCGGGTGGCACATGGGGACGGCATAAGTAAAATCCGAGCGAGCTAATCTATAGCGTACAGTCTATCAAAGCATGTGCGGTGAATTACAGCTTGAGTATGAGGGGGAACTCCGAACCATGTCTAGATTGTGATCTCTTTATCCTGTTTCCCTTCCCTTTATATCCACAGGACGTGGTGGGTCCTCTGGTGCGAAATTCCGGATTTCCTTGGGTCTTCCGGTAGGAGCTGTAATCAATTGTGCTGACAACACAGGTGAGGTCTTTGCACGTTGCTATACTCCCCCTTTTAAAAGCACTCAATGGGCCTGTGGCTAATGACCTATTGAGCCGTCAAGAAAGGGGAGAGTGAAAACATCGCTTTTGGGTGAAGTGGCAACATGTGTTGTTTGCTTCAATCGGTGGTGTGACAAGGCGTTCTTGCGGACTAACTGCTTGGGCAGTGAGTGGAGGGAGGGGCTTTGGAAGTGTTTGGGAAATGTTATACTGATGGAACGGCCTGATGGCCCTCAACATTTTTTATTTTTATTTACATTCTTTTGTAGGAGCCAAAAACCTGTATATCATCTCCGTGAAGGGGATCAAGGGACGGCTGAACAGACTTCCCGCTGCTGGTGTGGGTGACATGGTGATGGCCACAGTCAAGAAAGGCAAACCAGAGCTCAGAAAAAAGGGTGAGTAAACACTGAGCCCACCTTAATACTGATGAGTAGTGGGGGGACGCTTTCCTTTATTGGAAAATGGATCAGTTTTCAAGGCCTCAAGTTTGTTTTCCATTGAGAGGCAGTGTGAGATAAGTATCTTAAGTTTTTGCTCATATTGTGTTGGAGGGGGGACCATCATCTTGTCACTTCCATACCTTAGTTGTTTTTTTGTTGTTGTTTTTGTTTTGTTTTGTTTTGTTTTTTGAGATGGAGTCTCTCTCTGTCGCCCAGCCCATACTGGAGTGCAATGGCACGATCTTGGCTCACTGCAACCTCCGCCTCCTGGGCTCTCAAAAAAAAATATATTACAAAACGAAAACAAGCTGCCCGTTGCTTATTTTATTATTTGTTTTTGAGATGGAGTCTCACTTGTTGCCCAGGCTGGAGTGCAGTGGCACATATCTGTTCACTGCAACCTCCACCTCCCGGGCTCAAGAGATTGTCCTGCCTCAGCCTCCCGAGTAGCTGGGATCATAGGTGTGCACCACCACACCCGGCTAATTGCTCATTACTTAATCTCAGGCTCCCCACTCAAAATTTTTCCTGTCAGGTGTATGATTTAAAGGGGGAGGCCTCAAAATACTTGCAGCTTGTGTCCTGTCTGGCTTTAGAACTTCTGGTGTTTGGTGCATTTTAACTTCAGCGCTTGCACTTTTTTCCTGTGCCTGCCTAATCTGTCTCTACCCTGGGATGTCTTGCTCTTCTAAAGAGTTCCTGGCCATCCCTTGATTTACAAATGTGATGTTGATTTGTCAGCCCTGTATTACAGTTACTCCTATTCCTGTATCCACCCCACGATGCTGTCCAGTAGATTTTTAGCCTTTGGGTTAGAAATTGTTTTTTGTTCACCATTAATATCCATTTGAGGGCTGGGTAGCACTGTGATTGTGATTCAGCAATTGCATGGGCTTTTTCCTCTTCTCAGAACACTTCCTGGGTCTGATTGGTGGCCCAGGGAGCTGTCAGAGAAGAGCAGAGCAAATGGCCTTCACTTTGTAGATGAGATGGCAGGAGGGTGGATTGTTGGTCTCAGTCAGTGGTGGGACAGACCAGAGCTCCGAACACTTCAGTTTTAAAACTAGTTGTGAGTTTCCAATTCTGTTAATGTCTTTTTTGGTCCTTGTTTCTGCTAAATGAATACATCCCCTCCCCTTGGAACTTAATATCAATAAATAACAAGCACAGAAATATGCAAAAGGACCAGGTCTACTTGAAGAATTTGTGAGGATTAAATGGTTTATGAGTAGAGGAGGGTCAGTCAGTAAGTATTGGCTACCTCATGTGTGTCCCATTACTAACTTGGTTAGACTTATCTATTTTTTGTGTAGTCTTCCTGTCATAAAAATTCTGTGTAAGGACCCCATGCTAGTATCAGTGAAGATTGTGAATCCAGGTGTGTCTGACTCTACAATAGTTCTTCACAAGCATTATATTTCACTGTGTAGTGATACTTCATTTTGAAAGTTGGGAAAAGCGTCTTTTTCACTTTAGTACAGATGGGTATAAAAGTTACTTAGGACACTAGAAAACAGTTCATTAAAAGTAAAACAAAGCCTGGTGCTTGGGCCCAGGAATTCAAACTGTTTTCCAGTGTAAATCTGAATAGCTTGGTCTCTGCTCATTGCCAGGACTGGGAGGAGTTGGGGGTCCCAGGTCCCATTTCTACATCCCAATTCAGTGATACTGGGATCTTAATAACCTACCTGTAAGGTGAAGTTGGAAAAGGCATAGGCAAGGATAGTTGTCCTGAGAGTTTTACACTTGTGAGAAAATACTGGCAGCTTTGATTTTAAGATGTGAATAGATGATCGTGGTTCATGCCTTTACTCCCTATACTCCCAGCACTTTGGGAGGCCAGGCTTGCCAACATGGCAAAACCCTGTCTCTATGAAAAAAAAAAAAAAATCTGGGCATGGTAGTGTGCACCTGTAGTCCAAGATACTAGAGAGGCTGAGGTGGGAGGATCACCTTGAAGATTGATATTTACACTGTCACTGTCTCAAACGCTGAGTGTACATTCTGTCTAGTTGGAAACTGCTTTTGTGGTGGCACTGCGACTTGACAGGTTAATGACTGCTGTCCTTTTTTCTTCTCTCAGTACATCCAGCAGTGGTCATTCGACAACGAAAGTCATACCGTAGAAAAGATGGCGTGTTTCTTTATTTTGAAGATAATGCAGGAGTCATAGTGAACAATAAAGGCGAGATGAAAGGTAGGAAATCAGTCCAGCTTGTTCCTTAGGTCTCTGAGGTTGGGTGGATTGTCTAGAAGTACAGGCCAAGGATCTTCTGTGTTTGACGATGTCTTAATCTGTCCCCCACATGTTTTTATTTTATTTTATTTTATTTTTTTAATGCAGGTTCTGCCATTACAGGACCAGTAGCAAAGGAGTGTGCAGACTTGTGGCCCCGGATTGCATCCAATGCTGGCAGCATTGCATGATTCTCCAGTATATTTGTAAAAAATAAAAAAAAAAACTAAACCCATTAAAAAGTATTTGTTTGCAGTGCTTGTCTCCCTGTTCACTTCCAGGGTTCAAGCGATTCTCCTGCCTCAGCCTCCTAAGTAGCTGGGATTACAGGCACCTGCCGTCATGCCTGGCTAGTTTTTGTATTTTTGGTGGAGACAGGGTTTCACCATGTTTGCCAAACGACTCAAACTCCTGATCTCAAGTGATCTGCCCACCCAGGCCTCTACAGTGTTTTTGACATACCCTGACCATCACTTTTCTGAAATGGAAACTCTGGGCATTTTTTTTTTAAAGCAATCCTTGCTTTTTTGTGAGTTTGCAGACTTTCAGCATCTTCCAATTGCTGTATTTACAATTTTGGCCTCAAAAAGTATTATTTGGGTTTTGAGTCCCAAAAATAATAGTAGATACTGCTCAATGACTGGCTATACATGGTAGCTTCTCCTGGAGTGAGGAAGGCATTCAAATGGCTGGGCGCGGTAGCTGGCACCTGTAATCCCAACACTTTCGGAGGCCAAGGCAGGCAGATCATGAGGTCAGGAGTTCAAGACCAGGCTGACCAACGTGGTGAAACCTCCTCTTTTCTAAAAATACAAAAATTAGCTGGGCGTGGTGGCGCACCGCCTGTAATCTCAGCTACTGAGAGAATCGCTTGAACCTGGGAGGTGGAGTTTGCAGCGAGTCGAGATTGCACCATTGTACTCCATCCAGCCTGGGCAACGGAGCAAGATTCCGTTCCCGCCCCCGCCCCAAAAAAAGGCATTGAAGTTAAGATAGACTATATAGTTAGATCCTGGACACACACATGGATTTTGAGGAATGATGTGAGTTTGTTTATGTATGTACATTTTAGCAGTTAACAGATTTGGAGTAAATTGAATATTTATAAAACAACAGTAATTGCCATGTAGGTTTACTGTCATAGTGGAAGATGATTAAGTTGATGGTACCTACAGGTATTTTGCTATGAAAATGTTTTGACAAACAGGATGATCGTGTAATTTATGTTCCAAGCTCTAGTTTGAGAATGGAAGAATGTGGTAAATTTTTGCCAACTGAACAGGCATAAAGCGCTGATAATAAGGGACTTGGCCTTAAGGTAGGAGGTTGTTAGCATTTCTTTCTAAACGTGTAAGAGTTTATTTAGGTGACACCCAGCGTTTTGGAAAAATGGGTGTTTGTTTAGAACAATAATTTGGAGGGAAGTGGACTAAACAGGGTTTTTAGATTAAGGTTTGTGTTTATGTATCTGTATCTGCAAATACTCAGCCATAAATGTTTCTACCTGTAAGTTGGGTATAATACAAGCTCCACTTGGTATCAAAAAGGACTACCCTTAGTGTCTTCCATGACTAGTTATGGAATGTACCAGACCTAGAGAGGAGTTGTTCTAACCTGGAGCTTTTGAAAATGTTTCCGGTCCATACCCTAGACCAATTAAGTCAGACTGCAGAATAGGACTCAGACATCAGAATTGTGAAGCTCCCAGGAGATGTCAAGGTATACCCAAGACTGAGAACCAGTACCCTGTCTAGACTGAACCAGGCTTGGTTTTAGAAGTATTAAATCTCGCCTGGGTACGGTGGCTCACACCTATAATCCCAGCACTTTGGGAGGCTGAGGTGGGTGGATCATCTGAGGTCAGGAGAGTGAGACCAGCCTGTCCAACATGTTGAAACCCCATCTCTACTATACAAAATTAGCCAGGCATGGTGGTGCATGCTGTAATCCCAGCTACTTGGGAGGCTGAGGCAGGAGAATTGCTTGAACCCCGGAGATGGAGGTTGCAGTGAGCTGAGGTCGCACGATTGTGCTCCAGCCTGGGCAACCAGTGAAACTCTGGGGGGAAAGAAAAAAAATGTATTAAATCTCTAGTTTTAGAGAGTTACACCATAACATCCCTGAGTATGGTCAATTTCAAGTCAGCTTTAGTGTGACAAGCCCCTAGGCCCACCATTTATGTCTTTATATATTATGGCAATATATGATCCTTATATATTAACCACTAATCGCTGCTGTTTTTGAATGTTATCTTTTCTGAGGCAGTCTTGCTCTGTCACACAGGCTGGAGTGCAGTAACACCACTGAAGCTCACTGTAACTTTGAACTGCTGGACTTGGAATCCTCCTGCTGTGGCCTTCAAAGGGCTGCAATTACAAGTGTGAGCCACTGCATCCCACCTCACATTTTATTCTTTGGAGATTTTTTTTGACTTGGATTAAAAAACTTTATATTTACACTTCACTAAATGTTTTCCTTTGTCAGCTGGGCATGGTGGCTCACACCTGTAATCCCAGCACTTTGGGAGGCCGAGATGGGCTGATCACCTGAGGTGAGGAGTTCAAGACCAGCCTGGCCAACATGGTGAAATCTCGTCTCTACTAAAAATACAAAATTAGCTGGGCGTGGTGACGCGTGCCTGTAGTCCCAATTACTCCGCAGGCTGAGGCAGGAGAATTGCTTGAACCCAAGAGGCAGGGGTTGCAGTGGCGGAAGTTGCAGTGAGCCAGGGAGACTCCATCTCACTCCTGGGCTCCAAGAGACTCCTGGGCTCTTGTTGCCCAGGCTTGAGTGCAGTGGTGCAATCTCAGCTCACTGCAACCTCTGCCTCCTGGGTTCTAGCGATTCTCCTGCCTCAGCCTCCCGAGTACCTGTGACTACAGGTGCCCGCCACCACGCTAGGCTGATTTTTGTATCTTTTTTTTTTTTTTTTTTTTTTTTTTTTTTAGCATTTTTTTATTTTGAGACCGAGTTTCGCTCTTGTGCCCAGGCTGGAGTGCAATGGTGTGATCTCGGCTCACTGCAACCTCCGCCTCCCGGGTTCAAGTGATTCTTCTGCCTCAGCCTCCTGAGTAGCTGGGATTACAGGCATGCACCACCACGCCTGGCTAATTGTGTATTTTTAGTAGAGACCGAGTTTCTCCATGTTGGTCAGGCTGGTCTCCACCTCCCGACCTCAGGTGATCCGCCCCCCTCGGCCTCCCGAAGTACTGAGATTACACGTGTGAGCCACTGCGCCCGGCCAGATATATATATATATATATTGTTTCCTTTGTCACTGTTTATATTCTGCAAGTTCTTTCTAGGTAAAAGTTTTAATAGAATGGATTCAAGATATCAGATCTGATTTATAGTAGCTTGCAACTTGAACAGTAATACATGTACTTTCATAATAAAAATAGTAGTAAATATAAAAAAATAGTAAATTCACTACAAGACCTAGTGGAGCATGCCTATTATCCCGGCTACTCTGGAGGCTGAGATGAGCAATTCTGAAGTCTAGCTACAGGCACGCAAAAATTGGCCGGGTGTGGTGGTGTGTACCTTTAGTCTCAGCTACTCTGGAGGCTGAAGTGGGAGGATCACTTGAGGCCAGGAGGTCAAGGCTACAGTGAGCAATGATCACACTACTGCACTCCAGCCTGGGCAAGACTGTCTCTATGAAAAAAACAAAACAGGCCAGTTACAGTGGCTCACGCCTGTAATCCCAGCACTTTGGGAGGCCGAGGCAGGCAGATCATGAGGTCAGGAGATCAAGACCATCCTGGCTAACGGTGAAACCCCGTCTCTACTAAAAATACAAAAAAAATTAGCCAGGCATGGTGACGGGCACCTGTAGTCCCAGCTATTCAGGAGACTGAGGCAGGAGAATGGCGTGAAACCGGGAGGCGGAGCTTTCAGTGAACCAAGATCGTGCCACTGCACTCCATCCTGGGCGACAGAGTGAGACTCCGTCTCAAAAAAAATTAAAAAAACCTCCATCTCGGCTGGGTGCGGAGGCTCACGGCTGTAATCCCAACACTTTGAGAGGCCAAGGCAGGTGGATTACCTGAGGTCAGGAGTTCCAGATCAACCTGGCCAATGTGGCGAAACACGCGTCTCTACTAAAAATACAAAAATTAGCTGGGTGTGGTGATGGGCGCCTGTAATCCCAGCTACTCAGGAGGCTGAGGCAGGAGAATCACTTGAACCCAGGAGGTGGAGGTTGCAGTGAGCCAAAATCGCACCATTGCACTCCAGCCTGGGCGACAATAGCCAGACTCTGTCTCAAAAAACAAAACAACGGCCGTGGTGGCTCACGCCTGTAATCCCAGCACTTTGGGAGGTCGAGGCGGGTAGATCACCTGAGGTCAGGAGTTCAAGACCAGCCTGATCAACATGGTGAAACCCTGTCTGTACTAACAGTACAAAATCAGCTGGCTGTGGTGGTACATGCCTGTAATCCCAGCTACTTGGGAGGCTGAGGCAAGAGAATCGCTTGAACCCAGGAGGCAGAGGTTGCAGTGAGCCAAGATCGTGCCATTGCACTCCAGCCTGGGCAAGAAGAGTGAAACTCCATCTCAAAGAAAAAACAAAAACAAAAAACAACAACAAAAAAAAAACAAGGCCGGGCATGGTGGCTCACGCCTGTAATCCCAGCACTTTGGGAGGCTGAGATGGGCGGATCACGAGGTCAGGAGTTTAAGACCAGCCCGGCCAGAATGGTGAAACCCCGTCTCTACTAAAAATATAAAAATTAGGCCAGGCGCGGTGGCTCATGCCTGTAATCCCAGCACTTTGGGACGCCAAGGCGGGCGGATCACGAGGTCAAGAGATCGAGACCATCCTAGCTAACACAATGAAACCCTGTCTGTACTAAACAAAATACAAAATATTGGCTGGGCGTGGTGGCGGGCGCCTGTAGTCCCAGCTACTGGGGAGGCTGAGGCAGGAGAATGGCGTTAACCCGGGAGGCGGAGCTTGCAGTGAGCCGAGATCGCACCACTGCACTCCAGCCTGGGCAACAGAGCGAGACTCTGTCTCAAAAAAAATTAAAAAATCAGCTGGGAGTGGTGGCAGGTGCCTGTAACTCCAGCTACTCGGGAGACTGAGACAGAAGAATCACTTGAACCCGGGAGGTGGAGGTTGCAGTGAGCCGAGATCGCGCAATTGCACTCCAGCCTGGGCGACACAGCGAGACTCTGTCTCAAAAAAAAAAAAAAAAAAAAAAACCCAAAAAACAAACAAACAAAAAAAACACCTCCGTCTCTACAAAAAAAATTAGCTGGGTGTGGTTGTGTGTATCTGTACTCCCAGCTACTCTGGGCTGAGGCAGGAGAATGGCTTCAACCCAGGACGCGGTGGCTGCAGTGAGCCTAGATCGCTCCACTGCACTGCAGCCTGCGCGACAGAGCGACACTGTCTCAGAAATAAATAAAATAATAAAATATGTAATTTATATAATTACCTAGATCCAATGCTGTATGTGGAAACTAAAGGAAAAAGAAAAAGAAAATTAGCTGGAGGAAAAATATGGTAATGTGTCCCCCCACCGTTTTGTTATTTTAAAGGAAAGATAAGGCCAGTCCTGGTGGCTCATGGCTCTAATCCTCCCAGCTTGGGAGGCCAAGGTGGGCTGATCACTTGAGCTCAGGAGTTCAAAACCAGTCTGGCCAACACAGCGAAACCCTGTCTCTACAAAAAATACGAAAATTAGCTGGGCCTGGTGGCGTGTGCCTGTAATCCCAGCTAATTGGAGGCTGAGGCAGAAGAATCGCTTGAGTCCGGGAGGCAGAGGTTGCAGTGATTCCGGATCGCAACGCTGCATGCCAGCCTGGGAAATTGGAGTGAAACCATGTCTCGAGGGGAAAAAAACAAGCATAAATAATAGCGGGTGAAAATAACTCGGGTGGGGCTGGGCATGGTGACTCACACCTGTAATCCCAGCACTTTGGCAAGAGGCCAAGGCGAGAGGATCACTAGAGGTCAGAATTTTGAGACCAGCCTGGCCAACATGGTGAAACTCCATCTGTACTAAAAAGACAAAAATTACTCACGCCTGTAATCCCAGCACTTTCAGAGACCGAGGCAGGCAAATCACCTGAGGTCAGGAGTTCAAGACCAGCCTGGCAAAACCCTGTATCTAGAAAAATATAAAAATTAGCTAGGCGTGGTGGCGTGCACCTGTAAACCCAGGAGGCAGAGGTTGCAGTGAGCCAAGATCACACCACTGCACTCCGGCCTGGGCAATAGAGCAAGACTCCATCTCAAAAAAAATAATAATAATAATAAAAATACAAAAATTAATGGCCGGGCATGGTCGCTCATGCCTGTAATCCCAGCACTTTGGGAGGCTGAGGCGGGCAGACCACCTGAGGTCAGGAGTTCGAGACCAGCCTGACCAACATGGAGAAACCCCATCTCTACTAAAAATACAAAATTAGCCGGGTGTGGTGGCACATGCCTGTAATCCCAGCTACTAGGGAGGCTGAGGCAGGAGAATCGCTTGAACCTGGGAGGCGGAGGTTGCGGTGAGCCGAGATCGCGCCATTGCACTCCAGCCTGGGCAACAAGAGTGAATCCCTGTCTCAAAAAAAAAAAAAAAAAAATTAGCTGGGTGGCGGGGCAGGATGGCTCACGCCAGTAATCCCAGCACTTTGGTAGGCCGAGGCAGGTGGATCACCTGAGATCAGGAGTTCGAGACCAGCCTGGCCAACATGGTGAAACCCCGGCTCTACTGAAAATACAAAAATTAGCCAGGTGTGGTGGCGTGCGCGTGTGATTCCAGCTACTCAGGAAGCTGAGGCAGGAGAATCGCTTGAACCTGGGAGGCTGCAGTGAGCTGAGATCCTGCCACTGCACTCCAGCCTGGGTGACACAGTGAGACTCCATTTCAAAAAAAAAAAAAAATTTAGTCTGGGGTGGTGACACGGGCATGTAATCTCAGCTATTCAGGATGCTGACACAGGAGAATAGATTGAACCCGGGAGGCAGAGGTTTCAGTGAGCCAAGATCGCACCACTGCACTCCAGCCTGGGTGACACCTAAAAAATATATATATATATTTTTAATATAAATATAAAATATTTAAATATAAAATATACATTTTATATTTATATTAAAATATATATAATAGGCCAGACACAGTGGCTTATGCCTGTAATCCCAGCACTTTGGGAGGCCGAGGTGGGCTGATAATTTGAGGTCAGGAGTTCGAGACCAGCTTGGCCAACATGGCAAAACCCCGTTTCTACTAAAAATACCAAAATTAGCCGGGCTTAGTGTCAGGCGCCTGTAATCTCAGCTACTCGGAAGGCTCAGGCGGAATAATCACTTGAACCTGGGAGGCGGAGGTTGCAGTGAGCCAAGATCGCGCCGCTGCACTCCGGCCTGGGCAACAGAGCGAGACTCCCTCTCTAAATAGATAGATAGATAGATAGATAGATAGATAGATAGATAGATAGATAGATAGACGGACAGACAGACAGATAGATAGATAGATAGAATAAGTGAAAGGCTGGGCGCGGTGGCTCACGCCTGTAATCCCAGCACTTTGGGAAGCTGAGAGGGGTGGATCACGAGATCAGGAGTTCAAGACCAGCCTGGCCAAGATGGTGAAACCCCGGCTCTACTAAAAATACAAAAAATTAGCCGGGCGTGGTGGCAGGTGCCTGTAATCCCAGCTACTTGGGAGGCTGAGGCAGAGAATTGCTTGAAGCCGGGAGGCACAGGTTGCAGTGAGCCAGGATTGAGCCACTGCACTACAACCTGGGCAACAGAGCGAGACTTTGTCTCTAAAATAAATAAATAAATAAAAAGAATAAGTAAATAAATAATGTTAATTCGGGTGGGGCAGGAGAATTGTTAAGTGGACTGACCGGAAGTCAGCTAACTGGATTTGGGGAACCTCTTTTTTTTTGAGACGTAGTCTTGCTCTGTCGCCCAGGCTGGAGTGCAGTGGTGCGATCTCGGCTCACTGCAAGCTCCGCCTCCCGGGTTCACGCCATTCTCCTGCCTCAGCCTTCCGAGTTGCTGGGACTACAGGCGTCCGCCACCACGCCCGGCTAATTTTTTGTATTTTTAGTAGAGACAGGGTTTCACTGTGTTAGCCAGGATGGTCTCGATCTCCTGACCTCGTGATCCGCCTGCCTCGGCCTCCCAAAGTGCTGGGATTACAGGCGTGAGCCACCGCGCCCGGCCTTTTTTTTTTTTTTTTTTTTTTTTTTTTTTTTTGTCTTTTGAGACAGGGCCTCCTTCTCTCATCCAGGAGTGTGGCACAATCATGGCTCACTGCAGCCTCCACCTCCATGGCCCAGCCTGCAGTGCAGCTGAGTCCACAGGTGCGCGCCACCACACTCGGCTAAGTATTCATTTATTTAGTAGAGATGGACTTTCGCTTTATTGCCCAGGCTGGTCTTGAATTCCTGGGCCCAAGCGATCCCCCCCGCCTCGTTTTCCCAAAATGCTGGGATTACTGGCGTAAGCCAACGCGCCCGGCCTAGGGAAACTTTCTAAGCTTCAACTTCTAGCTCTGTAAAATGAGAATTGGAAGTAGGTGCGATCTGAACTTTCTGATCAATTCCGGGTACAAGCTTTTCAACAAAACTGAGCTGAGGAAATAGCATGTAATACCGTGGGAAAAGAGAATACTCACCTTAAAGGAAAACTGGGGGAGCGGGGCCTAAATGCACACAAACTGCCCACAATCGGTTATCCAGTCTCCTCCCCTTCACTTTCCAACTCCTCTTGCATAGTCAGTCTGGTCAACCTCCTCTGGGGCCAAGCAAGCAACTTCCCCCACGGCCTTAAGGGCCCACCGGTCAACCCGGGGTGAGTGGAGACAATAGGGTTTGTGTCGCAGGGGTCGTTGACATCACGTAAGAATGCGCAGGGGTGTCCCCATCTAGGGTCCTCATCCCCCACCAGAAAGGCCCTCCGAGGCTACGGTGGTTGGGATGGCGTACCTGAGCGAGTGTCGCCTGCGACTGGAGAAAGGCTTTATCTTGGACGGGGTGGCTGTGAGCACCGCTGCCCGCGCTTATGGGCGCTCTAGGCCCAAGCTGTGGTCGGCGATTCCGCCCTACAACGCGCAGCAGGACTACCACGCCCGCAGCTACTTCCAGAGTCACGTGGTTCCGCCCCTTTTGCGGAAAACTGATCAGGTATAGGAGCTTCCCGGAAGACCCCACACACCTCCCTAAATCTTCACTCCAGCGTTCTCACCACAAAGAAGGCTCCGCCACTTTCACCTCCTCGGTTTACTTTCTTTTCTTTTTTAAATTTTTATTTATTATTATTATTTTGAGACAAAGTCTCGCTCTGTCGCCCAGGCTGGAGCGTAGTGAGTGGCACCATCTTGGCTCACTGCAACCTCCGCCTCCCGGGTTCAAGCGATTCTCCTGCCTCAGCCTCCCGGGTTCAAGCGATTCTCCTGCCTCAGCCTCCCGAGTAGCTGGGGTTACAGGCGCGCCACCACGCCAGACTAATTTTTATATTTTTGGTAGAGACGGGGTTTCGCCATGTTACAGGTGTGAGCCTGTAATTATAGGGTCTGATTCTCGCCCAGGCTGGAGTGCGGTGGTGCCATCACGGCTCACTGCAGCTTCCACCTCCCAGGGTCAAGCAACCTTCCCACCTCAGCCTCGCGATTAGCCGGGACTACAGGCTCGCGCCATCACGCCGGGCTAATTTTTTTTTTTTTTTTTTTTTTTTTTTTTTTTTTTTTTTGTAGAGAGGGGGTCTCGCCATGTTACCCAGACTGGTCTTGAACTCCTGGGCTCACGCTATCCTCCCGCCACCGCCTCCCAGTTTTCTTAACGCAGCCCGAGGACTGGAGGAAAGGGAGGACAGGTGTTGAGCGCAAGCTCCCTGAGCTCACAGAATGGCCTTCCAGCCCTGAATTTGAGAATAGACTCATTCCAGGTTTCTGCAAGGCAAGGGGATAGGGCTCAAAGCCAGCTTCTCCCAAACCAGTCGGTGTCTTTGTCTTTTGTGACGTCACAGACCCGCCCTCTAGGGTGACCTCACACCGCAAATTCTCTAAATACGCAAAAATCCGTGTGACCTCAGTGAGCAAGACAAAGGGAATTGATTTGACCTGCAGGGCGAGACGCCTTCCTCCTGTGACATCATAGTGGCAGGGCATGGGGCTTGCTCTCCGGGTTCTTTGGTCTGATGGGAGGGACACCTCTCAAACCTCTGCGGACCTCAGTTCCTCCCCCTGGCCTTTTCCCTCCTAGGTGTAGGCCCCTTCCCAGCAGAGTTCTCCTCCACCAACCCCCCAGATCAAAGATTCCGAGACTGTTTGCTGATGGTTCAATTTTTCCCCCAACATTTTGCTTCCAGTATTTGTGTTTCTACGTATAAGCGGTGTGGGGAAGAGACAGGAAGACTCATGGGGTTATTCTGTGAGCAAATCTTCGGGATTTGTGTGTGTGTGTATAGTCCCAAATGTTTGTTTGCATAGGTCTGTGCAGTGCATGTATATGGACATACATGAGTCACACATGTGTTGACTCATGTAATTTTTTTTTTAATTTTTTTTTGAGACGGAGTCTCGCTCTGTCGCCCAGGCTGGAGTGCAGTGGCAGGATCTCGGCTCACTGCAAGCTCTGCCTCCTGGGTTCACGCCATTCTCCTGCTTCAGCCTCCCAAGTAGCTGGGACTACAGGTGCCCGCCACCACGCCCGCCCGTCTAATTTTTTGTATTTTTACAAAAAATAGTAGAGACGGGGTTTCACTGTGTTAGCCAGGGTGTTCTCGAACTCCTGACCTTGTGATCTGCCTGCCTCGGCCTCCAAAAGTGCTGGGATACAGGTGTGAGCCACCGTGCCCGGCCCAATTTTTCTTTTCTTTTCTTTTCTTTTTTTTTTTTTTTGAGACAGGGTCTTGTTCTGTCACCCTGGCTGGAGTGCAGTGGCATAATTTTGGCTTACTGCAACCTCTGCTTTCCGTGTTCAAGCGATCCTCCCACTTCAGCCACTCTAGTAGCTGAGACTACAGAGACAGGGTTTCACCATGTTGCCCAGGCTGGTCTTAAACTCCTGAGCTCAAGTGTTCTGCCCATCTCGGCCTCCCAAAGTGCTGGGACTATAGGCATGAGCCACCATGCTGGCATCGACTCGTAATTTTACGACAGAAGGAACCAGAGTCTGGGGAGGGGAAAAGGAAGAACTTGAGTATTTAAAAGGTTGAAAATGATAGGGTATACATATTTTGAAAATGCTTTCTTTCTTTCCTTTTTTTTTTTTTTTTTTTTTGAGACAGAGTCTCACTCTGTCATCCAGGCTGGAGTGCAGTGGCGTCATCTCAGCTCACTGCAACCTCTGCCTCACAAGTTCAAGCAATTCTCCTGCCTCGGCCTCCTGAATAGCTGAGATTACAAGCGCCCGCCACCACACCCAGTTAGTTTTTTGTATTTTTAGTAGAGACGGGGTTTCACTATGTTGGCCAGGCTGGTCTCGAACTCCTGACCTCAAGTGATCCACCTGCCTCAGCCTCCCAAAGTGCTGGGATTACAGGCGTGGGCCACCGCACCCGGCCTTGAAAAAGGCTTTCTAATTTTCTTTTTTGAGACAGAGTGCAACTCTGTCACACAGGCTGGAAGTGCAGTGGCACAGCTCACTGCAGCCTTGAACTGCTGGGCTCAAGCAATCCTCCAGTCTCAGCCTCCTGAGTAGCTGGGACTATAGGCGTGTGCCACCATGCCCAGCAGCTAATCTTTTATTTTATTTTATTTTATTTTTGAGGTGGAGTCTCGCCCTATTGCCCAGGCTGGAGTGCAGTGGCACGATCTCAGCTCACTTCAACCTCTGTCTCCTGGGTTCAAGTAATTCTCTTGCCTCAGCCTCCTGAGTAGCTGGGATTACAGGCATGAGCCACTACACCTGGCTAATTTTTGTATTTTTAGTAGACACCGGGTTTAGCCATGTTGGCCAGGCTAGTCTCCAACTCTTGACCTCAGGAGATCCTCCAGCCTTGGCCTCCCAAAGTGCTGGGATTACACTGCTCCCAGCCAATCTGTTTAATTTTTAAAAGTATTATTTAATTATCAAAACCACCATTTGTGGTAGGTATTATTTTCATTTAAATAAAGATAACATTTATTAAACTTTACTATGCCAGGCCCTTTATCTGAACAAAATCACTTAAGTCTCACAGCAAGCCAGGCACAGTGGCTCAATCCTGTAATCCCAGCACTTTGGGAGGCCGAGGCGGGTGGATCACTTGAGTTCAAGAGTTTGAGACCAGCCTGGCCAATATGTGAACCCTGTCTCTACTAAAAATACAAAAATTAGCCGGGCATGGTGGCGCGTGCCTGTAATCTCAGCTACTCAGGAGGATGAGGCAGGATAATTGAACCCAGGAAGCGGAGGTTGCAGTGAGCCGAGATGGCAACACTGCACTCCAGTCTGGGTGACAGAGTAAGACTGTGTCTCAAAAAACAAACCTCACAGCAATACTCCTTTTACCGATGGGAAAACTGAGGCCCAGAGAAGCTGTGTAATTGGCCCAAGGTCACAAAGCCTGTTAATGGTTGAGCTGGAGTTAGAACCCAGCCTGTCTGGCAGCAGAAACTGAGCCTTCAGCTGCCAAGCTCAACTGCCCCTCCCGGAGAGGCAATAGGTTCTTCTTTTTCTTTTTCTTTTTTTCTTTTTTTTTTTTTTTAGATGGAGTTTGGCTCTTGTTGCCCAGGCTGGAGTGCAATGGCAGGATCTCGGTTCACTGCAACTTCTGCCTCCGGGGTTCAAGCAATTGTACCGCCTCAGCCTCCTGAGCAGCTGGGATTACAGGCGCCTGCCATCATGCCCAGCTAATTTTTTGTATTTTTGGTAAAGATGGGGTTTCACCATGTTGGCAAGGCTGGTCTCGAACTCCTGGCCTCAGGTGATCCACCCACCTTGGCCTTCCAAAGTGCTGGGATTAGAGGCCTGAGCCACTGCACCCGGTCTGGTTCTTAAATATATTTAATCTGTCTGCACCAGTTACCTAAGGCTCTGACCTCTTCCCTATCCCCACAGCAAACCCCAGGGCAGTTTGCACTGTGTCCCCCTCAGCATTGTGGCTGACAGTGTTCTTGCCCACTTTCTCTTGCCCACTTTCAGGATCATGGCGGTACAGGAAGGGATGGCTGGATAGTAGACTACATCCACATCTTCGGGCAAGGACAAAGATACCTCAACAGGAGAAATTGGGCAGGGACAGGCAAGTGCTGCCTCCATTTCTAGCCTCATCATGGTTCCTGGGCCATAGCAAGGCCTGGTTGAGGGGAAGAGGCAAAGGGACTGCATCCTTCCAGCTTTTCTTCACATACATGAGCAGATGGTGCCACAGTGCCCCCTAATATTAGTTAATAAGCACCAGTACTGTATGTCAGACCTCATTTTTTTTTTTTTTGAGACGTGGTCTCACTCTATCACCCAAACTGGAATGCATGAAATGCAGTAGCACGGACAGGTGCAGTGGCTCACGCCTGTAATCCCAGCACTTTGGGAGCTGAGGCGGGTGGATCACTTGAGGTCAGGAGTTCCAAACCAGCCTGGCCAACCTGGTTGAACCCTGTCTCTACTAAAAATACAAAAAAACAATTAGCCAGGCGTGGTGGCTCGCACCTGGAATCCCAGCTACTTGGGAGGCTGAGGCAGGAGAACTGCTTGAACCCGGGAGGCGGAGGTTGCAGTGTGCCAAGATCGTGCCACTGCACTCCAGCCTGGGCGATGCAGCGAGACTCCATCTCAAAAAAAAAAAAAAAAAAAAAAAGAAAGAAAGAAAGAAAGAAATGCAGTAGCACAATTACTACTCACTGCAGTCTTGACCTCCTGGGCTTGCGCAATCCTCCCACCTCAGCCTCCTGAGCAGTTGGGCCCACAGGTGTGCACCACCACACTCAGTTAATTTTTTATTTTTTGTGGAGATGGAGTCTCCCTATGTGGCCCACGCTGGTCTTGAACTCCTAGGCTCAAGTGATCCTCTGGCCTCAGCCTCCCAAAGTGCTGGCATTACAGACATGAGCCATTTGTTGGGCACTTTTCACCCTCACACTAACCCCATGGCACAGGTAGGAAAACAAGTTTCTTGAGTTAAAGTAATTTGGCAAGAGGGCTGAGCTGGGATTAATAGTCTGCTCTTCCTGGCCTGGTGCAGTGGCTCATGCCTGTAATCCCAGCACTTTGGGAGGCCGAGGCAGGCGGGTCACGAGGTCAGGAGTTCGAGACCAGCCTGGCTAACATAGTGAAACCCCGTCTCTACTAAAAATACAAAAAATTAGCCGGGCGTGGTGGCAGGCACCTATAATCCCAGCTACTTAGGAGGCTGAGGCAGGAGAATCTCTTGAACCCGGGAGGCAGAGGTTGCAGTGATCCGAGATTGCGCCATTGCACTCCAGCCTGGGCGACAGTGCAAGACTCTGTCTCAAAAACAAACAAACAAAAAGATTCTGCTCTTCCCAACTCTGAAGCCCCTGTTCCCCTCACTGCTGCATCCTGCTCATTTTCCAGGCCCAGGTTAACAACAATGGGAAAGAGTTGAGAGATATTTTTCTAACAGGGTAAACCCTCCTCCCAGCCTGGCTCCACCATCCTGGGCCACTCCTCTAGTCACATGATACTTTGTGCCATTTGGCTCAATTGATCTTGATCTCATCCATTTTTTCCACATGGGTCAGAGGCAAGGGTGAGATTTTTCTCATTTCTTGTGGGAGAAAGGCAAGCTTTGCCAAGCCCAGAATTTCTGGCCCTTCCTGTCCCAGCACAAACCATTCACAGTTTTCCTGCAATTATTCCTGGTGCGGGGTTTTATTTCTAGGAAGCCTTCTGCCCCTCAACCTCACCAGCCCTTGGCTTTTCAGCCCAGAGTCTCAGGACACTTGTGGATTGCGTGTTCAGCATGGGGAATGCAAGTGACTACGCCTGGTTGGCATCCCATACCACACCCAGGGGAATGGGGAAGCCAAGAGGTGGGCTGAATGCAGGCTCAGGCCTCTCTCTCCTTGTCCCCAAGGGCATTCTCTCCAGCAGGTGACTGGGCATGACCACTACAATGCTGATCTGAAACCGATCGATGGGTTCAATGGAAGGTTTGGCTACCGCAGGAACACTCCAGCCCTCCGTCAGAGCACGTCCGTCTTCGGAGAGGTCACCCACTTCCCTCTGTTCTAACAGCATCTTTTCCCTTCATAGCCATCGACCTGAATTTCTAAGACAAATGTTTAGATGAACTCTTAGTGTTATTTTACGTTAAAAAAATTAATTTGTGTCTCCACGTGTGCTGTTTCTTCCCTGAGATTAGAGGATGGAGCCAGTTCTACCCTCAGCTTCTCTTCCCTCTGGAGAGAAGGTGAGAGGAGAAAGGGCTTCTCAGGCCTACGCCCTTGCACTCCATACCAACGAGTGCCAGGTTTGAAAGGAGGGGCTTCAGTTCTCCCCTACCAGTGGGATAAGAAGGAGCCACACTACTCAACCTCAATAAAGCACTTCCCCAGCTATCAGCAGGGCCCCAGGTCAGAGCTGGCTATTGTTTCCATCAAGAACAGAGCAAAGGGCCGGGCGCTGTGGCTCACGCCTGTAATCTCAGCACTTTGGGAGGCCAAGGCAGGTGGATCACAAGGTCAGGAGATTGAGACCATCCTGGCTAACACTAAAACCCCGTCTCTACTAAAAATACAAAAAAATTAGCCGGGCTTGGTGGCGGGCACCTGTAGTCCCAGCTACTCGGGAGGCTGAGGCGAGAGAATGGCGTGAACTCGGGAGGCGGAGCTTGCAGTGAGCCGAGATCGCGCCACTGCACTCCAGCCTGGGCAACAGAGCAAGACTCCGTCTCAAAAAAAAAAAAAAAAGAACGGAGCAAAGGCCAGGCTCCGTGGCTTACGCCTGTAATCCCAGCACTTTGGGAGGCCGAGATGGGAGGATTGCTTGAGCTCAGGCAGGTGGATCACTTGAGACCAGCCTGGGCAACACGACGAAACCCTGTCTTTACTAAACATATATATATGTTTGTGTGTGAGTGTGTGTGTGTGTGTGTGTGTGTATACACATATGTTTATGTATATATATATATGTTTATGTATATATATATGCATATAGAGAGAGAGAGAGAAGGAGAGAGAGACTCACTCTGTTAGCCCAGGCTGGAGTGCAGTAGTGTGATCTCAGCTCACTGCAACCTCTGCCTCCCGGGGTTCAAGCAATTCTCCTGCCTCAGCTTCCCTAGTAGCTGGGATTACTGGTGCCTGCCACCATGCCCAGCTAATTTTTTTGTATTTTTAGTGGAGGCGGGGTTTCACCGTGTTGGTCAGGCTAGTCTCGAACTCCTGACCTCACCTCGGCCTCCCAAAGTGCTGGGATTACAGGCGTGAGCCACCTGCCCGGCCCAGGATGTCATTTTTCAAGTGTTCCCTTTCAGTTTATTGGTGGCCAAGGGAAAAGCCAAAGCAGATGATGGATAATTAAGAAGGTGGGGCTTTAGAACACAAAGCTTGCCAGAACTCGTGTGGGTGGAACTTGATTGTATTGAGTCACCGTAAGTGGACACGGAAGAAGCTTATTACAGGTAGAGGGGGTAGGGCTCAGGGATAGAGCATTTGACTGCAGATCAAGAGGTCCCCGGTTCGAATCTAGGTGCCCCCTTCTGTGGTGTTTTCTCACTTCCACTCCATTTAACAGTAAATACTGTCAGCCACAGTATCACCTGAAAAGATGAAGCAACTTTCAACTTGCTCTTGTGCTGAAATTGTTCCTCCCACATTCCAGCTGACCTTTAGGACAAAAAGCCCATCTGGGACCTCATTTGTCTTCAATTAAGACCAAGTCCCTGAGGAGATTCTAAATCTGTGAGTGAGTCTGACAGAGCTGTGAACACAATTTGGTAATTGGGTGTGTGTCAGAGTATAGATAAAAATGCACGTACTTTTGAAAACTTAGTACATGCAAAGCTGCCTCGAATTAAAACATGAAAGAAGGGCCAGGGCCAGGCGCGGTGGCTGACGCCTATAATCCCAGTGCTTTGGGAAGCCGAGGCGGGTGAATCACGAGGTCAGGAGTTCGAGACCAGCCTGGCCAACATGGTGAAACCCCCGTCTCTACTAAAAATACAAAAAATTAGCCGGGTGTGGTGGCACGCACCTGTAATCCCAGCTACTCGGGAGGCTGAGGCAGGAGAATCACTTGAACCCGGGAGGCAGTGGTTGCAGTGAGCCGAGACCGCACCATAGCACTCCAGCCTGGGCAACAGAGTGAGACTCTGTCCAGAAAAAAAAAAAAAGTTCAAGACCAGCATGACCAATATGGTGAAACCCTGTCTCTACTAAAAATACAAAAAATTAGCCGGGCGTGGTGGTGCACGCCTGTAATCCCAGCTACTTGAGAGGCTGAGGCAGGAGAATCGCTTGAACCTGGGACGCAGAGGTTGCAGTGAGCTGAGATCGCGCCATTGCACTCCAGCCTGGGCGACAGAGCGAGACTTTGTCGAAAGAAAAAAAAAAAGGCTTGGTGCGGTGGCTCACGCCTGTAATCCCAGCACTTTGGGAGGCCAAGGCGGGTGGATCACGAGGTCAGGAGATCAAGACCATCCTGGCTAACACGGTGAAACCCTGTCTCTACGTAAAATACAAAAAATTAGCCGGGCATGGTGGTGGGCGCCTGTAGTCCCAGCTACTGGGGAGGCTGAGGCAGGAGAATGGCGTGAACCCGGGAGGCGGAGCTTGCAGTGAGCCAAGATCGCACCACTGCACTCCAGCCTGGGCGACAGAGTGAGACTCTGGGAAAAAAAAAAAGAAAGAAAGAGAGAAAAGGAAAGAAAGAGAAAGAAAGAAAAGAAGGAAAGAAAGAAGGAAGGAAGAATAGAAAGAGAAATAAAGAAAAGAAGGAAGGAAAGACAGAAGAAAGGAGAGAGAAGGAAAAGAGAGAGAGAGAGAGAAATGCCGGGTGCGGTGGCTCACGCCTGTAATCCCAGCACTTCAGGAGTCCGAGGTGGGTGGATCATGAGGTCAGGAGTTTGAGACCAGCCTGACCAACATGGTGAAACTCCGTCTCTACTAAAAATATAAAAATTAGCCGGGCATGGTGCCGTGCACCTGTAATTCTAGCTACTTGGGAGGCCGAGGCACCAGAATCGTTTGAATCTGGGAGGTGGAGATTGTGTGAGCCGAGATTGCACCAGCCTGGGCAAAAAGAGTGAGACTCTCTCTCCTAAAAAAAAAAAAAAAAAAGAGGCCGAAGCAGTGGCTCACGCCTGTAATCCCAACACTTTGGGAAGCCAAGGCGGGCTGATCATGAGGTCAGGAGATCAAGACCATCCTGGCTAACACGGTGAAACCCCGTCTCTACTAAAAATACAAAAAAATTAGCCAGGCGTGGTGGCGGGTGCCTGTAGTCCCAGCTACTTGGGAGGCTGAGGCAGGAGAATGGCATGAATCCGGGGGGCGGAGCTTGCAGTGAGCCGAGATCGCGCCACTGCACTCCAGCCTGGGTGACAGAGTGAGACTCCATCTCAAAAGAAAAAAAAAAGAAAAGAAGGAAAAAAGGAAGGAAGAAGGAAAGCAAGAAAAGGAAAGAAGGAAGGAAAGATAAAGAAAGAAAAGGAGAGAAAGATGGAAGGAAAGAAAGAAAAGAAAGAAAGAAGGAAGAAAGGAAAGAAAGAAGAAAGAGAGAAAGAAAAGAAGGAAAGAAAGTAGGAAGGAAGGAAAGAAAGAGAGAAAGAAAATGAAGGAAAGAAGGAAGGAAAGAAAAGAAAGAGAGAGAAAGAAGGAAGGAAAGAAAGAAAGAAAAGGAAGGAAAGAAGGAAGGAAGGAAAAAAGAGAGAAAAGGAGGCCAGGCGCGGTGGCTCACGCCTGTAACCCCAGCACTTTGGGAGGCCGAGGCAGGCGGATCATGACGTCAGGAGATTGAGACCATCCTGACTAACACGGTGAAACCCCGTCTCTACTAAAAATACAAAAAATTAGCTGGGTGTGGTGGTGGTGGATGCCTGTAGTCCCAGCTACTCAGGAGGCTGAGGCAGGAGAATGGCGTGAACCCAGGCCACTGCACTCCAGTCTGGGCGACAGAGCAAGACTCCCTCTCAAAAAAATAAAATAAAATAAAATAAGATGAAAAAGAATTGCTTATTGCTTAAATGGAAGGGGCATATGTCACATTCTGGGTGGTGTACTTCAGCTTTACATCTTTTTTTTTTTTTTTTTTTGAGAGAGGGTCTCGCTCTGTCACCCAGGCTGCAGTGTAGTAGCATGACCACGGCTCACTGCAGCCTGAAACTCATGGGCTCAAGTAATCCTCCTGCCTCAGCCTCCCCAGCAACTGGGACTACAGGCATATGCCACTACACCTGGCTAATTTTTTTTTTTTTTAACATAAGTAGAGAGGAGGTCTTGCTTTGTTGCTCAGGCTGGTCTCCAACTCTTGGGCTCAAGTGATTCTCCCACCTCAGCCTCTGAAAGTGCTGGGACTACAAGTGTGAGCACCGTGCCCAGCTTCACATCTTGTGTCTGTTTGTCCCAAGTGTGGGATGGGTACTGCAGGCATTTGCAATTTGACTGGAGATAGACAAAAACACTGAATCACAGAATTAAAAAAATTATTCCCTTTCCTATCCTCAGTAACTTAAGAAAAAAGTCGTTTAAAAAATTTTTTTTAAAGAGATGGACTCTCACTCTGTCACCCAAGCTGAACTACAGTGGCACAATCACGGCTCACTGTAGCTTCCAACTCCTGGGCTCAAGTGATCCTCCTGCCTCAACCTTCCAAGTAGCTGGGATTATAGGTATGTGCCACCATGCCCAGCACTGTACACTCTTTGAATAAAAGAGAGGGAGATTGGCTAGGCGTGGTGGCTCACACCTGTAATCCTTGCACTTTGGATTTAGAAGATTTAGAAGTGTTAGAGAGCTGGCACCAAATAAGAATTCCTCCTGTCAGGCACAGTGGTGGCTCCAGCCTGTAATCCCAGCTCCTCTGGAGGCTGAAGTGGGAGCATCACTTGAGTCTAGGAATCGAGATCAGCTTAACCAATATATTTAGACCCTGACCAACATATTGAGACCCATTTCAAGAAAAATAAAATGTATCTAGTTAGTGTTTAATAATGTCATATTTAGGCCGGGCGCGGTGGCTCACGCCTGTAATCCCAGCACTTTTGGAGGCCGAGGCGGGCGGATCATGAGGTCAGGAGATTGAGACCATCTTGGCCAACATGGTGAAACCCCATCTCTACTAAAAAATATAAAAAATTAGCCGGGTGTGGTGGCACGTGCCTGTAATCCCAGCTACTTGGGAGGCTGAGGCAGGGGAATCGCTTGAACCTGGGAGGTAGAGGTTGCAGTGAGCTGAGATCGTGCCACTGCACTCCAGCCTGGGGACAGAGCAAGACCCCATCTCAAAAAAAAAAAAAAAAGTCATTTTTAGTTTCCATTCTATTTATGGCAAGTAATACTGATTCTCTTTAATAGCTTTATTGATATAATTTACATGCCGTGCAATTCAGCCAACAAAAGCCTACAATTCAATCATTTTTAGTATATTCACAAAGTTGTTCACCCATCGATACAATCAATTTTAGCACAATTTCATCACACCAAACTGAAACTCCATACCCATTGGCAGTCAACTTCCTATTTCCTCCCAACCTACCCATCTCTAGGCAACCACTAATCTACTTTCTGTCTCTATTGATTTGCCTATTATAGAAATTTCCTATAAATGGAATGATACATGTGGTCTTTTGTGACTGGCTTTTTTCACTTAGCATACTGTTTTCAAAGTCTATCTATGTTGTAGCTCTTAACAGTACTTCTTTTTTATTTTTTTTTGGAGATGGAGTCTCACTCTGTCACCCAGGCTGGAGTGCTGTGGTGCAATCTTGGCTCGCTGCAACCTCCGCCCCCCTGTTCAAGCGATTCTCCTGCCTCAGCCTCCCAAGTAGCTGGGACTACAGGCATGTGCCACCACGCCCAGCTAATTTTTTGTATTTTTAGTTGAAATGGAGTTTCACTGTGTTAGCCAGGATGGTCTCGATCTCCTGACCTCGTGATCTGCCCGCCTCAGCCTCCCAAAGTGCTTGGATTACAGGCATGAGCCACCATGTGTAGCCAGTACTTCTTTTTTTATGGCCAAATAATATTCCACTGTGTGGATATACCATACTTTATCTATTCATCATCATCAGGTAATGGATATGTTTTGATTCTCTGCCCTACTTTATTTTTGAGACAGAGTCTCACTCTGTTGCCCAGGTTGGAGTGCAGTAGTACAATCTTGGCTTACTGCAGCCTCCAAATCCTGGGTTCTCAGCCTCCTGAATAGTTGGGATTACAGATGTGCACCACCACACCCAGCTAATTTTTTACTTTTAGTAATTTTTGTATTTTTAGGGTTTTGCAATGTTGGCCAGGCTGGTCTCCAACTCTTGGCCTCAAATGATCTGGCCATCTTGGCCTCTCAAAGTCCTGGGATTACAGGCATGAAACACCATGCCCAGCCTCCCCCATGTTTTAACTGGTATGAATAACGGCTACTATGAACATTCACGTACAAGATTTTGGCCAGGTGTGGTGGCTCACACCTATAATCCCAGCACTTTGGGAAGCCGAGGTGGGCAGATCACTTGAGGTCAGGAGTTGGAGACCAGCCTGGCCAACATGGTGAAACCTCCTCTCTACTAAAAATACAAAAAAATTAACCGGGTGTGGTGGTGTGCGCCTGTAATCCCAGCTACTTGGGAGGCTGAGGCACGATAATCGCTTGAACCAGTGGGGTGAAGGTTGCAGTGAGCCAAGAGCACAGCACTGTACTCCAGCCTGGAAGACAGAGCAAGACTCTGTCTCAAAACAAAACAAAATAAAAAGCCATTCATGGGCAATATTTTGTATTGATGTATGCTTTCATTTCTCTTGGGAGTATATACCCAGGAGTAGAAATGCTGGGTTATATGGTAACTAAGTTTAACCTTTTGAGGAACTGCCAGACTCTTTCCCAAAGCATTGCTTTTCTTTCCTTTTTTCTTCCTTTTATTTTTTTGTCAGACAGTGTCTTATTGTGTTGCCCAGGCTGGTCTCAAACTCCTGGGCTCAAGCAGTCCTCCTACCTCAGCCTCCCAAAGTGCTGGGATTACAGGCATGAGCCACTGTGCTCTGCTTGCTTTTCTTTATTTAATTAAATTAATTAATTAATTAAGTTTGAGGTGGAGTCTGGCTCTGTCACCCAGGCTGGAGTACAGTGGTGCAATCTCAGCTCACTGCAACCTCTGCCTCCTGGGTTCAAACGATTCTCCTGCCTAGCCTCCTAAGTACCTGGGATTACAGGCGTGCACTGCTACGCCCAGCTAATTTTTTTGTATTTTTAGTAGAGACGGGGTTTCGCCATGTTGGCCAGACTGGTCTTGGATTCCTGACCTCAGGTGATCCACCTGTCTTGGCCTCTCAAAGTGCTGGGATTACAGGCGTGAGCCACTGCGCCCGGCCCTCTTTTATTTTTTGAAACAGGGTCTCGCTCTGTTGCCCAGGCTGGAGTGCAGTGGTATGATCTTGGATCACTGCAACCTCTGCCTCCTGGGCTCAGGCAGTCTCTCACCTCAGCCTCCTGAGTAGCTGGGACTACAGGCACATGCCACTATGTCCTGCTAATTTTTGTATTTTTTGAGAAACAGGGTTCTACCACGTTACCCAGGCTGGTCTCCAACTCCTGGGCTCAAGTGATCCACCTGCCTCGGCCTCCCAAAGTGCTGGGACTACAGCAGTGAGCCTGCTTTTCTTTTAAGTAAACTTTATTCAAATACATTTAAGTAAATATTTAATAGGTATTTTGTTTGTTTCTTTTCTTTTTTTTTTTTTCTGAGACAGAGTTTTGCTCTTGTTGCCCAGGCTGGAGTGCAATGGCGCTATCTTGGCTCACCACAACCTCTGCCTCCTGGGTTCAAGTGATTCTCCTGCCTCAGCCTCCAGAGTAGCTGGGATTACAGGCATGTGCCACCACGCCCGGCTAATTTTGTATTTTTAGTAGAGACGGGGTTTCTCTATGTTGGTCAGGCTGGTCTCAAACTCCCAACCTCAGATGATCTGCCCGCCTCAGCCTCCCAAAAGTGCTGGGATTACACGCGTGAGCCACCGAGCCCAGCCTGTTTCTTTCTTTCTTTCTGTTTTTTTTGAGACAAAGTCTCACTCTTGTCGCCCAGGCTATAGTGCAGTGGTGCCATCTTGGCTCACAGCAACCTCCACCTCCTAGGGTCAAGTGATTCTCTTGTGTCAGCCTCCCAAGTAGCTGGGATTACAGGCACCCGCCACCACGCCCGGCTAATTTTTGTATTTTTAGTAGGATGGGGTTTTTCCATGTTGGCCAGGCTGGTCTCAAACTCCCAACATCAGGTGATCCACCCACCTGCCTCGGCCTCCCAAAGTGCTGGGATTACAGGAGTGAGCCACCGCGCCCGGGCAATAAGTATTTTTAAAAAGCCATAAGAACTAATAAGTGAATTTAGCAAGCCTGTAAAATAGAAGGTTACTATACAAAAGCACGTTCTTATCTATTAGTAGCAAACAATTGGAAAATTAAAATTTTTAAATTTTATTTAAAATAGCATCACAGGCCGGGTGCCTGTAATCCTTGCATTTTGGGAGGCCAAGGTAGGCGGATCACCTGAGGTCAGGGGTTCCAGACCAGCCTGGCCAACACGGTGAAATCCCATCTTTACTACAAACACAAAAATCAGTAGGTCGTGGTGGCGTATGCCTGTAATCCCAGCTACTCGGGAGGCTGAGGCAGGAGAATCGCTTGAACCCAGGAGGCGGAGGTTGCAGTGAGCTGGTATTGCGCCACTGTACTCCAGCCTGGGCAACAGAGTGAGATTCCGTCTCGAAATAAATAAATAAATAAATAAATAAATAAATAAATAAATAAATAAATAAATAAATAAAATAGCATCACAAAAAATACAACATTTAGAATAAATTTAACAAAAGATGTGCAAAACTTCTATTCTGAAAATTACAAAACAGGTCGGGCGCAGTGGCTCACACCTGTAATCCCAGCACTTTAGGAGGCCGAGGTAGGAGGATTGCTTGAGTCCAGGAGTTTGAGACAAGCCTGGGTAAGATGGCAAAACCCTGTTGCTACAAAAATAAAAATAGCCAGGCGCGGTGGCTTATGTCTGTAATCCCAACACTTTGGGAGGCTGAGGCGGGGAGATCACTTGAGGTCGAAATTCGAGACAAGCCTGAGCAACATGGTGAAACCCTGTCTCTACAAAAAATACAAAAATTAGCCGGGCGGGTGGCGGGCGCCTGTAATCCCAGCGACTTGGGAGGCTGAGGCAGGAGAATTGCTGTCCGGGAGGCGGAGGTTGCAGTCAGCTTCGACCGCAGCCTGGGAGAGCAAAACTCCTTCTCAAAAAACAAAAACAAAGGGAGAAGAAGAAAAAGAAAAAGAAAAAAGAAAAACATGCCAAAAACACATAGTAACTGAAGGGAAAGGAATCTGCCAGCTTCCCACTATGGGAAAATCTGCCACTGTGGAAGCTGGCAGATTTTAAAAGTTTGGCAAACGGAAGCTGATGGAATTTCGATTTGATGGTTTCTATTTAGCTTCGTAAAATAGGCCTGGCATAAGGGGATTTGCTGTGAGTCAAGGTCTGAGGAAAGCGCCAGTTTGCAAAGCCGTTTTGGAAAACTGGAGCGTGGGGGTGTGTGCAGGGTGAGGGGAGGAGGCCTAGTCTGGTCCACCTTAGGTCTAGCAGAGACTACGTGGAGCTTTGAGCCGAATGCCCTGGTGAGCTGCCATGGCAACACAGCCGTGGGCACAGGCCCACGGCAACCCATCACTGAACAGAGTTGTGGCGTTTCAACAGAGAGTCTGGGACATCAGGCAACGTGGCGACCCGAAGCAGCCAAAATGAGACCTCGACAGCAAAGGCCTCGACAGCGGAGCCCGGACCTTTGCAAAATCTGCAAGTAACGCCAACGTCACAAAGCGCGACCGAGCCCTGTACGTCATCGTTCCGCGACGCCGACGCGGTGAGATGACGCCCTCCCGGAAGTGACCTCTAGAGCGGTGGTGAAACTGGCAGTTGACGGCTCCTGGGACTAGATCCCGCGAGGTAGCCCCCGAACTATTTCTCTACGTTTTCTCTTGATCCTCCCGAAATCTTCCAGATCCGCGTAGTGAGGAATCGTCTCCACCGTCATGGGGGGCGGAGACCTGGTGAGTGGAGGGAGGCCTGGGCGGGGGAGGACTGAGGCCGGGACGGAAATTGGCAGGGGGTGGGGGTAGAGGAAGGAGTGGATAACCATGGCAACGCAGCTTTGCTTTCGCCGGGAGGAGGCCGTTGCCCTGAAGAGGGGATGGATCCTTAGGGCAATGGAGGGGTGGGACTGAGATTTGGGAAAGTCCGAGGTGTGTCGCGAACAGTGACAGGTGGTGTTTGCGTGTTTGTTGACTGCGGCTCTACCGGCTGTAAATTCTGGGAAGACCGGGGAGGGGGCGGATGGAGCCATGGCTAGGAAAGGAGGTAGATATGGAGGACGTGTCACCACACTTTGTTTTGTATATCTTGTCTTGCCACACACCTCTCTTCCTTGGGTGAGAGTTCAGAGTCATGTCCTGGACTGAAGTAGGGGTGGTTTGTGCCCCATTCTCCCTACCCTAAGCCATGCCCTGGGGTCGTTTTTTATTTTTTATTTTTTTGAGACGGAGTTTCTTGTTGCCCAGGCTGGAGTGCCATGGCGCGATCTCGGCTGACCGCAACCTTTCCCTCCTGGGTTCAAGCGATTCTCCTGCCTCAGCCTCCCGAGTAGCTGGGATTACAGGCATGCGCCACCACACCCGGCTAATTTTGTATTTTTAGTAGAGACAGGGTTTCTCCATGTTGGTCAGGCTGGTCTCGATCTGCCGACCTCAAGTGATCCGCCCGCCTCGGCCTCCCAGAGTGCTAGGATTACAAGGGTTAGCCACAGCGCCCGGCCCTGGGGTCCTTTTTAAGCCTGAAGGGATCTTCCTGTCCATCTTTCTGACTTCCACACCTCCTTCAGTGCTGGATTCTGATCTGTAGTGGCAGAGCTTGCTTTTGAATTCATACCACTTAATATAAGTTATGTGGCAATGTCTCTTAAACTGAAACGTTCATTTGTAAAGCGCTAAGGCCCCAAATAGGGTAAATGTACCCACAAGAGCATGGGGCAAGGTTGGGAAAATGCTAGCCTCCGGAAAGTGGAGCTAATTGAACCAGCAAGTAGATCAGCTTAGCCGCCTGCCCAGTAAACCTATTAGTTTGTCATGTGTTCTCAATCACAGTGAGTGCCAGGACTCCATCTAGTTTCATCCAATTTAGTGTATTCTTCACATAACTGCATTTAAGGACAGGAAAGCTCTAATCCAGGGTTTCTCAACATTAGCGCTCTTGACAGTTTGGCCTAGATAATTCTTTGGGGGTGTGTGGTAGTGGTGGTAGTTGGGCTGTCCTGTGCATTGTAGAATGTTTAGCAGCATCACTGGCCTCTAGCCACTAGACTGGAGCTATCCACTAACACCCGTCTCCACCAGTTGTGACAGCCAAAAATGACTCCAGAAGATTTTCTCCCTGGGGAGCAAAATAATCTATGCTTGAGGCAGGGAGGACAAGATGGGAAGGGTTAGAGGGAGAAAGAGGGAGGGAGTGAGGGAGGAAGGACGGAAGGATGGACGGATGGTCAGACCAACTGACGGACTGACCCACAACCAACCAACTGAATGACCTGACGAAGGGGAGAGGCAGGACAAGGAGGGGAAGAGAAAAGGAAGAAAAGGGAGCTCTCATTGACCGAACATTTTCCACATGCCAAGTACCTTGTGGACATGATCTTATTTTCTTAATTGGTCTCCTGGTCCTCTCCAGTCCATTCTCTTTTCTTTTTTTTTTTTTAAGATGGAGTCTCAGCCAGGTGCAGTGGCTCATGCCTGTAATCCCAGCACTTTGGGAGGCAGAGGCGGGTGGGTCACGAGGTCAGGATTTGAGACCAGCTTGGCCAAGATGGTGAAACCCCGTCTCTACTAAAAATACAAAAATTAGCTGGGAGCAGTGGCGGGCGCCTGTAATCCCAGCTACTTGGGAGGCTGAGGCAGGAGAATCGCTTGAACCCAGGAGGTGGAGGTTGCAGTGAGCCAAGATTGCACCACTGCACTCTAGCCTGCGTGACAGAGCAAGACCTCGTCTCAAAAAAAAAAAAAAAAAAGTTAAAAAAAAAGTTGGAGTCAGGCTGGGTGTGGTGGCTCACACCTGTAATCCTAGCACTTTGGGAGGCCAAGGCGGGCAGATCATGAGGTCAGGAGATCGAGACCATCATGGCTAACACGGTGAAACCCGTCTCTACTAAAAATACAAAAAAAATTAGCTGGGCATGGTGGCGGATGTCTGTAGTCCCAGCTACTCAGGAGGCTGAGGCAGGAGAATGGCGTGAACCTGGAAGGTGGAGCTTGCAGTGAGCCAAGATTGCGCCACTGCACTCCAGCCTGGGCGACATCTCAAAAAAAAAAAAAAAAAATTGGCCAGGCGTGGCGGCGCATGCCTGTAATCCCTTTACATGGCTTATAAGGCCCTTATTCTGCTCCTTTCTCACTTGGCTTCTTCTTGCGTCCCTGCACCATCAGCTTGCCACATCTCCAGCCACACTGAATTATTGCTATGTTCTTTCTCACCACCAGGACTGCACTTGTCTGTACTGTTCCCCTCTGTTTGGAAATCTACCCCCCTCATCTCCCCTTCACACATCACCAGGCTAGTTTACAATTGTCTTTAGATATTACTTACTTTGGGGAACATTTCATTATTGGGAAAGTGAACCAAAGCAGTATCTGATGGGGAGGAGAGAGAGAAGTGTTCTTTGAGGGTGAATGGGGAGATCAGAACCAAGGAGAGATTCCTGGGAAGGAAAGTTGAAAGAGATTCTGGGTGGGTTGTAAACCATGCAAGTTTAGGGCAGGTGAAGTAGACCAAGCTAAGGTAGGTTGAGTTCCAAAGAATGAATGTCCATGCCAGGCACGGTAGCTCATGCCTGTAATCCCAGCACTTTGAGAGGCCAAGGCAGGCGGATCACCTGAGGTCGAGAGTTTGAGACCAGCCTGACCAACATAGAGAAACCCCATCTCTACTAAAAATACAAAATTAGCCGAGTGTGGTGGCGCATGCCTGTAATCCCAGCTACTCAGGAGGCTGAGGCAGGAGAATCATTTGAACCCAGGAGGCAGAGTTTGCCGTGACCCGAGATCCTGCCATTGTACTCCAGCCTAGGCAAGAAGAGTGAAACTCCGTCTCAAGAAACAAAAAAGGCTGGGCACGGTGGCTCACCCCTGTAATCCCAGCAGTTTGGGAGGCCACTGCGGGCAGATCATGAGGTCAGGCGTTTGAGACCAGCCTGGCCAATGTGGTGAAACCCCATCTCTACTAAAAAATACAAAAATTAGCCAGGCATGGTGGCACGTGCCTATAGTCCAGCTACTCAGGAGGCTGAGGCAGGAGAATTGCTGGCACCCGGGAGGCGGAGGGTGCAGTCAGCCGAGATAGCTGCACTCCAGCCTGGGTGACAGAGTAAGACTTTAAAAAAAAAAAAAAAAGAATGAATGTCCACTGTCAGAAGTGCATGAGTTCTGTTCTCTTTCAAAATATGTGCCTTCCTGCTCATTACTGCATTCCTCCTGTCTTGTCATCACCAACTCTGATTTAGGTATGGCTAGTGGAAGGATGACTTGTATGCTTTTAAGGTTAAAACTGTTTGAAGGGAATTCAGGAAGGACCCGTTCTATCCTGAAGCTTTCTTGTTCTTGTTCTTGTTGTTTTGAGACGGAGTCTTGCTCTGTCGCCCAGGCTGTAGTGCAGCAGCGCAGTTTCGGCTCACCGCAACCTCCGCCTCTTGGTTCAAGCGATTCTCCTGCCTCAGCCTGCTGAATAGCCGGGACTACAGGCGCACCTGCCACCACGCCCAGCTAATTTTTGTATTTTCAGTAGAGGCGTTTCATCATGTTGGCCAGGCTGGTCTAAAACTCCTGACCTCAAGTGATCTTCCCGCCTCCGCCTCCCAAAGTGCTGGGATTACAGGTGTGAGCCACTGCGCCCGACCTGTCCTGAAGCTTTATACACTTGAACAAGCTCCCCTTCCCCTCTAGATGTGTGAGAGATTATTGGAAGAAAACCTTGCCATTGTTGAAGACATCTTGCCCTCACACGCCTGCCTTGGGTATGGAAGGGTGGGTGAGGCAGGGCTAGTTATACCCACCACTCAGTCACCCCCCGAATTATCATCACCTTCTTTTTATTTACCACAGAATCTGAAGAAGAGCTGGCACCCGCAGACCCTCAGGAATGTGGAGAAAGTGTGGAAGGCCGAGCAGAAGCATGAGGCTGAGCGGAAGAAGATTGAGGAGCTTCAGCGGGAGCTGCGAGAAGAGAGAGCCCGGGAAGAGATGCAGCGCTATGCGGAGGATGTTGGGGCCGTCAAGTAAGTGAGGAGCTGGGGGTGCGCTTGTGTGTAGGGAATTGCAGAGCTGTCCTGAGATGCATCATCCAGTGTTGTATAATGGCTGAGTGCTTAAGGGCATGGGTTGTAATGCCAGACTCACCTGGATTCTAAGGTTGGCTTTGCATGTACTAGCTGTGGAACTGTGATCAAATTTGAGAGACTTGGTTACTTCAGTAGGACCAGGGAGTAATAATACCCAACGCCTTCTTAAGGTTTGTTGAGAATCAAATGAGATAACACGTAAGGACTTGCTGTAAGCCGAGCTCACAGTAGATGGCTGATAACCGTGATGGAGGATGGTTGCTCTACCCTGCTTCTCAGCATATGTTGAGGATGCAGTCCTGCCTTTGTTAATGTATTTCAGGCTTGCTTGGGTCGGCGGGGACAGGGGGCAGGGAGTGAGGTCCCATGAGAGAAGGTGGATGGTATGCTTGTCAATAAAAGCTGAGTGATTACGGCCAATGCCACTAGATTTTACCCTGCTTCAATTTCCTGTTGTATAATATAGGATACGAGTAGCAGATAATAACTACCCCATCCATCTCATAAAAGGAGATGGGAGTAAATATGTTTGAGAAAATAAAAAGCATACAATATGCAGTGTATTCTTAAGTCAGAATAAAATAAAATAACAGATAGACTAAAACTGGGGACTAGGTGCGGTGGTTCATGCCTGTAATTGCTGTATTTTGGGAGGCTGAGAAATCACTTGAGCCCAGGAGTTTGAGACCAGTCTGGGTAATGTAGTGAGGCTCCATCTCTGTTTAAAAATATATAGGCTGAGTGTGGCGGCTTATGCCTATAATCCCAGCACTTTGGGAGACTGAGGCAGGCAGATCACTTGAGGCCAGGAGTTCTAGACCAGTCTGTAGTAGGAACCCATCTCTACAAAACAATAGAAAAAAATTAGCCAGGCACGATGGCTTACGCCTGTAATCCCAGCACTTTGGAAGGCCGAGGCGGGCAGATCACTTGAGGTCAGGAGTTCGAGACCAGCCTGACCAACATGGTAAAACCCTGTCTCTATTAAAATACAAAAATTAGCTGGGTGTGGCGGTAATCCCAGCTACTCAGGAGGCCGAGGCAGGAGAATTGCTTGAACCCGGGAGGCAGAAGTTTCAGTGAGCTGAGATCATGCCACTGCACTCCAGCCTGGGCGACAGATTGAGACTCCATCTCAAAAAAACGAACAAACAAAAAAAAAATAGAGGCTGGGTGCAGTGGCTCACGCCTGTAATCTAGCACTTTGGGAGGCCGAGGTGGGCGGATCACCTGACGTCAGGATTTCGAGACCAGCCTGGCCAACACGGTGAAACCCCATCTCTACTAAAAAAAAAAAAAAAAAATTAACTGGGCGTGGTAGCATGCATTTGTAGTCCTAGCTACTCGGGAAGCTAAGGCAGGAGAATCGCTTGAACCCAGAAGGTGGAGGTTGCAGTGAGCTGAGATTGCGCCAGTGTACTCCAGCCTGGCGACAGAGCGAGACTCCGTCTCAAAAAAAAAAAACCAAAAATTAGCCAGGCATGGTGGCACATGCCTGTAATCCCAGCTACTCGGGAGGCTGAGGCAGGAGAATCACTTGAACTCAGGAGTTGGAAGTTTTAGTGAGCTGAGATCACGCCATTGCACTCCAGCCTGGGTGACAGAGTAAGACTTCGTCTCAAAAAAAAAAAAAGAAAGAAAGGAAAAGTTAGCTGGGCATGGTGGCATGTGCCTGTAGTCCCAGCTACTTGGGAGGCTGAGGTAGGAGGATTGCTTGAGCCCAGGAGTTCGAGGCTACAGTGAGCTATGATTTTGCCACTGACTTCGGCCTGGGTGACAGAGTGAGACTCTGCCTCTAAGTAAATAAATAAATAAATAAATAAGTAAAAATTGATTTTAGACTGAATACCCATTAGTCATAAGCCGAGGTACTATCCAAAGGTAAAAATTGTTTTGACATTTTTATTCACCAAAGCATTACACATCATGTGCTCAATTTATCAGAAATTTGGGCTTTTGTGGAGTCTGATTAATGAGGTCAGAGTACAGATGCACAACTGTAGAGAAAGGAGCCAGCATTGTTGCAGACTCATGCCTGCTTGTCTGTCGTGAATGGGGGAAGGTGATTTTATATGCTTTGTTTTGTTTTGCCCTATCACATGTCCTACAATATTGTAAAACACTAAGATCAGCATTTGGTTCTCTCTGCCCCTTCTCTTTTTGGTCTTTACTGCTAATGTATTTAGATGACTTAAGTATTCATCTGTTTGTTTTGTATAGTTCTTTTTTTTTTTTTTTTTTTTTTTTTTGAGATGGAGTCTCGCTCTGTTGTCCAGGCTGGAGTGCAGCACGATCTCGGCTCACTGCAAGCTCCGCCTCCCGGGTTCATGCCATTCTCCTGCCTCAGCCTCCTGAGTAGCTGGGACTACAGGCGCCCGCCACCACGCCCGGCTAATTTTTTGTATTTTTAGTAGAGACGGGGTTTCACTGTGTTAGCCAGGATGGTGTCGATCTTTGACCTCATGATCCGCCCGCCTCGGCCTCCCAAAGTGTTGGGATTACAGATGTGAGCCACAGTGCCCGGCTGGTTTTATTTTTGTTATTTATTTTATTTTATTTTTTGAGATGGAGTCTCATTCTGTCGCCCGGGCTGGAGTGCAGTGGTGCGATCTTGGCTCACTGCAACATCTGCCTCCTGGGTTCAAGCGGGTCTCTTGCCTTAGCCTCCTGAGTAGCTGGGATTACAGGCGCACATCACCACGCCTGGCTAATTTTAGTATTTTAAGTAGAGATGGGGTTTCACCATGTTGGTCAGGCTAGTCTTGAACTCCTGACCTTGTGATCTGCCCGCTTCAGCCTCCCAAAGTGCTAGGATTACAGGCGTGAGCCACTGCACCCGGCCTATTATTTATTATTATTATTATTATTTTTTGAGTCAGAGTCTTGCTCTGTCTCCCAGGCTGGAGTGCAGTGGCACAATCTCCGCTCACTGCAGCCTCCACCTCCCAGGTTCAAGCAATTCTCCTGCTTCAGTCTGCTGAGTAGCTGGGATTACAGGCGTGTGCCACCACGCCTGGCTAATTATTATTATTATTATTGTTATTATTTTTGTGTGACAGAGTCTCGCTCTGTCACCAGGCTTGAGTGCAGTGGTGCGATCTCGGCTCACTGTAACCTCCGCCTCTTGAGTTCAAGCGATTCTCCTGCTTCAGCCTCCCGAGTAGCTGGGACTACAGATGCACGCCACCAGGTCCAGCTAATTTTTGTATTTTTAGTAGAGACAGGGTTTCACCATGTTGGCCTGGATGGCCTTGGTCTCTTGACCTTGTGATCCGCCCATCTTTGCCTCCCAAAGTGCTGGGATTACAGGCGTGAGTTACTGTGCCTGGCCTAATTTTTTTGTATATTTAGTAGAGATGGCATTTCACCATGTTGGCCAGGCTGGTCTTGAATTCCTGACCTCAAGTGATCTGCCCGCCTAGGCCTCCCAAAGTGCTGGGATTACAGGTGTGAGCCACAGCGCCCGGCCCCATGATCAATTCTTATTTTTTTTTTTTTGAGACCGAGTCTCGCACTGTCACCTGCGTTGGAGTACAATGGCATGATCTCAGCACATTGCAACCTCCACTTCTCGGGTTCAAGCGATTCTCCTCCCTCAGCCTCCCGAGTAGCTGGGACTACAGGCGTGTACCACCACGCCTGGCTAGTTTTTTGTATTTTTAGTAGAGACGGGGTTTCACTGTGTTGGCCAGGCTGGTCTTGATCTCCTGACCTCGTGATCAGCCTGTCTTGGCCTCCCAAAGTTCTAGGATTATAAGTGTGAGCCACCGTGCCCAGCTGATCAGTTCTTAACTGTAGACTACAGTGTTTCTCAGACTCATTTTTTTAATATGAAAAAAATTCTAAAGGGTCTTGGGGCCAGGCACGGTTGCTCACGCCTGTAATCCCAGCACTTTGGGAGGCCAAGGCTGGCAGATCACGGGGTCAGGAGATCGACCAGCCTGGCCAACACGGTGAAACCTCGTCTTTACTAAAAGTACAAAAAATTAGCCAGTCTTGGTGACACATGCCTATAGTCCCAGCTATTCGGGAGGCTGAGGCAGGAGAATAACTTGAACCTGGGAGGCAGAGGTTGCCGTGAGCCAAGATCGCTCCACTGCACTCCAGCCTGGGCAACAGAGTGAAACTCTGTCTGGGGGAAAAAAAAAAGGGTCATGGCCCTGCAGTGTTGGTTTAAATTATTCTTACCAAAAATGTCCAAGCATGCAACTAGGAAAACATTCTTTATGCTCACAGTTGTTATATAACCTCAAAAACAAGTATACACATTTAAAAAGTCATATTCAGGTTGGGCATGGTGGCTCACCCTTGTAATCCCAGCACTTTGGGAGGCTGAGGCAGGAGGATCACTTGAGGCCAGTAGTTTGAGACTAGCCTGGGCAACATAGCAAGTCCCATCTGTTTAAAAATTGAAAAAATAAAAAATCAGCAAGGCATGGTGGTGCATCCCTGTAGTCCCAGCTACTTGGGAGGCTGAGGCAGGATTTGTTGAGCCCAGGAATTCAAGGCTGCAGTGAGCCATGATCGCACCATTGCATTCCAGCCTGGGTGACAGAGTGAGACCCTGTGTCTAAAAGAAAAAAAAGAACAAAAAAGTCATATTCAAAAAGCATTTAATTTCAGGTTATAGATAATACTGTCAATGAAAGTACTTTCCTGGTTGCAGTGTGAATGTAGTATTGGCTGCTTCCACGCATGCTCTTATGAATTTAGCCTGCCTTTACTGTCTGTGGTATGAGGGTTCCACTTTCTCACCACTTTTTTCTCCCAGAACCGCAGGGAAATGTTTGTGTGGCATGATGCTGTGACTTAATTTGGCCCCTAGATGGCTGAGACCAGGGTTTATTCACTTGTGAAACCCAGATAGTTACCTAATGATTCACGTATTCAGTGTTTGGCTCTTTTGGCTTGAAAGCGTCACTTATTCAGTTACCTCTGATTTTTTCCCATCATCCCCTCAAATGTGTAGTGTTACCGCTGGTGTCTGTGTGCCCACAAGCACCAAGATGCACAATCAATGCAACTGCGTATGTGGTCACTGAAATTGTTCTTGATGGTAAGATGGTGATGTAGAATGTGCTTATTCATTGTTTTAGGTCATCTTGGAAATGAAAGCATAATATAAAGACTCTGTAAAGGAGACTCGAGAAGCTCTGAGCCAAGATCCACACCCCATGTTGAGGAACACTGGTTTTCCTTATAAATTGCTTTATGTGAGTGAATATTCTCTCTCCATTCACTCGTAAGCCTCATGAGGACAAGCACCATTTATTTATTTATTTATTTGAGACAAGGTCTGGCTCCGTCACCCAGGCTGGAGTGCAGTGGCGTGATCTTACTGCAACCTCTGCCTCCCAGGTTCAAGTGATTTTCCTGCCTCACCCTTCTGAGTAGGTGGGATTACAGGCGTCCGCCACCACGCCTGGCTAATGTTTTGTATTTTTAGTAGAGATGGGGTTTCATCATGTTGGCCAGGCTGGTCTCGAACTCCTGACCTCAAGTGATCCACCCGCTTCGGACTCCCAAAATGGTGGGATTACAGGCATGAGCCACTGCACGCAACCCGCACTATTTCTTTATGCCGGCCACATGGGGTGCCGTGTTTATTGCATGGTAGGTGCCAGTAGAATGAACTCTGATTAGCTGTGGTTCTCTCTCCCTTGTGTCCAGGTTTTAGGTGTAGGTTTGCAGAAGTCTGCTTTTTAAAGAAATTGTATTTCTTTTTCTTCCCTTGAACCAGGAAAAAAGAAGAAAAGTTGGACTGGATGTACCAGGGTCCTGGTGGGATGGTGAACCGTGACGAGTACCTGCTGGGGCGCCCCATTGACAAATATGTTTTTGAGAAGATGGAGGAGAAGGAGGCAGGCTGCTCTTCTGAAACAGGACTTCTCCCAGGCTCTATCTTTGCCCCATCAGGTGCCAATTCCCTTCTTGACATGGCCAGCAAGATCCGGGAGGACCCACTCTTCATCATCAGGTACTAATGGGGGGCTAGGAAGGGGGTTTGTTACAGATGCTTTGAGACCCTGCTAAGGCCATTGATTCTCTTGCTTTACAGTTTTCTCTTCGCTTTTTTTTTTTTTTTTTTTTTTGAGACGGAGTCTCGCTCTGTCGCCCAGGCTGAAGTGCAGTGGCGCGATCTCTGCTCACTACAAGCTCTGTCTGCCGGGTTCACGCCATCCTCCTGCCTCAGCCTCCCGAGTAGCTGGGATTACAGGCACCCACCACCACGCCTGGCTAATTTTTGTTGTATTTTTTAGCAGAGACAGGGTTTCACTATGTTAGCCAGGATGGTCTCGATCTCCTGACCACCTTGTGATCCGCCCGCCTCGGCCTCCCAAAGTGCTGGGATTACAGGCGTGAGCCACCACGCCCAGCCTATTTTCTTGATAATATTAATGAGACCCTGGGTGCCTGTAGTCCCAGCTATTTGGGAGGCTGAGGCAGGAGAATGGCGTGAACTGAGGTGGTGCTTGCAGTGAGCCGAGATCACGCCACTGCATTCCAGCCTGGGCGACAGAGCGAGACTCCGTCTCAAAAAAAAATAAAAATAAAAAATAAAAATAAATAAATAAATAAATACAGTCAAAGTGTTGTGCAACCATCACCACAGCCTGTCTCCAGAACTCTTTCACCATTCTGAATTGAAACTCTATAACCATCAAAAAACAACTCACGGCTGGAAGCAGTGGCTCACGCCTGTAATCCCAGCACTTCAGGAGGCCGAGGCGGGCGGATCACGAGGTCAGGAGATCGAGACCATCCTGGCTAACACGGTGAAACCCCGTCTCTACTAAAAATACAAAAAATTAGCCAGGCATGGTGGCAGGCGCCTATAGTCCCAGCTACTCAGGAGGCTGAGGCAGGAGAATGGCATGAACCCGGGAGGAGGAGTTTGCAGTGACCTGAGATCGCGCCACTGCACTCTAGCCTGGACGAAAGAGCGAGACTCCGTCTCGAAAAAACAACAACAACAACAAAAAAAACAACTGACAGCCGGGTACGGTGGATCACACCTGTAATCCCAGCACTTTGGGAGGCAGAGATGGATGGATTGCTTGAGCCCAGGAAATTGAGACCAGCCTGAGCAACATGGTGAAACCCCATCTCTATAAGAAATATAAAAATTAGCTAGGCATGGTGGTGGGGGCCTATAGTCCCAGCCACTTGGGAAGCTGATGTGGGAGTATCACTTGAGCCCAGGTGGTCAAGGCTGCAGTGAGCCATGATCATGCCACTGCACTGCAGCCTGGACGACTGAGCATGACTCTTTTTTTTTTTTTTTTTTTGAGACAATCTCTTATATTTGTGAGAGATTTTTGGCTTTGACACCATCATGTCGTTTTTTATTTATTTATTTTTTTTG
Source organism: Homo sapiens (assembly GCF_000001405.40). NCBI lineage: Eukaryota > Metazoa > Chordata > Mammalia > Primates > Hominidae > Homo > Homo sapiens. The sequence continues at coordinate 38,813,471 of NC_000017.11, read as the reverse complement.
AGACAGGGTCTCACTCCGTCACCCAGACTGGAGTGCAGTGGCACAATCTCAGCTCACTGCAACCTCCGCCTCCTGGGTTTAAGTTATTCTCCCACGTCAGCCTCCCGAGTAGCTAGGACTGCAGGTGCGTGCTGCTACCATGCCCGGCTAATTTTTTTGTTTTGTTTTTTTTGGTAGAGACGAGGTTTCACCATGTTGGCCAGGCTGGTCTTGAACTTCTGACCTCAAGTGATCCGCCTGCCCCAGCCTCCCAAAGTGCTGGGATTACAGGTGTGAGATGAGCCACTGCACCCAGCCCCATCATCATGTAGATTTTTTTTTTTTGGAGACAGAGTCTTGCTGTGTCACCCAGGCTGGAGTGCAGTGGCACGATCTCAGCTCACTGCAATCTCCGCCTCCCAGGTTCAAGCGATTCTCCTCCCTCAAGTAGCTGGGAGCGATTCTCCTCCTCCCAAGTAGCTGGGATTACAGGTGCACACCACCACACCCAGCTAATCATGTAGATTTTAACATGGGCCAGTTTGTCTGTATATGTTTGGAGAAAAGGTTACTCCATAGAATTTGGAGAAAAGAAATAGTCATGAATTTTGTAATTATCTCTCTTTAGGAAGAAGGAGGAGGAGAAAAAACGAGAGGTATTAAATAATCCAGTGAAAATGAAGAAAATCAAAGAATTGGTAAGTAGTATACCAGATAAGCACCAAGAGCATCTTTTAGCCATATAACGTGAGAACGTCTCTCCATTTACTCTCAGCTTACCAGGGGAAAAACAGAATGGCCTCTAAAACTTTTGTCTTTTAGAGACCATGTTGTGGCTATTTTATGTAATCATTTTTTTGTTTTTGAGACGGAGTTTCAATCTTGTTGCCCAGGCTGGAGTGCAATGGCATGATCTCAGCTCACCGCAACCTCCGCCTCCCAGGTTCAAGTTATTCTCCTGCCTCAGCCTCCCTAGTAGCTGGGATTACAGGGATGTGCCACCACGCCCGGCTAATTTTGTATTTTTAGTAGAGACGGGGTTTATTCATATTGGTCAGGTTGGTTATTTTATGTAATCTTAGTTTATTAAGCTTAATTAAGCTTGATTTTGGTTGAAAGTCTTTTGGGTGGGAGAATGCACCATGTGATGTCGTTTTTCCAGAAGAAGAGTGTGGGCTAAGCCTGTGGAAAGCATTACCATGCAGTGTGTTCAGGAGGTTGGAGTATGCCCTTGGTCGTGGTATAAAGCTTCTAGGGGCTGGGCGCGGTGGCTCATGCCTGTAATTCCAGCATTTTGGGAGGCCGAGGCGGGTGGATCACCTGAGGTTGGGAGTTTGAGACCAGCCTGACCAACACGGAGAAACCCTGTCTCTACTAAAAATTCAAAATTAGCCGGGGTGGTGGTTCATGCCTGTAATCCCAGCTACTTGGGAGGATGAGGCAGGAGACTTGCTTGAACCCGGGAGATGGAGTTTGCTGTGAGCCAAGATTGCGCCATTGCACTCCAGCCTGGGCAACAAGAGCGAAACTCTGTCTCAAAAAAAAAAAAATAAGGCTTCTAGGGCCCACTTACCATTCACATGACATATTATGTAATTGTGTCTTGGATCAGTTGGTAAGGAAAGTTAAAGATTGACCTTATAGTTCCTGACTGCTTTCAGTGGAATTGGAGTTCCTGTGACACAGAATGGAAACTCCTAGGCAGTGGTTTTGGTGACTGTTTAAAAACACAAATTCTTAGTCTCACCTACCAGATACCAGTTCAGTAGTTGGGGGTGTTAGTGCACGGCCAGGGTTAAGACCCTTCCCCTGGTGTGTTGACAGGGAACCCCTATAATGTCCTGGACTTCTGTAGACCCAGAGGCATGGAGTCAGGCAGTTTGTGCATGAGCCACGCCCCTCAAAGGAGACTGATAGGGGTCTCAGTAATCTTTTTTTTTTTTTTTTTTTTTGAGACGGAGTCTCGCTCTGTTGCCCAAGGTGGAGTGCAGTGGTGCAGTGACACGATCTTAGCTCACTGCAAACTCCGCCTCCCAGGTTCATGCCATTCTCCTGCCTCAGCCTCCTGAGTAGCTGGGACTACAGGCGCCTGCTACCATGCCCAGCTAATTTTTTGTATTTTTAGTAGTGATGGTGTTTCACCGTGTTAGCCAGGATGGTCTCCTTCTCCTGACCTTGTGATCCACCCGCCTTGGCCTCCCAAAGTGCTGGGATTACAGGTATGAGCCACCCCGCCTGGGCTTTTTGTTTTTTTTTAATGAGATGGAGTCTCACTCTGTCGCCCAGGCTGCTGGAGTGCAGTGGCGTGATCTCAGCTCACTGCAACCTCTGCCTCCTGGGTTCAAGTGATTCTTCTGCCTCAGCCTCCCGAGTAGCTAGAACTACAGGTACACACCACCACACCCAGCTAATTTTTGTATTTTTAGTAGAGATGGTCTTTCACCATATTGGCCAGGGTGGTCTCGAACTCCTGACCTTGTGATCCTCCCACCTCAGCCTCTCAAAGTGCTGA